>NC_000009.12:73845552-74470552 GCF_000001405.40 Homo sapiens | reverse complement strand
AATTTATCTATATCAGCTAAAATATATTAAGCATTTACTTTGTGCTAGATTCTGTGCTAAGTACATTATCTCATTTAATTATATAGCAAGATATTACTATTCCCATTTTGCAGATGAGGACATTGAGGCACAAAGAAGGTGAGTGATTTGTTCAAGATCACACAGCTAGTAAGCAACAGCATTGCTCATTTTACTTCACCACATGTCCCTTATCCTTTTTTTCCACTAAGGGCAATTCATGTCTCTCTTTCCTCAATTTCCATATATTTTTTTCTGTACCTTTACCTACTTCTGTTCTATTATACTTATTTATGTGTAGGTCTTTTCCCAAACTGGAGCAGAAACCATATTTGATTCATGTTGGTATCTCTCACAGTTCTTTGGGAAAGGCAGATGATTGATTAGTATAAATACACCAAGAAAATATATTGATGCCTATTTTGCATTGCCAGAAATAATTTAAGGGGCTTAAAATTTTTATAATGCAATTTCAAAAATGAAATAAGTGTAAAGAAAGGAAAAGGTAAAGTGAATTCATATACAAGATTGGTTCATAGCCACTATGTAGTGTGGTCTAGTATTATTTGCCAGAGGTTGTTCACAAAGTTTATGGTAAGCCAAGGCAAAAGAAGTACAGTCATTCATTTACAGTAGGCCCAATGTTCATGAGATGAAAATAGGTAAGTTACTGATGAGAAGCTCAATTATTCCTGACATAGGGCTTGAAAGACATTTGATACGGTTTGGCTGTATCCTCACCTAAATCTTATCTTGAATTATAGTTCCCATAATCCCCACATATTGTAGGAGGGACTCAGTGGGAGGTAACTGAATCATGGGGGTGGCTACAGCCATGCTGCTGTTCTCATGATAGTGAGTGAGTTCTCACGAGATCTGATGGCTTTATAAGGGTTTTTTTCTCGCTTTGCTTGACACTTCTCCTTCCTGTTGCCATGTGAAGAAGGACGTAGTTGCTTCCTCTTCCACCATGATTGTAAGTTTCCTGAGGCCTCCCCAGTCCTGCAAAACTGTGAGTCAATTAAACCTCTTTCCTTTATAAATTACCCAATCATGGGTATTTCTTCAGAGCAGCATGAAAAATGAACTAATGCAACATTTTTCTAACCTGTCTTCATCAGGAAGATCTGTTTGATGTAGCAAACAGCATCCTCAACAACATCCTTATAGTACAAGTCATGTGGGTTATTTTAAAAATGAGACTTATTCTCAGTGCTGCACTCTCAAGAATGATAGGCAAGTTACCATAGAAGAGAAATAACAGTACAATAAATAGTCTTATTTCCAAAGTGGTAGAGAAGGCCACACCTAATTCAGGTGACAACTGTCTTGAACTGTTTCACACAAATTGTAGAGGGCACAATGATATACTTCACATATGATTTCTTCTTTCTCCTTTTTTTTAAAACAGAAAATGAGAGAGCAATTCAGTGTTGTAGTGGGTTTCTCAAGATTCTTGGACGTTATTAGCTACATAGTGGGTCCTTGTTACCACCCTTCCACATAATAGAAGGAATGACAAATACTGTCACAGTATGATTATATATGTCTGTGATATCAAAACCATAATCACAGGTGTTGTAGTCAGCAATGACAGTAGACAGTAACAATGACATATATATAATATATATATGTACCCACACTCATACATAAACATATACATACACAGGTATGCACAAACATACACATATTTCAATACATATTCAGCATTACTTTGCAAAATAATTTATCACAAGCTACTTAAATTTGGCTTTCTTCTCTAATAAGACCTAATCCTTTTTGTCATATATAATTGTCACTATTAATGATTATTTTGCTTTTGAGATGATGAGACATTCCTGCAAATAAAGAAACTTCTTAACAAATTACTCTTTAAGAGTAAATAGGAAATTGTGCACACTGACTTCAAAAAAACCCTTGAATTTCCTACCTGGTGTTTACTGTCAAAAAGCACAATGGGCATTCAAACAGGTTCTTGTAAGAAAAAAATTGTGTTTGTTTTGTCATACTTTTTCCATTAATTTAAAAACCAGTGAAAGCCTGTAAACACTGGGATGTGCGAAAATAACCCCCAATTTTGAGTTTTCAAAATGCTCTTGGGAAGCACATTTGATGGATAATTGCAAATGCTTTGTGAAAGAGCTTCAGAACTGCATGAGCTTCCGGATTAAGGATGTATCATTTTAGAGCACAACAAGTCTCTTTTATGCTTTCTCACACTCTTTGTTTGATGGGCCTCATCAACCTATGGTAGTGGTGAAAACCAATTTGCTCAGTTGAACAGCTCTATAATGCTTGTTAGTTAACTGTCTCCTAAAAATCATGAAGAACAGTTAAACATTTCATGAAGTTCTAGAAATTAACGTATCCTAAAAGTCTAGAAGTTAGTCCAAACAACAACAAAATAGCACCTTATGTAAGCATGGTTTTTGTGAAACTTGTGATACTTACACATTGATGGGGGAATTGTGGATTGGCGTAACCCAGTTAGAAAGCATTATAATATTATATAGCATGCATTGTCATCTAGCATATAGCGTATATGGAACCATAAATGTCCATTCTCTTCAGGAGAACAATTTTTTCCTAGATAGTCAGTCCCTAGATTTGGTTTGATGACAAATCTAAACCTCTGCATATATTTCTCATATGATTTAATACTAACTTCCATCATGAGGCTTTGAGCTACTTGAAAGCATGAATGTATGTGTGTGTGTGTGTGTGTGTGTGTGTGTGTATATATGTATATATTTATTTAGTATATATATATACTAGTTATATATATAACTAGTATATATATATATACTAGTTATATATATAACTAGTATATATATATATATACTAGTTATATATATAACTAGTATATATAAAAATAACTACTGAATAATGACAGCCATTATTCAGTAGTTATTTTTTCACTAACCAGTGTGATATGTACTTTACATATATTATTTATTTTTATAATACTTCTGTTGTTTGGTAGATATTGTTACACCACCTTCAGACATGATAAAAGTTGACCTCAGAAAGATTAATTTAGACACCTTACAGCTAGCAGCTGACAAAATCCTGAGATTACAGCATGTGTAACTCTGACTCCAAAGTGTAAAAGCCTCCACTACTGAACTCTTGATTTTGTTGTTGTTGTTGTTTGTTTTTTACAGGTTGACTAGTATTTGAGGTTACTTGTACACAGATCTTACATCCACAGATGTGGATCAAAGAACATTTAGAGTTGTCACTCATAGTCTGGATCACATTTAAAGAGGCTGTTTATATGCCATACAAACTTTCTGAGTGTGAAAGTTCTCTCATGATTTCCCAGCCATTTGTCCATTTCTCAGAGCTTGTCTGTGCTTTCCTTTCCAAGACCATAGGATAGGAAAGTTTGTCATGTGTGCACAGTATGTTCCCTATTCAGGGTTCTGAACTGTGTTGCAGTGTGGGCTGCAGCTCTGTCACCCACACTCTGTATCCTATGTTCTTTGGCTGCTCAGTAGGGAGAATTTTTCTCTTGCTGATAAATCTATAGATCACAATAAAATTTCTCTTCCTTTTACTCTTGGACCACAGCCATTAATAACTCAGCAGAACCTCACTCAGAACTTCCCCATAGTCAGTGCTCATGCTGTCCTTTGCTCCTTCTTGATACCACCTTTTCTTAAGGCCAGCAGCTCAGAAGGCCATCAGGTAGATGCAAAGTAATGTTACAGGCTGAGCATCAGAAAGGATCCTTCCACTAAAGAAGTGAAATAAATGTTACCAAGACATACTTGTGTAGTTAAGTGCAGTTGGTAAGTAGAGGAACTTTGAAGAGTCCAAGCAACAGGCCATTTATAGCAATAATCTCATTAATCTTCACAGTAGCCTTATTGTTTAACTGTTCACCACAACACTGGCTGTGTTGTGGTGTTAACTCGTTTGTTCATTTTATTTGCTTTATGTTATTCCATTAAATGAATATTACACAATTTATTTGACAATTCTGCTGTTGATAGACATTAGCATTATTTCCTATTTGGGCTTTTTATATTTTTTTTATTATACTTAAGTTCTAGGGTACATGTGCACAACGTGCAGGTTTGTTACGTATGTATACATGTGCCATGTTGGTGTACTGCACCCATTAACTCATCATTTACATTAGACATATCTCCTAATGCCATCCTTCCACTCCCCTAGAACCAGAAATACCATTTGACCCAGCCATCCCATTACTTGGTATATACCCAAAGGATTATAAATCATGCTGCTATAAAGACACATGCACACGTATGTTTATTGTGGCACTATTCACAATAGCAAAGACTTGGAACCAACCCAAATGTCCAACAATGATAGACTGGATTAAGAAAATATTTGGACATTTATAAATTATACAGCTATAAAATTCTTGCATATGTCTGTTGGTGGATATATATATGCATTCATATAGGTATTAAAATAAATACTTTAGATACATTTAACAGAGAACAATTCATGAACAGGGCAGTAATCAGAACAAGTAGTTCAGAGAGCTTTGCCCAGCAGCATGAGCAGTGAACTTTTTTAGGCCAAGCACAGAAACAAAGGAGATAAATCATCTGATTGGCTACAACTAGGCATTTGCCTTATTTGATTACAGTTTGGTCAGTTGACTGACTGTGATTGGCAGAAGCTGTTCAGTTGTCTGTCTGTGATTGGCTGAAACCTGGCTGTTTGTTACTGCTAAGTTAGGCTTCAGTTTGTTTACATACTATGTTTTATTGTAGTTTGCTATAGAAATTCAAAGTATGAAGATAGCCTCAGGCTAATGGACTCCTGCCAATTTTGCTTTAATAATTTCCCCCTTTTGGTCAGCCTCTCAAAACCTTCAACATTGACACCACTCTCTGTTACCATCCTCATGGACTTGTTTGGTCTTAGTATGGAATTCACAAGTCAGGGTGTCAGGTCAATTGATTGATGCTTTATGTTTTCCTTGTGTTTTTGTTATTCTAACCAGATTGAGACCATTTGATGCATAGTGGATGGCTGCATACAAGCATTTAAGACTCGTGATACAGTGTACCAGGGAGACTGCTATGATGACTATCAGGAGGATAATGAAAATTAGGGTTAGGAATTTGTGTAGAAATTGTTGAATTATCTTTCCCTTTAATTTTCTTATGTGGCTTCTGGCAAAAAAAACCTGCAAAACCCTCACTACAGTTTTTGCCTGCTGTCAGATTTAAACAAACACTGTGAATATATGAATCTAAAAGCCTAACACTATGGAAAGAATCAGATGTGCAATTTGAACAGTAGTTGCACTTGGAATATGAATGAAATTTGTTATAGGATAAACTAGAGGATCTCTAAGACCATGTAGGGATTTAGGTTTAATATGACATATTCATCATTCAGTTAAATTTCCTATGGAAGCTATCAATTGTGAAATTATAACCATAGCATTATCTTCCCATGCATAAACAGAATAGTGGTGCAGGAAAAAGAAGAAAAAGAGTAAACATTTCATGATGACAGAGGAAAGAAGTCTTGATCTGTGATCCAGGGAAAGCTGTCCACATGTGGGATGTCACTTGCTTCTGGGAGGAAGCTCTCTGATAAGTTGAGGTCTCCAACAGGAGTACACTCCTGAGTCTGGAGGGGCCCTCTTGAGTTGAGAGATATGGACCCCAGGCTTGAGGCTTTGACGTTTTGCTGATGTGTGGGTGGTGAGAATACAGTATGATCACTTCCAACAGGGTGAAAAGGCAGTCTTTCTCTGGTGTCATTCCCAAAAGACGCAGTCTTTAAGTCTTAGTTTGTTAAATATCTGGTTATCATTTGTGGGTCACAGAAGGCTCCTTTTAACTGATGAAAATATACATTGGCATAATACATTAAAGCCTTGCAACACTGAATCATGTCAGAGTTTATAAGAGCAGGAGATACAGAAGGTTTTAATATTAGGTACATAGATCTCCCAGTAACTATTTCATAAGGGGTTAATTTGTGTTTTCCAGTAGGGATGGATATGATTTCCATCAAGGCCAATGATAATGTCTTTAGTAAAACTATCTAGTTGATTCAGTTAACTTTGCCAATTTCAATTTTTAAATGCCACTTGTCCTTTCAACTTTCCCAGAAGACTGAATATGATAGGGATAATGGTAATGTTTGTAATAACTCATTTAACTGTTTTATAACTTTTTCAGTGAAATTAGTACTTCTATTGCGGAAGATTTCTCCAGAATGCCTCCGGTTGCCAAAAACATATTTTCTTTTTCCCCTAATTAATTAATCAATTTATTTCTAATTAACAAATAAAAGTTGTACAGATGCTGTGTATAACATGTTTTGAAAAATGTATAGATCATGGAATGACTTAATAGAGCTAATTAACGTATGCATTGCCTCACATATAGTAATCCCTTATTACCCACAGTTTCCCTTTCTGTGGTTTCAGTTATCTGTGGTCAATCATGACCCAAAGATATTTCATAACTAATTTTGCACTTTGGGCTCTTGTGAAGTAAAACAAGGGCTACTTTAACACAAGTGCTTTGTTACTGTTACTGTTGATCTTGGTAGCCAATACAGCTACTAAGTGACTAATGGCAATTGGGCAGGATGAAGTGCAGTGGTACAATATTTCATCATGCTACTCAGAATGGCATGCAATTTAAAACTTATGAATTGTTTATTTCTGAAATTTTCCATTTGTGTTACAATGCCTAGGTCATTCACCTCACTTCATCTCATCACACAGGCATATTATCATCTCATATAATCATAAGATGAAGAAGGAAGAGTACAATATAGTAAGATATTTTGAGATAGAGAAAAAGCTACCATATTTATATAACTTTTATTAAAGTATATTGTCATAATTGTTCTATTTTATTGTTAGTTATTGTTGTTAACCTCTTGCTGTGCCTAATTTTTAAATCAAACTTTACCATAGATATATATGCATAGGAAAAAACATAGTGTATATAGGGTTTGATATTATTTCTAATTCTGGACATCCACTGGGGGTCTTGGAATGTATCTTTCATGAATAAATGGAGACTACTGTACTTATCTTTTTTTGTGATGAGAATGCTTAAAATCTACTTTCAGTGATTTTTAAGAGTACAGTACATAAAGAAACACATTTTCCAATAATCTTTTAGTTATAGTAATAGCATAGACCTTCTTGCAGGGGAAAACTTCTATCCAATCAGAGAATGTACAGGCTATTTCAAGAGCATTTTGATATCCCATTGAGGGTTGAAAATGGAATGAAATCCATCTGTAAGTATCAAATGATTTAGCAGGTAGTGGAAATGTAACACCTGAGGTTTTACTGTTTTACCAGGATTATGGGTTTGGCAAACTAAGTATTGTTTATACATCATTTAAAAAATTTTAGAACAGTCAATATACTGATTTTTCTCATAATTTGTATGATTTTATCTACTCTATGCAGAGTACAGACTTTTTTTATAATGAAAGCTTTAAGGACTCAAGAATGATAAGGTGGCTATCTGGGCCCTCTCTGGGTCTTTTCTTAACATGAAATTTACATCCTTTCAGATACCAACTTTGTTTTTCAACAATCAGGTGCATAGCACTATTTATTAAATAGATCATCATAGATGCTTTGACTTGGATCAACCTTATGAAATTCATTCAAATTGCATGTTCTGACAGAAGGAAAATCTATCAAGGCATTTTCTTGGTATTCAATTAATTCTTATTCTGCTTGATGTTAGGTTAGCAGTTTTATGAATCAGTTAAGAATTCCCAGATTTCCGGGAACAGTCTAATGGTATGATCCTAAAGTTATCAGAAATCTTTACAGTTATCAAACGCCTTTCAATGAATCTTATCAAAGATAAAACACTTTGGGTTTATAGATACTAGAAATAGCTTTCAGGAAAGTATCAGAGTAAAACAATTAACTATTTGGGGATAACAAGAGTTAAAACAGCCATAGTTAAAGATCTGACTAGAGCTCATTATAATGCAACTGACAAGGAAATTTTGTTATTTCTGTGACATACAATATTTTTAGATAACTAGAATTATGACTGATAGCATTATACCAGGACTATCAGATCTCTAGGTGTTTCATACAATTTCTGAAACATGTATTCATGACACATCCAGTATGACTTAAAGGAGGTTCAGAATCACTTATTTGACAATATTTCCCATGCATTTTAACATATTATCAAATAAGCCTAATTGGTTAAAAATCCCTGCTTTTAGAAGAGCAGGAAATAAATTTATTTGAGAGATTCCAGGGGCCCATATGAAAGCTTCCAAAGTTAGTTCAAAGTCAAAAGGTTTTAATTTATAATTTATCAAAAATGTCAAAAATGGAAATTGTCAAAAATGTCAAAAAGTTTAAAACATTTGATTAAAATAGGATCACAGGTCACTGTGAATCAATACTTATTCATTTAATTAGAGTGATAATTAAAAGACTTCAAAAGCAAATACAGAAAGCCACATAGTTGTAGGAAAAACCTTAGATTTTATTAAGTAATCAAAGACTTAATAAGGACAACGTGAAGCACAGGAAATTATCTTCATAAATATATAATCTTAAAAAACAAAACATAAGCAGAATTTTTGTTCCCTAAGCCAATTACTTAAAAGGTAAAGGAAAACCTTATACAATTTCTTATTGAAAGCAGACCAGAAGTCCAGGAAAACCTTATTGTTTTAACAGAGAGAACCAAATTTTAGTTTTATGTCAGTTTGCTTTTGATAGTAATGCTCAATTTCAAAAACATGTAAACAATTTCCTTCAAATCTTAGCCAGCTTGATCACACATAAAGTTCCTTTCCCAAGATTTGTCATATAAACTTTCTATAATTTTCTTATATACCTTCAATTTTTGTCCTATATTTTTCTCTTTTCTTATTGTGCAACAGCCAATCATTCTATTTTAACAAAAATTACTTTTTCCCTTAACAAAACAAAGCACATCCTCATGACTTATAGTTTTCCTTACCAAAAACACATTTTGCCTTCCTTGTGAACTTGCATAAAATGTTGTTTCCCATATTATTTCTATGAATTTTAGTTACTTATGTCAATTATTAACCCTTAATAACCTTAATTTCCAGTGAAAGCTAAGAAGCAAGCAATTGTAAACTGCCTGGTGTATACCAACATTGTGTAATTTAACACCACCATTTCATAATTCTAGAAGCATCTTCTTTATCATAGTACACTTTTCAATGTGCCACAGGACATGCTTACTAATAGACTCACCTATCTTTAGTCTCTCTGTAATAAGAAGCTGTAAGGAAGGCAATAGTTTATCTCTATTGTCTTATTTTTTTTTGCTAGGCTTAATAATTAAATTGTTTGTACCGATTTCTCTCAGCCTCAACGTTGCATTCTGGATAAGAATGTTAAAATCTTCTGGTATAGAAAGAACATTTTTCACATGAGAATTTTATATGTATTCAGCTCATTTGTTTTTAACAATTGTGCTTGGATTGCTTATAAAAATGAGGCATTAAACAGGTAGCCATCATTTTAAGTTATTTTTCTTGCTGACAAATTTTGTAATATAAAAATAACGTACATGCATTTTACCAGTAACCCTCAGTAGAAAAAGTTGTCTGCATTATACTTAATATTGAACTCTGAAGACGTATCTGTTTTATTCAAACTGATGAACTGAATATTATTTACTAGAGTAATAATTAAAAGACTTATCTAAGGTCATGTGAACTGGAAAAACATTTTGGTTTGGTTTCTATCTTTCTAAGAGTTTAAGGAATACTTAATTTATGTAAGGGCTTATTTTCCGTTAAGCCAGTTAACAGAGCTTTTTTTTTTTTTTTTTTTTTTTTTTTTGAGACGGAGTCTCTCTCGCTTGGTCGCCCAGGCTGAAGTGCAGTGGCGGGATCTCGGCTCACTGCAACCTCCGCCTCTCGGGATCAAGAGATTCTTCTGCCTCAGCTTCCTGAGTAGTTGGGATTAGAGGCGTGTGCCACCACGCCCAGCTAATTTTCCTATTTTTAGTAGAGACGGGGTTTCACCATGTTGGCCAGGCTGCTCTTGAACTCCTGACCTTAGGTGATCCACCTGCCTCAGCCTTCCAAAGTGCTGGGATTACAGGTGTGAGCCAATGCGCCTGGCCAGAGCTTTAAAAAAAAAAAATTAATTAATTTTGTCAATACTGTGCAGAAATAGAAAAATACCACGCACACATGCATATGTACACACATACATAAATATAAACATACAGGCTTTCATTCAAAAATTTTAGCCATGTGTTAGGTAAAATAACACAAAACTCACTAATTCATTAAAAAAAATCTCTGAATCCTTTTTTGTTTTTCTGGTTGATGGAACAGGGTTATCCATCTAGATAGCTAAAGTTTTTACTAATATATCTGAAAAAGAGTTTTAAGATTTTTCATTTGAATTTTATGAGGATTCTTACAAAGAGGCAGTGTTTTGATTTGTTTAGTCTTTTAGAAGTTCTTGCATGACAGTCAAAAATACATTCCATTCTATTAGAGGTGTCCTGCATCCTTTCTTTTTTAATTTATTTTATTTTTTTATTTTTTATTTATTATTATTTTTTGAGATGGAGTCTCGCTCTGTTGCCCAGGCTGGAGTGCAGTGGCATGATCTTGGCTCACTGCAAGCTCCGCCTCCCGGGTTCACGTCATTCTCCTGCCTCAGCCTCCCAAGTAGCTGGGACTGCAGGTGCCCACCACCACGCTGGGCTAATTTTTTGTATTTTTACTAGAGACGGGGTTTCACTGTGTTAGCCAGGGTGGTCTCGATCTCCTGACCTCGTGATCCACCCGCCTCGGCCTCCCAAAGTGCTGGGATTACAGGCGTGAGCCACCGGGCCCTGCTGCATCCTTTCTTTTTTAAAGCGCCTCTCAAGTTAAAGCTTCCTCATTGTGGCCACCGTAATTCTAAGTCTTCCATAGTAAGGCTAACCATTTCCCCCAAAATACATGGTTTCTGAAATCATCTTTATTGTACATAAAAGTTGTCAGTGTCCCAGAAAAAAGAGTCCCAGACTTCTGAAGCACCAGACTCTTCAGATTTGGAGAAACCTACTTTCAAGGAGGAGGAACCTAGTTATTTATTAGATTGAATCCAATTGCAAATTCTGTTCTGTAAAAGAATTGTTCAAATAAAGTCTGGAGCTCAAAATGCAGATTTGCAGACCTTTGATCTGAGAGGAAACTCATCCTTGACTTCCAATTTAGGCAAGAAAGCAATGCGCCCAGTGGTTTCAGTGGGTAGCTTTGCTCAGTCACTTCGTGCTGTAATGCCAAACTGTTAAAAGAAAAACTTTAGAGAAATTAAATTTAATAGCGTTTATTTGGGCAAAGAATGATTCATGATTGGGCAGCACTCAGAACCAGAAGAGGATCAGAGTTCTGCCCAGCAGCATGAGCAGTAAGCTTTTATAGGCTGAGCAGGGAAGCAAAGTAGAGAAATCACCTGATGGACTAGCTAAGCATTTGCTTCTTAGGCACGCTGTGATGAGGCATTTGTCTTATTTAGGCACAGTCTGATTAGTTGGCTGCCTGTGATTGACTGAGGCTCAGCTGTTTGTGATTGGCTGAAACCTGGCTATTTCTTACAAAAAAATGCTACTAAATTACGTTGTGCTTTTTAGTGTAGGAACTCAAATTAAAGAGACAGCGTCAGGCTGATGGCCTCCTGCTTGTTTTATTTAACATTGGCATATATTTAGGAGTGTTATTGCTAGTCATGGTATGTTAAGTTTAACCTTTACATATATTGCCAAACAATTTTTCTGAGTGACTGTATCAATTTAATCACTATCATCCTTTTATGATAGTTCCCAGTGCTGCTCCTCAATAGCATGTGGCATTGTCAGTCTTCTTAACTTTAGTTCTTTGGTGGCTGTGTACTTCATCTTTTTGTGGCTTTAATTTGCATTTCCCTATAACTAATAAAGTTAAGCACCCTTACAAATGTTTACAGACCATTTTTATATAATAAGAGGGTTTTTTTTCTTTCTTTTTGTAAAGTGCTTCTTCATGTCTTTCTTTCCTCCCTTTTGGCTGTTTGTCTATTACTGAATGATTTGTAGTTCTTTATATATTGTGGATACAAACGTTTTCTTGGGTATGTGTGCTGCAAATATCTTCTCTTATTGCCTATTTACTTTTTTGTTACTTTTGATAACCAGAAGTTCATTGTCTTAATAGGGTCCGATTTAACATGTTTTTCTTTAAATATAGGGATTATTGTGTCATTTTAAAAGAACCTTTGCTCATATCAAGATCATGAAGCTATTATCTTCTAGATGCTTTATTGTTTATCTTTTACTTTTAATTCTACTATTCACTTGAAATTGATTTTTGCATATAGTCAGAAGTTGGGGTCAAGTTTCTTTTTTTCCCCATACGTCTATCTCACTGACTCAGCACCATTTATTGAAAAGACTGTACTTTTCAGCCAGGCGCGGTGGCTCACGCCTGTAACCCCAGCACTTTGGGAGGCTGAGGGGGGCAGATCAAGAGGTCAGGAGTTCAAGACCAGCCTGGCCAACATGGTGAAACCCTGCCTGTACTAAAAATACAAAAATTAGCTGAGCATGGTGGCACGCTTCTGTAATCCCAGCTACTTGGGAGGCTGAGGCAAGAGAATTGCTTGAACCCACGAGGCAGAGGTTGCAGGGAGCCGACACTGCGCTACTGCACTCCAGCCTGCGTGACAAAACAAGACTCCATCCCCCGCCCCCCGCCCCCACAAAAAGAGAGAAAAGACTGTACTTTTCTGTCACTCTTCAGTACCACTTTTATCATAATTCAAGAGTTCATGTATGTGTGGATCTGTTTCTGGACTATATTTTCTATTTCATTATTAATTTAGCTACCCTTGGACAAATTCCACATGGTCTCTATTACTGTATCTTCAAAAGTAAGTCAAAGTCTGGTACAAAAATACTTACTCTTTTTTTCTTCTTTTCCAATTTTGACTTACCTGGTTTTAGCTTCTTATATTTACAAAGAAATCTTAGGATTCATTTGTCAATTTCCACATACATGCACAAACCCTCCTGAGATTTTGATTGTGATTGAATTGAATTTATAGTCCAATTTGGTGAGAACTGACATATTTACAATATTATTTTCTAATCATGAACATGATGTATTTCCCTGTTCAATTTGTGTTTAGATTTTCTTAATGGTACTTTATGGTTTGCGAGAAGTATCCACATTTGTTAGATTTATTCTCTGATATTTAATATTTTTGATGCTACTGTAACTGGTTTAATTACAACATATTATTTCACATTCTTTGGTTGTTATATTGGAATACAATTGATTTTTGATAATGGCCTTTTATCCTGGAAACTTGCTAAACTCATGCATTAATTCTAATAGGTTTTCTGTAGATTCCTTTAGATATTCCACTTAAACCATCATATTATTTGAAAATATTGCAAATCTTCATTCCCAATCTCTTTACCATTTATTCATTTAGTCTAATTTCACTGTTTGAAAGCTTCAGCACAGTGTTAAATAAAAGTGCTGATAGTGGGCATCTTTGTGTTATACTCAGTCTCAGAAAGGAAGCTCTCGCCATTTCACCATTAGCGTTTGCTGTACTTTCTTTCAGAAAAACAGGTATCTTTTATCAGATTAAGCAAGTTTCTTTCCTTCTCTAGTTTTCTAAGGGTTTTTTTTTCCCATGAACGGATATTAAAATTTATAAAATACTCAAGCGTAACTTTCTGTTTATTCTGTTAATGTGGTGAAAATATGGTTTTTTGCTTTATTTTGTTAATGTAGTAAAATGCACTGATGATTTTTGATGTAAAACTGACCTTATATTCTCGTGTTGCTGGCATAAACTAGACTTGTTTTTTTGAAATATGATATAAACACACATAAACAACACACACACATCTTTAGAGTTAACATGCACACATTAACACATTGAGTCATGTGAGATATCTATAAATTCAATGTGTTAATACTTTTGTGTAGTATTTTTGAATCTATATTAATAAATGAGATTAACCTGGTTTTTTAAATTATAGAGTTCTTTTTTTTTTTTGAGACGGAGTCTTTCTCTGTCGCCCAGGCTGGAGTGCAGTGGTGTGATTTCAGCTCACTGCAAGTTCCACCTCCCAGGTTCATGCCATTCTCCTGCCTCAGCCTCCTGAGTAGCTGGGACTACAGGCGCCCGCCACCACGCCCGACTAATTAATTATAGAGTTCTTATCAGATTTTCTGTCAAGGTTATCATGGTCTTGTAAAATGAAATTGGAGCTATTAAGGACTTTTAAATTCTCTAACAGTGTTTTTACCAATTGGTGTCATTATTTTGTTATATACTTTATATGTTTTATAAGCTTTCTGGACCTAAAGGTCTCATGCATTTGTGTGAGCGTGGGAGATGTTAAAAAAATATATTCAAAACTACAATAGATAGGACGATTCAGATTTTCTATTTCTCGGGGGTCAATTATGGTATGTCATGTTTTCCTAGAAATTTGTCCCTACATCTCAATTATAAAATATATTGACAGAAATATATTATAATATTATATTTGTAATGGTTTTAAGAGTTATAGCCCTGCCCTATTTTCCACTTTGACTCTTGGTTATTTATGCTATCTTTTTATAATTCTCTTCAGAAATCTATTAACTTTATATTTTTTTCAATGGACCAGCTTCTACTTTGTTGATCACATACTTTATGTTTGTTCTTTATTTCTTTATTATCTGTTCTTTATTTTTTCTATTTACTTTGGGTATAATTTACTGGGTTTAGGAACTTCTTGAGATGGATGCTTAGGTCATTGATTCTTCAGTCTTCTTGAGCTAGCAATAAAGGAAGGACCATACGACACCTTAACTTCATTTATCTCCCTTCTCTCCTCCGTGTGCTATTGTTGTTGTGTATTCTATTGCAAATAAATACTATAATAGTAATAGTAAATACTGTGCTTTTTGTTTCTATAATTCCCTAGAATCTGGGCTATCCCTGTGACTTGCTTTGACTAACGGAATGTGACAGAATGACGTTGTGCAACATCCAAATCAGGACTTAAGAAACTGTAGGCAGCCATCATGCTGTGAACGCAAGCTGTGTGGAGAGACTAAGTGGAGGTGAATGGAGTCAGTTCAGTCAACAGCCCTACCTGATATTTCAGTCCATAACTAGCCCTGTGTGTCAGCCCTGTGAACAGGTCGTCTTGGACTTTTCACCCCAGTTGAGAATAATGACTACATCCTCAGCTGATAGCACATGGAACAGAGGAACTACCTAGCTTAGCTGGGCCCATATTGCAGAATTGTGAGAGATCATGAAAAGTTGTGTTTTTTTTATAACTATACATTTATTTAATAAAAATTTCAGTAATATTATTGCATATTTTTTTCAATGCTCTTTACAGGTATTATGGCAGATTATAAATAAATGCTCAGAGGGTTTCCCTCTACTCACTCTTATAACTGAGATGGGTTAGGGTCTTTCAGGAATAAACAACACAAGTTCTTTCCAGAAAAACTAGCACAATAAAATAAATATTAGCAAAGTGCACACACACCTCCTTTTTCTGGAATGCTCTTTACTTTTTCCATCTGCTACTGTCTGCAATGCCCCCTGGAGTCACATCCCTCATGAGGCCCATTCCCCAGCACTGGAATTGGGCTAGGAAGGGGGAGCTGGGATAAATGAGCCACTTTTTCCTTTGTACTCCCAATATACTTTTTATGGAGCTTTAATATAGGACCTTTTTTATTTTAGTTTGTAATTGCAGTAGTTGTTTACACCTTTCTATTCTCTGGCAGACTGGGATCTCCTTAAGGACAAAGATTACCTTCTTAACTTTGGTATCTGTCTTAATCTATTCATTCAGGCTGCTATAAGGAAATGCCATAAAATCAGTGGATTATAAACAACAAACATTTAATTCTCACAGTTCTGGAGGTTGGGAAGTCCAAGATCAAAGTGCTGGCAGATTCAGTACTTTGTGACTTAAAACAAATGCAACCTTTCACAGTTTACCTGAAAGGAATTTTCCAGATTAACTCTGAAATGTGTTTGTTTTAAGCCACAAAGTTTTGATGTGGTTTGTGATATTTTATAGATTACCAAAACAAAAACTTTCATTAAGCATTAAATGAATTAATAAATATATGACTTTATAAATAGTGATGGGTGTATGGTGATTGCCTGGATAAGTTTCTGTCAATTCTTTATATATTAGGAAGAAAAAAGCCAATGTTGATTCATGAAAGGAACAGTGAATACAAATTGGTTGAACTACTGCAAAAGAACTAGAAACTCTTGGAAAGATTTAGAGCTAAGTCAATTACATTACTCCTTTGAATATGAAGCTGTCATGTAAATACAGACTTGTCACAAATGCATTTGTTATTTCCTAATATTCTATAAGAAGTAAGCACCATTAGTGACTTAGGCCACCTACCTGGCACATAATATAAAACCAGAAGTGAGCATGGGTGGGCATTGTTTATTCTGGAGTTTAGCTATAATTTTGAGTCTCTATTTTTAATTAAATTGCTCAAAACCAAAACCTCTTCACCTTCAAGACACATGTCAAATCTTCATACTTATAAATTATCATAAATATATAGATTTTCATTGTAAAGGAGGAAACTATTCAGTTAAAAGTGTCTGCCCCACCTTCCATTAACAATCTTCCCAAATTACCTACAGGAAGAGTTTTTATGTTTTTTTATAAAATCACAAAGAAGATATTCTGTAATCATTGCTTAAAGACAAAAATTGACATGAGAAAGAAGGTAATTTTCATTTTTTAGTGGGGAGGGAAAAAATTTAAAAAAGGAGACTGGCAGGAAAAAAATGCTGGGTCTTTAGCATTTAAAAAATATTCTAGGTAAATTTTCATGGTATGCCCCAATTTCCTTCACTGCCACAATTGCCTTTTGCATAAAGAAATACTGAGTTTTTTTAATAAGGTTACAAACAGGTTCTTCCAATTTTCCTTTCTCTGTATTGTAAAAGCAGTGCACTTTTTAACAGTGACACTCTTCATACTTTATATTCTTCTCATTTTAAAGATGAAGAAAAGTTCAAGGAACCAACGGAATATCAATAGTTATTTGACATCATAAAAGACTAAAAATTTCAAGAAAATAAACATCAAAGCCTTTATTATTTTTGATGAAATCTATTTCACTTCCTACAAGTAAGCCAATACTAGGACACATGTGATTTTTAGCATTCAAATACTCGCTGATATATTTCAGCATGTATTGCCTAACAACGAGGACATTCTCATCCATAAACAAAATACAATTATTATACTATGTAAATTTAACACTGACAATTCTATTATCTTATGTATAGTTCATATGCAAATTTCTCCAATTGTCTCAATGGTGCCTTTTAAAATATTTTGTTGTTGTCTTATTTGATTCAAAATCCAATCAAAATCATACATTACATTTTGTTTCATTAGTCTCCTTAATCTAGCATAATTCACCACCCTTTTTATGATTTTTATGATACTGGCATTTTTGAAAGCATTTGTTGAAAAATGTCCCTTATTTTGGATTTTTTTCCTCATGATTACATTCAAGTGAAACTTTTTTTGCAGAAATATTATCTAGGTGATCTTGTGATTTCTGTGTCTCACTGATTGCTAAATTACACCGTTTTGGTTAATTGGTATCTTCCAGACTTTTGCATTGTAATTAATATGTAGCCTGTAAAGTGATACATTGACACAATGAATATCTTGTTCCCCAACATTTCTATACTCATTGGTTTTCTTGTCTGAGTCAATAACTATTATGGTTAATGCAATACAGTGATTTTCTATTTTTATAGCTTGAAGGATTTTGCCACCTTTTAGGTTGAGTTAAGGCAGTACATGGGTTTTATTTAGGATTGTTTAGTATTCCTACCACTTACTAGTAATATCCCAAATTTCTTTTGGGAAACCACTACTTTCCTATTCTTCTCCATGTGATTTGGAGTTCCCCTCCACTTTTAAGGATGGGCCAAAATGACAGTCTAATCTCACCTCTCTGGCCATGACGAATGTTTCAAGAACGGCACCTGACCCCCTAAACACTGATAAGATCAGCAACAATAGATTTTCTGAGACTCCTGCGAAAGTGAAGCAAGCTCTCTCTTTCATAGGAATTACCAGGGATAACCATCATTCTTTCTCAGAAACCTCATCCTATGTATCTTAATTGTCTAGTTGACCACCGTAATGAGCTGGACTGTGCCCCTGCAAAATTCATATACTGAAGTCCAAACACCTAGTACTTCAGAGTTTGACTGTATTTGGAGAGAGAACCTTTAAAGACATAATTAAGATCACTAGAATGGGTCCTCATCCAATAAGACTGGTGCTTTAATAAAAAGAGGTTAGTCTCTCTCAACAAGTTGAGTATAGAATAACTATACCTCAAAATGATAAAGACCAGATATGACAAACCCACAGCTAATATCATACTGAATGGGGAATAATGGAAAGCCTTTCCCGTAAGATATGAAGCAAGATAAGGATGCCCACCCTCACCACTACTATTCATTGTAGTCCTGGAAGTCTTAGCCAGAGCAGTTAGGTGAGAGAAATAAAGGACATCCAAATTAGAAAGGAAGAAGTCAAATTATTCTTGTTTGCAGAGACATGATCTTATATTTATAACATCTTGGACTTCACTAAAAGACTCTTAAAACTGATTAATAAATCCAGTAAAGTTGCAAGATAGAGAACCGATATACAAACATCAGTAGTATTTCTATATGGTAACAATAGTTAATCTAAAAAAAATCAAGAAAGCAATCCCCTTTACAATAACCAAAAAAAAAAAAAAAAAAAAAGTGGGAATACATTTGACCAAACAAGTGAAAGATCTTGACAAGGAAAATTATAAAACACCAATGAAGGAAATTGCAAAGGACATGAAAAAAATGGAAAGGTATTCTATGCTCATCGACTAGAAGAATTGATATTGTTAAAGTGTCCCTACTACCTAAAGCAATCTACAGATTCAATGCAATCCCTATCAAAATACCAATGACAGTCTTCACATAAACAGAATAAACAATCCTAAAACTCATATGGAACCAAAAAAGACCTCAAATAACTAAAAAAATGTCTTGAGCAAAAAGAACACACCTGGAGGCATCACACTACCTGACTTCAAATTATACTACAAAGCTATAGCAACCAAAACAGCATGCTACTGGCATATAAATGGACACATAGACCAATGGAATAAAATAGATAACATAAATAAATCCATGCACTTACAGCTGACTCCTTTTTTTCAAAGGTATCAAGTGCATATGATAGAGTTTGGCTCTGTGTCCCCACCCAAATCTCACCTTGAATTGTAATCCCCATAACCCCCACGTGTCAAGGGAGGGACCAGGTGGAGGTAACCGAATCATTGGGGTGGTTCCCCCATGATGTTCTCTTGATAATGAGTGAGTCTCACCAGATGTGATGGTTTTATTAGTGTCTGGCATTTCATCTGCTGGCAATCATTCTCTCTCCTGTCTCTCTGTGAAGAGGTGCCTTCTGCCATGATTTTAAGTTTCTTGAGGCCTCCTCAGCCATGTAGAATGGTGAGTCAATTTAACCACTTTTCTTTATAAATTACCCAGTCTCGGGTATTTCTCCATAGCAGCATGAAAATGGACTAATACAGCATACATTAGAGTAAGAACGGTGTCATTAAAAAGTGGTGCTTGGAAAACTGAATATCCATATGCAGAAGAGTTAAACTAGGACCCTGTCTTTCACCATACACAGAACTCAATGCAAAATGGACTGAACAATTAAATATAAAACTTGAAACTACAAAAAAACTAAAAGAAATCATTGAGAAAATGCTAGAGATGTTGGTTTGGACAATGATTTTTGGGTAAGACATCAACAGTGTAAGCAACAAAAGCAAAAATAGACAAATGGGATTACATCAAGCTAAAAAGCTTCTGTACAGCAAAGAAAACAATCAACAAAGTGAAGAGACAACCCACAGAACAGAAGAAAATATTTGCAAACTATTCTTCTAACACGAGATTGATAACCGGAGTATATTAGTAACTCAAACAACTCAATTGCAAAAACCAACCAATAAACCAACCAACCGAACAAACGAAACCCCCCAAACCCACAGGAACAAATAATCTGAAATAACCTAAAATGGAACTACTATATGATCCAACAATGCCACTGATGGGTATACCCCCAAAATAATGGAAATTAGTATACTGAAGATATATCTGCCCTCCTTTATTTATTGCAGCAGTATTCATAATAGCCAGGATATGGAATGAGCCAGTGTTCATTAATGGATGAATGAATAAAGAAAATGTGGTAAATATACACAATGGAATACTACTTGGCCATAAAATAGAATGGAATCCTGTCATCTGCAGCAATATGGATAGAACTTACTGGGAGGTCAGTATATTTAGTAAAGTAAGCCAGGCACAGAAAGACAAACATCACATATTCTCACTTATTTGTGAGATCTAAAAGTCAAAACAATTGAAATTATGAAGATAGAGAGTAGAAAGATGGTTACCAGAGGCTGTAAAGGGTGTGTGTGTGTGTGTCGGGTGGGGAGGCGGGATGAAAAGAAGCTGACTAATGGGTACAAAAATACAGTTAAATAGAAAGAATAAGCTTTAGTATTCAATAGTACAGTAGAGTGACAATAGTTAACAATAATTTATCGTATATTTCAAAATAGCTAGAAGAAAATGAAGTTTTCCCAACACAGATAAATGTTTGAAATGATGGATATCCCAATTGCCTTGATTTGATTATTATATATTGTATGCTTGTATCAAAATACCACTTGTACCCCCTAATATGTACAGCTTTTTTTATATCAATAAAAAAAGGAAATAAAACTTGCAAACAAATAAAAATGTCAGGACACACCACTCTGTGTGCAGCTGCCACTTCCTTTTCTTTGAGAAAATAAAAATTTTGCTACTTAAAGGGAAATAAAATCCTAAATTGAAGAAAGACAAAAAAAAAAGATAAATGAGTACAGAGACATGCAACAGTGAAAGCCCACATGAAGACACAGGGAGAAGATGGACATCTGTGAACCAAAAGACAGAGGCTTCAAAATGAAACCAACCCTGCTAACACCTTGATCTTGGACTTCCAGAAGTGTAAAGAAATAAGTAACCACATTTAAGTCTCCTAGTCTGTGGTACTTTGCTATGGCAGCCCTAGCAAGGGAATGCAACAATTTGGCATAAAGCCTGGACCTGACGATGAGACTCTTGAGCTATGAAAGTGGCCTATGGAATCTGAGGGTGGAGGCCAAGCCATAGAACGCAAAGCAGAGAGATACAGAGAAACAACTCTTGGTCTACTACTAACTGAAGTCAACCTTCCTGCAAAATACTGAGTTACATAAACCAGTAAATTCTATTGTTTAAACTGCATTTTTTTTCTCAAAATACAGATCCTTGCAGATGCATGTAGCATAGCACCACCAGTCTAGCCCCTTCATATCCACGTAGAGTTACTGGCCAGCTTCAGTTGATCTTGGTTACCCAGGATACAGCTACATTCCAGGATAGTGGCAAGCTCTCAGGAGACTTCTGATGGAGGAGCTCAAGAGCTTCCAATGGAAGGGATGAGTTAGCATGGTGACTGGGGGTGGGGTAGAGGAGGGAGGTCTGAGCCTTCCTGGATGAGTGTGGTGTGAGACAAGGGCAGAGATTCTGGTTGAGAGAGTGATGCTTTTTGTGAGTGCTATCAAAGTTCAATGAATAGAAATGGCAGAGGGAAAGGTACAGAACTGGGCTTTAACCTTTGTTCAGACAATGACTGCTCTGCTACCCTGTTCCCAATTTCTCTATCATATTGTGACATATGTCCTCTCAATCAAAGTTATGAGTATTCTCTGCCTCAAAGGCAAGTTGTGAGGATGAAATGAACAATTTGCAGCTCATTTCAAGTTCCTTAGAGAAAAATTATTGACCTCTAAATACTGGATTTGATCTGCATTTTTCCCATTTAATGCATGTGTGATTGTACTTTAGGGGTAAGCAACTGTTGGGCAAATTAAGCACACAATATAAAGATTAATTGATAACTTATATGTTTGTTTCAGCTCCCCATGCTAATTAGCAATAAGTGTATGAGTCCTAGAGAATCATATATTTTTTTTCAAATTATTCTCATATTTTATAATTTTCATGAGAAAAACTGTAGGAAGTCAATAATATTCTTACATTCAAGTTCTGAGAACATAGAGGACTTTTATTCATTTATGGCTTACACATTTATTTTGACCTCAAAAATAGATATAGTTTCTTTGGTTTTATGAATCAAAACTTAATATTTTAAAAACAATTGATTTTTACCAAAGACATATACATAAACAAAGCATTCTAAGCCTATTAAAAATTAAAAAGACTGCTAATCTAACACATATTTTGACTTTAATGAACTTCATCTACAGTCAGCACCTAGTGGAATACATTGCAAATTTAAAAGGTGTCAGGGTTATCTCAATTCCTAGCAGTTCTGTGCCAACCTCTTCACCTTGAGGGCCCTTCTGTATTCTTAAGGGAATGCAGCCTATGCCCTAGGTAGGTTCTTAGAGGCTCTGTGGTTGATGACACAATTTCTTGGATAGTTCAGGCTATTCATTTTTACCATGATTAGGGGTAAAACCCTAGTTAGCAGAATGCTTTTGGGATCTAGATTATCCATATAACGGTGTACATGATAAATTTGTTGCAGGGTATGAAATTCCAAGGGGTTAGGTTGTTAATTCATAAGGGTATCTTATTTTAAGCTAGTTCAAACTATGAAAACAGATTTCTCTCCAAAACATATAAAAGGATAAGACTCATAAATAAGTCATAAAGATATGTCATCACCAACATGGGTGTAACTGAGGTATCCATGGATGGATGCCATCTGGATAATTCAGCAGCCTTATAACTAGTTTCCCAGACATCTTTCTTTCCCTTTCATTACCCTAGTCTTTGCCACAATACAGTGCCCTCATTGCAGTGCATTGGGATAAGTTATCTTTGTAAAATTCTGTCATCTCAAACTAAACCTATTGTCATGGAAGAAAAACGTAACACAAAGAAGTCTTAATCTCTTAGGTGGCGAAACACACAGAAACACTAGAGGAGGTCCTGGTTAGCCCTTCACTTGAAACTCAAGTGATAAAGTCAAATGCAAATAGAAAATAGTAATTTAAGAGAGGGCTTCATTATTCTCTTTGACTTTCCCTAAGACAAATCCCTGGGCCTGAGACCTTAAACGTTAACCTCTAGTCTCTGAGGATATCCTGTGGAGGTTTGTTGAGAACATCCTTCCTGTAACTTCTTCCTACCTCTCTCTTCCTTAGCCCATTGGCTTCCATGACTCATTCATTAACAAGTCCTCTTCGAATGATACCGTCCTACCATCTCTGGCATGGGGCCTCTTCTTACTTTACGTTTCATCAATGGATGAGGTGGGAATAGAGTTGAGTCCTCTGGATCCTGAGAAAGGAGGAGGGAATGTGTGCAAGCCCTCACCATTTGGGGTCTCAGGTTGGATTCTAGTTGACAAGACAGACCCTTTACCCTTCAAAGATCTTTTAAAATTTATTTTTAATAATGCAAAAGAATCGTTCTGCTTCTTTCCTTTGCCTTGAATTACATTACACTAGTTGTCAAGACATTGCCAGACTTATCCAATCTTGTGACTTGGCGTATGAGACTCCACATGATCAGGCCCCTGCCTCCCCTTCTATTTTCCTCTCAGCCCATTCTCTCTGACACTTCTGTGCTCTGGCTATATAGGACTTCTCTGGTCTGAACACTCAACTATCTCAAGGTCTTCAAGAATGTTGGTGCCTAGAATGATTTCCTAACACATCACGCTCTTCACTTCACCCCTACGCTCCTCTTTGTCTTTCAGGCATCATTGTACGTGTTACTTTCTAAGGCAAGCTCCCTTAGAGACTCGGTTAAATTACTTCCTACATGGCTCATAGCACAGTGTGCAACTCCTTTTCAGCAAAAAACTTTCCTTATTATCAGTTTATAATTTCGTAGTTACCAAGAAGTTTCAAGAATAGTAAATAGAATCCTTTGGCCAGATTCACCTGTTGTTAATATTTTGTCTTATTAGCCTTATTGTTGGCATTCTCTTTTCTCTCTCTCACTCTCTCTCTTCCTCTTTCTCTCTCTCTCTCTCACACATACACACACACCACATACATAGGTTTTTCTTTTTAACCATTTGGGTGTAGGTTGCATACATTATGCAAATAGGATGACGTATTTATCCCTAAATACATCTGTGTGTATTTTCTAAGAATAGAGATATTGTCTTTCATAACCACAGTAATCACCTTTAGTAAGCTTTACATTGGCACATTACTTTTATCTAATTACGATCTATATAATATCTTTTGTTAATTCACCCACTAATGTCTTTTTAAAGCATTTTTAGTAATACTGGATACAGTGTAGGCTCATTCGATTATCTTATCTCTTTAATTTTAAAACATTTAGTCTCATACAATTTCCATACCTTCTATGGTCTTTTTCAAGAAATCAATGTTTTTTAAAAAAACTTGCCTTTTCCTTTTCAGGAGAACATTTTCAGTTTTGGTTTTGTGCAATGTTTTATTATGGTGAGATTTATACTTTGCCTTTCAGGCTGGAATAATGCATAAGTGATACTGTGTTGTGTCAGAGATATCATTGCTGTTTTAATTAATTATTTCTTTGTTCTGCCCTTTTTGTTGGATAGAAATCATCAAGGGAGCAGTGACCAACCTTATTCTATTTACATTTTTAGCTCCAAAACTGACCACAAGGCCTGGCACATGATAGGTGCTAAATAAATATTTGATGACTGGCAGAGGTGATAATGTAAATTTTCACTTAACTTTTCAGAAGCCTGCCTGAAATTGGGTGCAGTTTTGCAATGCTATGCAGGATTATCTTATCGTTACTAAATTTAAACGTGTTAGGCTGGTGACCCCAGGCTCTTTGTCCTTTCCTTGATTAAGAAGTAGAGCTGAACTAGGTTTACCTCCTTCTATACCTCTTCCCTTTTACTGTCCGAGGTGCCCAATCCTCAGTGATTAGTGAGTATGCCCTGTTCTGAGTGGCCTCAGTGTGAGAAAATACATATTTCTCTTCATTTTGCCAAAAAAGCTGAAGGCATTTTTTTCTCAGACAGCAATGAATGCATATTAAATGAACTGTAATTGTCTGCTAAATGTATTTCATAAACAAGCAAACCAGAGCTAGATTTTTCTGAGCCTTTAAAATACTTGGGATACTAAAAATATCCTGTCAACCTTGAGCACAAAGCTGTCAAGCCAGAAACATTAAGCATTTCTGAAAAAGAATTCGGAGGAGGTTGGTGGAGAAACATTGAAATTCATTGTGAATCTCATTTTTTAAGAATGAGGAGGCAGCTATAACATTGATGTGCATTTATCCTAAATGAAAAGAATGAATGAATTCCACTCACACTGTAGGACACACAACTCACTGAGATTTTGCACATTATGAAAATTTCCCCTTTTGCTTTTCAAGAGTGTTATCTGTGGTTGGTTTGTCAAGCAGGTATATGCCATTAAATGGTGAGGCTAGAGCTAAAAAAGGTTTAAATAAGAATATATTGATATGTTTATATATGTTGAAGAAATGTTCCTAAATATGAAAATGTCTCAAAATGTTTTCCAGAGTTTGACAATTTTTTAAAACACTCCCATTTGAAAAGTATCTGCAGTAATGAACTGCTAGTCAGAACTAAAACTGAGAAAGAAAAAGAAAATAAAACCGCGCAGGAATGATCCTCACTGAGGAGCATTTTCTGCTGGGGAGTCCATTGGCATTCAGTTGTCTCATTTAATTATCCCTTGTGTGATTCAACCATTATTTATGAGCTTCTTCTTGTTCTTAAAGAGCTCTGGGCTCTGCTTGCCAATGTTATGGCATATGACGAGGCACAGTTATGCGGCGGGGGGTGCGTGTGATAATGCATTGGTCCACACTCCTGGCATGTTTTCTATCTGAACTCATCAGCTGCCAAAAGGATGCAGAGCTCTCTCTTTAAAGATAAAACACTAACTGGGGTTTCAACATTGTGTGGGATTTGGCAGGCATCACATGCTCCTGCATTATTTAGGTAGAATACAGTCCCTAAAATGTGAGCAGTACATGTTCAATAAAAATCATTTGCATGGGATTTACACCAGTTTCTGTCTGATAGAATCTCTGCCACTTGCAATGAGGAAATGAATTGATAGAAATAGTCTGATCTTAATTAATGTAGTTGTTAGACATACAATCAATTGAAGCATTTCACGTTTTTACTTTCTGTCCAAACTCCCCTACCGCCTCCATTCCCAGTTTGAATTAAATAGTCCATTGTGGATCTGCCTTGCTTTCAGCTGAGTTAGAGTGTTGGTACGAAATGTAAAAAGCAACAGAAACATCCTACTAATTTCTGGATGGGAAAAAAAGGGAGGCAATGATTAATAGTGGAAAACACTGAAAAAATTCAGTTGCCAGCAGCATTATAGCTATTTTAAACAAATTAGTACCATTGACTTAGAATATAATATGGAGATAAATGGTCATTAATAAAGTTAACAGTGATTTTTTGTTATTAGCAGCTAAATTCGGCTCCATGTCAAGCTAAGTAAAAACATTACTTAATAAAGATTTTTGAAATAAAAATTATAGCTTTGGACACAACTGGTACTTAATATATTTTAATTAAAATGCCATTTCTAATTAGACTTTTGACCCTACAATGGAAAAATCTCTAATTGACCAGGTCTCCTAGATGACAGTAAACAAAGTGTTTAATAGAAATGACTAAGCAAATCACGGTGAACCATTGATCTTGCCAGCTTATTAAATTGTATTCTCAAACTAGATTGACATGTAGGAATAGATACAACTGTAATTGAGGAAATTAGTAAGTTCTTATTCATAGTCTTAAAAGACTATGAATAACAGAACATACGTTGTAGAGTCATAGCAATGAGTCATAGTAGTTATTGGATTGGTCTGGTGTAAATTAGTTTCCTAAGACACAGTCTATATAGTCAGAAAAAGTTTGCATATTTAACCTCTTCTAAATAAATATTAAGAGCTTTAGTATCATTAATAAAATTTGCAAATTTACTCATCTCTTCAGAGGTTTATTCCCTTCCTACTAACCATCCACAACATTAAAGCAAAAATATAACAAAGCTTTTAAAACAAAAAAAAATCTATTTGCCATTGACATACCTGAGATCTACAGCATGCAGGTCTTCTTCCAATTACTGGACAAAATATGTATGTTTCAAGTGTGTGTCAGTGACTTCAAGTTTGAATCACCTGCTGTCAGAGTTTCTACTTAGTCAATTGGCCATTCAGATGAATAATTTAAAGAACCTGCAAACAACTCCATATTTTAAAGACTATTTAAGCTTATTTCTGTATTAATAATATAATCTAAAACTTAGATATACCACCTGTGATACTTGCTGTTTTCCTCCCCCACCTCGACGGAATTGCTTCAAAAAGATAACTAGTTAGAATACATATCATTACTATTTCTAATAGTAATATTATCATTATTTGGTTGTAAATATTTCAATAATCAAGAAACTTTCAATTAGGACTATTTTATTCATTTTTACATTCAAAATGACTAAAATTTTACATGCTCTATAATTATGTTTTATAAAATATAATAATCTTTATTGTTAATATATGAAATATAGATTTTTATGTACCAGTTTCCTTAAATCCCTGTTGAAAAATTCATGTATCTTCAATGACACATATTTCAAAAGCAGAGAACACCAGAAAAAGAAACGTAACAAAATCCTTTGCACCTAGAACTAGCAAATGCCAACTTTTGCCATATTATCTTTAAATTTTGCTCAACTTATCCCCAATGCAAACTGCTTTCTCCATCAAGTAACCACTGTCATGAAGTCGGCATGTGTCCTTCTTGACTGTGCTTTATATTTTGCTGTGTATTTGTGTGCTCATAATACTATACTACACTATTTTGTTTTTAAACAATGTAATTGATATTAGACAATATGCATAATTCTGCAACTTGCTTTATTGACTCAACACTGTTTTCAAGGAAAATCATAGCTGTTTTAGGAATGTATTCTGCTTGTTAAAATTAGAATTATACACATTTCAACTTCAACTAGACATTATCAAGATGCCTTCCGATGTAGGGGTTCCAAAATACACCTCTACTCACAGGCATGGAGAGCTCCCACTTTCCTACATCCTTGCCAATATTTCTTTCATCTGGCAAAAAGTTATATAATGCTTAAAAATGGGCACGTTCTGTTCTCAGAATTTTGAAAACACAAACTCATTTAATTCTCTTTACAATTCTGTGACAAAGTTGCTTTAATGTTCTCATTTTACTGATGAGAAACTGACATAGACAGATTAAATAACTTGCCATAGTGATATAACTAATAAAGGGCAGAGTTACTTTTGAAATCAGACAATACTTGTCATTTACATATTTTTATTTTTATTTCTTTTGCCTATCTTTTAGGTGATATAATTCATCTATCCAATTATTAGTGTGGTTGAACATCTTTTCAGTTACTGGAAGTTCAAATTGTCCCTTTCCTATAAATTATTTCTTGATATCATATGCCCATTTTTCTATCGAGTTATTTGCTTTTCTCTTGCTTATTTGTATGAGTTCTTTACATATACTTGCTACTAATTATCCCTTGTTGATCATATGTAATGAAAGTACCTTTGCTCAGTTTGTAGCTAGTCTTTTCGTTTTCCATAGACATTTTTTTGAAGATGCAGAGACAATGAGACAATGCTATTAATATTTTTTCATGTACTCTTTTGTGCTCTCTATAAGACAATCCTTTCCTAACTTGACCTCAAATAGATATTCTATATATTCTTCTAAAGCTTTAAGTTTTTAATTTGTTTTCAATATTTATAAAAAGAAATTTCATGTTGAGAGGTAACGTAACTTTATTTTCCATTTTGAAAATAAACTGTTACAATGAGTCTTATTAAAAACTCATTTGTCAGCCTTGGGCTTGTAATATCACCTCTGTCAAATGCCCAATTTTCATATAAGGATGCGTGTGTCAATTCTGCTTCACTGCCTTCTGTATCTATTTCTGCAGCAATACTACCATGTTTAAAAACCAAAGCCTTATAATGGTTTGAATATCTGGAAGGGTGGGTCTTTTGTCCTTGCCATTCCCTTTTCATTCAGATACTTTTCTTCTTAATTTTCTTTTGATCTAATATGCAGAGAGTACATTTGGAGTATATTTTTTAGAAAAGCATAGTCTAGGTTTTGTTTTGCTTTGGTTTTCTGTATCTTTATTGATGATTTATATTTATAGGATTGCCAGATTTAGAAAATAAAAATACAGGATGCCCAGTGAAATTTGAATTTCAGATAAACAACAAATAATTTTTAAATTTAAGCATGTATCAAATATTGTAGGGAACATGCTTTTACTAAAAATTTATTTATTTATCTGGAATTCATATTTAATTAGATGTCCTGTATTTTATCTGAAAATTCTATTTCAATTGTCTTGAAATGGAAATTAAGAAAACATGTCATTTGACAGCAAAGACATGAAATCAATAAAGAAAATGTGGTACGTATACTCCATGGAATATTATGCAGCTATAAAAAGAGTGAAATCATGTTCTTTATAGCAACATGGATGCAGCTTGAGGCTAGTATCCTAAGTAAGTTAATGCAAGAACAGAAAACCAAATACCACATGTTCTCACTTATAAGTGGGAACTAAACAATGGGTATTCATGGACATTGAGATTACAGCAGTAGACACTGGGGACTTACAGGGGAAGTGGAAAAGGTTGAAACTATTGGGTACAATGCCCAGTACCTGGTTGATGGGATCAGTTATATCCCAAACCTCAGCATCAAACAATATACCCAGGCAACAAACCTGCACATGCACCCCCTGAATCTAAAATAAAAGTTGAAATTATTAAAAAATAAATAAATAAAAAGGAAAGAAAGAAGAAAGAAAATGTGACCTGTATAATATTTATTCTTTGAACTTTGTTAAGACTTTCTTCATGTTTGTGTTTTGTAATTGTTCATATGTGTGTTTTTTTTCTTTTTTAATAGAGGCTGGGTCTTGAAATGTTGGCCATGTTGGTCTTGAACTCAGCCTCAAGCAATCTTCCCTCCCGGCTTCCCAAAGTGCTGGGATTACAGGCGTGAGCCACCACACCAGGCCTGTTCATATGTGTTTAAAAGGATATATTTTTTGCTTGTAGGCTGCAATGTGGATATACACTTATTAAATGAAATCAACTAACTGTGTTGTTCCAATCTTCTATAATCTTATAATTTTTTCTTTGCTTTATCTATCAGTTCCTGGTAGAGGTATATTATTGCATATTCATCTATTTCTTTTTAACATTATGAAGTTGTATTTCAAACCAATTTGTTAGGTACACACGAATTCATGATAATTGTATAATTTTTGGTAGATTGTAGTCTTTATCTTTAGATACCGTAACTTCTTATCCTTATTGCTTTTTTTCTTAATTTGTTTTATCTAAAATGCTTATTGTTACATGTCTTCTTTTGGTTGATACAGTATTTGCGTTTTATAACTTATCCTATTTAAGATATTCAGTATTGTCCTATTTCAAATATTCAGTATTATCCAGTATTGTTTTATTATAAACATTTTTAACAGGATTTAGAAAAATGAATCTGCTCATCTTTATCATTTTTAATTAGTGAGTTTAATTCATTTAAGTACATTGAGATTACTGGTGCACATTTACAGTTATTTCTATTATCAATTAAACTTTAAAAAATATTTTTTCCTTTTTTACATGTAAGTTGAATTGATGAACCTTTTTTTTTTCATTTTTCTGCTACTTTGGAAATCATATTATATTTTTTAGTGTTCATTCAAATTTTTCAACATACACAATTAGCCACAAAATTTTCTAACAAGATCCAGACTGAATCAGTATCTTCATCTTTTCTCTGGATAGTATAAGAAATGTTTCATGTTTTAACTACCCACGGAACAATATTCCACCTCTCATTGTTTAGACTTTTTTCCACATCTGTCATAAGAACACATTTTTAATGATTATATTTACTCCTTATAGTGAATATTTGATTAAATTTACCAACACATTTTTATCAGTTTCGGCGGTTATAACTTGTTTCTGTCATTTGACTCCTTTGTGTTCATTGTACATTCTGCTGATGAACATCCTTTACAGATTCTTTCAGAAAGTGTCTATGGATGACAAGATCTTAATCTTTGTATTTCTGTAAATATGAACAAACATTTTAATTTTTCTTAGATAAAATCCAAATTCATTTCCATCCTATCTATTATCATCTATAATATTCACATCAAACGTCCAGGGAGAATTAACCTAATAATTCACAAAATTTACGTGAGACTTCAAGGTTGCAGAACACTTATGAAATAAAACTGAAGTGAACTGAATAGACCTTCATGTTATTTTTATTATTTTCAGAGATAAGGAAATAGAAGTTATTTTGTAAAGGCAAAAATTTTTTAAATGGAAATTATAATTTTATATTAATATTATTTTGTTTCATTACATTTGGTTCTAGTTATGATTAACTTCTGAAAATGATCACTTTTTTCTTCTTTGAAATTCTCTATTAACCATCTGTAAAAATATTTCCATAAAGATGATAAAAATAAGTGAAATGCAGTTGTTAAATAGAAAAATATATATGCAGTTTCATTAAGTAGAAGTATGAATGGCTCTGGAGCAATCTTGTTCTTACTCTTTTATAAATCAAAGCTCTTTGAACATGCATTTTTGCAAGCTTGCTTTCAGCATTAGATTTTTCTCTTTGTATTTTCTGAGGAGAATTTTTAAAAAATAGAATATTATTTCCTCTTGGAAAGGTACATCATTACTCAGTGGCATATTGTTCAAATGTCCGAAAATTGTTCTTAGAAGGTCTTATTTTGCTAGATTCATATTGTTTTGTGAAGAAAAAGGAAGCTTAAGAAAACATACCAAAGGGTCCGTCATACTAGACAACACCTACTGGCAACTACTCTCTCTCTCTCTTTCTCTCTCTCTCTCTCTCTCTCTCTCTCTCTCTCTCTCTATATATATATATATATATACACACACATATATAATTTAAGTTTATATACATGTGTATAATATTGAACCTTGTCAAAACGCATTATTATTTGCAAAGTTTTCTTAAATTTCATAAAGAGGGGAGCTGGATTTCCCCTTATACCGAGGATTGCCTTTTGTGGTGATAGTTAAAAACTGCCTATATGATAAAACCCAACTGTGATAAAAAAAAGATTGCTTCCTGTAAATTCCTTTGAAAGGGTTCTGCTTAAAATAATGCTTTATAAAGATGATGTGCATTTTATGAAGAGTCATAGGCGTACCACCTTAACATTATATTAAACATTGCATCATGCTTTGTGAAATGTATCATTAAAATTGCATCTCGAGTCCTTGTTGTTCAGCAATTGATTTTCTTTTTGGGAGTGCATCGACACTGAAATACATAATGCCATCAGAAACATATAGAAGAAAACTGAACTGATAGGCTATTCTGCATACTGTATGAAATTTTCTCAAGTTATTTGGGCAAGTCTCACAGAAATAAAACATCCCAAATACCCACAATAGTCTATATGTACACATCTCAGAGGTATTCTCGGAGATATATAAGAATGCTATCATTATAATTTAATACTCAGGTAGATTTCTGCACTAAAAAGAGACGTTCCAAAAACATTCTGAATTTCATTGTAAAAGAAAGACATCTAAGTCTTGGAAGAGTTAAAGCAGAATTGGAAACCAAATATTCTTTCTTCAATCTAAAGCATAACATTGTTTCACCAGGTATACATTCCACTAAATGAGTGAACAATTGACACTGGTAAACTCCCAGCTTAGGCCTGGTTGACTTGGCCATGTCGGACATCCTCATCACCAGAAGATATGACAGCTGCCCAGAAGGAGTCAAAGTAGTAAGGAGTGCTCCTCTTTCCCTCTCCATTGCTTTGGTCTCAACACTCCTAAAGGGAAGAGCTGTCCATTCCTGTGACTCTCCAACTCCACCTGTTAAGTTCCTTAAAAATTTATTGGGCATCCGTCTTAGTCCATTTGCATTGCTCTACAGGTATACCTGAGGCTGAGCAATTTGTAAAGAAAAGAGGTTTGTTTGGCTTGCAGTTATATAATCTGCAGGGTTATACAAGAAGTATGGTGCCACCATTCATTTCTGGTAAGGGCTTCAGGGAGCTTCCAATCCTTGCAAAAAGGGAAGGGGAGCCAGCATCACATGGCAAGAGAGGAGGAAAAAAAGAGAGAGAGAGGAAAGGGGTGCCATATTCTTTAAAGCAACCAGTTTTCTTGTGAACAAAATAGAGCAAGAACTCACTCATTACTGAAAGGATAGTGCCAATCCATTTTTGAGGGGTTCATCCCCATGATCCAAATACCTTCCATCAGGCCCCACCTCCAACATTGGAAATCAAATTTCAGCATGAGATTTGGAGGAGGCAAATATCTAAACTATATAAACATTTGTATATTCCATGCATTGCACTTGGTGCTGGAGTACGGAGTATGTAAAGATGAGTAATAGGAAAGCAGGCTTTTTTTTTTTTTTAGTTGTCACTTCTCTATCCCAAGTCCTTAGTACATTGTGTGGCATGCATTAAAACAGGATCAATAAGTTTGTGTTGAATAAATGAAGGAAAGTTTCTAAAGTAGACTAAATATGATAATAAATTCTTTGGTTTTCTCTGTTGAGAGATGAGTCTGATTTCCTTTTCCTTCGATTTGGGTTGGCCTTAGTGAATTGTTTGAACAATTTAAGATGAATAAACTGATGTTCTGAGGCTTCCAAAGCTGGGTCTTTAGAAGCCATGCAATTTCTCTCTGTGCCTGTTTGAATAATCACTGTGGGAGCCCTGGAACACCCTTGAAGAAATTCTACTGCCCTGAGACCACCGTGCAGATTGGCCATTTGTAGGCATTCCAGTGGAAAATACCAGCTGAGCCAAACCTTTCAGCCATCCCCTCCCAGACACTAAACAAATGAATGAGGCTGGCTTGGATTCTTCTGGCCAACCCATCCACCAGCTGATACCTGCAAGATCTAAGCTGACAGTACACGGAGCAAGAAAATTGCCCAGATGAGTGCTGTCCAAATTACTGACACACAAAATTGTGGGACAATATAATGTTGTTATTTTAAGTAGCTAAATATTGGAGTTGTTTATTACACAGCAATAAATAACTGAAATAGCTGCCAAAGGATTACAGTTCAGGGTGGATGTGAGGAAAGGTAAAAAGAATCTCAGAGATGCCAGTGAATATACAGATATTTATAATCCAAAGTATTAGTTTCTAAATCAGAGTTTTGCATAGGGGGCTATGTGAAAGCCTGAAAGAGATAATCAACTCAACTTAGGAGTTAGAAAGTTTATTTCTTGAAAGAAATGAGGTCCACGCTAATGCACCTCTTTTGAGGGAGAAATGAATGAAAATGTGGCATGCCACATGACAGTTTCTCTTTTCTGATTTAGATCATGTTTTTGTTAATGAATGCAATAAATGATAATTACCTTTTTTCACTAAAATAATAATAATCTGATCCCTCAGAGCTATTCTGGGGGATATTGGAGGCTAGCTGTCCAAAATAAGGTCACAAGTCCTGAGACACAGTGGTTGATTATGCAGAATTGACCCAGCTGCTGAGAAAGAGGCAAAGCATGGGTTATCCTCAGGATTTGATATCATGGAAATCTAGGGAGAAGAATGGTATTTTTTTTTGCAGTAGTCGAGGAACAATATTTTTGGGCAATGTCTGGTACATTGCTTAGCCCTTTTGCAAGCTTGTTTACATCAAAAGTTCATGGATCACCTTCAGACAATATATTCAGAGTTTGTCAATATAGAGAGGTATCATTTGTGTCTGGGGAAGAATTGAAGATTTCTGAATCAGTGATGCTGAAATACTACAGATACATCACAATTTAAATTCGGAGGTGGTAGACTTGTTTCTTCTACTGTAAACAGATAGATACTACAGATACATCACAAATTAAATTTGGAGGTGGTAGACTACTCCAATACTACAGATACATCACAAATTAAATTTGGAGGTGGTAGTACTACAGATACATCACAAATACTACGGATACATCACAAATTAAATTTGGAGGTGGCAGTACTACAGATACATCACAAATACTACAGATATATCACAAATTAAAATACATAATACACAAATACTACAGATACATCAAAAATTAAATTTGGAGGTGGTAGACTTGTTTATTCTACTGTAAACAGAGTGACTTAGCATTTTAAATCATGATTTATGAAGTATCTCCCATTTCTAAATTGACAGGATTCTACATCTCCCACAATTCTTTGTTGTGCTACTGTGAGTACTGTGAGTTCTTAGGCCACAGTTTTATGCCATTTAACAACTTTGGAATTCCTCATACTCAATTTCCAATAGAGAATTAATGCTGCTGCCTCTGGGAAGCAGTGAACACCTCCTTGAAATGCAGATCTTTATGGACTGCATTAGTCTTCAATGTAGATTCTCTTTCACCTCCCAAAACTGGCACATTTGTATTTCTAATGACAGTATATGAAGTACGTCTTACATCTCTTCCCAGAGCTGCAGCTGAACATACCAGTACTCTCAGATGTAGAGGAGTAAGTGGGAACTATTCATTCAGTGTTTCTCAAAGTTCAGACACAATGACTGGGTTTCCCCCTTGTGTATTATTTGGCTTTTATTTTTAGCTCAGGTTGAACTGGAGATGGGTGGGAAGTATTTTTCAAATAGATAAGCAAAGTGAATATTGTTATAGGATTATGACACTGAAGTGGACATTTAATTATCAATGAAAGACTGTTCCTAAGTCTGAAGTGACTGGAGACATTTTCAGTCTAGAAAGAGTTAGTTGTAAGTTGTGCTCGAGATGGGCAACGGGGTAAAAATAAAGTTTTCTTCTTTGGGAGATTAAAAAAAATATGATTGGTCTTGCACAAATTGTGGCCGTTGTGCACGGGAGCTAGCAAGGACTCCACCTCGGCTGCAGCTGGAGGCTGGTGTAGGAGAATCGAAGGAGTTTCCCCTAATTGAATGACAAGGTGTAGAACCATCTGCATAGGACCTAAGATGCCAGGGGAAGAAATTTGGATACTATTTCAAGGTATTTGGGAATAATAAAATATATTTGAGGAAGAAAACAATAAAATTAATGCAGCATTTTAAGTTCAAATCTAGAAGATATTTAACATATATTGAGCACTGACTAAATATGCCAAATAGTTTTTATACATTATTTAGTTAAATAACACTGTAAAGAAATATTCATTTCATTTTGTAGATGAGAAAATTTAACTTTGGATAAACAAGCTTGCCCAACATCACACATCTGGCAAGTGGAAAAAATGAGATTTAACCCCAATTTACCTAATTCCAAAGACGGCGCTCTTCCGTGAGGCTAGGCATGTATCTAAGAAATGAATTAGTTAATTAAACCAGAGTGGATTCTGTGGGAATGGCAAGGTGATAACAAAAGTAAGGAATATTGGGAATTCAGATTCTTAAAGACTTGAGAATTAATAACTGATATGGAAGATGAAATAGCAGAATAAGAACTATAAAGTTTCCTTCCTAGGTGACTGGAAAAATGTCATAGCTAGGGAAGTTTTGAGTAGCAGTTGCATTGAGGGGAAAGATTATACCCCTCATACTCCCAGCATTCATATGCTGCCTCTCTTAGTGTGAGTTTCAACTTAACACTGATTTTATTATAGTAGTATGCTCAGGTTAAAGTGGCAAGTACTTAGCTGTTGTTACACATTGGGAAGGAAACTGGGAGAGAAGTTAATTCACTGTATTTGTCCTGGCAAGTTGGTGGGCTTGGCAAGACCAGGGCCAGCTCAAGGATCCAAGGTCAGCTAATAGGAGAAGTTCTGATGAAGACCATCAATGCACTAGGCAGGCTCAGAAAGAACAAATGTTCCAATTAAGAGCACTTCTATCTTCTGGTACCACACACCACTCAGTCAAGCTCACCCATCAACATTATCTTCTCTGCTTCTCCATCCCTGACTTTGGTAACCTGTGTACTGGTATTTATTTACACAGTACTCCATTCTAGCGTTTCATCTGAACATGCCTTTCTTTGACAGATTCTCAAGTTGTAGCACCCTCTTTTTTCATCAACCTTTATGTAGACAGAGCCCTGTTTTTACCTAGCTGTAGTGTTGAAAATAAATTTTGCTGATCTTTTTTATTGCTTTTAGGTTCCTGGAGTATTGGAATTTTAATTGACTAATTAAAATTTTAATAGAAGTAATAATCTTTTTTAACTGTAGCTCTAGCACACTGAGGTAAACACACCCTCATGTAATAAGAAGGCTATGATGTATGATGTTCCCCAGGAGAGTCTGAAGCTGATTCTCAACCCACGTCTCCCTCACTAGGGAGCGTTGCCTATAATTTTAGTTCAGCCAATGGCTTGCCTTGCCTAACATACCAGTAGAACACAAATGACAGAGTGGCGAACGTAAAGGTTACTTTCTAACATAGCTTCATGATCTCCCACAATTTTTCCCAATCTTAGTAAAAACAGAGAAACTTGAGACAAGATCCAAGTGAGAATTTATAAGGGGAATATAGAAAATAATTATTGGCTTAACTTTAATTTACAGCCCATGGGCAAGTGGCACAGAAAGTACAAAGAATCTTTGGGCTGCCAAAGTGAGGCAAAAAAAAAAAATTGAAATAAAAAGTAATACTTAAAGCTCTGCGATGAAACAGGGCTCCCTTTCTACTAACTCTAAGGTTGCCCACCTTCTGCCCAAAATGCCCCTGCCAAGTCCTGCTTTGAATGTGGCTAACCTACAAAGGAAATCATGTAGTCCAGTTAGTCTTTTCAGGGCATATTAAAAATAGGTAGAACTGGTAAGAGTGTAAAAGGTACATACATGCAAATATTAGATTAAAACAGATAAACTATATTTGTATATTTTTTTGCTTTTTCTGTAACTTATCTGAAATGGATTTTATTCTATTCCAATTGCAACTAGAATTCTAATTCTATTCCTATTGCAACCCTAGAAAACTTGCTTTCCATTTTCAGTCAAAAATCTATTAGTGAAACCAACTGAAATGCTAACTTATTTATCTTCTTTGCTTCAGTTCCTTTATAAAAGTGAAAGTGTTCACATTTATCTCCACATGGTTACTTCTAAGTTTTTTTGTTTATGGTGAGATAAAGAGAAAGAGAGAGAGCGTGAGTGAGCACGCATGTGTATGTGTGTGTATTTTGAGAATTAAGCCCTTTCATAGGAGGATAAAACCTTGAAAAAATCTATAAACAATATTCTACTGAAGTTATTTCTTATTTAAATGACTAGGTGTTCTGTAGGATTTATTACATCCAAGTACTGATATGAATTAAGTTTAAAAATTTCTTAAATTCAGAACTTTCTCTTAAAAAATGTGTATCAAGACAATAGGAAATGGAAATAATCACCATCTGCCAGTTTATTAGGCTTTTAGTAAAGATTGTAACTTGTACATGAAAAAATAGGGAGCTGACAAGTATGATGTATGGAGCGCCCAGAATTTTGGGGTAGTTTCCTTTTCTCTTTGAGAACTCTGCATTGTGGTCTTTCCATGTGTCAACATGCTCTTAAGAAAAACTCCAGCACCAATTCATACCACAGCAAAAATGGCTGCCTCTTTACAGTTTTCTTCTCTCAAGGATATTTGCATTACATTGGGGTTTATTCTAAATGGTGAACCTTCTGCAGAGACATTTTCAAGCATCAGCCAGCAGGTGGAAGATATCTTTTTGGGTAAGGGGATCAGGGACATCACATCCTTGCAGAAAGATTTTTGTGCTCCACAGTGTGACTTATCAGTAAAGAGCCTCTGGATTGGGATAATGAGTATGTTGGAGGAAATGTGTGGTAAGATGACTCAAAGACACAAATCCAGTGTCTTGGTACTGCGTAAATCTCCTAGAACCTTGACACAGTCCTGAGGACAGAGATGAGATTAAAATTTCCTGCCAGCTGGTTTGAAAGGGGTCTTGAAATACAATAGAAATTAAATTGCAATACAGAAAATTTTTTTTTGCATATTACACTCTTTGGTCTAAGATTCATATTCTCTGTAAACAAATATTGCTTTCATTCAAGGAGTTTATGTGCTAGGGTGTTTCAACATAAAGATTTTTAGAAGAAATTCAACATATGTATATATGTCATCATTAGGAAGCTAAGAAAGTACAACATTTAGCAATTCCTTACCAATAAATTTCAGCATAAAAATTTTCATGTGAATATATTTGTAAAAGCACTGCTGACTATTTACTTGGCAGAGAAGGGGCTCTGTAAAATGCATACTCTAGATTTCAGTAGAGGGGCGCTCTGGTTTCAGACACACTCCAATGCATACCTTTTGATCTTTTGATGATATAAATACATACAGGACACAGGGGAGCTAATTAACCTAAAATCTGGTTATGCTACTCATCAGCAGATGGACCTTCAGTTTAACTTCACTGTAGAAAAAAATATGGTGATGTCTCAATTATCAAATCACCTAAGAAGTAAATTGCTTTGAGTATACACCTATCTCTTGCTTAACGACTTTAACTCTTCTCTGAAAAAATCTGCCACTGAATAAAAAGCTGGTAAATGAAAAAAATTCAATTAAGTTTTACAGGAAAATTTGTGAGGAGTTCTATTCCAAACCATAGGTAAAAAAACAAACCGACAAACATCCTCGAATAATGAAAACAATGTTATAATGTTTTAAACATTATAATGATTTAAAAGTAAATAAATATAATTTGTATGTAAAATGCAATGTAATAACTCACGAAAAAAAAGAAGCTTCCAAGAAGTTGGTGGTAGGCGAGAAGAAGTAGAGATAGATATCTTTTGAGAGGGCATATTCCTTTCTGTACAATTTTATTCTTTCATTTTTCCATCTGTTTGGAGGCTAATGATTAACCGGCACTCAGCCTGCACTTAAAAGTAATATTAGTGAACAGGAAAACACCTTCTATCTGAACTATTCCTTCTTAAAGTATATTTATTTAGTATGTTTTGGGTGGAAAAGTTCAAAAACAAAAGAGTTGGATGTGAGAAGAAGTTTGTTAGGGTGTTTTTTTTATTTTTTATTTTTTTATTATACTTTAAGTTTTAGGGTACATGTGCACATTGTGCAGGTTAGTTACATATGTATACATGTGCCATGCTGGTGTGCTGCACCCACTAACTCGTCATCTAGCATTAGGTATATCTCCCAATGCTATCCCTCCCCCCTCCCCCCACCCCACCACAGTCCCCAGAGTGTGATATTCCCCTTCCTGTGTCCATGTGATCTCATTGTTCAATTCCCACCTATGAGTGAGAATATGCGGTGTTTGGTTTTTTGTTCTTGTGATAGTTTACTGAGAATGATGATTTCCAATTTCATCCATGTCCCTACAAAGGACATGAACTCATCATTTTTTATGGCAGCATAGTATTCCATGGTGTACATGTGCCACATTTTCTTAATCCAGTCTATCATTGTTGGACATTTGGGTTGGTTCCAAGTCTTTGCTATTGTGAATAATGCCGCAATAAACATACGTGTGCATGTGTCTTTATAGCAGCATGATTTATAGTCCTTCGGGTATATAACCAGTAATGGGATGGCTGGGTCAAATGGTATTTCTAGTTCTAGATCCCTGAGGAATCGCCACACTGACTTCCACAAGGGTTGAACTAGTTTACAGTCCCACCAACAGTGTAAAAGTGTTCCTATTTCTCCACATCCTCTCCAACACCTGTTGTTTCCTGACTTTTGAATGATTGCCATTCTAACTGGTGTGAGATGGTATCTCATTGTGGTTTTGATTTGCATTTCTCTGATGGCCAGTGATGATGAGCATTTTTTCATGTGTTTTTTGGCTGCATAAATGTCTTCTTTTGAGAAGTGTCTGTTCATGTCCTTCGCCCACTTTTTGATGGGGTTGTTTGTTTTTTTCTTGTAAATTTGTTTGAGTTCATTGTAGATTCTGGATATTAGCCCTTTGTCAGATGAGTAGGTTGTGAAAATTTTCTCCCATTTTGTAGGTTGCCTGTTCACTCTGATGGTAGTTTCTTTTGCTGTGCAGAAGATCTTTAGTTTAATTAGATCTCATTTGTCAATTTTGTCTTTTATTGCCGTTGCCTTTGGTGTTTTGGACATGAAGTCCTTGCCCATGCCTATGGCCTGAATGGTAATGCTTAGGTTTTCTTCTAGGGTTTTTATGGTTTTAGGTCTAACGTTTAAGTCTTTAATCCATCTTGAATTGATTTTTGTATAAGGTGTAAGGAAGGGATCCAGTTTCAGCTTTCTACATATGGCTAGCCAGTTTTCCCAGCACCATTTATTAAATAGGGAATCCTTTCCCCATTGCTTGTTTTTCTCAGGTTTGTCAAAGATCAGATAGTTGTAGATATGCAGCGTTATTTCTGAGGGCTCTGTTCTGTTCCATTGATCTATATCTCTGTTTTGGTGCCAGTACCATGCTGTTTTGGTTACTGTAGCCTTGTAGTATAGTTTGAAGTCAGGTAGTGTGATGCCTCCAGCTTTGTTCTTTTGGCTTAGGATTGCCTTGGCCATGCGGGCTCTTTTTTGGTTCCATATGAACTTTAAAGTAGTTTTTTCCAATTCTGTGAAGAAAGTCATTGGTAGCTTGATGGGGATGGCATTGAATCTGTAAATTACCTTGGGCAGTATGGCCATTTTCACGATATTGATTCTTCCTACCCATGAGCATGGAATGTTCTTCCATTTGTTTGTATCCTCTTTTATTTCCTTGAGCAGTGGTTTGTAGTTCTCCTTGAAGAGGTCCTTCACATCCCTTGTAAGTTGGATTCCTAGGTATTTTATTCTCTTTGAAGCAATTGTGAATGGGAGTTCACTCATGATTTGGCTCTCTGTTTGTCTGCTGTTGGTGTATAAGAATGCTTGTGATTTTTGTACATTGATTTTGTATCCTGAGACTTTGCTGAAGTTGCTTATCAGCTTAAGGAGATTTTGGGCTGAGACAATGGGGTTTTCTAGATATACAATCATGTCGTCTGCAAACAGGGACAATTTGACTTCCTCTTTTCCTAATTGAATACCCTTTATTTCCTTCTCCTGCCTGATTGCCCTGGCCAGAACTTCCAACACTATGTTGAATAGGAGTGGTGAGAGAGGGCATCCCTGTCTTGTGCCAGTTTTCAAAGGGAATGCTTCCAGTTTTTGCCCATTTAGTATGATATTGGCTGTGGGTTTGTCATAGATAGCTCTTATTATTTTGAAATACGTCCCATCAATACCTAATTTATTGAGAGTTTTTAGCATGAAGGGTTGTTGAATTTTGTCAAAGGCCTTTTCTGCATCTATTGAGATAATCATGTGGTTTTTGTCTTTGGCTCTGTTTATATGCTGGATTACATTTATTGATTTGCGTATATTGAACCAGCCTTGCATCCCAGGGATGAAGCCCACTTGATCATGGTGGATAAGCTTTTTGATGTGCTGCTGGATTCGGTTTGCCAGTATTTTATTGAGGATTTCTGCATCAATGTTCATCAAGGATATTGGTCTAAAATTCTCTTTTTTGGTTGTGTCTCTGCCTGGCTTTGGTATCAGAATGATGCTGGCCTCATAAAATGAGTTAGGGAGGATTCCCTCCTTTTCTATTGATTGGAATAGTTTCAGAAGGAATGGTACCAGTTCCTCCTTGTACCTCTGGTAGAATTCGGCTGTGAATCCATCTGGTCCTGGACTCTTTTTGGTTAGTAAACTATTGATTATTGCCACAATTTCAGCTCCTGTTATTGGTCTATTCAGAGATTCAACTTCTTCCTGGTTTAGTCTTGGGAGAGTGTATGTGTCGAGGAATTTATCCATTTCTTCTAGATTTCCTAGTTTACTTGCGTAGAGGTGTTTGTAGTATTCTCTGATGGTAGTTTGTATTTCTGTGGGATCGGTGGTGATATCCCCTTTATCATTTTTTATTGTGTCTATTTGATTCTTCTCTCTTTTTTTCTTTATTAGTCTTGCTAGCGGTCTATCAATTTTGTTGATCCTTTCAAAAAACCAGCTCCTGGATTCATTAATTTTTTGAAGGGTTTTTTGTGTCTCTATTTCCTTCATTTCTGCTCTGATTTTAGTTATTTCTTGCCTTCTGCTAGCTTTTGAATGTGTTTGCTCTTGCTTCTCTAGTTCTTTTAATTGTGATGTTAGGGTGTCAATTTTGGATCTTTCCTGCTTTCTCTTGTGGGCATTTAGTGCTATAAATTTCCCTCTACACACTGCTTTGAATGTGTCCCAGAGATTCTGGTATGTTGTGTCTTTGTTCTCGTTGGTTTCAAAGAACATCCTTATTTCTGCCTTCATTTCGTTATGTATCCAGTAGTCATTCAGGAGCAGGTTGTTCAGTTTCCATGTAGTTGAGCGGTTTTGAGTGAGATTCTTAATCCTGAGTTCTAGTTTGATTGCACTGTGGTCTGAGAGATAGTTTGTTATAATCTCTGTTCTTTTACATTTGCTGAGGAGAGCTTTACTTCCCAGTATGTGGTCAATTTTGGAATAGGTGTGGTGTGGTGCTGAAAAAAATGTATATTCTGTTGATTTGGGGTGGAGAGTTCTGTAGATGTCTATTAGGTCTGCTTGGTGGAGAGCTGAGTTCAATTCCTGGGTATCCTTGTTGACTTTCTGTATCGCTGAACTGTCTAATGTTGACAGTGGGGTGTTAAAGTCTCCCATTATTAATGTGTGGGAGTCTAAGTCTCTTTGTAGGTCACTCAGGACTTGCTTTATGAATCTGGGTGCTCCTGTATTGGGTGCATATATATTTAGGATAGTTAGCTCTTCTTGTTGAATTGATCCCTTTACCATTATGTAATGGCCTTCTTTGTCTCTTTTGATCTTTGTTGGTTTAAAGTCTGTTTTATCAGAGACTAGGATTGCAACCCCTGCCTTTTTTTGTTTTCCATTTGCTTGGTAGATCTTCCTCCATCCTTTTATTTTGAGCCTATGTGTGTCTCTGCACGTGAGATGGGTTTCCTGAATACAGCACACTGATGGGTCTTGACTCTTTATCCAATTTGCCAGTCTGTGTCTTTTAATTGGAGCATTTAGTCCATTTACATTTAAAGTTAATATGGTTATGTGTGAATTTGATCCTGTCATTATGATGTTAGCTGGTTATTTTGCTTGTTAGTTGATGCAGTTTCTTCCTAGTCTCGATGGTCTTTACATTTTGGCATGATTTTGCAGCGGCTGGTACCGGTTGTTCCTTTCCATGTTTAGCGCTTCCTTCAGGAGCTCTTTTAGGGCAGGCCTGATGGTGACAAAATCTCTCAGCATTTGCTTGTCTGTAAAGTATTTTATTTCTCCTTCACTTATGAAGCTTAGTTTGGCTGGATATGAAATTCTGGGTTGAAAATTCTTTTCTTTAAGAATGTTGAATATGGGCCCCCACTCTCTTCTGGCTTGTAGGGTTTCTGCCGAGAGATCCGCTGTTAGTCTGATGGGCTTCCCTTTGAGGGTAACCCAACCTTTCTCTCTGGCTGCCCTTAACATTTTTTCCTTCATTTCAACTTTGGTGAATCTGACAATTATGTGTCTTGGAGTTGCTCTTCTCGAGGAGTATCTTCGTGGCGTTCTCTGTATTTCCTGAATCTGAACGTTGGCCTGCCTTGCTAGATTGGGGAAGTTCTCCTGGATAATATCCTGCAGAGTGTTTTCCAACTTGGTTCCATTCTCCCCATCACTTTCAGGTACACCAATCAGACGTAGATTTGGTCTTTTCACATAGTCCCATATTTCTTGGAGGCTTTGCTCATTTATTTTTACTCTTTTTTCTCTAAACTTCCCTTCTCGCTTCATTTCATTCATTTCATCTTCCATCGCTGATACCCTTTCTTCCAGTTGATCGCATCGGCTCCTGAGGCTTCTGCATTCTTCACGTAGTTCTCGAGCCTTGGTTTTCTGCTCCATCAGCTCCTTTAAGCACTTCTCTGTATTGGTTATTCTAGTTATACATTCTTCTAAATTTTTTTCAAAGTTTTCAACTTCTTTGCCTTTGGTTTGAATGTCCTCCCGTAGCTCAGAGTAATTTGATCGTCTGAAGCCTTCTTCTCTCAGCTCGTCAAAGTCATTCTCCATCCAGCTTTGTTCCATTGCTGGTGAGGAACTGCGTTCCTTTGGAGGAGGAGAAGCGCTCTGCGTTTTAGAGTTTCCCGTTTTTCTGTTCTGTTTTTTTCCTCATCTTTGTGGTTTTATCTACTTTTGGTCTTTGATGATGGTGATGTACAGATGGGTTTTTCGTGTGGATGTCCTTTCTGTTTGTTAGTTTTCCTTCTAACAGACAGGACCCTCAGCTGCAGGTCTGTTGGAATACCCTGCCGTGTGAGGTGTCAGTGTGCCCCTGCTGGGGGGTGCCTCCCAGTTAGGCTGCTCGGGGGTCAGGGGTCAGGGACCCACTTGAGGAGGCAGTCTGCCCGTTCTCAGATCTCCAGCTGTGTGCTGGGAGAACCACTGCTCTCTTCAAAGCTGTCAGACAGGGACATTTAAGTCTGCAGAGGTTACTGCTGTCTTTTTGTTTGTCTGTGCCCTGCCCCCAGAGGTGGAGCCTACAAAGGCAGGCAGGCCTCCTTGAGCTGTGGTGGGCTCCACCCAGTTTGAGCTTCCCGGCTGCTTTGTTTACCTCAGCAAGCCTGGGCAATGGCAGGCGCCCCTCCCCCAGCCTCGTTGCCGCCTTGCAGTTTGATCTCAGACTGCTGTGCTAGCAATCAGCCAGACTCCGTGGGCGTAGGACCCTCCAAGCCAGGTGCCGGATATAATCTCGTGGTGCGCCATTTTTTAAGCCCGTCCGAAAAGCGCAATATTCGGGTGGGAGTGACCCGATTTTCCAGGTGAGTCCGTCACCCCTTTCTTTGACTCGGAAAGGTAACTCCCTGACCCCTTGCGCTTCCCAAGTGAGGCAATGCCTCGCCCTGCTTTGGCTCGCGCACGGTGCGCGCACCCACTGACCTGTGCCCACTGTCTGGCACTCCCTAGTGAGATGAACCCGGTACCTCAGATGGAAATGCAGAAATCACCCGTCTTCTGCGTTGCTCACGCTGGGAGCTGTAGACCGGAGCTGTTCCTATTCGGCCATCTTGGCTCCTCCTTGTTAGGGGTTTTTGAGGAAGTTCTTTTTCATTCTTCTAAGAGTGCTTTTGGAAGTGATTCTCTCTCTCTTCTTGTGGAAATTATTGATTGTGGCCATGAGCCCTAAGGCACAATAGTCATTTCAGATCCCAGTTTGAGGAAGAAGCTCACCCAGGAAGAAAAGACGAAAGTCCATGCAAGGATGAGGAGCCACTGGATTAAGGCAATAGCATATCAAGTTATGTCAAGCTGAACACATTCAAACTTGTACAAGCAAGATCCTAGACAAGGACGCTGGTAGAGGAAACATATTGGGGCAAGTTTAAGAGACAAACAGTCCCACAGAAACACAGATGCAAGCAAAGGAAGATGCTGGCTGCATTATATGCTGTATGTCCAGGTAGGCGGGTAGGCAAAAGGAGGAAGAGGGATGCTGGGAACCAGAGAAAGGTAAATATTTGTCTTTCAAGTGGCCATGGTCATAGTTTGTGGTTTACCTACTTAGGAGGGCTTTCCTACACTGGGCCAGAGATTTGACATGTCCCCGATCAGACTCTTTCTAGAGAAAATGATTCATTGATAAATTACAGTGAGATGGTATGGTATGAAAAATGTCAATAATAATATAAAAAAGTCAGTTGGGATGAGTAGACTTGCCCCTGGAGTCTTAGGACTTTGAATAAACCCATAAGAATGTGCTAGATTCTAACTAGGGCTTTATCACTCCATGGATCAGGCAGCTTGTGAGTGGTATGAGAACAGAGGCACTAAAAGAATCATTGTCTCGAAATATCTCTCCTAGTTGAGTCTACCAATTGTGAGAAATTGGCACCAATAGTTCATTGGAATAAACAATGAGCATCTCTGTTAAAATGCAGAGTTGTTAATAGAGACAATATATTAAACTCATGATTCTCAGACTGAGTACTGAGGTCACCTAGGGCTCCAATACAAACTCAAAAAGACAGTGCAATATATCTAAAAATCTTAAGAAAAACATAGTAAAGTATCTTGGATATTTTGTAGGCTACTAGCTTAAGATAGTTAACATTTTTAAGGTTGATCACTACATTTCTTTCAATGAAGGTGGTGAAGTCCAATCTGATTCCACAGTTTGAGAAATTTGTGTAGTGTCCAGTAGGCACCAAGTGTTTAAGACTTAAATGCTTGCTAAGGTGCTTGGACATAAGAATTTAATAAATGGGACTCTTAGGTATTTCTTTTCACCTAGGGATCACGTGAAACAATTGTTGAGACAATTAAGGATGTCATGAATCAAGATGACATGGAAAGCCCTGCATTCAGTTATTACCACTTACTAATCATGGCAATATTTTAATCACTTAGATTCAGTGAACACAGCACATGTTTCTGTGGGGAAGAGGGAATCAGAAAGCTCCTTAGCAAGTGGGTGTGGAGTTTCAAAGAAGGGTTTCTTGAAGAGTCATTAGAACTTTGGGTTCCTGAAGAAGGAGAGATGCAGTAAAGATGTGGCATATAGTTAGAGAACAAAACGGTCATGACCTTTATGATTGAGTCCAGGGCCAAGCTTGCTATTAAGTCGATGGACCCCAGGTCTCAGATGATCTGGTCTCACATTTCTGAAGCTTGGACTGAACTGAAATGTCTTTAAATACAGAGTAAGGCAAATAGCCATTCTGCTTACTCTATTCTACTCTTTCTTTGGCATTGAGTTTCCAGAAGCCTCAAAATTAAATATGCCTTTATTAGAAAGCATTCCAACTTGATAGGCTTTTATGAAATAATCTTTTTTCTTTGAAACAAAGTCCAAACCACCAAAATATTACCATAGAAAGCAAAATATATCACTGATACTACAATATCTATCAACCATGAGTTATCTCATTTTCTCTCTGTAAGTGATATTTATTTCTCATAAGCAAACACTAGAAGACCATGATTATAATCATCCAATACCCCTTAAGTATCCTAACTGACAAGACTCTATTTGGGCTACCTGTTATGATAAAACTCCGTTTTTTCTTTGTTGTATAATATAAATGAAAACCACTTTCACGTTCTGAATTTTTGGGTATAAGCATTCACTGTGTTCAGGTTAAAAAAACCGAGTAATTTCTACCAATGGCTTTGCTTAAACTCTACTATTTCATCCAGAATTATTGTATAGTTTGAAGTTAAACAACAGATGAACATTTGGGATTTCTTATCAACTTATCCAGACATTGATGGAAAGCATTCATAAACTGAGATTTTTTTTTTTTGGACGACGGATTGAAGAAATTCTAGTTTGTCAAAAACTTTCTTTTAGATCATTCTCTTTTAAGTTCTGTCATTCTTACTTGTTCCTCTGCACTTTTTCTCTCTATATCTGTCAAATAACTGAAATGATTTTGTGAGATTTTTTTCCATGTTAAATATAAGCTTTTTTAAAAAAAATTCATTGCAATTGAGCATGTCATTTATCCCTCTGCCCATTTTTCTTATATTAAAAGGTCTCCTGCTGGAATTTAATTTCAAGTTAAATCTTTACCCCACCCTCAGGCTGTGAGACTGAATTAAATAAATCCCACTAAAAGTAATAAACCACTCTTAGCTGTGGTCTTGTGATATCAGTTGTCAGCCTGTCAGAGCAAATCTGAGTGTTAAATTCACTGCCTCTGCTAGTGAGGAAAGAATCAGAACACCAAAAAGCCCAGGGTATCAGAACTGCTGCAGTCACTCTGGTTTCATCTCAGCAGCAGGACTTAAGCATGCAAAAAAAAATAATCTTTGAAGATGATTTTCTTGATGACACTCTTTTAAAATTCATATTGATGGTAAAACAAAGGCTCAGCTACCGTTATTATACTTTATTTAGTAATGCTGCAAGCCTGTGAGGTCTAGTAACAAGAAGGTAGAATCACTTGTTTTTAGAGAGGAGAGACAAAACAGGAATATTGCACTGATGGAGAGTGATCGATTTTAGATTTAAATTGTTAGTCAGGACTCGTGTCCAAATGTATGACTGAAGGGTGGACAATTTGAGAGAGAGAAAGAAAAATAACATAGGTCCTCAATTTTCTCCTTATGAAAATTTGCAAGGAAATTAATCCACAGAACACAGCCCATCCCTCACACTTCCAAATAAAGTGCTCTAGAGGGAGAAATAACACCCTCCCTCAGTACCTGGTCCATGATGCTTGACACTGGGAATAATCCCAGTACCAGGCTGGACTTATGGGTGTGACTAATAAAAGGTGACAGCTGGCTTCAAATCTGTTGCCTTGTCATTCACTGGACCAATTTACAAAACACTTGTTTACCCTCAAAGCACTGAGCTTGCCCCCACAAAAAAGGTCTTAAAAAAAAGAACATTATTTTCTTCATATTAAATTCCGAAGAGTTAAAGTTGTATAAACAGCCAAAAATCAATACTGTCAGTGATTTGGTATTTCTAAAGAACAGGACAACAGCTCAGCAGATTAACTTCCTCCTCTCTGTGGCTAAGCAGAATATTGCCTTCCGTAGAGATATAGCTGGAGGAATTCCCGGGGGTGGGGGAGTTGAACACAGACAATTCTCTGAACAAGATTTCAACTGAGAATTCTGGGATATAGAAAGATGATAGACATTTCCCAGTAATTATTGTAGTTGCAACTTTCATCTTTCTACATCTTTATCCAATCAAGCACTAGCATATGGTTGACACTGAATGCCTAGTAATTCGTCAAGCCCTTCCTCCCATCCTTTTAAAAACTCCTATTACTTCCCAATTCGGAAGGGGAAACAGTTCTCGGGGAAGCATGTCCTAGGAAGTAGCTTTTTTCTCATATTTTGAAGAAAATATTGGTGGTCAAAATTATGCTCTTTGATTTGTTATACCTGCAAATATATTGCAAGGTCATATACTTTTCTACCCTCATAAAGAGATTATTTTCAAAATACAAATGTGGGGAAAATAATTTTCAGGTTCTTATAGCAAAAAGCCAATGCATCATACTGATGTCTATTACAGAATTGGACTTTTTAGACAGTGGTCAAATATTTTCATATCTGCAATGTGGTTATTTAGCAGTAATAATTTGAACCAAATACAAAGGATTTTGTACTTTAATTCTGGGCCTTAAGTTTAAATCACTGGAATACACATTTGTTAGAATTTTAATTTTTTAAAAACTTACAAACCTGCATTAATACATTTCCACTTAAATTTTATTTACTTATTTACCAAGTTATGAAAAATGAATAGACTTTGGAATCCAGAATGGTCTAGTTTGAAGTCCAGCCCTTCCACATACTAGCTCTTTAATGTCTGGCTAACTTTATCACTCTGAGCCTCAGTTTACTCATATGCAGCATGGTGATCACATTGCTTTTCTCAAGGGGCTGCAGTGAGAATGAAGAAAAGTAACATATGAAGCAGCTGGCTCAGGGTCTTGCATGTGTCAGACACTCCTTTCTGACTCTGAATCTACAATAGGTTTTATTGCCTATTAGAATCCATGTTGACATATTTAGCTGAAATTCTTGAAGCAAATGTCTTCCAAAAAATTCATGTAGATAAAATTTCAGAGTCAGGATACATAAATGATGATTTGAAGAAAAGGAGACATCTCAAAAATAACAAGGATTTTCTTGTTAGACCATGAACTTCAGATCACGAAACTTAATTTTGGTCTTGATGAATTTTCACACGGTCAGTTTCACAGTTAAATAGTGAGTACCTCACTTGCAATTTCATACATTTATTTTCTCAACAATGAAGAACCAAAAGCCCATTATGTTCAGGATTTCTGCTAGGCCTAGGGGCCAAATAGTGAGTAAAATCACAGTAACGTTACTCATTGTACAGTGGGAAAAGCATATAAGATACTTAAAAAACAATGGTGGTAACAGCATACGTAAGCACATGGGGCCATGAGAGCGTGTGGGTAAATACACAATGAGCAACTGTCAACTGTAGTTCATGGGGAACCTCCATTTCTTTTTTTTTCCTCTAAACTTTTATTTTAGGTTTCAGGGTATATGTGCAGGTTTGTTACATGGGTAAATAGCTTGTCGCTGAGGTTAGGTGTACAAATGATCCTGTCACCTAAGTAGCGAGCATAGTGTCCAATAGGTAGTTTTTCAACCCATGCCCCTCACCCTCACCCTCCAAACTCTAGTAATTCCAGTGTCTATTGATCCCATCTTTGTGTCCATGTGCATTCAATGAAAGTTCCTTTTCTAAACTCTTTCTTCTATCCCACTTCACGTTTGTAGCTATCACTTTCTATCTTTCGCACCTGGTTTCCAATTTGTTTAAGATGTACATATTCCCCTTATGGGAATGAAGAAGACCTTCTAATGTTTTTGGGAAATATATTTGCTAAGGTTACGATGATAGAGTTTAAGCTGATCACTATATCATGTAAGGCTGTATGTCACCTGCGTAGTTTAGGAGTCCAGAGACAAGTGCAGTGGGTAGAGTGCTTCTAAACAAGTAATGCAAACCATCCTCTTGGGGAGTATCCATTTCTTTTGTCATATGTCTAGTGCTCAATATTCTGAGTTTTTTCCTATGAATTTGATTTCCCAAGTATTTATTTTAACTGTAAAATGAAAGTATATTAGAAAATATCAGTTAAAAACACTGGGAGCTTCCTGATCAAGAAGTTGGCTCTTACAATTAGAGCCAAAATAATGACAATGATGACAATAAAAATTATAAAGATCTGATATTTATTGGGTACTTACTATGTGCTGGTCATTGTTCTAGAAGCTGACATCTATTCATTAAACAGCAGTTATCAGGCATATGAACAAAAAATTTGAGGTGTTGACCACAGGCTTCACCTTTGTGACAGGATAAACACATTTTGCCTGAAATTACCCAAATTAAAAGAGTACTATGTTTGGAACTTATAGGCTATCTGACTCTCTGGGCAAGGATTCCCGTAATGAAGAAGACAAGATGAAAGATTATATCTCAACTTATCTGAGCTTCTGGGGCATAACAAATGACTTAATTTCATGAATGAGCTTAAAAAAATCCCCTTTTCACATAAGCCAGTATTGTTCTGTTCATTTAGTTCAGTATGGCCCAAAGGGCCATGATTGGCATTTTTTTTTTTTACCTACAAAAATTTATCTATATATCTCTTTGATTTTATTTCTTTCCTAGGGAAAATACTTTTGATTTAACATTTTAAAATCTATCCACCCTTTTTTCAGAAATTCAGACACAGTAAAATTTAGAGGGTAATTATTATTAATTTATAAATTAAACGAGAAGCTTCCTTTTGGATTATGAGAGACATATGTTTGGCTTCTTTGCATTATTGTAAATGTCTAGCTTAGGTCATGTACAGTGTTGATGTCTAATAGACATTTGTTGATTTTTTGACATGTGATTACAATATAAAGATTGTACTTCAGTTAAATGCTAAGGAAATGTCACATTCTCATTTTATTTTCCTATAAATACTGATGTCTTCTGAAGATCAGAAAGGCTTTGCCTTTAAAAAGAATTCCTTTTCTTCATATCAAATTGTGAGTTAGAAATTTTTTCTTTAAAGTTTTGATGGCTCTGGGTACATATTTCAGTAATTCTAGATCAAATAATCATAGAGTATGAGAGCTGGAAGAAGCTTTCTGCAGCATTGTGTCCAGGGATTACAAACTCAAATGCCTCCAAGGGTCAGGCAGGTAACATAAATATGTGAATCTGGCTGGGTTTAAGATCATAGGGAGGAGGGAAGCAAAGCCTGTAGCAAACTAGAGACTGAATAACCTGTCAAATTCAAACCCAATTCCAATCATAGAAAACAGATTTCAGGCTGTATTTGGTCCACCAGCTACCTGTTTATAAAAGCTGAAGTTAATCTTTTAATTTCAACTACTGGTGCATTTAATCCTGCACTTGTCACTTTTTTCGGGTATAGACATGCCACCATTTAGTTGCAGGGTCCAAAAGAGCTACAAAAGGCACACAGCCTAACAATCTTAAATTGTCTTTAAGTCACACCACAGAGCTGCTATAATTACACTTTGTGAATTATTGTCCAAGTAAATATGCAGGGACAAGGGACAGAGCCTGAAAATTATTTCCATTTTTGCATTTTATTGTTTTTCAAATAAGGTTTTAAAAATACCAGATGAAATTCTTTATGTGTCTTTCACTGGCTTCAAAATCAGATAAACTAGGTTTACCTTTTGTGGGCTGTTTTACCTTGGACAATTTGCTAAGTTCATTGAGCCTCACTTTCCTTAACAGCACATCAGGTTTGTTTATCATGAAGTTACTTTTTGGATTAATAAGAAAATTTCTGTAAACTGACAGGCACAAAGCTTGTTCATGTTTGATGATCATAAAATGTGAGTTTCCTACCTTCTATGCCCTGAACAGCTTCTCTTCCTTTTTTCCCCTGGATCTAGGCCTATAACTTCTTTAAACCAGTTGGTAATAAATTGGTCTGCATTCTATCCTCTCACTCCAGCTGAGATCAGCAACCGGGTTGTGAGTTTTGTTTGTAATACATTGTTAGATGAATCCTTTTGTATAAAAAAAAGAATGTAAACATTTTCTTTAAGGATCTTTCTTGGAAATTTTCACCCCCTGGTTAAATAACAATTTGTATTCTTTCAGGCACATTATTACTTTTCTTGGTTAATGTATCTTTCATCTTTGTACCTTTTCTTTCAAGAAAAATAAGATGTTAAAGAAGGCCTCCAAATGTTATGGGGTCTTTAAATGTTCACTGTAGGAAATCTGAGTTTCTAATATTAGCACTGGTGATTTGACAGGGTAGGGAGCTACTCTGCTATTATTTGTACATGTTATTAGAATGGCTATAACCTAGAGTCCTGGCTGGATTTTCCAGAAAAGAAGTCCAAACAAGTGTTCTGTTTCAAGATACCATAATTTTTAAATAATTTTTCAAGAAACTTAGTATGCTCAATAGTTCTGTGCTGTTGCATCAAAGAAAAGGTAAAAATATGCAATGGGCCAGCTAGAAGTGACATAATTAATTTAAAGCTGCACTTTGGGTAGGTAGTTTCAGTTGGGCAGATTGCTCTTTTAGAATTACTGAGAAGGTTTCCTCTAGAAATGAATAAGTGGAGAGAAATATGTCATCCAGCAAGCAAGAAGAACCCAAGTGTGTTTTCCCTACAAAACTATACTTCACTGAGAAATCAGCACACCAACCAACATTCATTATAGATGTTACATATTACTCATTACTCTGTGTATTAGTCCATTCTCACACTTCTATAAAAAACTACCTGAGATTGGGTAATTTATAAAGAAAAGAGGTTTAGTTGACACACAATTTCACAGGCTGTACAGGAAGCATAGCTGGGAGTCCTAAGGAAACTTACAATCATGGCAGAAGGTGAAGGGAAAACAAACACATCTTCACATGGCAGCAGGAGAGAGAGAAAGCAAAGGGCAAGGTGCTACACACTTACAAACAACCAGATCTCATGAGAACTCACTATCATGAGCACAACCATGTGGAAATCCGCCCCACGATCCAATCACCTCCCACCTTCCCCAACATGGGGGATTACAATTCAACATGGGATTTTGGTGGGGACACAGAGCCAAATTATATCATTCTGTAAGCAGTAGATTAAAAAGGTCACATCTAAGGATACATTTGATGACCTTGCTTACCTAAATGATATTCGTGTCACTTTTCTGCAACTTTGTCTACTGTCATCTATAGGCAGTCACTTTTTTAAAAAAATATTTTCTGGTCTCATCTGATCCAGATATGTTTTTCAAAAGCTATTTAGAAGAAAGTTACAAATAACCTGTACAGTGCTTCTTTTTCCTTGGTAAGCACTAATAGCTCTGAGTTTTGCTCTACTTTTCCATGGGTTTGAAACTGCCCTTTTCAAATGGCACCTTGTGCATTACTAAATCACTCAGTCACTTTATCTCACTTCTTCTGTTATTTGTGATATCTACCGTATTTGTATTTTGAATGGCTTCAGTCAGAAGCCAGAGTTTATTCTTTTTTGTTTTTGTTGTTGTTTCCTTCCACTCTTGTTATAATTCTTCATGATTTTTATACTGACATAAGGAACTGGCCTCTCTATCCTTCACCTTTTCTCCACATGCTTTGGTTCTTTGCCATCACCATCTGCATCCACTACATTAATCTCATGCTCAATGAATTCTTGTGTTCTGAACAGGGAAAGGAGCTGTTCTATTATTATTCGTACATATTATCAGAATGGCTATAACTTAGAGCCATTAGATTCTCCAGAAAAGAAAGCCAACCGAATGTTTTGTTTTAAGATGCTGTAACTCTCACTCCTGTTCTCTGATCACAACCACTTATCTTTCTATGCAGTTAGTCACCCAATTTAAGTCCCACCTCCCCAATTCTGCCACTCCACAATTTTCTATTCCACCACCTTTTCACTGTCTCTCACCCCCATTTGTATTCTCATTTCCTTGTGTATCAAGTTTATGCCCAATGGATTATCATCATGTTTCTTTTTTTGCTTATCTTCTCACCCACCTGGCCCCTCTTTTTCTTCATCACTCTCCTAGCAAAATTGCAACCCTACATAAACCCTACTGAGATTTCCCAGATACTCTGCTTGGATTTTGTGCAGCCAGACATAGCTGGAAGAAGCACACACCTGTGCAGGCTGGTCCCACTTGAAATTCATTACTTCAAAACAAAATTGGGTCTTATGCAGCTTGGTAAGCCTACCCTACTTCCCTCCTCAACTCATTTTTTCCATTGACCATTCCATTTCCTTTCTGTTCTCAAACTACCTTCATGGCTTTACTATTCTCACACTTAGTCAGTGGCCTTGTTTTCTTTTTGAGTCAGAAAATAAGTTTCAACCAGGCAGGCTGGCATTCTTCTGTGGTGCCAGCTACTGGAGAGGCTAAGGTTAGGGGAATGGCTTGAGCCCTGGAGGTCAAGGGCAGGGAGCCGTGTTTGCACCACTGCACTCCAGCCTGGTTGACAGAATGAGACTCTGTTATAATGATAAAAAAAAAAGAAAGAAAAAGAAAAGAAAAGAACTTTCACAGGCCACCTCACTTAGAATTTTGTAAGGGAACTAAAACTCTTTTCTTAGAGCATTCCAAAATCATTAAGTCCAGTCAAAGCTAGCTTATTTCTTTATTTGATGTTTTCAAAGTTCAAAAGTCCTACATGCTTGTCACTACAAGCAATTAAGTTCCTGGGACTTTCCAGGCTTTTGCATTCAAAATCCTGTATCCCAAGAAAGCTCTCAATCCTAGGCAAACTGGATTGGTTTATCACCTTGCCAGGAAACAACACACCGTACAGGCAGACACAGCAAAGATGAAAAAAAAATAGTGATCTCACCTGGCTACCTTCCTGTTATTTTATAGCCTTATGCTTATACCAACACATAGAAGCATACATACAACAAATTTACAGGGTGTGTTTTCTATTGTTTTTACTAAAATAGAATCCTGCTATACACATTTTTCTGCAAGTTGTTTTCTTTTTTCTTGATTAAAGAAATCCCTTTACAGGGCACTTGAAATGAGAAACTGAATGTTGTATTTCTGCAAAACTGGATGTAACCAGCTGAAGTTGATAAATAACCATGAACTTTGAGTGATCCCAGGACACTAGACCCTTGGTTGACCTAAGTGAAGACTCTTCCCTGAATAAGGAACAATAGGAATTGTTTAATCAACTGTGTACAATTCTATGGATTCACTCCATTTTATTCAGAATTTAGTTTTCAATCTTGATTGGCATAACCACCCTGAACTATACATTTCTAACACTTAGAAAGTTTTGAATTTTCAGTGAACCACTCAGTAAATTTTATTCACTGGTGAGTGTTCTGTTGGCTGACAAGATAACTTCAGCTTTTTTTTAAGATAGTCTGTTTTAAAAATTTATACCTAATAGTATATAGTGGATACACACACACACACACACACACACACACACACACACACAAACACATATGATTTTATATACATAAATCATTATACATGTGTTTTTGTTGTTGTTGTTTTAGAGACATCTTTATTTTTTTAAATTTCTTATTTTTTCCTAACAGGTTGTTATTCAGATTCCCTCTGTTCACCTGTTTAACATCTTTCCGTAATTTTCTGCAAGTTCATAAGATGTGTATGAGACTTGTATAATCATGCATAATAAAAGGTGGATTTTGGTCTTGTTTGCTTAATACAAATTATATCGCATTAAACACACGTGAGGAAACTTTCAAAAATGGCTCCCAATAACCGCACTTTCTGGTATGCACATCCTTGGCTAGTCCTTAGGCCTTGAATGTGAATGGGATCTAGTCACTTGTTTCTAATGAATACGGCAAATGTGATGGCTTGTAATTCCAAGCTTAGGTCATACTGTTGGTGGTGGGCTGGTTCAAGTTCTTGACTTCACTGCACAAAAGAATTTGAGAGTGAGTCCAAAGTAAGGGTAGGCAAAGAAGTTAATTGCAAAGCAAAGTACACTCTAAGAGGCAGAGTGGACTCTAAGAGGGAGAGACAGCAGCTAGCACCTTAAGAGGAATTCCTTTTATGGGAGCTGTATATACATAGTCGTAAAATACTGGTGAGGTCAAGTATGCAAAAGATGAGCTGGTGCATGTGCTCAGTATCTACATGCTCCAACATGCATTGCATGTATCATTAGCATATAAAATCTCCACGTAGGGTTTTTTTTTTACTATTAAAATGAGGAAAAGGTTACTATAAGATAAAATTTGAGCCTAGCTGCACATGCAGGACCCTGGTGAAGTCCCTGCCCCCTCCCTCAACACAGGAATTTGTAGTTAATAGCTTCTTGGGCTTTCAGTGCTGATTGGTTGGGAACTGGGGAAGTTATGTCAGGAATAAGAGGCTCTTATTTTTTTTCTCTTTCCTGGACTGTACTAGGTATCAGGAACGTGTAACCATCTGGCAGTCTGCTGGTGTCCTGCAGGAGTGCTTACCTTTCAAAAGAGTTAGGTGCTGACTCATTAGGGTGCTAGCAAAAGAAACCCACTGTAAAAGAAGCCCACAGGGCTTCACACAAGGGGACAAGTCAGTATGGCTTCCTAACCTTACCTAATCTGCCTCAATACAAGACTGATTTCTATCTTTTTGCCACTTTCTTTGCTTGCTTGTTTTGAATAAGCCAGGTGCCATGTTGTGAGCTGCCTTTCGAAGAGGTTCAAGTGGTAAGGAACTGAGAGTGGCCTTGGTAACAGTGAAGAATTGAGGCCTTCAGTCCAACATCCTTGAGACACTGAATCTTGCATAAAACTATTGAGTGAGTTTAGAAGCAGATCCTGTCCTCCTTGACCCTGCAGATGACTCAGCCTTAGCCAATATCTCCCTTGCTGAGACCCTGAACAGAGGACCCTGTTAAGCCATGTCTAGATTCTGGGCCCATGGAAACGCTGAGATAATAACTGCTATTGTTAAATCACTAAGTTATGAATTTAACATAATTTGTTATGCAGCAATAGAAAATATAACACATTTCACTAAATTTCACTTTCCTCATTTAACAATACAATATGGAAATCTGTCCAAATTAGTTGATGTACGTTTGATTGATTCTTTGTTACAGCACCATATTACCTCGTGGGGATTTGCCTTAATTTGTTCAAATATTTCTTTACGGATTGATATGATTTGGCTGTGTCCCCACCCAAATCTCATCTTAAACTGTAGTTCCCATAATCCTCATGTGTAGTGGGAGGTAATTGAATCATGGGGGCCGTTACCCCCATGCTGCTGTTCTCATAATAGTGAGTGAGTTCTCACGAGATCTATGATTTATAAGGGGCATTTCCCCCCTTTTGCTTGGCACTTCATGTGAAGAAGGCTGCCATGTAAAGAAGGCTGTGTTTGCTTCCCCTTCTGCCATGATTGTAAGTTTCCTGATGCCTCCCCAAGCCTATGGCACTGTGAGTCAATTAAGCTTCTTTTCTTTATATATTGCCCAGTCTCTGATTTGTCTTTATTAGCAGCATGAGAACTGACTACTACATGGATTGTCATTAATTTGCCACTATATTTCTCGTGGCAAAAAACTCTAAACCAAGTACATATTTTAAAATTACAATTAGAAACTGATTTTCAGTCTTACTTTCTATATTTGAGATGTTGATTTAGAAATCGGGAAAAATACACACATACAAAAAATACTAAGGAAGCCACATTTTCATGTTCTATAAAAAACTTTAGATGAAAATTATGACAATAATTTTAGAGTAAGATACCATTAAGACAGAGGTATATTTTGTTTGTTCTGGAGAAAACAGCTTTAAAAATGATTAAAATAAATATTTTGTTGACTTTTTAAACTATATGAATTCTCTTTAAATTCCCTTCAGAAGTATAAAAATTAATAAAATCATTTAACATTAAGTTAGAACAGATGTTAAAAATTACCTAGTATAATCACTCATTTTGTGTGTTAACTCCCTTTAAAACTTTGGCATTGAAAGATATTGTAAACAATAATTTCCAATTTTATAAATAGTACAAATACATATTCTTTGTAAAGATGTAAACATTGAAGATAACATTGAAGTTCCCTACCCTGGTTCCTTTTCTCTCTCCCAGAGGGAACCACAACTATTGTTTTGGGTATTGGTATGTGGTATTGTAAATCTTTTGTATATTTTCAAGGCCTTTAATCCCTATAAATATGTGTATATAACTGTAGACACTGTAAATTATATTATGTTTTATATATCATTCTACAAGTTGCTTTATCAATTGGCATTTGAGAATATAATTTTAACATCTTCTTCTGCAGTGCTTTATGACTGATGATTAAGTTTTAGGAATGAGGAATAAGTTTCTTTGATTTTTTGTTATTTTTATCTTTATATTGATTTTTTTTGTTCTGTTGTCATGTGTAATCAATATCATTTTTACTTTCCAACAATGCGCTGGCTTCCATGTTAATGAAATGATGTTAGTAGCTAAGCTGGCAAACAAAATTCCTTCAATTTGAAGTGTCTCTAAGAACATTTCACCCAAGGAAACATTTTGAAACCATGCGAAGCTGAAACCTTGCCTGCAAGCATTTCTACTGACAATCACTTTTCTAGTTTAAGTAAGGGCTAGATATGTTTTTAACATTCGATGTCCTAATACCTTTAAAATAAATTTTTTCAGCCTCAACAGCAAAAACACATTTTAGAAATGCCTGTTAGTAGAGCAAACATTTCAACCAAAAACACATTTGAACTGTTAAATTCCCTTGCTGAACCAAATGTTTTGCTTCACAAATAGTTTTTAGATTTGCTTTGGTTCAACTCTATTCCTTCTTAAACATTACTGTGAGGATTTTATAAATTAAGAGCTCTTACTTCTTAGAATATTTGCGCAATTTAGATTCAGTTTGGCAGATATTTGTGGAGCATCCTCTTTGGGCTGACTGTAATGCCAGGTACTGACTGATTCAGTGATAAATACTATACAGCCCCTGCTTTTAAGGAACATGTTATCAAATTAGAGAGAGAAAAAAAATCAAGCAATAAATCTGATATAATGTAACAAATGATAGTCAATTAATTAATCAACCAGTGAATTCTTAAGTTTTAGAAATTCTCCTCTGGGCCAGGCATTATCCTAGGACTACAACCTATCTTTAAGAAGGGACATGCAAAAGGGCATAGGAGTAGTTACCCAATCTCTCCTTAGTAAAAGGAGATCAGGACACGCGTTCTGAGAGATAATGCAAGATCCAGGATGTGAAGGAAAAAAAGTTGACATTGTGCAGGCAAAGAAAACCATTATCAGCAAATATGTGAACATTCCAGACACAGAAACAGAGAAGCATTGTGTGTTGGAGAAATACTGAAGCACATTTTGGCTATGGGCATGGTGGAGACAGAGGGTCAGCTGGGAGAAACAGACCAAGACCAGGTCGTGGTAGACCTTGTAGCCTGTTTTAGGAAGCTAGTAAGTCAAGAGCTTATACTATATCTTTATATTCATGCTGAAACTCAGCTGCTGACTAATTCAGTGATAATAAATTTAAGCTTTTTACTACCTTAATAATCGTTGAAAAAGAAAATCTGATAAATTTTCAATGGACTGGAAAAAGAATGTTCAGCAAATTATACTTTGTAATATATTGATGCTTAGGGGCAGTTTGACTCTGACATAAAAAAGTTCAGACTAAAGTGGATTAAACTCACACCCATACCACATTCTGGCTTCCCCTATAACATGGTGGGTGTTTGGCAAAGGCCTTACTTTATTCGTGTGAGTTTTCCAGAATGCCTTTGATTTTGATTGACCAGCAAGGAGTTCTGGCAATTGCATATAGGATAGGCTGACGATTCTCAAATGCCTTACATAATGGTTAAAGTGATACTGACTTTTGAAAACTTCTATAGAGTTGTCAAGATTTAAAAACATTGTTAAGGTGAGTCAAAATAATACACTACAGCTTAAGGGTCATCAGTGTGATGTAAATACTCCATATTTTGGTCAAATTTTCACTATTGAAGAACAAATAGTATAAATTTGGAAAAATTATTTAAGCTTCTGGGCCTTACTTTCTATAAAACTGAAGAAATTAGATAAAAACCTCTTTTAGTTGTAAAATTATGCAAATCAAAGTCATCTACTTTGCAGTAAAATTATCCCTATTTTAAGTGACAAAAATGTGTAGCAGCTTGGCTACTGGTAGAGCTGTCCAGTACCAGAATATCTTAAGTAATTTGCTATTTAGTAAGCACCTACTGTGTTGAAATGCTATTACAGGAGATGAGAATATGATGGCTGTGGTCATTTGAACTACTAATCAAATCTTTCTGCCTCTCTGCACAATATTAGAATATAGAAGGATTGCACTTCCTGGCCGCTTTGTAGCTGGATAGGGCTATGTAACTTCCTCTGGTCAATGTGGTTGTCAATGAAACTGGCATAGGTCAGTTTCTGGGTCACAGCAATTAAATGTCTGGTTTGAGACCCTCAAGTGTTCTTTTATCAGTGTTCCAGATAGTAGCTGTTCCATCAGCTTGAGTCCTGAAGTGAAACTCCAGCTGACTGCAGTGAATATAAAGCATAAGTGAGAAGTAAACTTTAATTGTTAAAGCTAGTGAGGTTGTAGGCTTGTATGTCACTAACGCTGAACTTAGCCTATCCTGGACTAACAGAATGGGGAGCAAGACAGACAAAGCTACTGTTCTCATGGTGCTTACAGTCCATTGGGAGATAAAAGAAATATAAGTAGGAACCAATTAACAGGGTCATTTCAGTTAGAGATTTAGGATGGGTGGTCATTGAAGGGCATACTATAGATATTTAAATTGAGGCAAATTGACAAAAATACGTCAATCATCAGAAGGTCTTTGGAAAGAGTATTTCAGACAGAGAAACAGCAAGCACAAAGGTCTTCAAATGGAACAAGTTTAGTATGTTTAAATAGAGAGAGGCAATGTGACTGGAGCCCAGATATTGCATGTGAGTTGTAGAGTGTAAGGTTGAAAAGATGGGCAATAAACTTTCTCAACCTTGGGGGCACATTAGATTCTCCTACAGTACTTAACAAAATACCATTACTAGCCCTAGTCCCAGATATTCTAGAGTTGTAAGAGGCCTCAGTATTTTTTTAAATTCCCTAGATGATTCTAATATGTAACTTGGGTAAAAATACCTGATGTAGAGTCTTTTTAGATTATGGTTACTTCTTGATGACTAGAATTTTATTCTGAGTTGTTGAAAATTTTTAGGAGAGGGGTGACATGACCTAACTTGTTTTATTAAATCACTCTGACTGCAATGTGGAAAATGTATTATGGGTGAATCAGAAAGAATACTAAAAAGGCTATATCAGAAATGATGTAGATGGGACAAGGTATTAACAGTGATGATGAGAAACATTGTTGGATTCAGAATATATTAAGAAACTAGTGCTAAATTAACATGCTGATGGATTGGATACACTTATGGTGGTGGTTGGCATGATGAACGAAGTGAGAAAAAATTGCTGACACATAGATTTTTGGGTGAAAAACAGTTAAAAGGAAAGCCACTAGCTTAAATGGGTAAGACTAGAACGATAATTGGTTTGCAAAGTGGAGAGGACCAAGAGTTGTTTTTAGGATTTGTTATATTAACGTTGCAACTAGTAAACATTCAGAGGAGGCATAAAGTAGACAGATATTAGAATTTGGAGAACAGATGATAAAGGAAGATATAAATTTGGTGGTTATTAGCAAATAGTTTTAAAAGCCAGGAGATTCATGTAGTAATAGAAGAGAGCAAAGAATTGCATCTTTGTACACTCTGATGTTTAGAGGCTGAAAATATGTGGACAAATGAGAAAATACTGAGAAGAAACAGTCTCCAAGGTAGAAAGAACATCAGAAGCATAAGCACTCATACTATTGCCAAGAAGAGTGTTTTAATGTAGCAGTAATCAACTAGTTAACTGCTGCTGCAAGGTGCAGTAAAAGGAGGACATTAATAGCACCCAACTCTAATTCTCTTTTGTATTTATACCTGATAATTCAGTTGATATACATTTAAGGAAATGGCATAGAATAGAGCAGTGCTCTTCAAATATTGGCACAAATACTTCTTAAATGAGTTTTGACAAAGTAAGCACCCTTTGCAAATTTGTAAGTTGACCTCCAAAATATTTTTATTATAAATTAAAGTAATAGTTGCAAATAATGTAATTTTCAAAACATTGTAAATACTTATGTTTAAGATAAAATTATTACTTCTCTTTTTAAATGTACCCAGTAGCATATAAATACCATAGTCTAATTATTCTTCAAATTTATGTTTTAATTATACTTCTTCCATTCAGTTGTATCTTAATATATTTTTATATGTGAAAGTCTTTTACTGACCACTCTATCATATATAATGCAATAACAATATATAAAAAAATTAAGTCTAAATTTAAAAATCCCAGTGCTTCCAGCTTGGGCGTTAGGGCCATTATGGACAAGTTACAGTGCTGCAGAGATTTTATTTTTGGCCAGTTTTGGGGCCAGTTTATGGCCAGATTTTGGGGGGCTTACTCCCAACACTGAGGAGTTAAGATTATTGTTCTTCTTCTGGAGTGATGTCAGCAAAAGAGAAGGGAAGGTCCAAGGTCTCCTTCCCCATCCTCTATCTTTAAGAAAAATGAAAAGCAGGCACTGTTATTACCAACTTTGTAAGAACTCTGAAAAATGCTCAAGTTTTTCAGCAACCAAGCAAATGCTGAATTTCAAAGCAGTAGGAAAACTTTGCGGTGTTTTTACTTGCACTTGTTTCACCCTTCCTTGTGTGGCTGCAGTCTTGAAGAAGAAAGCCTATGTTCTCAGTGTAGGACTCTGGTCCCTGGGGGGAGCAGAGCTGACCTGATTTGCACATTGTTCTGTATGTTGGTTCTGACTTATTTAGGGGCTGCCTGAAGGACTGGCTTATGGTACTTGTCTCTTTTACCTAACTCACACCTTGCACCAGAAAGGTGGTAGGTATTACTCAAAAGTCCTGCAAGGTGAAGTGACAACTGCAGACACTTCACATAAAAGATTATGGTTAAAAGGCACAATAGACCACATAATATCTGTGAGCAAAAGCTGGGGAGAATTTCTTTTGAAAATTGGGTTATTCAGTGCACTATGAATATGGGGAAATTTAGAAACTCATGTACATGACCAGGGCAAGGTGCATGCTCAGAAAAGGACAGAGAAGACCCTAAGCTTACACCTCAGGCTGAGCCTTAGGCTCAGTGCAAGCCTGGCTAAGCTTTGAAAGATTGCTCTTGCACACCACCAATATACAAAGACTAGAAGAGAGTTTTATTCTTTTATTTGTTTGTTTGTTTGATTTTAGTTTCTGGTCTTCAGGGAAATTTCTGTCAAAACTCTAGCTGAACACAAGCTGAAGAACAGCAATTTCAGTGACTACACATGATAAATAACTGTGTCTTTGCATAAATAGTTTGAGAAAGCCACTAAGCCAATGGACTGCTATAGCCTTTAATACCAGAAAGAAAAAAAATAAAGGAAAGAAAAAAGAAAGAACAAAGAAAGAGAGAAAGAATGAAAAAAGAAAGAGAAAGAAAGAAAAAGAAAGGAAGGAAGGAAAGAAGGAAGGAAGGAGGGAGGGAAGGGAGGAAAGGAAAACACTGGGGAAGGGGAAAAATCTGATTTCCAGAGTTACCACATTATAGTGTTTAAATGTCCGTTACTAAAAGAAAAAGGCATATAAAGAAATAAGAAAAAATGGTCCATTCAGAAGAACAAAATAAATAGGAAGAAATAATCTCTGAAGAAGCCTAGAAATCAGACTTAGTAGCAAAGACTCTAAAACAACTGTCTTAAATATGTTCAACAAGCTAAAGAAAATCATGGACAAAGAAGTAAAAAAAATCAGGAAAATGATGAATGAACACAATAAGAATATCAATAAAGAGACAGAAATTATTAAAAGGAGCCAAATAGAAATTCTGGAGCTGAAAAGTAGAGTAACTGAAATAAAAAGTTCACTAGAGGGTTGTAAAAGCATATTCAAACGGGGGAAGAATCAGTGAACTTGACAATAGTACCTTAAAATCATTGTCAGAGTTTCAGACTGAAAAACAAATAAGGAAAAGTTCATCAGAGTCTAAGGAACCTGTGTGATATCACCAAACAATCCAACATATGCGTTATGGGAGTCCCAGAAGAAGAATGGAAATAAATGACCAAAAAGAATGTTTGAAGAAATAATGACTGACACCTTCCCAAATTTGATGACATACATGAATCTATATATCCAAGAAATTCAATGAACTGTAATAAGATAAAGCCAAAGAAACCCACACCAAGACACATTATAATCAAATTGTCAAAAGATTAAAAAACAAAAATGTATATACATACAATGGAATAGTGTTCAGCTATAAAAAGAAAGTTCTGATACACAAAAAACATGGATGAAACTTAAAGCATTATGCTAAGTAAAATAAACCAGGCACAAAAAAACAAATATTATGATTCCACTTACATAACTTATCTAGACTATGCAAATTCATAGAGCGAGGTTATCAGGCACTGGGGTAGGGGAAATGTGGAATTATTGCTCAGTGGTTATACGATTTCTGCTTGGGTGATGAAAAAGTTTTGGAAACAGAGGTAATCGTTGCACAACATTGTGAATGTAATTAATGTCACTGTATTGTACACTTAACAATGGTTAAAATGGCAAATTTATACGTATTTTACAACAATAAAATAAATTTACAAAACAGATTATTCTGCATTGAGTTATCATTACAGCTATTATTAGTATACAGTTGATTATATATATACATACACACACATATCTGCATATATTATACATTTTGATAATAATGATTAAATATAAAAAGTATACTTAATTGGGAGTGTATCTTTTAATGAAATGTATGGAAATTTATTCTTCTGAAAAAAAATCATGCATCCATGGATAAAGCTTATTTATTGCTAGAATGAGATAAAACTCAGAATCAATTTTTGCTCTACATCATGAGCTGTGTTCTAAGAAAATTTGTTGGCATAAATAAAAAATGAGAATGGAGGAAGTTTTGCAACAGCAATGTTGCACAATCCCTTGATTGATGTTGCTGTTGAAAAAAGTGAATGGAAGTCATTTGGGCCATCTTTTCTCAACCTAAAGTCAATGTTTTGAATGGCCTCTGTGATATTTTCCCCCAATAACAACATACCAAAGTAAAACTAGCTATGATTGAGCATGATTCTTTCATTTGTATAGGCAGAAATAGGTAATTTTGAAAAAGGAGGTGTGAAAGGAGAAATCAACACAATACCTTCAACTGAGTCCCTTGGAAAGACTTTGTGTACCTCCATGGTCATAGGCATATTCAGACTTCTGGTTTATTGGAAAGAACATTAGACAAAGATCCAGGAGATTTGCCTTCCAGGCTAAACTTGGTGACTGAGAAGCAGAGAAGATAAAGAATTGAATGTGTTTCAATATAATTAACTGCTTAGAAGCTATCTTTATTGGTATCTATAAGTTAAATTTTATTGATGTTCTAATACAAAGTTTTAAGAGAAAGAACATTTAGCAAAGAAAATAAAGAACAGGGAAACCATAGTTAGAGGTTATCCAGGAAACCTTCTGTGTAATTTCACGTTCTTTCCCATCATATCTTCTATGCAATTTAATGCTCTTTCCTGTACTGTTTAGTTTAGTTTAGTGAGTTGGTCCCCACAAGTCAATTACAAGAAGACATTTATTGAGTTAGTTCACCTTAAATTCAAGCTTTAATAATGAAAAGTATATCAAATAAGAAATGCTGAGGTCAATGTGGAAAGGAAAGGCAGTTTTAAAAAAGAAATTGATAAAATCTCCAAAATAAGCTCTTTCAAAACCTCACAGAAGAAATGCCACTTTGTTTATAGTAGAAAAAGAACAGAGATGCCTCTATGCTAGAAACTCTTTTTTGAACAGCAGAAACCCACAAACTTACTAAATGATTTTCACTGGTCAATGAGGATGCCTTGTAAATTTTTAAAAAAATTAATTGAATGTGCTTGTATTATAGAGTTTAGCCAGTACTAGAGCCATTTGGGCTTTGTCTACATTAGACAATGACCTGAAGAAAGTTATCCATAAGATTTTAATACACTGTGGAAGTCTCATGCTTATGGTCTTTTGGTTTCCAGTATAGTCTTTTATAATTTATGGTCCCTGGAAGTCAGAAAGACCTTGGGAAAAATATTAAGACCTCTGATTTACTTTATTTTGAAAAATCTTCCAATTGCTTTCCTTTGTGCTAGAATAGATTACAAACTCCTCACAATGAACTAGAGGGCCTCTGGCTACCATGTTAACGTCTTCTCAGAGCTCTGCATTATGATCTGTACTCCAGCTGCTTCCCATCTTTCTGTGTCTGTTCTTGACACATACTGAGTTTATGCCTGCTTAGGGCCTTTGCACATACTGTTCCCACTTCCTGAAATTTTCTTTTCCAGATCTTTGCTTGGCTTGTGCCTTTTCATGCTTCAGGTCTCAGTTCAAAGGTAGCCTCTTCAGAAAGGCCTTTCCAAATCACTCCTTGCTATTCTCTCACTACTGTCTACCTTATTGCATGTTAGAAAGGAATGGTCTTCATAACACTCATCATTCTTAAAAATTTTCTTGTGTAATTATTTCCTTATTTATTATTTGTATCTTTCCTTGTGTTGCAACTTCATCAAATGAAATCAATCCTGTTAGCTATTGTATTCTTGTCTTCTAAAACAGTATAGAGTAGGTGCTTAATAAATCTTTGTTGATGATTGACTAACTAGATGAGTTTTCTGACCTTCTTTTTTTCGAGACTATTTCCTGCCAAAGTCACACATGGGCTTTTTTCTTATGCACAGTTCAGTTTATTTTAATTCTTAAAAATTGATTGACTTGCACACAACAAAATTGACTCAATTGAAATATTTGGCTAATTGATCTGTCACTGTAGGAAATATAATCTGGCTAATAGATAGCTGCAGAAAACCTGAGATATGTAAGTTCATTTCCATTTTTGGAACTAGAGTAGGAAATTAAGCTGAATTGCAAAACTCAGGTCTTTTATGATTTGGACTTCCATTCTTTGTATCTGAATCTCTCAGTTGATCTGAAAGTTCTAGTAAATCATTAAGTTACCCTTTTTCCCAGCAGAACATCCTTCTTATATTATGCCGGGTTCCCACTGTCCCAGAATTTCCACTGGGGAATGGGTCAGATTGGAAGCAATGACCTGAACTGAGGGGCAGATAGTAGCATTTTCTTCCCTTTCTACGCTGACAATTACATTAAATAAGTCGAGATTTCAGCTCTTGGTTAGGTTTGCTTATGCAGTCCTCTTTTGGCTGCAATTAATTTGTAGACTTTTCCTACTAAAAATGTTGATCTCTCAAGAAGCAAGTCATGGTGGACTGATGTTTATCATTTGTGCCTGTTAGCAAACATTTCTCAGTTATTGGCTATAATCAGGCTGTAGCTAAATTTTGGTTGATACCAAGAGTTATGAAGCCTAAAGTATTAGGGAAACTGTTGAACAAAATCAATTAAATAGTTGTCTATTTTAAAACTGCTATTATTTAAGTTGTAAATCTCTGCCTCATGCTTCAGCCAGTTTGTAGATATTACTATTTCAGTCATCAGCAGCCCAGCTTATTAAAATAATTAAATGTCAGTATTTCCTTTTTTCTCTGTTATATTACTTTCAGTTCTAAGTTTCAAATGAGTGTTTACTTTTTAAAATGATGAACATAAAAGCAAACAACATTAGTACCCAAGGATGATGTTTTTATTTGCCATTATTTTATTTCAACTGTAATTAAATGAAAGTAATATTTTAAAATTTTACTCATAGATATTATTGGTTATGCTGGGAGCACAACAGAGTAAGTATTTAAAATTTTCATTCAAATGTTAAGTCTAGGCCTTGGAAAAGAGATATTAAAATATTACTATAATTTTATTTTCTTTTTCTTAAATGTTAATCTCTCTGATTTCAAGGAATATTCTCCTACACCATTTCATAGGATAGATGATGAATGAATAGATTTTAGTAAATTAAAAACAAACTGATTTAACAATCAACTTATCTTAAAAACCACAATGTATGTGAAAACTTTCAATATTATTCACATTTAAGAGAATGCAAATACATGAAAGAAAAGACTTGGAGGGAGTATTGAGCAAGGTAAAATCTGATAGATGTAGGTAAGGGTTGTGTTGGGTTTTCACAGAGATTTTATTTTGGAAAGAAAAGAGAACAGAAGAAAAATAATTATCTGTTGATAAGATATTATTTTTAAAATCCACCTTCATGATTTTTGGTTTTTATATTCCCTATTGCTGGTTGCCTTAGAAATATTTTGCTCTCCGATGTCAATAGTGAAGGTTTAGAAATTATTAAAGGTTTTCTTTTCATACTCCAAAAAAAAAAAAAAAAAATTTTTCCTCCTTTGATCCAAAGTAACTGACCCCAAATCCTCTACCAACAAGACCTGTTTCATTAACCTTTACATTTCAGCTGAGAACAACAGTACACTTATATGTTAGAGTGCTAGCTCCTTAATAATCTCTAAACTAAAACAGCCACTATTTAATATTTTGTGTAGTTGGCCGGGCGTGGTGGCTCATGCCTGTAATCCCAGCATTTTGGGAGGCGGGCAGATCACCTGAGGTCGGGAGTTTGAGACCAGCCTGACAAACATGGAGAAACCCCATCTCTACTAAAAACACAAAAAATTAGCCGGGTGCGGTGGCGCATGTCTATAATCCCAGCTACTTGGGAAGCTGAGGCAGGAGAATTGCTTGAACCCAGGAGGCGGAAGTTTCGGTGAGCCGAGATAGTGCCATCGCACTCCAGCCTGGGCAACAAGAGCAAAACTCTGTCTCAAAAAAAAAAAAAAATTTAGTTTAGTTACAATTACAATTTTTAGTTGCTTTTGTTAGATTTAAAGAAAACTTTAGCCATAACTAATAGGTCTATAGTTCAATTTTGGGTGCACAGGTGGAAATATTCATATGAAACTTAGCGTTCTCATAGTTTCTTTTTCCTTTGGTTTCAGTGTTTTCAAAGTACACTTGATTCTGCAGTTTTGAGCTACAGCTATTGAGCCAACTATCTCCAAAGCTGTCCTAATCTCTTCCTCCTTTAATACTAAAATATGTGCTTGTTGAGCGATAAGATCATGTCTATGCCATTTTTGTTTGCCTGATGCTGGAGTAGCAAATAAGTTTCATCTCTGTGTCAACTGCAACTAGATTGTTAGTAAATGCCTGCAGTGATGTATTGAAAAGCAATCTGAGACTGTCTGACACAAGTGGAAAAGATAACCGTGTTTGATTAGCAATGTCTGCCATGGGCATAGGAAGAAAGAATAGCTCTAAGACTAAGTATTTGCTATCCCTGTGCTTGTGCTTAAGGAGGTGCCTGGAAGAGATTGGAACTTTATAAATGTTTGGTATATAGATGAATGAACTTCCGTTTTATTTGGACAACCATTTTATGCAGCAAGAAAACTCAGAAGTTCCTTTTAATCCTAACCTGGAAAGTTTCCCTGTCACTTAGTCCAGAAACTACTCCCTGGTTTTGCCAGATAAAATCAATGGTTCCTGGACCTCACCCAAACTAAACTTCCAAAATGTCGATCTATATAATTTACTTCTCACCCAAGTTACGTATTTGTCTTTGAGTGCTATTTGCATTTCCTATATATTTGAGTTAATAATATATGTGATCTAGCCACTTTAATTTTGTTGTTTCTGTGCTCATGGTTGACCCTGGACAAATTATGAAGTAGGCTAAGCATGTTCTCTGTGATCTGAAGCTTACCTCTACAATTTATTTTCTTCCTCTACATGGCCCTTTCCATAATACCGAAACCTGCTTTCAGGAAAAGGTCTGCTATAATATGACGCAATGCTTTTAAGCTAATATGTTAACCTTCATAGGAACATTTAAAAAATGCTTTTTCTATTTTTTTTTTTTTTATTTTTTTGATACAGTGTCTCACTCTGTTGCCCGACTGGAGTGCAATGGCCCAATCATGGCTCACTGAAGCCTTGACCTCCTGGGCTCATGGCGGTACTCATTCCTCAGCCTCCTGAGTAAATGAGACCACAGGTGTGCACCACCATACCCCACTAATTTCTTATTATTATCATTGTTATTTGTATAGACGAAGCTCCCGATGTCTCTCAGGCTAGTTTCCAACTCCTGGGCTCAAGGGATCTTCCCACCTCAGTCTCCTGAAACACTTAGATTACAGGTGTGAGCCATTGCACCTGGCTCTAATTCTTGAGCAAAAGTCTTTGTCTTCCTCCTTTGCATATGTTCTTTACAATTTTCTTAGATTCCATAATCTTTCATAATTAAGACAGTACTCATACATTCCTTTCCGTACAGTACCAATAAAACATTTATAAAACAAGCAAACAAATAGGACATCAAAAAATCTTGATCTAAATGCCTGATGATAATCTAAAAGGGATATTCTTTTCTTCAATTAATAACACATAAACACTTAGTTGAAAATACAATTAGTCATGTTATTTCTTCTTTCTAATGCTTGCCCAAAATGCAAATAATAAAATCTACTTTATAAGCTGCATTAGAATGAAACACATATACATATGGTTTAGCACAAATACAGCGCCTTGACTCTAATGGATACACAATCAATGATAGGTGCTATTATGACTTGTGCTAACTCTTGTCTGTATCTCAAACATGTTTTCCCTTCACTGCTATGCCTATGAAAGTGTCTCCTATTACTCCATCAAACCTTGAATATTTGTTGTGGTAAGGGCAGCGCGAACATGACTATTTGAGAGGTTCCAATAAATCAACATCTGTTTTTCTCAACCAAGTGTTTTATGAGGACTGAGGACAAATAACAAGTGATTGATTTGAATTTTACAGTTTTCCTGACTGCATGATTTTTTGTGTGTGTCTGTGTGTGTGTGAACATCGTATACTTTTCAAGCAGAAGAGAATGTTTTTAAAAATGTGGTTGAAAGGAAAAGAGACAAAACAACAAATCTATAAATCCAAAATGGTCCTCTAAGTTAACCTGGCTGTATAAATCCACAATGATCCTCTGAGTAACGAGAACTGGCTCTATAAATGCTTATAAGCATATGCCATTAATCTCTTTTGTTTCCCCGTTTATTTTATAAGCTACTTGAGGGGAAAATATATTTATAACTTCATAGTGCCTACTGTAATGGAATACACATCATGAAATTTAGTAACTATTTTCTGAAGAAATATAGCAAACTCTCTACCAAATTTTGTGTTGCTTTTTCATAATACAGTTTTATCACTGGCATGTGGCTACCTGCTGGGGACTACATTTCTCATCTTCCTTTGCAACTTGGTAAGGACACGTGACTATTTCTCATGATAGAATGTGAGTGGAAATGATGATGCCGCTTCAGGGTAAGAGTGGTAAAGAAGGGAGTGTGTTTGCTTCATGCTCTTTTTCTGAGGACTCCACTGAGGGATGTAGAGACAGTAGCACAAGTCCCTTACCACTACAATCACTTACACTGAACTGTAATGGAGAAACAAACTCTTACCGAGTTAAGATACTAAAAATTTGGGGCTTGTTACCATGGCAAGCAATTGCCTAGTAGTAAGCTCATTTTTCATGTGTATGCCCTAGCATTCCCTAAGCTCGCAGCAAATTTGAGTTGCTTTCAACATCAAGCCTAATTCATAACTACACCGCTAACTTTGATTTTTTACTTTTATCTCAAATTTCATCCAAACTATCTAAATTCTGACATCTTAATTACCTAAAGTTTTGACATGCCACATGTGAACAAATTTGTGGAATATTAGTTATGCTGACGGTTTAAGATCTTCCTTTTGGCAGATCAAGACGGGCTGAAGCAAGACCATCACAATATTGCTATACTTATTCTTGTTAAGCCTTTCTTCAGATTGTTGCTTGGAGTCATTGTATTTGTGATATTTTGGTATACAACTACTTTGTGGCCGATCATGACAGACAATAGCCTGCTGTTTGAATTAGAAAAATTACTGTCTTCTGTTTTTCTACAGATACTCTCTGTAATAATAAAGCCACGATATTTATCAAACATGCCTGAATGAAAAACAAAACAAAATCAAACACCCAAAACAAGTTTTTGTTTGGATGGTGAAAAGAACTAAAAGAAATTAAAGAGTAAATGACTTCAAATTGATATCTTTCAACTATAATTTCACTAAGTTGCTGTTTGGAGCATTTGTATGTCATATTTTTCAGACATATTTTTTCTTTATAATGATAAAATAACAGTTATTTAGTCTTTCTCAAATCTAAGTTGTTCTGTGCACAAATACAATTGTCCATCACTGGACATGTTATGGGAAAGGCCCAGAACAACAAGTTTACTTTATTTTTAAACACGCTGCACCTTTGTGATATCACAAATAAAAATCATCTTCCAAACCTGTTCTGACAACTTTCATAATATCTTGAAATTTTAAATTTAAAAATGTCTAATATGCTATGTGCATAATTAAAATGTTTTAAATCTTTTCATCCTTTTATATTAAGGTAGTTTTAACCATTTGCTATCCATCAAATATCAATCATAAGCAGAAACTATCTGAAAACAACATTAATTCTAGGGACTGAAATAATTATTATGATGACTGTCACTTTAATTTAGAGCATAATGATAATATACAGTGTGAGAGGGAAGAAGATCCAACATTCTGGATTCAGGCAGACCTAGTTTGAGTACTTGCCACTAACATGTAACATGACCTTGAGAAAGTTATCTAAACTTTCTGAATCAATTTTCTTACCAGTAAAAGAATGGATTAAAAATAATACATATAAATAATCCCTGGCATATATTAGGTGCTCAATCATAACCACAATCAGCTCTTTTATAGCCTTTAATTACATCTGCATGTCTTGTCATGTGAGAGAAATATAAATATAAGAATTTTTTTAAAATACTTTAGAGTCAGAAACCTGTGGTGTTAGAAAGAACTTTGTATCAGTCAGCTCTTTACACAATAATGCTATGTAACAAACCACCTCAAAATGCAGTGATTGGCAACAATGGGAATTTATTGTCATGTTCTGAGGTCTGCAGGTCCATCAGTATATCTGATTTAGAGTAGGCTCATCTGCTTTAGATGGCAAAGTAAGTTGGGCTCAGCTCCAGGCTGTACATTGAGTCTGTTCAATGTGTCTTTGATTTGGTGCCCTGTTGGAAGGACCGGCATCTACCTGGGATGAACTCTTCTTGTGTGAATCGGCAGGCACAAGAAGCCTGCCAAACCATGCAAGCACATCTGCTAATTCTTCACTCTAAAGTGAGTGATAAGCTCAAGTGAAATGGGAAAGTATACTCATGATGGGTTCAGAGGAAAGTGGATATTTGTAGCACACTCAAAGTATCACCATTATTTCAGAGTATAGGGGGTAAAGGCAAGAATGAAAGCAGCTCAGGTCACGAGAATAAAAGAATCAAAAAGAGGGTGTTGCTAGAGTTTAGTCATATTGCAGAAGAAACTGAATGAGATGAGGAATAGAAGGAAGGAGAAAGAGGAAAGAAAAGGACAAGGCAGTTCTGAGTTTTGAAATAGAACAATGCTAAAGAGACAGGCACTCGAAAGGGAAATGCTTTTAAAAGTAGCAGTTAGTTCTGAAAAATGGCATGCGTATTTACCTGTCATGACAAATAGAGACAGGTAGAGTACACTTATTCAAATGGACTATGTGGGTTCAATATTCAGACTTATTCAAGCGTACACTAGTTATTCTTGCACCATCTCTGGAAAAGATATATTGTTCATGCAATAAAATATATAATAAATTGAAAGCCAAGAAAATGATTAGTTTACATGAAATAAACTATTTCCACAAAATGTTAAACCCGTTTTGGCAATATCTATTAACACGAAACAGATGTGCTTATATCTAATGACTCTATTAATTAAAACAGATATATTAGAGTACTCATTCTTTAATTAATTATGAGCCTTAGTTTCATTACTGTGAATACTGAGAAGTGTTTTCCTAAAAACATTACTTTGAAAATATTTATTAATTTAGGCTTTTTATAAGCTCAGATTGTTTCTCCTAAGGAGACTAGATTAATGTAATTTCATAATAAAAAACTACAATTAATTTTCATTTAAGTATTTAATCAAAAATTGTCTAGTCACTGAAAATGAAAAGATGAATTTAAAATGAGAATGCCTGCCCTGAAGAAGCACAGAGAAAAAAATATAATTGATACTTTTATACAATATGTTAGAAGCTGTAATTGGAGAATGTACAAAATATACAAACCATTTGTAGTACATGGGACGTGAAAGTATCATCAGTGTGGTAGTGTTTGGGTTGAGTTGGAAGGACAGGAAGAATTTGGCTCTGTGAATGGTTTGTAAGATTTCTGATGGAAGGAGCAGTGTGTGCAAGGGCAAAGAGACATACAGATGGGATAGCGATTGAGGAAAATGAGTAATCCAGGAAGGCTAATGTATCTATTTTGCAGGGAAGTGGTAGGAGACAAAGTTGGAAGCATAGTTTGGAGTAAGAATTAATAGACACATTCATTAGTCAGGCCATCTGCCTTTCCTACAGCTCTTCTCTGTCAGTTCCACCAAGATGACCAACCATTTTCAGTCACACAAAAATGTTGAAAACTGTTTCCACTGGGAGCTTGAATTGAGCACACAGGTAGGGAATCTTGGGACAGCAATTTGCTGCCCTAAACCTGAAAAGTCAGCTATTAGTTTCAAATGGTTGTCCCAGTCCTGACTCCCTGTAATCAAAAAATGCTTCTTCTTTCTTTTCCCCTAGCATCCAACTAGGGTTACCAACCATCCTGATTTGCTTAGGACTGTCCTGGCTTAAGCACTGAGCATCCTACACCCCTGGCTTCTCAGTCTCAGGCAAACTGGGATGGCTGGTCCCCTACATCCCCACATAATCTTACCTATCCCTCATCTTCCCCTTTCATGATCACGAAGCCTAGTTAAGGTACTGACTTTTCCCCCTCACTCTGACTTCTCACTGATTTTCAATCATTCCATATTAAAATCTAAACTGCCTTTGAACACCAGATTAATTTTCCTACAAGTCTTGTTTGGTAATATCACTATTTTGTTCAAATACTTCCAATGCCTCCCTTTTGCCCATTGAATAAAGCTTAAATGCCTTAGGCTGATATTTCATGCCCCCACTCCTCACCCCCCACGCATAACCTTTCACCAGCTAACCTTTCTCATTTTGCTTTGGTGACTCAGGAGTCACTTAATATCTTTTAGAACTTTGTAGGCATTATATTAAACAACTGTACTGTTTTTGTTAACTGTGACTTGGATTACTAAAGTGACTCAGTACAGATTTTTAGATAATAAAATCTGGATAAAGCAATATTTTTTGTATATCAATTCACATTTCTCTCCTTCCTATTGCTTGGCTGAATTACAGAGTAGTTCTTAAAAACAAATTGATTTCTTTATATGACAAGTTCAACTTAGCACAAACGTTAATGCACATCCACTAGGAAAATAAACCATAAAATAATCTAGAATTTAACAATTTTTAAAATAAGCCATAATTATTTTTCTAGTCATTCTCACTGACAAAAACTAATCCTGCTTTAAAAATTATTATATTGTTATTTTAAAGTGGGTTCAGTTACTAATTACAACTTCTGTAATTTTGTGTTATTATTCCTTTGATAGTGAAAAAAAGGCTCGTTTTATTTATGTGGCTTCATAGACATTTTTTAATGTCCTAAAGAAAATACCAGCAGGCCATGAAAACAATGTCCTCTACACCTCCCTTTTCTATGACTGAAAAAGAAGTCTTTTGATGACTTTCTTCATGGGGAAGAATAACTTAGAGTTTTCTTCATTTATTCTAGGCTTCTGTTTTTTTCCCCCTGGGATTTTCAGACTGTTTCTTCTCCTCATTTTTAGTTTTATTGATGGGTGTACTTTTGCCTGCTGAGGGGCCTGGGGCATCTCTATTTATAACCCTCCTAGCCCAGTCTAAACCCCGAGGGTTCTGCTTGCTCCTGCACTGCTGCTCTCCTCCTTGTCAAGACTTTGGTGTAAGTCCAGTGTCGTCCTTCAAAGCAGGCAAGTGGCTATTAACGATGTTTTGTGCTTGCTAATATACATATGGCCATCCATCATCTTTTCGTCCTTTTGTTACTCAGATGCCAACAATACAGCGCCAGTCTCTGCTGTGGATTTCCCTCTATTTTAAGTGCATTTATCATTAAGAACAAAATTATGTAAACATTTTTTGCTTTAGTATGAATTCACTGTTTTAAAATATTCTTAGGTTGGCATTGTGGTTCAAGTGAAAATGTCTTTGAGTTATATATGATTTCACTTTTAAACTCTGCTTTGTTAGAGTAAAAGTATGTGTCAACTACCCATTCTTTCTCACTTCCTCCACTGATAACAACCTATGAAGCCCTAGGACTAAACATCACACGCTGTCCTGTAATAAGGGCTTTGGAGTCTGTGATGATTTTACAACATGACCACAAACATTTTGATTCCACTTATGCCATCAAGACATAGGTTCTAGGTCTTCTGTCAGTGAATCTAGGTAGGCTTGTGAATTTTGGCCAATAAAGAATGGCAAAAATGACATTATGTGACTGCAAAGGCTAGGTCATAAAAGATTAGACAGCTTTTGTCTTATTTGCTGGAATACTTACTCTTGGAGTCCTTAGCTACTATGCTGTAAGTCTGACTATCCTGAGGAAGCCATGATTTGAGGAAGGTCAAGCTATGTGAAAAGGCTACATGTGGTCATTCCAATTGTCGGTCCCTGCTGAGCCCAGTCTTTGAGTGCCTCTCTCCGTATCAGATACCAAACATGTGAGTGAAGAAGTCTCTAGATGATTATAGCTTTAGTCATTTAAGTATTTCTAGGTTAATTACTAGACATACTGATGCAGAGATAAGCCATCCCTCTAAAGCCTATTCAATTTTCTGACCTATAGATTCATGTTACTCCACTAAGTTTTAGGGTATTTTTCTTTTTTTAACTGCAATGTCTCTCAGAGTCAGACGTGACGAGATTATTTAATTTCTAATTTTCAGTTTCCTCATCTGTAAACAGAGAACAGTAATGATGCTTCTGCTATTGGCCTTTTTTTTTTTTTTTTTTTTTTTTTTTTTTTTTGAGAATTCAGTGAGAGAATGCATGTAATTGAGCCTGAGGAATGAGGGCTCAATTCATGGTAACTATCATTACCGTTAACAGGCAATAATAATAAACATTTTTTCTGCCTTTAGTGAACCTAATAATTGCTTTTTAAAAAATTGTGGTAAAATACACACAGTATAAAATTTATCATCTTAACTATTTTTGTGTGCAGTTCAATAGTATTAAGTATATTCACATTGTTGTGCAACCAATCTCCAGAACTCTTTTCATTTTGCAAAACTGAAACTTTATAGGCATTAAACAACAATTCTCATTATCCCTTCCCTCTGACCCCTGGCAATAACACTTCTATTTTCTGTCTCTATACATTTGACTACTCTAAGTATCTCATATAAGTGGAATCATACAATTTTTATCTTTTGGTGACTGGTTTCAGTTAGCATGATGTCCTCAAGGTTTATCCACATTGTAGCATGTGTCAGAATTTCCTTCCTTTTTAAGGCTGGATAACATTTCATTGTATTTATATGCCACGTTTTGTTTATCCATTCATCCGTTAATGAACATGTGCATTGCTTGTACCTTTTGGTATTGTGAATAATGCTGCCATGAACATGGGTATATAAACATCTCTTTGACAACCTGATTTCAAATTCTTTGGGTATATATTAAGAAACGGAATTGCTGGATCATATGGTGATTATGTTTTTAATTTTTTGAGGAATCAACATATTTTTTCCATAGTGGCTGTAATATTTTTACTTTCCCACCAACAGTATGTAAGGTTCTAGTTTTGCCACATCTTTACCAACACTTGCTACTTTCTGTTTTTTCTTTTTAACAGTAGCCCTCCTAATGGGTATGAAGTATATCTTGTGGTTTCGACTTGCAAGTCTCTAGTGCTTAGTGATGTTCAGCATATTTTCATGTGCTTATTGTCCATTTGTTTATCTTCTTTGGAGAAATTTCTATTCAAGTTCTTTGCCCATTTTAAAATCTGATTGTTTTGTATTAAATTGTAGACATTCTTTATATATTCTGGATATGAACTCCTTATAAGATATATAATTTGCAGATATTTTCTCCCATTCTTTGGGCTGCATTTTTACTCTGTTGATTGTGCAATGGTTGCTTTTAAGCAAATATCTTGATATATTATTAATTCAGTCTAAATCAAGATTTGAAAATGTATCATCAAAAATGTAAATATGACAGTGGAATTAACCTTGAATCAAGAATGATTCTCACTTTAAATCAGGCTTCATTTCAAGATTAGCAGGATGGATAGTTTTGATGAGAAAATCAGGTAAGCAAAGTAATATTCCTACCAACATAATTTATATTTTTAGGAGCAAAGAAATATTCTTCAGATTTTGGGATTTTGTTAGTCAGTGCCAGCTCCTGGTGAAATGTCCAGTGTCTATCAAATGCTGTACTGGTATCCTTATTGTAACTCACAGAGGCCATTGCACTGACTTCTACCCATCATGCCTTTCAACTTGTTGATGGAAAACCTCTGTAGTCTCTGTTGTAGCCCTTAAGCTATATGCAGTAATTTAGTGTAGTAGTGATTGATCTTATTTTGACTTCAGGTGCTGATATATAGCTGAAAGATCAGTTTTTTTAAGGAATTCAGTTTACTTTTCCTTGGTGTTGCCTTGTAATTGTATACCTCAAAGTATATTTTAATTGATCACTTGAAGTTTTCTTCATCCAGGTATCTATAAGTCTCCATCATGTTCCACTTTAGCACAGATGCTTTAAATAAAGATTTATGTTCATTTCAGATGCACCAGTTGGACAATGACTTCCTTAGTTAGGTAGAAGTTAGGCAATTCTATGTAGGATTTTAAAAAAAAACAGAAAATTTCAAAAGAAGTTAAAACTCACTAATCTGTAGGCAAAGTCTTGACCTTCTGACACATGAGATACAGTGAATTAAGCTTAATATACACATATTGGGGCAGTAGTCAACAAAAATTATTACCGTAAATTTAAAATTTCACCCATACCTCAACTCTCTAACAGCAAAGTGGCATCTACTTTCTTGAGCTTTTGAACATTGGATGGATGAGGATGATTTTTTAGATTTTGATTTAAATCCTTACAGGTATGCAGCTAATTCTTCAGAGGTTCAATTTAATTTCTTTCAGATTTTAAGTCTCTGAACCTGTAAAATGCTGAAAGGTGCATTCAATATATGTTTACCTTGAGAAACTACTAGAAGGATATTAGAAACAAATATTTGTAGGTTGGAAAGAGGCAACAGGAGCCAAGAAACCTGGATTCTAGGTCTGCTTCTGTCAGTAATTACCTCTGTGACCATGGGAAGGTCACTCATACTTTCAAGCTGTCATTTTCCTAATTCATCTAAGCTCATGTAAAGCTCTAACATTTAATTTTTCTATATGTCTATAAAAATTACAGGAAAAGGTAGGTAAAGATGCTTTTCCACTTACACACAAACACACACACATGTATGCATGCACACACAATCCTCCTTATGTTATCTTAATTTACTCGTGTCAATTGTTAGCTCTGTCAACTTAACCCATTTCAAATAAGAGTATACAAATAGTGCTTACTTACTTAATTATTTATATATTACACTCAGCACATTATGATGAATCCATTATGGATGCAGAATGAACAGAATGGATATAATATGCTTCTGTCCCTGACAGTCATAATTTTTGAGGCATATCTACATTACTCTGGCAGGGCATCAAGTAATAGTCAAATGTATCAAAATAATAAAAGAAGTATATTAATATAAAAAGAGAAAGTGATGACTTTTCAATATAGTTTAATATGAATATTAATTTCATAATGACAAAGAAGATGGTGGCAATTCTTTTTTGTTATTAATGTCTAGATAATATCCAGAGGAAAGTGATCAGAAAGGAGAAAAGGTTAAGAACCACTGGCATGAGTGGAAAGGTTAAAATAATTAGGATGTTTAGCCTGGATTGGAGAAGTCTTGGGGGAACTGATGACTATCTGTTAGTAATTAAAGCAATGCCATTTAGATTCGGGAGGTAAATCCAAGACCAGAAGGTGGACATTTGGTAAATTCAATTTAAGTTTCATGGAAATAGAGTTTTATTCAGTACGAGGATAAACTTTCTAACAATTGAACACTCTGGTAATAGTTTTGGCTGCCTTTTGAGATACACCATTTTCCATAATGAGAATTGTTTGAACAGACATCGGCTCAGTGCACAAAACTCAAATGGCTTGCCGGGCAGGTAACATAAAGACGCAAGGTGGGTCAGTTGAGGCAAACGAGCAGTGTATGCTCCATTGAAAGTTTGCCAGATCTGATCTTTCTAAAGAAACAGGAAATCAGAATTTTTACATTAGTCTTTTGATATATACATGTTGGCTTATTTGTTTTTTACAAACTCTGTGGGCTGACTAAACAAGATCCACCTGGTTTGAGCATAGACAGATAATCTAGTTTGATCTTTGAACTCTATTTTTGATATTAAGTAGACATGCCATCCATAGGCCAATCACAGAACTGGGTATATGGGAGGTGGAAACATTAAAAGGTTGGAGGATTAGGTCAAACTTAATGAACGAGTAGGATTTACAATTAATTTATGCTGCAAATTCACCTGATACACTAACCTTTGCATATGCATAACTGCATAGGAACAAGAATGACCTGTCCCAACAAGATCTGCAAGAAGAAATAACACAAGGCTTTGGATGTTTCCCCAGTCAAAGCTTCCAAGTAAACTATGTAAAGATAGAATGGGAACAAGAAAGTTCAAATAGATTCTCTAAATCTGCACAGTGCTTCAGGAATGAAGACTGAAGATTCAAGGGCAACCAATTAGAATTAGTACAACTCAAGGATCAGCTGCCCATGTTTTCCCGATTTCTTCGTTCTTGTGGGACCCTTTACTACTATTTCCCTTTCCGCTGGGAATACAGTGCCTTCCCCTGAATCCCCACCAATCATCAGGGCTTATTTCCTCAGTACCCTTTTTTGCTCTGTGACTCAAGTATTGTACCCAGTGGCTGTTGCTCCTATTAGCCCTGTGCCAATCCACATAGAGATGGGGCAGTGGAAACTATCAGGATAGGTACCATCTAAAGGCAGGATGGGGTTGGCTTAGTTGCTACTAAGTGCTAGTCAGTTGCTGCCATGTGGTAAGGCAGAACTTTTCTTTTTCCATTGTATCATAAACGAAGCAGTTGCATCAAATTTTTTCATGAGGCTTGGAAGAAATACAGGGAGGTTATATCCCAGAAGAACCAGTAGCTTCATATTGAATATTAGACCTCCCTCTACCAAAAAGGTCCCCAGTCCCCCAATGGACTGCTCTGTGTTCCAGGTTTCTAAGATCCTCTCCTCTCATTTTCTCCTCTTCCTTCTTACCTATTCATAGCTCTTCTTTCTTAACCTCCATGTTTAAGTTTTCATGCCTCTTCATGAAGTTCAACTCCTTCCTCCCTTTCCTTACATTTCACCCAGTTCTATGTTTGCTTATTTAAAACCTCATAACATTACTTGACTAAACAAAGGTTCTGCACTTCAAATGTAGGTGTTTTAATCACATGTAACACTTGCCCGATCTTTGTAATGACTGTCTCTTTTCTTTCATGAGATCCTAGTCTTAGGTGTGACCTCCTCCTACACCACCTATGTAAGAGAAAAGTGGTCACAATAACTTTGTCTTTTTCCCTGCTATGAATTTAAGTGTTCCTCCTGGAAAGCTGGAATATAAAAAGTCAGCTGTTTTTGCTCTAAATTGTGTTTTTTTTTCAATTACACATAGCAGATGTAAATTTATTTTACAAATACTTTGAAGCAAATAGGGACTTCTGCTGCCTAAAGTCTGATGAAAGTGGTTAGATCACAGTAGGCCTTGAAAAGACTGGATACTGGGGAGGTGTTTGAGGTGTAGGAGAAGATCCAAAGGGGAAGTTTGAGAAGCAGACGTCATGGGGAGAGGGAAATGTGGAAAGGGAATGTAGACTTTCAGGTCCAGGAGAATAACAGGGACTAAAATTGTTGAAAGATTGAAGAAACCCTTCTCTTTTTCTTCCCATGTTTCAACTTTAGCCAAAAGAAAGTAGACTCTTTCATGCTTTTTCTCTTCTAACTTCCTTTCCTCTCTGACTCACTTGTATTTCATGCATAATCCAAATTACTTTTAGGTTTTGGAGGGAAGGCAAAATGTAACCTCTACCTGTTTTAGAGGTTTTAGCAGGGGCTTTTTAACAAAAAGAGTAACACGAGAAAAAGAGTTTATTAATGCACGTAGAACACATCACACAGGAGAATGCTCAGGGAAAAGTAACTCAAAGTGGTGGCTTAGAACTCTGGTTTTTGTAGCAACTACAACAAAGAACAACACATTTGCAGAAAAATGACAAAACAAAGGAAAATGGTTTTTAGGTTTCCAAGAGTGGGGAGCTGTGGGTAAGTAAATATATGGGAGGAAAGCATGGAGGAAGGTTTGTTTTGGAACTCCTCTGGCGCTGTCCCTGGGTAAAGAGTCTAGTGTCATCCCCACTAAAGAAGAAGTTATATCCCTCCTTTAGGCAGAAAATAGGGTGGTAGAGAGAGCTTTTCTTGAATTTTTTGCTTCTTAATTGCTTCAGCCCCAAATAATTTTTGTGTCAAAGAGGCATGTTTTGGGGTAACATATCCTGGTTTCCCTCAGTGTCCCCAAATCATAGCACATTCCTTTTTGGCTTGACTCTAACTTATTTTTGGAACTTTCTGCACTCAATTCAGTGAGCTTTCTTCTTTGCTCCCTGTAAGTACGCTGTAAACCACATAGCTCATTACCTCTCAAAGCGGGGTTCTTAGAAGCAACAGCTGCATCACCTGGGAACTTTTACAAATGTGAATGCTTGGGCCCTACCCCAGAGGGAGTGAATCAGACACTGTGTGGGTAGGTCCCAGAAATCTGTGTTTTAATAAGTCCTTCAGGAGATTCTAATGCATGCTCAAGTTTAAGAGATCAAGCCTAGCCTTCTGTTAATCCTGCTAGGCCTTTGGTTAAGCTGTTCAGTTTGAGATTTGCTCTATGAACTTGGCCAGCCTCCATTCATGTGGAAGCTAGTATTTAGCCTCAGATCTGTGCCTGGTTTTCCAGTCCAGTTTACCAGAGAGTTCTGCACTTTGAGCAATAAAATAAATGCTGCGCTTCATCTTTCTAAGCTTTTTATGTATAGTCGCAGATTTTTGAAGAGAAAGAGTGCTAAGATTTGGGTATCAATTTCCATCCCAAACCTCCTCTAACCTAGTATGTTGGCTAATAGTTTTAATTCCCTAGAAGAGATTTGGCTGTGGAATGGGAATAGGGAATAAAGGACATAAGGATAAGAATAAGGTTAAAAGATATTAAGAATAATGAAAAAAGGTAACAAGCTGATATTTTTAACTTAAAGTAGTGGAGGATGTTCAGTCCTAGAAGATCAATCTTGATTTCCTCAGCAGTTGCTGGTGCAAGAAATCATGGGTAGGACATAAGCACTACAAAATGTAATGGCAGGTAATTGTATAGACATTTTTGTGTTAGAGCATTTATTTATGTCTAAGACAATATGAATTGTGGTGTGTTTGTGAGGGGTATCTCTGGTTAGGATGTTGGACACAGAAATTTATTTTGGAGCTGTTTGATGTCAACACAGTGGCTCAGAATATGATGAGAACCACAGAAGTTGTTGGTACACAAGACCACTCTAAGTTCACATTTCTCTCACCTCCCTCCAGTAGAGAAAAGGAGTAAGATTGAGGATGAGATTACATTTATATGGTTTCAGTGGCAGCCACCATGTTAATACAACACAACCTTTTTACTTGAACATTGATTGATCTTGGGTTGAGCACCTGACCCATTTGGGAAAACTGTGCTATTGTTCAAGGGGTCAGGACTAATTCCACAATGTCACATGGCATGAATTTAGTGGTTCTCAGATTTTAGCAAACATCAGAATCACACAGAGTGCTTGGTAAAGTAGATTTCCACGCTCCACTCCCAGAGTTTCTGATTTGAGTTGGTGTGGAGTCAGGTCCATGTATTTGCTAATCTAACAAATTCCCTGCTAGTGCTAATGCTTCTGGTCTAGGAATCACACCAGGGGATCAGAATCACTGGTTTAAGGAATAGGCTTTATAAAGCAAAAAAGAAAGTTACAAGGACAGGATTAGCTGAGACGGTCTAGACTTTTTCCACTCTTTTTCCCACAGAGAGACTTCCCAGGGCCAGGATACCCTACTGGACAGGCAATGTGGAGTTATCTGTGTCCCATTAGGGGAACTTCATGCTCCTGGGCGTGTTCCTCTTATAGAGAAATCATGAGGGCAACCATCAGTGGAGGATAACCAGTGTACTTTGGTACTAGACAATGTGGATTTGAGCGCCAGCCCTTCACATCAGGAATTTAGTAATTCCAACTATCCAACACTTGGGAACTTGAGAGATAATGGGAGTTACCTCCTATAGAGAGAAGGGAGTGCAGCAGCCCCTACTGAGAGAAGAAAGGGGGAATCTTCCTTTCACCTTTCTCCCCATTGTCCTGCCCTCCCCCAACTCTGGGCCTAGCCGGTTCATTGTTCAGGCAATTATAAAGGAGCTCTCAGGATCACTTTTGGTAATTCTGCTCATCACATGACACATGCTATCTACTCCATACCCAAAGCCTCTGATTCCACTAATTTTACTAGGTGTAGATACCTGATCCAACTTGGACTAATCAATGTCTTTCCTTGAAAGTTGATTTCAGAAAAAAAATATATATATTTTACCTGTCTCTTGAAACTCATGGAATATAAACCCAGGTGCTCTTGTCATTGGCTATTTTCAGCCATGTAGCCCAGGAAACCCAGCAACCTTGTCTGAAGAGGGAGAGAAGAAGTAAGTCCACTTTTAGAGGAGGGGAAAAAGATATGGGTGTGGGGAAAAGACTGGGAAGTATTTGAGTTTCTGCTTCCTGTAGTTTCTGAGGCCCAGAAACTTTGATTTCGATCCTGAGGATTCAAGAAAGAGCCACTGTCTTCTTTTGGCCTAACTTGTTGTGTGATGGATTCCTGTCCTTTGTAAGAAAGAATACTTCATTTAGAAGTTGTCATTTCCAAGCAAAAAGGTAAATTGAATCACAAGAGGTTACGCTTAAAATAAGTCTAGCAAAGGCCTTCAGAGTTTGTGTTCTATTTTAATTTAAGCTTTTCTTTGCAGAGGCTTCATTGTGTGTTGGGGGGTCACTTAGAATCACTTAGATCTCGAGTTCCATCACAGCTCTGTTATCTGCAGGGTTTGGAAGTTAAAAATGTCATGTAAATTTCCTAAGGCTCAATTTTCTCCTCTTTATTGAAGGACTATATCATTTATCATACAGTGTTGTTTAAGAATTGACGTGAAAAATAAAAGTACGTAGCAGAGTCTGTCTGATTTTAGTGTGTTTAAATTTCAAAACACATTTTCTAATTTTGAAAGACATCCCCCAAACATGATGTATTTACAATAAGATATATATAACAAGCATAAAAACAAACAAAAAATTAAGATTTTGCAAAAGAAGGAAAAGAAATTGTCAGGACCAGTATAATTGCTGAGTCTATTAGCCATGGTTCTCCAGAGAAACAGAACCAATAGTAGATATTTATATTTATATATATCTGCTGTATATATATTTATATATCTGCTAAATAGATATATTTGTACATATATGCTGTATACATATGTTTCTATATATATGTTGCTCTCTCGGTATATATATATATTTCTTAATACACATATCTGCAGGGTAGTTGGGAGGCTGGGGACCCAGACTCACAATTCAGATTCAAATGCAGCCTGCTGGCAGAATTCTCTTTTTCTTGAGAAAGATCAGTCTTTTTATATTAAGGTATTTCACTGATTGGATGAAGCCAACCCACATTGTGGAGAATAATTTGTTTCATTTGTTTTATTTATTCAAAGTTTACTGCTTTAAATGTTCACTGCACCTAAAAAAATCTTCACAGAAACGTCTAGAATAATGTTTGATCCAGTATCTGGCTACCATGGCCTAATCAAATTGACACATATAATTAACCATCTCATCAAGACTGATTTTATTATCTATTTATTTATTTAGAGACAGGGTCTTGCTCTGTTGCCTGGGCAGATTGTACAATGGCACAATCATAGCTCATTGCAACCTTGGCCCCTTGGCTCATGATCCTCCCACCTGAGCCTTCTGAATAGCCAGGACTACAGGTGCATACCACCAGGCCCAGCTAGTTTTTAAAATTTTTTTCAGAGACAGGGTCTCGCTATATTGCTAGGGCCGGTCTCAAACTCCTGGGCTCAAACGATCCTCCTGCTTTGGCCTGCCAAACTGCTGGGATTACGGGTGCGAGCCACCACACATGGCCCTAAGACTGATTTTAAATTTAATTTTGAGCTTCCTAGTAAGCCTAGGAAAAAAGAGAGATATATCTTTTATGCAGTCTTTTATTAAGACAATTTTCTTAGTAGAGACCGTTTTTCCATACATTAAATTCCAAAATATGGTATGGTTTCTCATATATAATTTTGTATTTTGGACCTTGACTGATATCATAGGCAAGGCTTTTAAGAATTATTGTTTTATAATTAATGGAGAAGCAATTTTGGTATGGCTGTTTCTGGGAAAGGTTCTCTGTAAAATCAATGAAGGTTATTCTCCCTAGGATCCTTAATTGGTGATTTGCTTTTGGGTACATTTCTAACTCCCACACCCCTCTCATGAGTTGGAGCAAATTTATAAATATGTAGCTGCTTTACTTCTTCATGGCTTGACTAAATCAACTTTTTAGATATCTTTGAATTTGGAAAAATGCCATCTCCTGCATCCAATCTGTCACCAAATTCTGTCATTTCTGACTCCAATATTCTTTAAAAACTGTACATTCCACTCCCTGCTGTTGCCAGTGTCTTAGTTTAATCTGTTATTGTTTCTCACATGAACCTAGGCAATAATTTCCAAACTTATCTCTGCTCCTTCTTTGGTCACTTCAAATGCTGTCTTTACACAGACATCAGACGGCCCCTTTTTGGGACACAGTTATCATGCTACTTTTCTGTTTAACAATTATCTTTGATGTCCCAATAAATAAAAAATAGAGTTTCAGCATCTCATGTACCTTAACCTTTGACCATATCAAATTATTTAGAATACTTAGAAAATGCCATCACTTAGAGAGTTCTGCCTCTGCAGATTGCTGTTTCCTCTGCTTGGAGTACTCTGTCCTCCCAACTAGCCTAGACAAATCCCAGTCATTCTTTAAGACTCAACTTAAAGGCCATCTCCTTTGTCAGACCTTCCCTGACACATGTAAGCAAGAAGTCACACTCCTTCCTCCTTCCCCCAGATCAACTTTAACATTTGAGTTACATCTCCTTGGGTGTCAGGGTCTGAAATTAAGGCATAAAGTGGAAATCACAAATAGTTATATCACCCTTGAAAATACCTTAAATAGCCCATCAAATAGAACATGTTAAGTCTACATTGATGCCACATTGAGACTGACATACTATTGCTCCGTGAGTCCTACATAGAGCATGCTTCCCTCAGATATTGGGACCAGTTTGCGCTTTCATGAATTAAGCACACGTAAAGCAGTTGGATTATGTGTAGTTTATGTTTCGTGGTTATATATAATAAAGACACATAGTGTCTTTAAAACTAGACACGTACTCAGTGCTCCACACTGAGAGGTACATGCATGAGGAGCTAAGGCTGAGAACCACTGACCGCCATCTTCTGTCACACGCATGCGGTAGGGTGTATGCTCACTGAAAGGAACAGTGTGGGGAATTAGCTGCACATTTAAACTGTTTCTTTCTGTTTTCTCTCCCTCTCTCTTGTGCCATACTCAGGAGTTTAGTACAAACACAACAAATGATTATACTCTATGGTGCATAACTTAATTCTAGTCTATTAACCTAGCTAGGACACTCACATTGTGATACAAATTTTCGTTTGATGCTCAGGAATCCCCAGGCCATCAGAGTAGAAAGCTCCATGAATACAGACCTATATTTTTATATCTATTTCCTTTCCTCATACATTATTAGGACTTTAGTGGTCATTTCATGAATCAGTTGATAGAAGGCAAAGGACAAGGCATTGAAATTTCCTTCAGCTTTCACTGGGAACTTTCAGTATGATGAGAGGGAAATTTAACATGTCTGGTCATTTGTGACAAGGTTCTGCATAGGAATAAAAATAGTCTATTTGATAGGCTTGTGAAAGATAATATAGGACAGATAAAATACCGCATAAATGCTAAATAATAAAGTGACAAGCACAGTATGTCAGGGGACGCATAGTAATGCAACTATGTCTGTAAAACATTTACTGTATTTTGTCTCTGAAATGTACAACAACAACAACCCACCAAATGGCGGCATCTGTGCTTATTTCCTCCCTGGTCCTCGATATTTGGAATCCTTTCAATGTTCAATGCCCAAAAATGCAATAAATATTTTTACTTTGGTACATCTATATTTTAACACTGGAGTTGGTACCAGCCAGGATTGTGGGGTTACTCACATCATGTGACTCTCCTCCCACCATTCAATGTGTTTACAAGTGAAAACTGATAAAATGAGCATCGAAGGCAGCCTGGGAGGGAGAATGAATGGGAGAAGGCATTGCAGAATGCATACTGAGGGCTAAGTGTGGAAGGCCCAAGAAGGGGGTGGGTACTGTTTATAGGCAATCTTATTAGAAGTGGTGGGAGGAGCAGAAAGTGGGAGAGTAGGTATGTACAAGCTCTGATCTCTTTGAGCACCAGGTGGCACTACTGCCTTCTCTCTTGGCTGCTGCCTACCTGTGTCAGGGGAATTCCAGAAACAGATTTTGTAGGAAAGGCTAGAAGATTAAGAACCTATATGGGTCAAGAGAGAAATGGGTAGACAATACAGAGATCAGAATGTTTCTTATTGATCAAATCCTAGGAATGACTGTAATCACGGCACTCTGCCAATTTTTAGCATTTCACCAGCCATCAAGGGACATGATTTGATATTGTTAAACAAATTTATGAATAAGAGACATTGTTTAGCTTAGGGTATTACTAGCTAGTAAATGTATTAGTAAGTTGCCAAGTTCCTAGAGGCAGAGAAATGTGTAGGAAACCAACCAACCAACCAGCCAAACTAAACCAAAACAAAATCAATCACTACAAGTTACTTAACACATATGTAACAGTAGATTGGAGGGTATGTATCTGCTTGTTGTATCAAGAAGATTCCTTCTCTTAGGCAGTAGGTGGTTTTTTGAGTAGTCAGTTTCTGTGAATGGGATAACTGATCTAATTCCCCTTTTCTTACTTGCTATTAGTAAGTTTAGAAGTAAATATGGGAGCCATTTGTAGCCGGTATAACATTTTGCAAGATTGTAAACACATTTTAGCCGCATCCCCAGGCTTTACCTTTCATCTTGCTTCTACATCTCACACAATATTTTACATTATATTTCACTTTCACTTTTAATTTGTTATATTGTATATGTTTATATGCTCTGGAAAGAGCATATCCTAAGTTTATATGCTTATATCCTAAGTTTACATGCTCCGGAAAGCTCCTCTAAATACTTTCTGAAATAAGGAAAGGAAGACATATAATTAATTATGTAATTATAACAAATTTCCATTGGATGTACATTGCTAAATACCAAGAATCAATAGAATTGCTCCTTCCCTCAAGAAGTTTACAACCAAATAATGGACTTACTAGAAAATGTGCACTAAATAAAAATTTTTTTCTTAAAAATATAAGTTTTTGGAGTAGAGATATCTAAGAGTAAACACAAGGGAAAAAGGGATACTTGATTCCATGATTAACTTCGTATTTCTACTGTTGGCTTTGCATGGCCTCAGGCAAGATGTGTAACTGTCTCCGGCATCAATTTTTCAATAGTAAAAGGCAGATTCACCTCGGGACAAACACTTGGATAGGCTACAGTGATGAAAGGCATGGTGTGCTGTAACATTTGACTATTGCTATGTAACATTTGATTATAATCTCACTCTCAGCAAAACTAGTAGGAGAAAAGATCAATTTAAGTCACATACTAAAAGGAAAAAAATGTGTTTTGACTGAAATTCAGCACATTTTCTATAGGAAAGTGCCACACTATAGAGGCTATGGGTATAGTAGATGCTGTTTTTATTTTTAAGCTTCTATTTACAACAGTTTGAGACAAATATTCAAAATTGTGTTCTTCATGTAAGAAAGTAAATGTTTTTGGAAAAAAATACAACATAAGCTTTTTTTTTGAGGATTTTAGGCTGGAAGAGAACGAAGCTAAAGAGAGTAAAATTGGGAATATTCTCCACAGGCTACTTTTCAGAAAATTTTAGAGCAACCAATAACAAAACTATTTGCTATTGCATTGAAATTAATATTTTCTTTTTTTGTTTATTAATTTTTTATTCTTTTAAAACAGATATGTAACTGATATGCCAGGGTGCATTACTTTGTAGAAATGGTAGTGTGATTATTTTGGGATAAATGAAGAAGAAAAGAGGTGGAAACTACAAAGGAAGGAATGGAGCTTGATTCTTACCTTTACTTAGGCTCAGTGACTTCATGGAAAACCATAGGCCATAGACAGTGGCACCTAATAGGCTTTGGTGTCAGATAGAGCTGAGTGGAACTCAGCTTAGTCTGTGGCACTGGGCAAGTTCCTTCAGTTGATTCTTGGATTCTTTGTAAAAAGTGGGCACAATAACATCAGCCTCATTGAAAGAATAAGAAAGATGCATGAAGTTTCTAGTTCAGGGCCAGACGAGGCTTATGGTAGATGCTCACTGGATGGCAACTAATAAGGTGGGACATTCATTCAAAAATCATCTCCTTTTATTTCTATTTAGGAGAGGACAGGAAATGGTAGCTTTGCATCACAGCTTTACTTCATAGTGGGTGGCAGATGACTTTAGGTAAAGTATGTTAGTGGTCCATCAACTGCTGCGCAAGGCCAGTCTCCTACTAGTCGTTCTCCAGTTTTGAAAAGTCACTTCTTCCAAGCTCTCATTTGCCTTTGAAATCTGTTTTGATCAATAGCTAGCTTCCATGAGGTCTAGACTTATCTGCCTTCCTTATTCATATTCAGAGGGCAGGGGCCATGTTTTATAAAATTTCATAGTAGGCAGCACACAATCATACATTTTACTTTTTCCTAATGACATAATTTATTTTAATGCAAGCTTGTCAGCCAGGGCATTGAAAGATCAGCCTGATACCGTAGTTCTTTTTTCACTTTTATTCCTTGACCTGCTTGCCCTAGGTCACTAGTGAGAAAGTCAGCACTTTTTGAACACATTACTCTGTGTAAAGCACATCCTGTTCAGCACATTACAAACAAAGGGGGAACAGCTCAGGTGTTCATCAGGTGGGTAATACATAAAACTTTGTTAAGTTTTCAGGAATTATAATTTCTCTCTACTTTGAATCCCCTATAGCTCACTGAGTTATACCCATGAAGAAATAAAAATAAAATTCTAAGACCCCAACCAACTGAATGGACCATTTCTTTGCCAAGGGGATGCCAAAGAAAACTTGGAAGCTGAGCCCCTGGCCATGACAGGATGTGAGGATGTACATGTCCCATTATATCCTTTCCCTTGCTAACCACTCTTAGGCTTTCTTCCCTAAGGGGTAAACAGAAACAAGCCCTTTGGAGAAATTTTACTGCTGATTTCACCCAACTGCCTAACTACTGCCACTCCCTTTTGCAGTTTCTGCACAACCAATCAGCATTCCTTCTCCATAAGAAACCACTGACCACGAAGTGGTTCTGGCCAGTCTTCGAAGAACGAGCAGTGAGGGTTTTTGTGTCCTCTGCTTCACCTTTTGATGTCAGAGGGCTGAAAACTTCACTCTCAGATCATGTTAATGCCGCCATTTTTGAAGATGGGGTCCCATGGAGAGGCATGAACTCAATTGCACCTGCCCATGTTTCTCCTTTCATAAATATTCATGACTCCTCCTATAGCTTATTGAATATGTATAGTCAGCCACCTCATTCCGCATACATCTCTGTCTTATTCTTCCCACCCTCGAAATGTCTGTTTCTGGCTTCTGGAAGGAGGCTATGTTTCCCAGCCTGTCAGAATGGCCACCCTGCAGGCTGCAATCCTTTATGAGAAATAAAGCTCCACTTTAAAAATGTATGAACCTTTTCATTCATCAGTTGACACCACTTAATCAAATTGGGGCTCTTTTTCTTCTTTAATTTCATGCTTTGCATTTTCATTCAGGGGTCTTAGAAAATGCTAGGATTTGAACCTAATTCCTGGTAACTTCATCTATCAGTGCTGATGTCCACTGAAATATTATTATACAGGTCTGATTCTGAGAGTTTGGTCAATGCAGCTCACCACCTAGACTGCCTTCATGGCTCCCTGCAAAACCTCTCAGTCTGAGTCCAAGTTCCTGACACTGCCAGGCTCTCAGGACATATTCAGCTGCTCCTTTACAACTCCAGAGACAGAGATCTGCTTCCATGTGCTTCTCAGCTTCCTGGGCTCTTTCCTTTACTGCCATTCAATCCTCCCAAACCTAGAAGCGAAGGTTTAATTAAATCCTTTCTCAAGGAAACTGAGGCTCAGAGAAGTTCAGGAACTTGTCCACTGTCATATAGTTCACAAAGGGAGGAGTACACTTTCAGAGCAAAGTCCAACTAAATTCATGATTCGAGTTTCTCCCATTATGCTGGACTGCCTCAACGATTTCAGCTAAGTCTCAGGTCTTTTTAATTCTCATGCTGAAACCTATCATCTATTACTAACTTTTAATAGTTTAACTCTTATTTTTAGTTACATGTCACCTTGGAAAGTAAAAACTGGAGCTTTAAAGGCATGTTTCTCAAAATGTGGTAGTCTACATCAGAATTACCTGGACTAATTGTTAAAATATTTATTCTTAGGCCCAATCATAGCCCTACAGAATCATTATTTCTACTGGGCCATGGAATCTGTATTATTACTAAGCTCACCTAATAACTACTATTCATGTCAGATTTAGTAGATTATTTCTTTAACATGTGTAAGCAAGTTTATTTTGATCTTAGTAAGGAGAGTGAGAAATAATTGAAATATGAGGTGCTAAGGCTTTGAATTGGTTTCTCACGCTAGCTAACTATTGAAAATTTTGGATATGGAGGAATGACCTTAATATTGGGAAAAGAAGAAGAAAACAGAAGAACAACAGATGGGTTCCTGAGACCTGAGACAAATTTCCTCTACTTCTTGATTTTGCCTGCAGGCAATTCCCTGTGAGAGTGGATGAACTGGTGAGAAAATGTATTTGAAATTTAAACCTACAGTAACTTTTGGGTTAAGAACTATATTCCCAAATGAAATAACTTTGTTATTATTTTTAACTCCCCCTGCCCAAATACCCTAAGGACTTAAGCTGCTTGATATAGCAGTCTAGGTGCTCACTTTCAGAACCAAGACAGCTTTTCTATTTTATTCTTCACATCACAGTAAAACTGTTAGATGGGCTGAATGCCTGGGTTCAAAATTTCAGAAATTTGCACCTAAATTGCACCTGTAAAATATGTCCTCACACATGCAAGTGAGTCATTTTACTTGCAAATTATTGTTTCGCATATGCAATTACTTGCTTGCATCTGGATATACATTTTGTGGGACAATTAAGTGTTTACGTTAGAAAATTAGATCACTAATTTTATGTTCATTTTTATAAGACTTAGAACTTAAACTACCAGAATGTTTTTAGACAGATCAGTATTGCATATGGTCTAAATTGTGAGGGAGAAGTACATTCTTTCATCCATTCATTTGTTAATTTACAAATATATTCTGAATGCCTACTGTGAGTCAGCTGATGTAGTAGATGCTAAACTTACAGTGATAAACAAATAGTCTTGCCTACGGACATGGAGATTAACACTATGTACAGTTGTGTTTAGAGAGACCAGAAATTTGTTAGTATCTTGTTTGATAACTTCAAAATATGCAGTTTTCATTTAAATCTCAGGCTATTGTCTAATATGTGCCATATCAAGTTGAAAACTGACAGTTTTCATTTCTCACTACTTTCACTGATGGAATGAATAATAAAATGGGGGAGTCATTTTTTATTTGATTTTGCTTTCCTCCTAATTTACAAATTAGTATGGTAAGTTTATATGTCTTTTGTGCAATCGTTGGGCTCTAGATCAGATAGTCTGTGGATGATTAATAGAAGTATAATTTGGTGAAAATTAAAGGCTGATGATGGTCTTTGAATGAATGCCCTTCCTGTGGGAAGATATTCAGGGGTTTTGCAACACTTGACACTTGTATACTTTTCTCTGGGTAAAATCTATATTTTAGAGTGCTTAGTTTGTTGGGATAATGACTTCAAGATTAGAGAGACATTGTATTACACACCTACACATTTCTTCATAAACAAAAATATATCAATACACCTGCACACATATGTACCTTGTGTCTATAAAGTCTGTGTAAAACACTGGTCTTTTAAATCTATCAATTTATCATTCAGGACCTAATTATAATAATACATTTATAGATATTTTGGGTTGAAAGAAACTTGAAAGTATTTTTTATTTAGTTCCCTTACTTTACAAATAAGTAAACTGGGGCCTGAGGAGGTTAAAAGAACTTTAAGGATTACACAGAAGCTAAGGCAGAGTAGAGACTAAAATCTGGTATATAGGCATTCATTATTTTTTGAAAAATATCTTTCATGAAGAAATGTAATGGAAACCAACTAACATTACCCTTGCAGATCCTATGGTGATGTTGAATGTGGCTCTTCTTTAAATAAATGTGGGAGGAAGAGAAAAATTATACAAAATCAGAGAAGAGTCAGAAAAGCATAAGTTTGTCTTCTCTGTTAGATGCTGCTTTTTCTAGTAACCACAAAGCTTGACATACATTAAGGGCAAATAAAGATGAGAGATGCAGTGATGGTAAAGGGAAGGAATAGGGAGGGAGATATCTGGAAATTTTATGTACTTACACAATGTTTTGTTTTGTTGCAATCAGGGTCCCAACAGAAAACAGATGTCAAGCATAAATTAAGAATATTCCAAGAAAATGTATTTACATAAGAACCAATTACAGAAGTGTGGGCTTGATAGAAACCACAAGAAATAGTACAGTAACACTGGATTAGTAACCATGGAGCTGGTACCACCTCTAGGCCCAGGGGAATGAGGAGAGAGAGAGTGATTACTAGGACCCAGAAGGAGCAAATTTTCTTGAGAGGGCTGTCTTGAGAGGAGCAGTGACCTTCATTGGAGAGACACAGCCAGGTTGAGGCAGGGGATCCCAGCAGAAAAAATCCTGTAATGTTGTTTTCTACTCATCTCTGATTTCTTGCTGATATCCCCATTGTTAATTCTAACGAAGCCAGAAAGCAAGGAAGAGCCCATTAATGTCATCTGCCAGTGGGGAAGAAGGCAGGTGGAAAGGTGTAGGTAGGGATTTGGAGTTGCAAACAAATGGCACAAAGTATATTCTTCCAAAAAGAAGTCAAGCACTTTTACAAGAATATATAGAATGTTAGAAAATGGCATACATTAAAATACTGTGAAAGAAAAAAAGAAAGAAAAAGAACTGATGCCATTGAAACTAAAAGACTGATTTATACAATTGCTCACACCAGATGGAAAATTATTTATCTCTAATGTAATCGTTCAGAGATAGGTGGGTAGTCTAGGGTCAGCTCTGCTCAGTGAGGCCATTGTTCTTTCTTTTTGCTTTGATCAGCACCACACCATGTTTAAATTTTAGTCTGTAGGAAGATCAAATTACGGTGTGGGGAGCGAGCAGCTTCCCCTTAAGGAAGTGGCTGAGACATTATACATCTCTCTTCTGTAGCTCCTCGGAGTCCCTGGGTGTTGGACCCTTCTGTGACCTCCAGCTATTTGATTCACTTTGCCTGTCTGTTAGGTCTGGCAGTTGGACACCTAGGGCAGATTCAGCCTTTTGCCCTCAGAAAGCTCTCTACTTGGCCTCTACTGATCAGCCAGGCTTCATACCTAAATTGTTTGGCTGTGTCATCCTATCTGAACTTAGGTGAATGCCAGAGCACATGGTGTTGGGGCTCTGAGTGCCTGCCAATGGGTCAAATACAATCTAGGTGTGCAGGTAATTCTCCAGGGGGTAAGTTTGGACCAACATAGAAGAATGGAGGAAACCCGGTTTCTCTCTTCTTTATCATACGTACCCTTTCATAGTCCTTATCAAATTCTTTGAAGCACAGTGTTTCTTGGTAGTCCATCTGGAGAAGTTCTATGCATGAAATAGATGCAACTGCCAAACAATCAGCTTTGTGTTGTTGAAACATCATTTTACATCTTGCATAGCTCACTTGCCTTTGTCCTCATCCTGGATCCTCTGAATTTATGCCTTGCCAAAAAGCATCTTCCTTTCATCCTTGATTCAGGCTTTGTGTTCTAGGGAAGCTGATATAGAACACATCTATTCGCATTTAGTTGATCAGTCCTGGTCCGTGATAAAACTTGAAGTAGAGAAGTGTTTTGCTGAATAAGAAAAATGAGAAAATTATGGAATTTTGGGAATAGTGAGAAATTTTTGCCAAAGAAGAAGAAAATAAAGTCAGGAATGAGACCAAAACAACAACAACAACAACAACAACAAATCTAAAACAAAATAAAATGTGTAACAAAACTCTTTATATCAAGTAGATAAAAAACTTGATTTAACTTTTACAGAAGCCACCACAAAAAAGAAAATATTATTTATTTTTGTGTTCATGATACAATGAGAAGGAAAAAAAACACACACAAACCCAAATCTTTAGGAAAATTCCAAATTCGTTGTATAAATTTCAATTAAATTTTCTTTCTGAATCCTGTATCACTTATGAATACTATCAGAAATAAATAACAATGTATGACTAATAGTGACTTCATAATGAAGATATTTGAGTATCTCACTCAATAGGAAGTATAGAGGTAAGCATCCAAAGGTTTATTTGGTGGCCCTTCAGGATCACTAACGATCCAAGTTATTTTCATCTTTTGCTCTCCTATCTTCAGTACGTTGCTTTTGATCCTTTAGTTTGTCTTCTCTTGGTGGTGAGATGCCTGCCAGTATTCCAACTATCAAAGGTAGGAAGTGGGGAAGGAAGTACAGGGCAGGAGAGAATTTCTGCTCTAATGGCTTTCATGGGATTGCGGAAGGTCTTTCCTGGAATTCCCCTACATCAACTTCTGTTTATGTCACACTGGCCAGAACTGGGTCATCATGGCCATTCAAACCTGCAAGAGAGGCTGGGAGTGTGAGCACCTGCCTTTTTGAGCCTGAGAAACTCATAAGGAGAAGAGGGTTGAGAAAAGGCAGAGGGAGACACAACTGGTAGTGTTTATTTTTCTTTATAGTTCTCATAATGAGAATTACCTGTGATATACTGAATAATATCCTAGGTAACACATCACAGTAGATATGTGACATTCCTTATAGCTATACATAAGTGTTTTCCATACATGCTGATGACATTATACCACCATATGATGCAGTAGAAATAATTCCTTATAGTGGGAACAGGTAGGATAGAAATGGTTGCAGTTTAGATGTGTAGGCAACTGACCTAGCTTGCATATTTTAGAACATGGGACAGTTTGGTCTGAGTGTTCTAAAAACCTGTCCCTGAATCGAGATTTGTAAGACTAAATGTACATGTTACACAGCTCCAGATTACACTTCATAGTGATGCTTGAGTATGACTTTGATTTTGCCATTTCTACATAGACCCAGTATTACTAGGAGATAATCAAGTTAGGAATAAAGTTGCCTGATATTGGGGGGATAACTAAGAAATCTAGTATGAATGCATGCATGCTGTCTCTGCTTGGATATAATTATGCCAGGGGGCCAGGATTCTGTTCAGAAGATTGTTTCAAATTGGCTTCAGTGCCTGCACAAATGGGCAATAAAACCCCCAAGATATACTCCATATTATATCACAGAAATAATTATACCTGAAGAATTTAAGGCAAGTAAAATCACACGCTTGCCTGGACAAAAGTAAAATATCCATAAACTATCCATAAAATGCTAAGCTTTCAGTAGTGCTATTTTCTGGTGTACCCTCCAGAATAAACTGTGAGTGAATATGCACCAAAATAACTAAACAAGGTAATTCATTGTATGCGGTTGTTATTTATATACCAATTAAAAGTAATAGAATGGCTTCCAAAAATAACTACTTTAGTTTTAGAATAATTTCTCTGCACTCCCTTTTGGCAATAATCAGCAAACAGAATTGATGATTCAGGCCACAGTAGTATGAAATAATAAAACTATGCTGTCTTTATATAATAAAATATTTGCCTTTTTTGTGCCAGTTTTGCCTTTTTTTCTTAAAAGTAAAATAAGCTAATATTTATTAAGCCCTGTACTTACTTAAATCTCTTGACACCAATGACATAGACACTATCTTCAAAATGTTAAGTGACTCAGAAAAGTTAAGGGGTTTGTCCAAGTTATGCAGTTGTAAGTGGTAGATCTGGGATAATGAGGAGGCCTGAATTTTGTGAATCTAAAAGTGGATTAGAATTATTAGGAAACAAAAAAGAGAACTGCCCAGAATTTCTGCTTAGCACGGACTCAGGATCTCTGAGTTCAAGGTCATATGTGAGGGAGGTACAAAGTGTCTGTTTACCTTTTTCTCAGGTTGTGTTTATTTCATGGGACAAAGCCTATCAATGTCATAAGGTGAAGACTTCACAATTTTTTTTCATAATCTATCTCCACCTGCTTCACAGTAAATGAAAATCCCACTCATATTCTAGCATTGGGCTGCTGGTGGTATTGTTGGCTTTCACCCTCAACTCTGTTTTCATCTGTGCCCCAATGATAACTTGGATAGAGAGTATGTCAAGTATTACTAATTAGAGGCAATTGTAAATGGAAAGTCTTGTTTCATGGATTTTTAAAATGTATACTTATATGATTATTTACTTTTTCTCATATTTCTCAATTCTTAATTCTATCTTTTAAGGCCGAAATTCTAGTTTTATGCATTATAACTTTCAGTACCCTGCTCCTCCCCTACCCATACACATTCCATGTATAGTACAAGCCTAGAACACACATACACATACACACACACTCATATACTGTGTATACCACACCATCACACACATTTACATATACCTGCTTTCTTTTTTTAATATGTTGCAGTAGTCACACACAACTGAGCAGGATGAGAGGGCACAAAACATGGTGCTTCGTATTCCTGGAGCTGCAGCCTTCTGATGTTGAATAACATAATGAAAAGAGAAACATGGAAAGCCATCTTAGCAGTGCCTATAGATATCTAAAGTTTTTCAAGTCATTCGTCAATTCAGAGTATCAGAGACACAGGCCTATCTGTCAATATATGCTCTCTCTTGGGCACACTATGGGCAATGTGGTCCAAGGGACAGTTGTGTTCCATGGTTAGGTTTTCCTGTTTTTTTAGTATTTTGCCCATAGCATCCTAGAAGTGCCTTGTATCTAACCTAGACTAACCAAACAAAGATTCATTCATTTCTACCCATATCAGATTTGTTTTTGTTCCAAATAGGTCATAAGCATCAACATTTACAATTTAGGAACTTTTGTGAAAGTACATCCTGAATTTTAGATGACAAGAATGGAAGACGTCAATACTATATGCGGGAAAAAAAGAACTGAAGAACAATAGAACCCAGGATAGAATGGATTAGAAATGATTAACGTTAAAAAGGCAAAGAATATCTCTGACATATATATATCTCAGATATGTATATCTATATTTTCCATCATATATATTCTCTCTCTCTCTATATATATATACTTATATATATTTGTGTATCTGTTATATATATATATATATATATATATATATATATATATATATATATATATATATATATAAAATGGAATAAGACATAGGTAATTTGATAACTTGGGGACAGACCAGGATCTCTTTATTGCCTTCAATTATTAGAAATATTTCAAGTTTTTTCTGCCCCGTCAGATTATGTCTCATGTATTTGAATTGAAGTTGTGTTTTCTCCTTATCTTGAAAGATTTACCTTTATATTCTCCAGAATTTACTGAATGAGTTTTCACTTTGTTGATGAAAGTTGTACTTCCAAGAATTTAGCAGACAGTGGTGATGGCCTTGAAGGTAAATTACAGCAGCATAATTCTTTCTATCCAATATAGAATACCACATGATACTTTTTGTATGGTATAAGTTTGATTTTGAAAACTGTTATTAGAAATGAGAATAACACCATTTTTCTCAATAATTTTCCATTTTAAATTATTTTATTTGGATTTTCAGGGCATGTTTGTTGAGAGTGCTAAAATAGTGCAAAGTCAGTGCAAAAGTGTTTCAATAGCTAAAAAATTAAGTACATTGTTCATTTTTTGGTTTCTTGACAAAGGTATCAAAAATATATCATCCCTTCTCATAAAGGGACACATAGATAACCATAATGACAGATAGAAGTTCTCTAATCTCTGGCTTAAAATGGCAGGTATGGGCACAGAGACGAAATAGGATTTAGTTCTGCCTAGAAGAAAGAGTGGCAGAAGGAGCTTTGTGGAGGAGATTAAATTTGAACTGGACCTTAGAAGATGGTTAGAATTAGGATTTCCATCTAATGATGGTGAACTAAGTAATTTGAACCAAACTTTCTTATAAGGACAATTTTAAAAACTGCTTAAATCTTTAAAAAGTATTTTATTTATTTATTAGAAATCATAGTTTTTATTTTATGTGATTATCTTTATATTTAGACCCAATTATTTAGATAGATTAAGAAATGGCCAAGGATATTGATTTCATCTCAGTAAATTTTAGTCTGACTAACCACAAAATCTCATTTTGTTTTATATACTCAAACAAATGTATCTCTCTATATATGTGTGTGATGTATTTGTTTTTGTTTTTTTTTTTTTGAGATGGAGTCTTGCTCTGTCGTCCAGGCTGGAGTGCAGTGGCACGATCTTGACTCACTGCAAGCTCCACCTCCTGGGTTCACGCCATTCTCCTGCCTCAGCCTCCCGAGTAGCTGGGCCTACAGGCGCCTGTCACCATGCCTGGCTAATTTTTTGTGTTTTTAGTAGAGACGGTGTTTCACCGTGTTAGCTAGGATGGTCTCTATCTCCTGACCTTGTGATCTGCCCGCCTCAGCCTCCCAAAGTGCTGGGATTACAGGTGTGAGCCACTGTGCCTGGCCGTATGTGTTTTTTTATCCAACTTTTATTTTAGTTTCAAGGAGTACATGTGGAGGCTTGTTACATGGGTAAATTGTGTGTTGCAGAGGTTTGGTGTACAGATAATTTTGTCACTCGGGTAATCAGCACAATACTTGATAGGTAGTTTTTTAATCTTCAGTGTCCTCACACTCTCCACACTTAAGTAGACCTAGTGTCTATTATTCCCTTCCTTGTATCCATGTGTATTCAACATTTAGCTCCCACTTATAAGTGCAAACATGCAGTATTTGGTTTTCTGTTCCTGCATTAATGTGCTTAGAAAAATGCCCACCAGCTCTATCCATGTTGCCGCAAAGGACATGATCTCATTCTTTTTTATGGCCGTGTAGTATTCCATAGCATATATGTACCATTTTTTTAAAATCAAATCTACCATTGATGGGCGTCTAGACTGATTCCATGTTATTGCTATTGTGAACGGTGCTGTAATGAACATATGCATTCATGTGTCTTTATGGTAGAACCATTTATATTCCTTTGGGTGTATATCCAGTAATGGGATTACAGGGTTGAATGGTAACACTCTGTTAAGTTCTTTGAGAAATTCGTGACTGCGTTTCACAGTGGCTGGACTAATTTACATTCCTACCAGCAGTGTATAAGTGTTCCCTATTCTCTGCAACCTTTCCAGCATCTGTTATTTTTTTGACATGTTAATAATAGCCATTCTGACTGGTATGAGATGGTATCTCATTGTAGTTTCAATTTGCATTTCCCTAAGGGTTAGTGATATTGAGGGTTTTTTCATACACTTGTTGATCGTGTGCTAAAAAAAAGTATTTTTAAAGGAATCAGACTGTTAACAAAACTATGAAGACTTATCAAGTAGAAGCCAGGAGAAGATAAAGATCCAAAGAAGCAGCCATGGCATTTGGGTTTGTATTCCTGTTGGAAAAGCAGGTTGACATAGGTACTTGTCAATTCCAAAAGGTGTGGCTGAGAGGATGAGGGGCTGAACAGCACTAAATGGGCAATTATTGAAGCCCAGGACCAACAGGCAGAAAAACTCATCTTAGCGTAGGAACCCAAATGGGCTGCATCGTAGGAGTAAAGATGAATTATTATGCTGCCAGTGAACTTGTGCAAAGATTTTCCCAGAGAGTTAATGCCCATTAGTACTTGTCAAAAGCAAAGATAAATCCTCTCTGGAGAAAGATAACGGTCCAAGTCTCAAACTATTTTTACAAATGATTCATAAATAAAATATTTGGTACAAAATAAAAATAATCAGGCATTTAAGAAGACAAATTCACATGAAGAAAAGCCAGAATATACAGCAGATGAAATAAATAATGGATGAAATCAAATTAAGATAAAGTCTAAATAATTCCTAAGAGTTACTTATACATAAACACTAAAATAACAGGGATTATTAAGTTAAAAAGTAAAGATTCAAAATTTTAGCAGAGAATCAAATGAAAATTCTTGAATGGAAAAAAAAATCAAAATTTAGACCCCAATGAATAGATTTAATAGCAAATTAGATACAGTTGAACAGAAGAATTAGTAATCTAAAAGATAGGTGAGAAAAAATATCCAAGTGGAAGCAATGAGGTCACCAAGAATTAAGATACAAAATAAAAGATGATATAAAGAGAAGGTATAACATTCTTTATTTGGAGTCAAAGAATAAGACAGAAAAAAATAAGCCAGATGCATTTTTGGAAGAGTTAATGAGCAAGAGTTTTTCAGGACTAATCACAGATATCTAGACATAGATTCAAGAAACTATATGAAACTGAGGTGGAGAGAGAAATTCATGATTAGGCTTGTTATAATAATAAAATTGCTGAAAATCAAAGGTAGAGAAGAAAAAAACCTTAAAAGCAACCAGAAACAGGGAAATGGACTTTAAAGGAGCAATTCGTAGACAGTAGCTGACTTTTCCACAGAAGAAAATTAAATGATGCTTTTATAAAACTGAAAGAAAATAATTTCCAATAGAGAATTCTACATTCACTAAAAATATTCTTCAAAATGAAGGTGAAATAACCATTGTGGAAGACAGTGTGGCAATTCATCAAAGACCTTGAACAAGAAATACCATTTGATCCCGCAATCCCATTACTGGGTATATATCCAAAGGAATATAAATCATTCTACTTTTAAGATACATGCACATGTATGTTCACTGGAGTACTATTCACAATAGCCAAGACATGAAATCAACCCAAATGCCCATCAGTGATAGACTGGGTAAAGGAAATGTGGTACGTATATAGCATGGAATACTATGCCGCCATAAAAAGAAATGAGATCATGTCCTTTGCAGAGACATGGATGGAACTGGAAGCCATTCTTCTCAGCAGATTAACACAGGAACAGAAAACCAAATACTGCACCTTCTCACTTATAAGTCGGAACTGAACCGTCTGAACACATAGACACAGGGAGAAGAACAACACACACTGGGGCCTGTCGGAGGTGGGAGGGGGGAGGGAGAGCATCAGGAAAAATAGCCAATGCATGCTGGTCTCATTCCTAGGCAATGGGTTGATAGGTGAAGCAAATCATCGTGACACATGTTTACCTATGTAACAAACCTGCACATCCTGCACATATACCCTGGAACTTAAAATAAATAAAATAAAATAAAATAAACAATGAAGGTGAAATAGACATTTTAAATATTACATTTGTTGAAGTAGATTGAAGTAGATTTATCACCTGCAGTCCTACACTGAAAATAATACTATAGGGTATTTTTAGGTAGGAGAAAAATTATTTCAGAAGGAAATAAAGTGATGGTAGAAATGCAGGGCAAGACAAATTGTACATCCATGGGTTAATCTAAATAAACATAGCCTATATAAATAATATTAATGTTATATTTATTGTATCATATATATATAAGTAAAATGTAAATACACATAAACAAATACATTTCATTCTGCAAAGGAATTAAAGAACGCAGAAATGCTTGTGCTGCCCACATAGAGGGTCACATAACTACCTGTTAGACTTGATTGAGTCTAGAATACAACAAAATGTAAATAGATGAGATGCTCCAATTGTAGAACTGGTTTTTTTTTTAAATTCAACTCTATGCAGTTTAAAGAAGACATATCTAATACAGAAGGAGTCAGATAGCTTGAAAGGACAACACTGGGCAAAATGATTCCTAATAATTCCACAGACAAGCCAGGGTGGTGAGTAGTATATTTATAGCATTGTCTTAAGACTACAATTCACATGAGAGACAGTAAGGGAAGAGCCCTTTGTTAGTAACATTGTCTTTAGTGGACATGGTTTATAGGAAGAAGGAAGACTGAGAACGTTAATATATTAAGAAACCTTGTTCCTGGTACATTTATGATTGAGACAAAAAAGAAAGAAGATCTTTTAGTCCCTTTCAAGTGACTTGGTTGATAGAATTATAAAATACTCTACAGGACCAGTGAGGATCTGGGTATCAGTGACATTGGTGTCTTTCATAGTTTGTGTACTAGAGGAAACACAAATTTATACTCACATAAGGAAATCACTATGTTCCTCTGAAAATAAGTAAAGGGAAATGTTTACTATTATATTCAGCATGGCTGTTGTAATTATAACCCATTTGGTCAAAATTCACTTAATTGAGTGCAAATAATAAATGAAATAGCTCAAGAGGGTGATTCATTTATATCTAATTAAATAGACACACAAAAGTTGTCATGCACAATGATTAACAGACTTCACCCTTTGTTGATGTAAAGAATGATTTTTAAAAACTTTATTATCCACCTACTTCTCCACCCACAGGCTTGAGCTATTTCACTAATATAAAATTGTTAAATCTATTTTGTGTAATACTTTTATGAACTGTTTTTAACCACAAGGGATACAATAGAGTGCTATATTCTGTTACTTTTTACACATTTCTTTTTAAAAAAATTTTTCTCCCTTTGGTCAAAATTTTAATTTACCCAGTATTGCACGCTTTTCTTTTATGGCAAAGTTCATATCCATGAAACATTTTATTTAGTTCCTGGAGTGGGTAGCATTTGTTGATACAGTACATTTAGTTAATGAGACAATGATACAGTTAATTATCTGTAAGAAAACTCAGGACCAATATAAGCATGACCCTCCATTTATAAGTAAACCACTGCATAAATATTTATATTAGTCTCTGCAGTGTGACTAACGTTGGAAATTCATTGTACTTCTGAAGAAAAACCACTTGGAGACCTTCGAGTAGGATTTACTTTCCTGATCAATTGTTGATGAGATTTTAATCCTTGATAGTAGGAAGTAGTAAGTACAGGAGGGAAGCAGAGGAGATGGGGAGCAATTTGCTCTCATAGAGAGGCTGGCAATCATGGGCTGGGATGGGGAGAAGGCAAGCCGAAAAAAGAAACACTCAATATAAAATTAGAAAATTATAGATGAGAGTGGGGAAATCCTTGTTTAAATAGAAGATACTTTGTGTTTGGTTAAATTTATTTAGAAGGATAATGTAAATTTAAGCCATGCTCAATGCATTTGGGGGAAAATATATGAGATAGATATTTTTTCAATGGGTAGGAACAAAGTAGCAAACTGAAAAACTTGTCTTGCTTCAGGGGTAGTACCATAATCTGTAACAAGCTTGTTGTTGTGGCAGTGTTTACACATTACTTAGGGGCCTCGAGGTCCTAGAAATTACCTGAAGGAGCATGGTGGCCTCCAGGCAGAGTTGCTGAGCTTCCTATGTTGTGTCAATCAAAAATCTATGAAAATATGGCCTCTCAAAGTCCCATGTGATAGGGCAGAAGCCTTGGAAGAGCAGTTTTATCTTCCACAACGATCAAATTTTACAGGGCAAAGTGGAAAGGAAACCAAGTTATGGACACGCTGATTTGACATCTGTGCTGGACAGCACCCCCAGCTCACTCTAGGCTAATGCTATTAATCTGGGGATTGTTGGAGAAAAGACCAGCTCCTCAAATCACTTTGGACTTTGAAGTGGAGAACTTGTTTATGAAGGAAAAGAGCCTAATTATTTAGGCAAATTCAACCAGGAACTCAGTAGTGATTTTGGGAAAGAAGCTTATCTCTTTATTCAAATGCCATTTGACCCATCCAGGGTGTCATTGTCTTATACTTAATGACTATATTAAGAATTTGAATAAAACGGTTATTGCCACATTATGTGGGTGTAAAATTACGAATGAAGGAAATTGAAAACACATTTTTAAGGTCAAGCCTTGATAAATTTTCTCTTTGCCTTTAATCTACGGACTCATGACCTAAAATTCCATTTTGCTCATGAGGTGTTTCATGTTACAGATCGTTCCTGCCTTCTGGAGCTTTTACTCCTACAAATATTACTAGCTTGTATATGATAGATACTTTTGTTTATAATTTTGGTTACTTCCGCAAATATAAATAGGTGACTCAGTCTCTTCAAAAGAAACATTTGGGAGTCCTGTGGAACACAAGCCACCGTTATGTCATCTCTTACTTCAGCATCCTTTGTGGAGGAACAATTAGGAAGAGAAGTAAATCTTGTGTGATTGTTTGCCCAACAGAGAAACGTAACTGGAGTAGTATAAGATATTTGACTGTATCCATGGAAACCTTCTAGACTACCATTCTTAGATTTTGCTTAGGCTAAAGCAGGTGACAAGGTTCACAAGTTTTAAAAATGTTTTTGAGGGGGGATGGGGAGCTATTACTCAGTGATGACAGAAATCTGATAGTTAAGGAAGGTTCTAGCCCTTAACAACCAGGAAGCAACATATAAATCCCAGGTGTGTGTCAAATGTGACTCAGGTAATGATACAGGCAAGTCACTCTCTTACTTCACTAGAGAAATGGCATAGTTTCAAGACCTGCCCATGCTACACTAATCAGTATCATCATCACCACCATTTTACAGTCAAAAAGTGCTATTAACTCTACAAAGCAGTTTCGTACTAATGATATCTTTGATTCTCACAGATAAGCAGACAGATAGTACTACTGTTCATTTTATAGATGAGGAAATCAAGGCACCTAGCCATTAAATAATTTGCTTAAAGTCATATAGCTAATTAGTATCAGATCAGAGCCTCTTCACCATCAGACTTGGGCTCTTAATAGCAAAAATTTTAAAATAAGAAATCAGCATCCTAATTTATATCCTATGCAACAGCAGTGAAAAATATTAATGACTTCAGCAGAGAGTGCAGTAAGAGCTGGATTATATAAATATTTAAGAATAAGCTTATCCTTCCTGATTAAGGTCTTTTGTAAAAACTTTTGAAAACAATATAGAATTGTTGTTTTATTGTTTTGAAAACAATATAGAATTCATATGCTCTAAATATAAGGTAAAATGCATCAATGCAGTGGCATAAGCTTTCAGAACTGCAGAATGGTGAACTCAGGCTAAAAAGATATGATCTACTAAGATTAAATGATAGGCACTTCACTGTTTCATTTTTATGTTTTAAAATACAGCTTTGAATGGTCTAAGTCCTTATCAGAGTAAGTCTTTTCTGTTCTAGGTGAGAAAGCAGAAAATACATTTGATAGGGAAGACAAGGTTCAGTTTACCTTGTGTTGGTCAATGCCACGCTTAAGTAATTGCCAATAAATGTGTTTTGATCATTAAGAACATGTCTTCTTGCTAAATAACTTAAATTATATTTGAAATACTTGCTCCAGACTATTGATTATGTCAATTGTGTGAGTCAAGAAAACTACTTAACTTTTGTAGGTCTCTCAGTTTCCTCACAAAAATCAGGCATTGTCCCAGTTTATTTCCAAATTCAATTTCTAGTACACAACTTGACTAAGGGCTAAAGAATGACCCATTTGCTTTTCCTGTAAAACTTGATTTTATTTTCATTATCTCTTACAGGTGAAGAGAGGGCATGAGGGGAACCTGCCACAAAACTACTTATTGAATAGTAATTTTTCTGTGTGTGTGTGTGTGTGTGTGTGTGTGTGTGTTTTGAGACAGAGTCTTTCTCTGTCACCCATGCTGGAGTGCAGTTCTTACCTAATCAATTGTCACAAAAGGATAATTGTATTTGTTTTGGTTTCATTTTGTTTTTTGTTCTATTTTTCTTGTTTTGTTTTTCTTTTTTTCTTTTTTGAGACAGAGTCTTGCTTTGTCACTCAGGCTGGAGTGCAGTGGCGCGATCTCGGCTGACTGCAACCTCCGCCTCCTGAGTTCTAGCGATTCTCCTGCCTCAGCCTCCTGTGTAGCTGGGATTACAGGTGCCTGCCCCCACACACGGCTACTTTTTGTATTTTTAGTAGAGATAGGGTTTCACCATGTTGGCCAGGCTAGTCTCGATTTCCTGACCTCAGGTGATCCACCCGCCTCAGCCTCCCAAAGTGCTGGGATTACAGGCGTGAGCCACTGCCCCCAGCTGAATTGTAATCTTTCATTTCCTCACTGTCATATTATAAAATAATACCTTTAAGAATTTTATTCTTCATTCCATTTGACCCCAGGCTGGTTTCCTATCCTCACTCTCATCCTAAGTGCAATCATTGCAATGGCTTTGCTGTTGTATTGGTTCTAGATGAGGTAAAACATTGCCAGAAATCTTCAGAGAGAGACCTTAAACTTCTAAGCCTGACAATTTGATTTTATCCTTATTTTATCCTTTTGGTGCATTTTAGGAAAGAGAGCGATGGAAAGAGAAAAAAAGAGTTTTTCCAAATATGCGACCCTTAATGAGACTATTCCATTTTTCCTCACATCGCATTAATTGTTTTTAATTTTTCTAGTTATCTTGACATTCATGTCATATGGAAAACTGAAGGAGCAGAGGGAGGCATTTATTTCCAGAAGAGGTCAGAGAGCATAATCAGGGGACAGAGACTAGTAAGTAATCAAGCATGCAGTACACACTTTCATTAAGGCCCATGTGTTACAAAACCACAATATTTTAATATTCTGGTTCCTGCTATTTATGCTGAAGAGGTTGTGTTAAGGTTTATTTTAGTTAAATTTTACAAAGGATAAAAGTGTAACATTTTCAATCTTATTAGAGATGCAATGTGTTATTCTAAGTTTCATCTTCATTTACACGAAAGGAAAAAACTCCTCTTGATTAAATAATAAAGAAGTCTGATTGTTTACAGAGCCAAGTAACAAGACTCGATTGTGTGCCATGAACCAATCTCTCCGTAAATCCAGAAATTCTTATCCAACTTAATGATGGCATCTGCTGGGAGGAGAAAATTTCCATAGCACATCTTTGAAACAACCCCAAATCTCATGGAAACAAGCCAGGAGACAAATTTAAATGAGTGTAATCCTCTAGGAAAGATACACTTAGAATTTTTCTCTTAATGGGAACTTTGTTTGCAGACAGTGAACAGTCTACCCAGATAACGCCAACAACATCTGCTGCTGTTGGTAAGAACTGACCTCTTAATCATGAGCTATTCACATCAAAATGACTGCAGGCTGTTGGAAGGAACAACATGAGTTTTCTTCGAGATGCCCCTTTCAACAGTATCACACAGACCGAATGCCAAAATTATCTTTTACCTCTTTGTTTTAAATGCAATTTGCTAAGACAAGGTAAAAGGAACACATGGAACAGGGAAGAGGACCAGATCAATCAAGCGAGATGAAGGCGATCTGATTTGTCTGGCATCCGCTCTGGAAGAGTAATGCTCTGGCATGCCTTTATTTCAGCTTAGATTTGTCAATTTGAGAGAATCGTCTCTTTCCTCTCTCCACTAAGTCCATCTTTACTGTGACTGTACCAGCTGTTTGTTTTGATTATAGGATGGTAGACACCAGCTTCCTGACCATAATGTCTGTGGGAAGAAGAAGGACATAGGGGCAGGGAATAGCCATCCTTTACAGGTTAAAGGTCCTTACATTTAAATCTCTGTCTCAGGACATTGAGCTGATAGCATATGACTTATATGTCATATAGTTGGAGACTTATGCTATTCTATTTGCTGTGATCCACAGTGGTTCGCTTTATTTTCAGTTTGTTGCCATTTAAGGTAAAGCAACAACATAAAAATACCTTTCTGTTGATACTTACGGCTAACTTGGGAACTATATCTCTTGATCCAATATTTTAGGTTATTTTATGTTATCAAAATCTAGTGTAGAATCAAAGAATTTGAAGGGACCTTAGAGCATTGAGTCCATCCTAATCTTTTTATAATATTCTTGACAGAAAATCGCCATTCTTGCTTGTATATTTCTAGGCATTGTGTATAAGCTTTTCTGTACTGACAGTAGTGAAAAACAAAAATTTGCCTCTAGGTAGTTTCTACAGTAATTTTTTTTTTGAATCTCTGTTCTACAGAACATCTCTTCAGATAAATGGAAAAAATAAAGCAAAACAAGAAAAAGCATTTAACTATTGCATCCTTCCCACACCGAGTCACCTTTTCAGGACTATAAAGTACAGATTTCTTCTGTGATGAGGTTTCCAGATCCCTCTCTGTCCTGGCTTTCTTTATGCGCACACAACCTAGGATAGCTAGGTGTATTTTAATGTGTATTACAAGGAGAGCAGAACATAGCAGAGCTGATAGATATAAAGAACTTTAGAAAGGAAAGGAACATCCACGTTTTACAAAATAGAAACGGGGCCCAGAGAAGCAATGCAAACTGTTCCATGTCATAAAAATAGTCTCCTCTCTCCCAGAACAATGTGCTTTTCACTTTTTTCTAGACTGAATTGCTGATTAACTAGATAAAATGCTTCAGATGTTATCTGATCAGCCCAGAGCTGGGGATCAAATGCATTTTGCTCTATTAACAACCATACTATTTGGCTGTTTGTTTTATAGTATTTATATAAACTGTAGTTAAACTAGGTCTTGTATTTACTCTTATGTTTTATCTTGTGTAGCTTAGCCAGGGTACAAACTTCTCAGGATATTTTTGAGTCCTAATTCTTTCATTTCATCAATACCTTGTCTACTACTTTTTGACTCATGCAACTGTTAATTCTCAGAATGCTTTCTATGTCCTTGTTCAGATTATTGTTAGAAGTATTCAGCAGGACAGGGACAGAACCAAAATGAAGCCAAAAAACAACAGAGAACAAACCTGTTTCATTCTATTGCATCTAGTTCTAGATTGAAAATTAATTAACCAAGATATGTTGGAACTGTTGTTAAATCATGCATGTTTATGCTTGATTGTGTATTCACACATATTATGTTTTCCTCCTTGCCCAAAAACATTTTATGAAGGCCCTTTTGCAGATGCCTTACTGGAATTAAGACATTGTTTAAAATCTGTTAACTCCACAGAAAAGGAAAAGGAGATTATTGTGAAATGATTTATCCTTAGTAAATTCGTTAGTAAAGGAAAGAGATCTTTCTTTCCTATGAACTCACTAATCTTCTGTTTAGTAACTTAGTCTAGAATTTTGCCCGGAATTGATAAAAATTCATAAATCGTTGATAATTTTTCTTTTTGAATGTTTTTGAAAATCAGGACATTTCCTGGACCTTACCTGTTCATGAATTCTCAAATATTGTAGTATTTTGGAGATTATATGTGCAAATGCTTAATAGCTTGTTATATAAATGTAATGGACTTAATTCTGAATGTATTTAAAGTTGTTTGTTCTCTGTTACAAACTAATTCTTGGTTTCCTTTTATTGATGTATTCCCTGACATTTAAAGAATTTTTAAAAAATTAAATACTAAGTAAATAAAAAAGAACCCTTATAAAATATGTGTTAGTTATAAAGACAATGACATAAAAATATCCATGTACATAAGTGCACTTTGAGCATGAGAACATTTCCATTAACCATGAAGTCCTTTGTGTACCCTTGCCAATTCCATCTCCTTCCCTGCCCCTCAGAAAAATACTGCCATATTGGGAGGCCGAGGCGGGCGGATCACAAGGTCAGGAGATTGAGACCATCCTGGCTAACACAGTGAAACCCCGTCTCTACTAAAAGTACAAAAAATTAGCCGGGCGTGGTAGCAGGCGCCTGTAGTCCCAGCTACTGGGGAGGCTGAGGCAGGGGAATGGCGTGAACCCGGGAGGCGGAGCTTGCAGTGAGCCGAGGTCGCGCCACTGCACTCCAGCCTGGGCGACAGAGCGAGACTCCGTCTCAAAAAAAAGAAAAAAGAAAAAAGAAAAGAAGAATACTGCCATACTAACTCCCCCTTCCTTGAAGATATTATTCTGTTTGTTCCACAGCTTCTCACTTATGGTGTGTCCCCTATTCCCCCCGGCATCAAGATAAGCAATTTTCTTTATATTCCCCTATTGAATGCAGTGCCAGCAGTCTTACTTTTTATTTACAATTATGCTGAGGGCTTTGAGCTTCGGGAAATTCGAATGTAAGTGTATGTCTGTTTCCTATTTGTCTTCCACCTTTACATACTTTTTCTGCATGCCTTGAGGACTGTGAAAAGTTCATTAGATCTCAGGAAATCCCCTCATTTTAGTCAGAAAGTGGACTTCTGTGGGCTTTGCTCATCTCTCTGGATTCCTGTTTGCTCTTAGTTTTTGACACAGATGTGTGTGTGTGTGTGTGTGTGTGTGTGTGTTTGTGGGTGAGTTTTCTATGTCTTATTCAACATAAGTCATTTTCAGCAGAAGCATTGGTCAGGAAATGAAATGTGCTCCACACTTTTCAGTTAGAAGGTAATTCTTGATGGGGAAGGCAGAATAAAAACAGGAGTTCAGTAATTCTATTATTCAATTAATATCACGTCTTTGTGGCCCTACCTTCTGCTTTCATCATAGCTGTTGCCTTAGAATTTTTTCCCAGGCCTTTGTTGATCCTCACATTCTACTCTTGCTCTTATACTTAGTTCGGATCTGTATTGATATGTATTGTTTTCAACCTCATAATTTCTCTCATCTCTTAGAAACTTTTATCCTTTAAACTCTTTAGAAATGAGGTCATAATTATCTTTACAGTGATACAGCAGAGTCTCAGAATCAGAAACAAAATTTCTAAGAACTTGCATAAAATTAGTTTTTTTATGGACCTTTTTATGGACCTTTTATGGACCTCCTTTATGAGAACATCTTGGTGCCATATATTGTGGGAGTCATAAAGCCTTCTCCGGCTCATTATATAGCTATACAGAACATAAGCTCTGTCCTCTGAAGCCAGTGATTGCTCATTGTCCTGGGGAATACTTCTCAATTGAAATGGGATATCAACAGGTTTAATGGGATTTTAGGACAATACAGTTAACCAAGCTGACTCAGCTTTTTAATGCACAGTTGGATTTCATTGAAATACTTAGAAATAGACTTAGATTTATTTAATCAGGCTCTTTCCTATAAAAATAAATGATGGGTAATTATTATTCTTAGTATCCTCCAAAGACAGGATGGGATCAGTGAAGATATAGTAAGTGTCTGAATACCTCTTCGATATGATGAAAATGATTTTTGGTGTATTCTGCCAGATTCAGATTCTGAATGTCACTGGAACTCCTATGAGGAATGAGAGAATGTGAAGAAATGCAAACAATCTAGTATTCATCATACAGGGATCTGTTATCATCACCTCGAGTTTGTAGGGTGTTGGTTGTGAGAAAAACGTTACACTTTGGCTGTAATTGATATGAGCATTGGAGTATAGTATTTAGACTGACCTAACATTTGAGCAAGTATCCCCGGTCCAAAACCAGTTATGATACATTATCCAATCGAGTGATATTACATAAGACTTAAAGAAGAATTGAATTATTGTTATTTGTAGATTTTTTCACAAACTAAATTAGAAGCAAAATTTGATTAACTTTAACATCTATAAAACTAGATGTAGTTAAAAAAACCCTTGACATGAATATATTTTATGTCTGTGAATACATGACTTTTATAGGATATTCAAATTAAACTATCCTTTCTTACTCTTTGTATTTGGAAATTTATATTTATTTTAATCTGAAATTTTGTTGGTTAGTTTTGCAAATCTTACTGTGACTTGAAATTTTACAAGTAAACTCGCATCTGGATTTTCCAGTGTGTATTATTTATAGATTAAAAATAATCTTGACTTGATGTAAATTTTATGAAATTTGTTTAAACATCATTGGCAGGCTAAGCTTGTTCACAGATTCCTATTTCTCATATATCATTTTAGAGGAGGTTATATACATTAGGAATATGAAAATCCCTAAGTTACCGTTTCCAGACTTAAAGAAACTTAGAGTGTAACAGGGGAAATAGAAATGCTTGCAGATGATGTAGGGAAGAAAAAGAAGGCTCAGGTGAGAACAAAGAGACCTGTTTATTGTCAAAGTCCCAGGTTGGAACAATTGCATTATGGATTGTATTGCTTTATAGTCCCAGTCTTAATTCCAATATGGCACTTTTTCTTGAGAGACTTGTTCAAGAGAGTAAGCCAGTGGATAAACCATGGTAAATCATGTTTCAGTAATATAAGTGATTTCAACCTATTTGTTGTCTGAAGGATAGAGGAGAAGAAAAGAAAGAAGTAACACTTGAAATCTGGTCTCTGTAGGGAAGGAGTTCAGTAGAACATAAAACATCCTTCAGAGGTTAAATGCTGAAGGAGACATGCTTTCTTATCCCTTCAGTCCTTAACTGTGTTTGTACTTGTGGTTTTCATGAATAAAGACAAAATCCAGATTAGTATGGCTACCCTAGTTTGAACGGTAATTCTGCATACTTGCTAACTTTCAATAATGATGGGAATACTAAATTAAAAGAAACAGACAATCTCAAAATATATTGCAATATTTTATTTTCACTGGAATCAAATTTTAATCTTTGCAAGTAGTAGAGAACAGCAATTTGAAAGAATTGTGTCTAGTGGCAAAATGACTTTCAAAGAGAACAGAAAAGTTTTTCTTATTGCAAACGAATAAGACTTTAAATACTTAGTTTTTGATGCTTGCAGAATAGTAGATATTACATTTAAACTCTTTGGTAATTTTATAAGTGGACAGATTATGTTGTGTATTATTTAATTTCCTAAATTACTAATGAGATAATAAATCTATTGACCATTTGCTTGTTTTGAGAAAAATCTATTGCTTATTCATCTACTTGGCTTCTTTTCTTTTTGAGACAGTTTAGACTTATTTTATTATATATTGTTATTTCCCCAAACATATATGGGGAAATAACAATAGACTCTTTTTATTGTTGATTCGTAGAAAAAAGACATCAGTTTCTGGCCATGGTAGAATAACAGGGTATCAATATATTCTGTCTATAAACAATTAGAAAATTGTACAAAGTATAAGAAATAACTATTTTCAGATATTGAATAGTTGTGATCCTTAGGAGAAGAGAAACAAGTGAGGCAAGCCTATGATCACCCCTTCTTTCAGTCTAGTGACACATTCTGTATCCTTTCTCCTAAAGAAGAGTTGCTCAACAGAGCATGGCAGGCTTGCTGAAGTGAAGAGGCAGAGTTTGTAACTAAGGATGGCTGGGACATTCGAAGTTGTTTTGGAAGGAAGAAGCTACTGAGAAAAGCTTTAGTAATCTGGATAGGGATTTCTTTTTCAGTCGTTGCTTAATACTAAGCTTTGTGAAGTTGAGCAAAGGATGACTGAGGAACTATAAGCTGTACAATTCCCAGAACTCACACAGAGTGGTGAAATGATTAATCACCAGTCACCCAGAGTAGAGAGTCCTCATTCCATACCGAGAGAAGTAGTGACCCTGGTAGAGTGACACAGTAGTAGTAGGTCTAAGTTATCCCTAAAATAAAGGCTACTTCAAAGCATGCTAACAAAGCTTAAAAATAAAGCTTGAAAAGAGCGAACTGAACCGTAAGTGATTTATCTGCCTTCCGAAATGAATTTCAACAACATTTACAGAAAGACAACAAAATCCAAACCCACAATAGCATATGACTGCAAATTTCAGCATCTGAGCAGAAATATGAGACATGCAAACACATGTCTATTAGATAGTAGAAAAATCAGTCAATAGAAAGAGACCTATAAATGACAAAAATGATGGAATTAGTAAAGACCCTAAAACACTAATTAAAAATATGCTCGTATGTTTAAGCATTTAAAGGAAAACATGAATATAATGGATACATCAAAAAGAACTCAATGAAACCTGTAGAAATTACAAAAAAAATTTGAAGTGACAATTTTACCATATGAGAATAACAACAGGTTAGAAACTACAGAACAAATATCAACATATCTGGGGAAATAACAATAGATTCTATGCTAACTAAAGTACATACAGAAAATGATTAAAAATACTTGACAGTTAATGAGTATTGGCAAATACTGATTAACCTGCTGCACAGTATGTGGAAGATACAGTTGCAATTGTAGACCTAGGGAAAAGAGAGAGAAAAAGGCAGAAAACAATGCTTGAGTAAATAATGGCTTAAAAACTTTTCAAATTTGATAAAAACAATAAATCTAAGAACCCTATAAATCCCAGGCATGATAAATAGAAAGAAAACACACACTAAGACACATCAAAATCAAATTGCCAAGAGCCAATGATGAAAAGAAAATCATCCAGGAAAAAACAAAAATGAAAACACTGTGTACAGAGGAACAAACATAAGATTGACCACATTTTTTTTTCAGAAACTCTGGATTCCAGAATATAAAATGACAATTTTAAAGTTGTTAAAGAAAAACTTGTCAATCTAGAATTCTATATCCAGGGAAATTATTTAAAATGATGGCACTAAAAAGGCTTTTCAGAAAATTGAGAGCTGGGCAGATTTATTGCTAGTAGCCAAGCTAGATTATATGTTAAATGACACCAGATTTTAATCTGAGTCTGTATAATGGAATGAAGAGTATCATACATCGAAATAAATGGGCAAACATAAAACAAAGATTTTTATTCTCATTTTAAAATATTTTTAAGTTATTTACTGCTTAATACATTATGACTAAGTAGGGTTTGTCCCAGGAATGTAGGATTGTTGTAACATTCAAAAATTAATTTAATTTATCATATTATAATAATTAAAAAAGGGATAAAAACCATGTACTTATCCAAGAGATGAAAGAAAAGCATCTGGCAAAACTGAACACCCAATAATGATAAAAACTCTCTGCAAACCAATATTAGAAGTGAGCTTCCTCAACTTTATTAAGGGCATCTATAAAAACAGTTAACATTGTACTTAAGGGTGAGATATTGAATACTTTCTCCCCAAGACTGGGAACAAGACAAGAATACCCACTCTTCTCCAAAACTTTCTACCAAAAACCTAATTCTAACCTAATTCTAAATTCTAAAATTTAAGTGTAAAGGCAAAGGATCTAGAAGAGCCCAATGATTCTAAGAAATCTTCCAAAAGTTGCTGAAACTAATAAGTGAATGCGCAAGTTCATAGACACAGGATCAATGCAGGCCAGGCGCGGTGCCTCATGCCTGTAATCCCAGCACTTTCGGAGGCCGAGGTGGGCAGATCACCTGAGGTCGGGAGTTGGAGACCAGCCTGACCAACATGGAGAAAACCTGCCTCTACTAAAAATACAAAATTAGCCGGGCGTGGTGACGTATGCCTGTAATCCCAGCTACTCGGGAGGCTGAGGCAGGAGAATCGCTTGAACCTGGGAGGCGGAGGTTGCAATCAGCTGAGATCGTGCCATTGCACTCCAGCCGGGGCAGCAAGAGCGAAACTCCGTCTCAAAAAAATAAAATAAAATAAAATAAAATAAAATAAAATAAAATAAAATAAAATAAATAAATTAAATTTAAAAAGTTGCATAGTAACAACAAACAATTGGAAAATGAAATTCAAACATGTAATTCATGATGTAAAAAATAAAATTCCTGAGAATAAATTTAACAAAGTATGTTCAATATCTATACACTGAAAACTACAAATCATTACTGAGTAAAATTAAAGAAGGCTTAAGTAAACGGAGGGATACGTTGTGCTAATGGATCAGAAAGCTCCATACTGTTAAATGCTGATGTGCCCTAATAGATCTATAGATTCAATCAGTCTTAAATAAAATCTCAACAGGCTTTTAAAACAAGTGTAAGATGAAAACCTAATTCTGAAATTTACGTGTAAAAGTAAAGAATCTAGAGGAGCCCAGTGAATTTTGAAAAATAGCAAATTTGGCTTTCAAGACTTACCGTAAAGCTGCAGTATCAATATAGTGTGGTAATGGCATATAAATAGTCATATATATCAATGGAACAGAATATAGTCCACAAATAGACCCATACATATATGGATAAGTGATATTCAACAAAATGCCAGGATAGTTCAATGGGAGATTGAAGAGTCTTTCAAAAATTATGCTGGAAAAACTGGTTATCCATGTGGGGGGAAACAAGAAACACAAACAAGAACTCAAAATGGACCATAGATCTAAACGTAAAAGCCCAAACTATACAAATTTTAGAGAATAACATAGGAGAGAACACGTTGAAACCCAGTGGTAGGTAAACTTTTATGTTACACAAATATCTTATGAGAACTCTAAAATTTAAAACAAATGTTGATTGAAACTCATCACAATTAAAAACTTCTGGGCCAGGTGCAGTGGCTCACGCCTGTAATCCCAGCACTTTGGGAGTCTGAGGCAGGCGGTTCAAACTGAGGTCAGGAGTTTGAGACCAGCCTGGCCAACATGGTGAAACCCTGTTTCTACTAAAAATACAAAAAGTAGCCAGGCATGGTGGCACGTGCCTGTAATCCCAGCTACTTGGGAGGCTGAGGCAGGGTAATTGCTTAAACCTGGAAGGTGGGGTTTGCAGTGAGCCCAGATCACACCACTGCACTCCAGCCTGGATGACAGAGCAAGACTTCGTCTCAAAAAAAAAAAAAAAAAATCTCATGCCCTTTGAAAGACATCGTTAAGAAAATGAAAAGGCAAGCCCCAGACTGTGAGAGCGTATTCACTATACATGTATTGACAAAGGAGTTACATCCAGAATATATAAAGAACCCTTGCCACTCAATAACAAGAAGACAAATCACTCAATAGAAAAATTATCAAATGTCTTAAAACAGGCACTTCACAAAAGAAATATATTGATGGTCAATAAGTACATGAAGTTATGTTCAACATCATTAGCTACCAAAATGATGCAAAATAAAATGACAATGAGATATTAGTACATACACATTAACATGACTAAAATTAGAAAGACTAACAATACCAAGTGTTAGCTAGTTTGTATAATAACTGGAACTCTCATATATTGGTGATGAAAATGTCCAGTTATAAAACAACTTAAATAGTTTAGATATTTCTCATAAAGTTGATCATATTCCTAATATATGACCTAGCCATTCTTCTCCCCAGATGTTTACCTAAAATAAATAAAAATATATGTCCACACAAAGACTTATACAAGAATGCTTCTAAGTTTTACTTGCAATATCTGAAAACTTCAAACAACCCTAATGTCCGTCATTAGGTAAATGGATAAACAAAATATAATAGTAAAATATTATCTGCAATAAAAAGAAATGAACTACTGATAAACACAACATGGATGAATCATAAAAATTCAGAAACCAGACATAAGAGAGTATATACTATGTGATTCCATATGTGAACATCTGAAAAAGATTAATCTGATTTATGGTATCAAAAAGCAGATTAGTAGTTGCTTGGGGCCGGGGTCGAGGAATGACACCAGGATGGGGAGATGATTAACTGGTAATGGGCATAAGGGAACAATTTGGAGGATGGAACTATGTCTAGAATATAATTGTGGTTGCAATATTCATAGCTTGACAAAACCCACTGGACTACACACACTTAAAATTGGAGCATTTGAAATTATGTAGCTTATACCTCACTAAAGCTGATTTTTTTTAAAAAAGGATAATCTTTTTCCTTTAATCATTTGTTTGCAGTAATTTTGACATACAGAAATTCAAATTTCTACACAGTCAAAATATATCAATCTTTCATTCACAGCTTTCGAGTTTTGTGTCATATCTAGAAAAGCTTTCCCTGCACGCTTCATACAAAGGCCATTTAAGGGAGTGTTTTATAATGCATCTTCTGGCATCGGATGCCATCACGAGACTGTTTACACTTGAGCAAGTTACTTAATCTATCTATTCTGTAATTTGTTCATGTTTAAATCTGTGCATGAGTACAGCTTCTACCTTAACGATAGAAAGTGACAAAATGCAGGCGAAGTAGTTAGAGTACTAATGGGTACATTGGAAAACTTAACACGAGCTATTTTTATTATCATATTTTCTTAGAGTGTTTTTTATTTGAACTATTACACATGTTAAGAGAAGTATAGAAATTATAATGAAGACCTGTGTAGCCACTACTCCATTTGGTCAAATCTTAATTTAATGTTCTACCAAATTCATTTAGGATGTCTTAACTTTAAGAACTATGGTTAGAATTGAATCCCTCTTGGCACTTTTTGATGCTCGTCTTTTATTATACATAGATTGATGCTCCCCACCCTAAGATCACCTCACTGAAATTTGTGTGTATTTTTCTTGTCCATGTAGTAAAGTGGTACTATATATTTTTAAGTATTTAAAATCTTATGTAAATGGAATACCGTATGCATTGTTATACAACTAGCAATTCTTAGTGACTATAATAATATGGTTGAAATTTATCTATGTTTGTATATTTTTAAGTAATTTTAGGCTTTTATTTTCCATGTTTATGTCTCTAACCTATCTGGATTGTAGTTTACTATACAGTATGATGTAGGAATGTAATTTACTGTACTGTTTAAAATGGTTAGCTGGTTGTTCCAAAATCATGTGTATAATACAATCTTCATTTTTCTTGTAGTTTTGAAATTGTGCCATTTTATATTCTGCTATACTTAAGCATATATATGTATTTAATTATATTTCAAATATGTTTAAAATATTGGGCATGTTTCTTGACTTTCTCTTCTGTTCCATTGATCTATATCTTGAGTTCCATTACATTGCCACATTATTTCAATTATTTTAGCTTTTATATAATTATAATACATTTATTATATTTATGTTTGTGTACATATACATTGAAAAATTCAGTCATAATATTAGTCAGTTTTTAATTTTAAGATTTATAATATACAAAATAGAAAGATAATTATTGTTATAGGAGAGAGTATAAACATGAATCCTGACAATTTAAAAATAATATTATAAGTAACACTTTTGGAGGAAAGGAAGACTGGTGGAAGGAAGTTTAAGGGTGTTACACAATACTTATTTTTCTAAGTAAGGGGCCAGTATGTTTTTCCTAAACTTACTTAATCAAGTAATGGAAGTCTAAATGTATTAGTTTAAGATGTAAACAAACAATTACAATTACAAGCAAACAATGGGGAATTAGAGGAAGAAGTGGAGGAGTGATGTATATGTACTACATGTTTTACCTTTTAAAGGACTGTCAACTTGCACACGCATGTTTATAGCAGCAGAATTCGCAATTGCAAATATATGGAGCCAGCCCAAATGCCCATCAATCAACAAGTGGTTGAATAAATTGTGATATATATATATATGATGGAATATATATATACACACGATGGAACATGTATATATGTGTGTGTATATATATATGATGGAACTATATATGTGTGTATATATACGACGGAACATATATGTGTGTATATATACGACGGAACATATATGTGTGTATATATACGACGGAACATATATGTGTGTATATATACGACGGAACATATATGTGTGTATATATACGACGGAACATATATGTGTGTATATATACGACGGAACATATATGTGTGTATATATACGACGGAACATATATGTGTGTATATAAACGACGGAACATATATGTGTGTATATATACGACGGAACATATATGTGTGTATATATGATGGAACACATATATGTGTATGTATATATGATGGAACACATATATGTGTATGTATATATGATGGAACACATATATGTGTGTATATATATGATGGAACACATATATGTGTGTATATATATGATGGAACACATATATGTGTGTATATATATGATGGAACACATATATGTGTGTATATATATGATGGAACACATATATGTGTGTGTATATATATGATGGAACACATATATGTGTGTGTATATATATGATGGAACACATATATGTGTGTGTATATATATGATGGAACACATATGTGTGTGTATATATATGATGGAACACATATATGTGTGTGTGTATATATGATGGAACACATATATGTGTGTGTGTATATATGATGGAACACATATATGTGTGTATATATGTATGATGGAACACATATATATGTGTGTATATATGTATGATGGAACATATATATATGTGTGTGTATATATATATATGATGGAATACTACTCAGCCATAAAAAGAAATGGATTAATGGCATTCACAGCAACCTGAATGGAACTGGAGACTATTATTCTAAGTGAAGTAACTCAGGAATGGAAAACCAAACATCGTATGTTCTCACTCATAAGTGGGAGCTAAGCTATGAGGATGCAAAGGCATAAGAATGATAAAATGGTCTTTGGGGACTGGAGGGAAAGAGTGGAAGGGGGGTGAGGGATAAAAGGCTACAAATTGGGTTCAGTGTATACTGCTCAGGTGATGGGTGCACCAAAATCTCAGAAATCACCACTAAAGAACTTACTCATGTAACCAAATACCACCTGTTCCCCAAAAACCTAAGGAAATAAAAAAAACTTTAAAAATGAAAGACTGTCAATTCATACTATTCGAAGTGGCTATGTCAAGATATAGTTACATTGGTAACTACCAGAACGTTTAGAAATAGAGTTTGTTAATAGTAATTATCTGTAGAAAATGAACTAGAGGTTCAAGAAGAGATTTCTCTAATAACTTTTTGTTTTTAAAGGGGCTAGTCTTAATTTTAATTTGTTATATTTTTTCCTTAGAATATTTGGCTTTCTTAGAAGACTGGGTTTTTATTAAAGAGGTGGTTCTCCTTTCAAATTAGTCTTATGTCTCCCAAGAAAGACATCATGGGAATGTCAAGATTGATCCATTAGTATCTTTTGTCTGTCATCTAAGTGCTGCTCTTAGGATGATTAGAGTGTCAGAAAGGTGAGTTGTTGAGCTTCAAGGCCACCTTGATAATTCTCTTGATATTATGCCAATTTCCTCTTGTTTGATCCTCTATCAGTTATTACTGAAAATAAATTACTTCTTTAGAAACACTGTTGCCTGATTGAGAAGTCTGGCTGCACACACACCTATTTTAAAAAGTCATTTCTTCTTTGGCCCTTTACTCACTGAAACTTAAGACCACAAAGTGACATTATCTCCCAATTCTTGATCTAGTCATTTGTTGACTCCTCTTTCCTTTACTAAAAATCCGTGAGAATTATACCTTTTCTCACTTAGAGTTCCACTGCTAATGCCTTGGTTTAGGAAGCCTTAAGAAGTTTAGGTAAACTCATCTTCTATTAGAACGAACTTGTTGGTTAAGTTCTATTTTGGCCCATTTGACCTGGAATATTGGGGTACACCACACAAGGGGAAAGAACAGCCCCAAGTGATGAGGAAAATAGTAAGAGCTATGGAAGCATATTTTAAAATCTGATAGAATCCTTAGATCATGCTCCACAGTGACCAAGTATTATTTTAGAAAAATGGCTCATCAAGATCAAAGAAAAAAAGTTCTATTACATATTTTTAGGGATTTTAGAATCTATGCTTGTAAACAAATATTAGTTTTTTGTTTTCAAGGTTTTGGACTTTCTGTTTCTGGCCATTGGGGTGTAAAAGGTTACATGTAGGAATAAGAAGGTATTTTGATGTATTGGCCAAATTTGCTTTTTAAGTTTTAGGGGGAACTGCTGTCAAGCTGCCCAACTAAAATGATAAGAGTTATTTTATTCTGATTTTTATATAATTTCCTGGCAAGCAGAAAATGATCTGTCTTAACACTTATATTCTTCCTGCCAACACGTATGCAGTATGTTTGGACATATGGTCTCATTTTTATGATCTTTTAACCTTTATTTCTTTTACATACCCTGTGGCAGAGCTAATCTCTCATGGGACTTGAATGCCAGGGAAAGGTCCCATCTGGAGCCTCTGAAAAAAAAAATAGGATTGCTTTTGTGAGGGAAAACTTTTAAAGATAGACACATTCATTTAAATGAAATAATTTTAGTTCAACCCTTGATTATCTTAACCTGGTGGCTTAATATTTAGGAAAAAATCTATGGGAAAAATTTCCTATCTCTTCTGTGGGGTTTAGCATTATTAAAAAAAAAAACCCGACAACAACAACAACAGCAACAACAAAAAACATGTAGTAAGCAACTTGTGCTGCCAACCAACCTTGGCTAGAGAACATTCTTTTAAAGCTTTGGTCCTAGGAGTTCAGAACTGTGTTTTCACAAACAGGTGATGCATCAGCTAGGAAAATGTGTTGCCACAAATGGTAGGAAACCCCAAGTACCAGTGGCTTAAACAAAATAGACATTTAATGTTTCTTATGGAAAACAAGTCCGGAGTTGTGCAGCTCGGGGACTTCAATGTGTTGGCTCTGCTATTGTTACAGTGTGGCCTTTGCCTAAAATAGCTTCCGGAACTCCAGCCATTACATCGGAATCTCAGATAGTAGAATGAAGGTTAAGGACCTTCTGCAGTAAAATCTTGATGAAAAGTAGTAATGGAGGCTGTCTTTGCCTCTTTCCTAATCTTGGGGAATATTTTAATATTCTTTTATGTATAATGTTTACATTAGACAAAAAACTTTCAAAATCAAATGTAAGACTCTTTGTATTTTTACTCTACTAAGTTTTAAATTATGAATGGGTATTGATTTTGTCACATACTATTTTTTGCATTTATTGTGATATCCAAAATTCATCTTGCATATTGATTTACGAAATACATTGGTTTCTTCTTCTTTTTTTTTTTTTTTTTTTTGAGACGGAGTTTCACTCTTGTTGCCCAGGCTGCAGTGCAATGGCACAATCTTGGCTCATCACAACCTCCGCCTACCAGGTTCAAGCGATTCTCCTGCCTTAGCCTTCCGAGTAGCTGGGATTATAGGTATGTGCCACCACACCAGGCTAATTTTGTATTTTCAGTAGAGACGGGGTTTCTCCATGTTGGTCAGGCTGGGCTTGAACTCCCGACCTAAGGTGATCTGCCCACCTCGGCCTCCGAAAGTGCTGGGATTACAGGCATAAGCCACCGCACCCTGCCAGTTCCTTCTTAAAGATTAAGTCAACTTCACATTTATGGAATAAATACAGCTTAATACAGCTTAGTCATTCTTTCAATATATCATTGGATTCAGCTAGCTGATATATTGTTTACTACTTCTGAGCTTGTATTTATTTACTTATTTTTGAGACAGAGTCTCACTCTGTCACCCAGGCTGGAGTTCACTAGTGCGATCTCAGCTCACTGCAACCTCCTCCTCCCGGGTTCAAGAGATTCTCCTGTTTCAGCCTCCCAAGAAGCTGGGATTACAGGCACCTGCCACCACTTCTGGCTAATTTTTGCAGTTTTTGTAGAGTCGGGGTTTCACCATATTGGTCAGGCTGGTCTTGTACTCCTGACCTCAGGTGATCCACCCGCCTTGGCCTCCCAAAATGTAGGGATAACAGGCGTGAGCCACCGTGCCCAGCCACTTGTATTTATTTTTAAAAGGTGCCTATAATTATCTATTCTTACTATGTCCTTATCAGGTTTTTTTGTTTTAAGATTGGCTTCATAGAATGAGCTGGGAAGGGATCACTATTTTTTTCTTTGCTAGAAGAATTCTATAAGATTGAAAGTTTTTTCTATTTTCTCTATTTAGAAGAATTTATTGCTGCAAACATCTGTAGGTGCATTCATTTATGATATCGGCAACTTTTGCCTTTTTTTCTTATCAGTCTTGCTAGAGATTTATAAATTTTGTTAGTCTTTTTAGAGAACTAATTTTGGGCTTCATTGATTTTTCTTAATTACACCTTTGTTTTCTATTTCATTAATTTTTACTCTTATCATTAATGTATTCCTTCAACTTTATTTGGGTTTAATTTACTGTTATTTTTCTAGTGTTGGAGACTGCTATTTATATAATTTATTTTTAGCTTTTCTATATATGGATTTAACACTATAAACTCCCTTCTGGGCCTTTCTTTTGCTGCATTCAACAGATTTTTATGTTATATTTTAATTTTCATTCAGTTAAAAATGTTTTCTAACATTTGTTGCAAGTTTTTCTTTGACCTATAGATTATTTAGAAGTTTATTGCTTTATTTTTAAATATGTGGGTTTTCTAGTCATCTTTTTATTTATTTCAAGCTTAATTTCAATGTGGTCAGAGAATATAATATACATGACTTGAATCTTTTGTAATTTGATTAGACTTGCTTTGTAGCCCAACATGTTGTTCAATTTGGTTCATGAAAAGAAATCTGCAGTTGTGTGAAGTGCTCCATATATGTCCATATATGTCAATTAGCTGAGTTTATATACTGATTTCATGTCAACTTGGTTTATCGGTTATTAAGAAAGAAGAATGAAAGCTTTTTACTATGACTATGTTTGTCTATTTCTCCTTTTAGTTCTGTCAGTTTTTTGCTTTATGTTTGTAGCTATATTTTTCATGCATATAAATTTAGCATTTTAAAATTTATTTCATTGTATATATTTACACTGTAGAACATGATGTTTTGCTATATACACATACATAGTAACATGATTACTACAGTCAAACAAATTTATAAATCCAACACTTTCTTTGGTTGACTTTTATGTGTGTGTGTGAGCATGTGTTAAGAGCATCTAAAATTTCTCTTAACAAATTTTCAGTATACATTATTATTAATTATATTCCTCAAGAAATTTAGCATTTTTAAATCTTCTTCAAAATTGACCTTTTTATTATGAAAAAAACTTTCTCTAGTAATGCTTCTTGCATTAAAGTCTACTTTAACCAATGTTAGTACAGTTATACCAGCTTTCTTTTGTGAAGTGTTTACGTGGCATATTTTTCCAGTGTTTTAATTTTTCTTCTGGTCATATATTTAAGGTTTGTCTATTGTAAACTGCAAATAATTAAGTTTTGCTTTCTACCTCTGTCTTACTTGTCATAATTGAGATATGATTATATCAAATATCTTACTCTTTGCTTCCTTGCTATACATCACACAATTTTTTTCACTCACTTCACATCCAAATGGTATTTTTGCAGAGTGTAGAACTCTATGCTTGCAGTTATTTTCTCTCAACATTTAAAATATACCATTCACTTATGTTCTGTTTCCACTGTTTTTGTTGAGAGGTCAGCTGTGAGTTTTATTATTATTTTTTCTTTGATGTAATGTGTCTTTTTAGTTTGGCAACATTTTTTCTTATCTTTAGGAGTTTTACTATGTCATTCAGAGTTGTGATTTTCTTTTCCTTTATCCTGCTTAGAATTTTGTTTTTCAAATCTGTGCTCTGATTCTCCTATAAATCTGGACTATTCTTGCTCATTAGTTCTTCAAGTATTTCTTCTGCCTCTTATTTTGTCTCCTCCTATTCTATATTTGCAATTAAATGTATCTTAGACCATTTCACTCTATTCCATATGTAATTTATATTCTTTTTACATATTTTCTATATCTTTTGTTCTCGATGTTTACCTGGATTATTTTCTATTATCCCATCTTCTGTATTACAAACATTGTTTTTTGATGTATCCCTTCTGTTTTAAGCCCACTCTTTTATTTGTTAAATTCAGTCACTGGGTTTATCTTTGATTGCTTTGTACAGTTTATAGTAGTTTCTAATTTTTACATTTTGTTGTTTATGTTCTTAGACATATTAATCACATTTAAGGTCCATGTTTGTTAACTCTAGTATTTGAATTGTGTATGGGGTCTGTTTCTATTGTCTAGTTTTTCTCTTGGGCCTTTGTTGTGACATGCCTAGTAGCTTTTAATTGATTACTAGATATCTTAAATAAAATTATAGAAGTTGTAGATGATGATTTTTCTACTGCAGAGCATTCACCCTGTCCTATCATGGAGAGCTTGAATGAGGCCACATCAACTTATTTCATTCAGAGACTGAGCTGAGTAGAGACCAAGTTATAGTCCTTATAAACTTTGATCCACCTCTGCATTGTCTCTCCTCCTAAGATGTAGTCTTAAATTCTAAACTTTGGGACTGGCACTTTTAATATTGCTTCTATTCTCAACTCTAGTTTTCTTTTTCTCGTCACGATGAGACTGCTGAAAAGTATCTTTGATTTTCAGAGCGTTTCCATTTGTCTTCTTAGCTTCTTTCCTTATGCAGTTGAAAAGTTCAAGAAATACTCAAGTGAAACACTACTGAATGCTAGGCTCAATTCACTGCACCACCCTCTTTTTAAAAAAATTTTGCTCCTTACATCCTAGCTGCCTGAAAAACCTGAACTTTATCTCCTCAGCCCATGAGAATTTCAAAACTCTTCTGGCTTTTCTGTCTCTTAGCAATGTCTTCCTTCCCAGATTTTCAGCCTCTCATCTGCACCAAAAATACAGAAATGCCTTGAGCAGAAAAGTAGCTCATAGGACATATCAGCTCACCTCTCCTCTCTGTTATTTCCTTCTCTTTGAAATGTCTGCGCGGTCAGTACTGGCATCCTGGACAGCTATCTGATGCTTAAAAACAGGTTTTGTTTTTGTTTTCAATACAGATTCAAAAAATATTTTTAATGTACATATTGGTTTGCCAAAAGCTACTGTATTTCATCTGGGGATAAAGTCCCTCTCCCCACTTCAAAATTAATATCATATTAAATCTTTGGCTGCAAGATTCAATTAATGAAGGAAGTCACTAGAAGTTAAAAATAGTAATATTTTACTGATGGGAAATTAAAATAAAATATTTATAGAGTGCTTATAATGAATAAAGAGTTGAACTATGCTTTAGATACAGTAATTATAATACTTATAATACTGATAATAAAAGGCAAAATACAGTCTTTTATTTGATAAAGCTTACAATTTTAAGAAAACAAAAACCCAATGTAGTTAATTGAGAACAGATATACACAAAAAATGTAAGTTTACATTCTAGTTCAAGAGTTGGTAAACTATAGCTGGATTGTTAAATCTGGTCCACATTCTATTTTGGTGAATAAAGTTTTTTTTTACTGGAACATGGCCATATTTATTCCTGCATACATTGCTATAAAAATAAAGTTGTTGCAACAGAGATTGTATGGCCTGCAAAGTCAAATTTGTATTTATTAAAGTATCGTATATCAGGAATAATTTGCAAACCCCTTTTCTAGTTTTAGCATTGTTTTGGGCCATCATTTTTTTTTTTTTTCGGTTGATGGTTAATCTCAAAAGATCTCTAAGACTTAACCCATTTCTTACTTTTGTGGCTGTTTAAAAACTGTTTGTCCTTGCTGGGATTGTTACAGGTAGTTAAGCATGAGTGGGGCAGGGGAGGGGTCTTCCCCCTACTCACTAGAAATGGTCAATGATGGTTTGGCAATGATCACATTGCCTCTCTAAAAGTGACAAATTGGCAGCTGTTGCCAGGGAGAGGCCATTTCCTGATGGTCCACATCAAAATGTTAATTGAATCTAGGCCCCAGGGAGAAGCAACTTCCTGTGTATGCATGTTAAGAGACAAAAATGGTGAAGTATGATCTTCCAGAAAAGAAAAGAGCCTCAGATGGGCATGTGTATAACTCCATAAACACACTGCCTGTGGTCAGTTCTCCAGGGTAAGGAGGGCACCGTGCTTGCAGAAATCCCACCCTAAGGGAAGAGTCATGGGAAAGAAGTGAGCCTATAAAGTCCAAGGTAAAAAGCTTTCTTTTTCTCTCTTTGACATTCAGGTAGCCACTTGGGTCTCTTCCAAGAGATCTTTCCTTTCTTTCTTGTTCTAAGGCCTTTTTAATAAACTTCCATTCCTGCTCTGGAACTTGCCTGGGTCTCTTTTTCCGCTCTATGCTCCTCAGTCGAATTCTTTCTTCTGAGTAGGCAAGAGCTGAAGTTGCTGCAGTCATGTACAGATTCGCTGCCTGTAACTCAGGGTAACTCAGATCTCTTCCACCGCTAACAGGTTCAGGTCTGAGGACTTCATTTCTGTGATTGCCATCTTCAGTTACCGTTGCTTAAGCTGAACCTACAACCTTAATTTTTTGTTGGCAACTGACATGGCCTTCTAACTCCTATGCAAAGTTTTTGTGTCATTTGTTGTTACATCTTTTCTTGTTTGGACAAAATTTATCTAGCTGAGATTATGACTACTTAAAAAAGCATTTTGTACTGTTGTCAATTTTGGAGCCATAAGGCTCAATAGAGAAGAACAATCACTTTCATGCCTGGAGACATCCCTTGAGGCATTTTACTTCTCAAGGACCAACCCTTAGGGAATATTGGGCCAAGTGAAGTATTCCCAAGAGAAAGAGGGCTCAAAGCAGCCAACTGTAATCTTCATGTATTTGTCAGCTTAGCTTTCTCAATGAAGACTGCTTTTTGAAATCTTACTCTTTCCTTTCTGGTTGCATCTTCTTTCCATCCCCTCTGATTTTTATGGGGCGCCTTCAGTCTGTGCAGCACTTCCTGCCCTTGCCATATTAAGAGACTTTTAAAGTCCCTCTGTTTCTGATTTGAATTACACACAAGTGTTTTGTAGTAACTGGTGCTTATTTTGGCCCTTTGTATAAGTAATTGAACATCCATTAACAGAAGATAATTGGTTGACAGTTTCATTATTCTTGGAATAAATGGAAAGTCTGTGGACTGAGATTGAAGAGGCAAAAAATAGTCTTGGAGATGCAGAGGGTAGATTTATAGAATATATTTCTATATTTAAGTGTTAATGCCACACTTAAATAGATGAAGCACATATTTTTTTCATGTTTTGATCCATATTTTTTACCTTAACTAAAGTGCTTCAAATGACATAAAAATATATGAATGGATGGAGCACCAGAAACCAAAGGTAAAAAATTCATTTTTAAAGTAGAAGTTCTTATCAAGTGAGTGAGATAACACATCTGAGGTAACTGGATAAAAATAAAAGTTATTGGTCAATGAATTGTTTCATCAGCATAACATCAAACTATAGTGTGATAGATTCCCCCCCACTCTTCAGCCAAGTTGATTGCTTAAATTGTAATGTGCTGCTAAAATGATTTTGTTAATTCCATGTGAATCTTCCACATATATAGGGGGTTATGAGTATATCTCCTGATTTTCTTTTGTGGGTGAACTCACCAGGTAGCATTGGTGAAAAACTAGAAAACCTCAGGTATGATTCACCAGCTGAAATTTTAATTGATGATATTGCCAGTATTTGTAGTAAGTTTTGCAAAATGGCAGGTTTAGGGTAACTGAAAGAGTTTATTGATGATTACAACTTAGCCCAGCTAAATTTGATAATGATATTTCACACCTATCCCAAGTAAAGAGGTGAACACTTACATAATGAAGATCACACTGTTAGTCAGTGTAGCCCTAGCCGCAACCCAATGTCTACATCAATAGAAGTATTATATATGACCCATCAGAGTTAGTAGAAGACATGCAATTCATGCAACTGATAATTCCTTCTTAACCACTCAATAAATTATTGTTCTATTAGATGTGAAAGATTTAGAACTTGGGCTCAAACTTGGACACTTGACTATCTCAAGAACCAGTCTGCCATGCTTACATTCTAATTTCCCTTTCCCTTGAACTTCAGTGATTCAAATGGAAGGCATTGTTTTGTTTGAAACAGCCGTTGATGGGTTTTTAGAGGAAAAGTGTCTAATTACTGGCAGCAAAATCCCTCTAGCTCTCCTCTATTTTTTTTTTTTTTTTGAGATGGAGTCTTGCTCTGTTGCCCAGGCTGGAGCACAGTGCCACAATCTTGGCTCACTGCAGTCTCCACCTCCCGGATTCAAACAATTCTCCTGCTTCAGCCTCCCAGGTAGCTAGGATTATGGGTGTGCACCACCACACCCGGCTACTTTTTGTACTTTTAGTAGAGAATGGGTTTTGCAATGATGGCCAGACTGGTCTCAAACTCCTGACCTCAGGTAACCTGCTCACCTCGGCCTCCTGAAGTGCTGGGATTACAGGCATGAGCCACAGTGCCTGGTGCTCTATTTTTGAAAGATAAATGAGGAGACTGTAGATGTTTAACGAAGTTCAATTATGTTTCCTTTTAGTTCTTGCTATTGAAGTTGATTTATATGTAACCACAGTGAATTGTTTATATCCACAATCAGTTTTCTTCTTGTAAGTGTGAGAGATCACAGTGGCATTTATACCTGCTAACCATAAGCTTTCATTAAGATGATTGATTGCTTGCATTGATTTGTTTGATATGTGGGCATTCCTGTGGTATGAATTTTCACTTTAAAATGTACACAGTTCATCATTTGGGCTCTTCTCTTGCATTGCTGTTAATGGGATTTTAAACATGCATTCTTCCAAGAGCCTTCCCTTGATTAGGTAAACATTTATTATCATTGAAGGAGTAAGATAGGAATCATTGAATGTTTTTCCGGATTTTGGGGGGGTACTTAATGAACATTATTATTCTTAACATTTAGATGTTTCTTCTACTTGATATCAGTGATTGCCAGTTTCTTCAGACCCCTATAACGAGAATTGGAAGCAGATTTATAATCAAAGGGATGTTCAACTTGTAACACTAAAAGGAGTAGAAACAACTCACACTAGTTCTTTTAATTGCTGGATGACATTTTAAAACTCCTTTTGAACTGTGATTCTGTGGAGTCACTGTACTAAGTGAATTGCTGCTTATTAGAAAATCTGACTCAGGAAAAAAATACATGCATACACACATATGAATATATACAATTTATATATATATAATATATACATATATAATATATGTATATATATAATATGGGTGATTTGGTACACAGGGAGAGAGGAATATTGTCAGCCAGATACACTTATTGAAAGTTCTAGAGAAAAAGTTTTGGTAAATAAGGTTCCCACCGCCTAGTACAAATTTCTAGCATCCGTAATTTGGAAGCAAATGACACTTACACACTTACAGTAACTTGTACTGTATCCTTCAAAAGATATGTCCATGTCTTAATTTAAGTACCTGTGACTATGACTTTATTTGGGACACAGGGCTGTTGCAGATATAATTCAATTAAGGATCCAGAGATGAGTTCATTCTGGATTTAGGAATGGACCTGAATCCAATGATTGTTGTCCTTATAAGAGAGGAGATGGAGATTTGACACACACTGGGACAAAGGCAATGTGTAGATGGAGGCAGAGATTGAGTTACACTGCCACAGCCAGGAGGCTTGGAGTGAGGAGCCAAAATGCCCACTACCAGAAGCTGGAAGAGGCAAGGAAAAATTTTGCCCTAGAGCCTTCCAAGGAAGCATTATTCTACACCTTGATTTTGGACTCCTGGCTCCCGTAACTGAGAGAGAATAAATTTCTGTGTGATAAGCCACCACATTTGTGGTAATTTGTTGTAGCAGCCTTGAGAAATTAATAAAATATACATACTGTCATCCACACGAAGGGCTCCCCCTAGATTTGTGCCACTTGGGACCTGCATGATTAGATAGCCCAGATCTTCATGTTTATAACACATGCAGTTATCCATTGCAAGATTTACTCCCCGGTGTTGATAGTTGTGACATCTGATTCATGGAATTTCTGTATTGTACTTTGAATTACTTGTTTTTTAATCTCAGTCAAGAAATTATATGTTCCTATAAAGCTTTCCTACTTAAATTTCAATCAAGATACTCTTGTGGACTTGGACACTTTACCTAGATTACTTAATAAGCACACTTTATATTCTCTACGGTTATCCCTTTGGCTTTTGTAAAATGCTTACAAATTTAGCACTTTATATGATCATATTTTTTATTGTTCTGCACACAAAATGTTTATGCAGTAATAAAATTGGAAAATAAACAGGTTAAGCCTCCTGCCCTTAGACTAAAAATGACAGGGACTCAGGAAGGAAACTCTCCTTTCTCAGAACTATTATTGTATTTATTGTCAGTATACTCAGATAAGCACTTGGCTATACAAAGATGGGCTTCATCTCAAATCATTTCTTAGGCATAAATCTTATCTTCTCAACTATTGGCGCCAGCTTTCTGAAAGCATCAATTGCCTTAAACCCTTCACGTGACCATCACCTCTCCAGGGATGTCTCTGATATAGTTGCTTGATAAATGCTAATCTGGCTAAATTGATGTGTGGGCTTCTGAGTCACACTTCAGCATTTTAGATCATTTCCAGAAATTTCTACAGGATGTGAGAATGTATGATGATGAAAAAATCATCAAACTCCTCCTTCTGACATCTATTACTTAATTGGCTGTCAAGTTTAGAAGAAAAGAACTTTAATATTATATGGAGAAAAGATTTTACAAACTGTAATCAATTGTTTAGGAGTCTAAAACCTCAAGAAGAAATACACATAACATATTCCTAGAGGAAGGTAACTTTGGAAGCTAAATTTGTGACAAGTTTTTTTGGGGAAGATAGGAAAGAAATTAGATGTATGGTTACAAATAGTTCTGTAGATTGAAAATTAGGCAGCTCTTTCAATTGGCAGGAGTGAAGGGGATGGGTAACTTTAGTCCAGTGCAGAAGAAAAAAAAGCATGGACTGGTCACTCTGTATTGAACTTGAGTATTTCTTATTTTAATTGACAACATTCACGTCTCTGAGCTTCTCATTTAGACTTTGATAAAATCAACTTGCAGAGGCAGATGGCAGGCTGTTATTTTTAATTCACAAGCCATGTTAAATGTATGCCATATGTTATAGAACTTTTCAGGCTCAGCCTTTTGAGTGCTACCACAATAAACTCACCAACTTACAGAAAAGGAAATCTGACAGGAAGAATTATGCACTTGCGGGTTACATTTTTGAAACCGAAGTCAGTTACTTGTCTCTTTGCCTGATTTAAGGAGGGGGTGGGTGAGGAAGAAAAACCTCTCAGCAAAATGAGAAGCCACACATTGAAATGGTAATATCTGTGTAAAAGAGAAGTGGGATTAGAGTGTCTGATTGTTGCTTTGTACTGAGAAGTGATATGTCATATCAACAGTATGACACCTCTGAAGAATATATAAGGCAGCCCGATATAATCCATAAAGAGACTCAAACATGAGTTCTAATTTGTATACTGCCAATGACCTTCAGCAGGGGCCTCTCTGGCCTTCAGTAGTACATACGTCAAATAAAAAAGAAGTTGAATTAGGTAATCCCTAAAACCTCTTCCCAAATTTACATAGAATTTACATTTGGATTTTACATACTACAAATCACAACCCATACTCCTGACTGCTTATGGTTAATTACTGCCATTTTTATAGGTGCCATATTATACATAATTGTTTCTTTTTTGAGCAATTCTCCACTTGACAAGACTTCTTCAGTTGCTATTAGTGAAGGTCACCATGGTCAACAAATGTACTGTTGAGTTACTTTCATGAAATCTATTTATTTATTCATCATATGTCTGTGATCTTTGTCTGCAAGAGGTTTAATATCTGAGACGTTATACTGGTAATAGACATACAAGCAAAGCTTTTGAGCACCTGCCTCTGCTCCCCTGGAGACAAGTCAGTTTCTGGAGACATGATTCTACAGATCAGGATTACTAGTTTCTAGTGATAAGGATTTAAGAAACATTTATCCACTGATGAGAACTTTTGCCAGTGTTTACTTATTGCACTATTTAATATGAATATCAGTATTCATATTAAATTGTCTGTTAAAATGAGTTTTTATGAACGTCTTAGTTTCCTTTTGGATTCCTTAAGTAGAATAGGAAATGCCTCCTGCTGCATGAGCAAGAAATGTAAGGGAATTGTTAGATGACGCCAGACATATCTGAACTAGTTGTCTGGGGTCTAGGGGTAAAGAAAGGGGGAAGCTCTACAAGAAAAATGCAAAGGAAGGCTATGGCTCTCACAGAATAATTTATGTGCTGCTCTTGTTTCCTTCTCATGGGATCCTCATCCTTTTAGTGCTCTGTTCTTATCTGGGAGTCCTGAGTGTGACACTCGTGTTCAGCCAGAAGCACAAGACGTAAGTGAGGGCTTACCTGGTGTGTCTTGAGTGGGGTGGAGGCAGGTAGCAGAGATCTGAAATTCATTCATAAAGTATTCATATCTTTGAATTAAATTGTGTCCTTTATTAAAGGTGAGGACTGCACAGGAAGTACACCTTTTTCATAACTCAGAGTCACCTTTGTATAACCCTCAGGCTTTATTCTTATTGTCACTTCCTAGTTTCTATTTCAATATGGTAAATGAACATAGCAGCTCCTTGAGATGATTTTCTTTCTCCTACCTGGTTTTCCTTTTGCCACCACAAACAACATTGCAAGAGAGCCTTCCCTTACTCCTACGCTCCTACTTGCACTTACACCCTCCACTTCTCTCTCTCTTCTTTCACACTCCTATACATATGCACACACACACTTATATGCAAAGATGTGTTAGGCATCTAGTTTTGCTGTTACCATTGTTCCCTGCCACTGCACAAAATGCTGTTCTTTAAGCACACTATTTTCAGAGTCATCTCTTTATGTGTTTGTCTTTCCCACTTCCTGAGCCGGTACTCCTTGAGGACAGGGGCTCTGTCCTATTTATCTTTATATTCCTAAAATGTTGCTGGATCTCGTACATAGAAAGGACCCAGTTAGGTGTTTATTGAGTCAAAAGGATAAACTGAGTAAAAAAGTTCAGTAAAGTACGAATTAACAAACAGCCTATCTGGTTAGGTCGAGAACTTCCTTGATTTCTAGGTCATTTATTTATTTGGTCATTCATTAGGCAATATTTTCATTAATGATTTCACAGAAGAGGTTGATAACACCAGAACTCACTGCTTGCCCTATGGAGTTTGTTGTTTGTTTATGTATGTGTGCATGTAAACCTGCACATGTACATTTAGAATGAGAACAGCTATTAAACTGAAAATTATTTGTTTTACAATGTTGGTTTAATCATTTCCACTAATCTTTTTGTTGCCTTCAAAGTTTTTGGAACATTTTTATATATAGATATCTGGTCAAAGTGTGCTGCACTGCCAACTGCAGTTGAGATTTGAGAGTCCAGAATAGACGGACCAGATGGGCAGCTTCCCTCACAGTAGAGTTTCCCAAAGTGCATTCAGCAGAATACTTGTTTCGAGGGGTGTTAAATGGGATGTTACTAGGTGTTATGAGAAAAGAAACAGAGATAGAGATAAAAGCAGAGCGTGAGATTTACATACTCATATCATATACATATATGAGAAACATTTGAATTAAATGAAGTTAAACAGATTTATTCCTTCAAGATTTTTCAGAACCTTTAATTCACCAACATACTTTGAAAAGGAATAAGAAACAAATTAATTTGATCATTTCTCCGATTTATTTTCTAGAAAACTTCTAATTTGTAAAGCATACCCATGGACTGTTGGTCTTATAAGACCATAGGAAATTGCTGGATTATTAAATGATTATTGAATTGTGCACTCCTGATTGGGCCACACTTTGTGAATTCATAGGTTCCTGTGGGTATGGTGTATATCTGAGATCTCTGCTTGTCCTGAGGTCTGATATACATGTGTTTCTAATTTTTCTCTATGTTATTTGACATCTGGCTTCTGGCCACAGTAGTAATGTTTCCCACTCATTCTCTTGGTTTCCTTCCTTTTTTCAGGCAGTGTTCAATTAGGCAATCAGAAACATCTCAAGATATTTTAAGCAGAGATTTGATTCAGGGAATTGTGTAAAAGGTATTGGAAAGTCGGAAAGCAAATAGGAGAAGGTAGAGAGGGACTGGAACAACCAAAGGACATTTTTGGTTTTGTTTTCTAAATTCATGTTCTTAAAGCTGCTAAGCTAGAGTCACCTTGCTCCTCATACTGAGTTGCTGGAGGTGCTGCTGCTGCCTCTGCTGTAATTGGAACCACACTGATGCCACTGAGTTGGACTCATCCAGGAGGTTGGAGTCTCACTGATGCTGCTGAAATGGCCACCCACGCAGCTAGAGCTCAGTTACCTATAGTTGCCTTCAGTTGCCTGTGGCTGGTACTGTCAATGAGTTGGCCAAAAGGAAAAATAAATGTCATCTCCCTTCTCCCTTATTTCCAACCTTCTGCTATTGTCTCCCATTGAAAGAACTCATTAGGAGGTCAATTGGCAAGGGGGTTTTACAAATGTGGCATGCAAGCCTCCAGCCCTGGTGTACACAGGAGATTATAGAAAGGCAAGTATAGAGATGAAAGCAGCAGACACCCTTGAGTGCAGTCCACTTTTTAAGGTACTCAGCATCCATAAGCACCTTTGTATTCATACTCAAGCTTTGGTACAAAAATAAGAGGCATGAACCTCTCCTTAACAAGATGTACTATCACTTTTTATAAATAGAGACATGTGATTAAACCACTGGTAAAATTTATTGACTTTATAAAACTGTCCACTGTATGGATCCTCTATGTAAAAGCCTCTGCTGACCTGCACTTCTTTGTGTAGCTTGTATCCTAAGGTTCATAGTTAGAGTCACTTCCTTACAAATTTTCTCCACTTCCTAGTCTTTCGCTATTTTCCCTGACAAACCTCAGTCCTAGATCAACCTCAGTCAGCTAATTTCTTCTATATCTGGTCCCTTTGCAGGTAAGTATTACTGGAGAAAACCATGTAAACTAGCAGACTTGTATCAGAATAAGTTAAAATTACTAGCCTCAAGTGAGTATTCTGTATCACCCAGCCCTTCTCTACGAGGTTTGTCCTCTACTCTGTGCAATGGTTATTTCAAAATCCCTGCTTGCTTCCTCACATTCATTAAATAGTACTGGGAAAAAGGAAACCAACAGCTCTGAGCTCTACCATCTTCCCAAGAGAGAGTCTCATATGAATCCACATCTGCACCTGACCTCCCTTCCATCCTTGTGCCGCTGTTCTTCATTCTCTTAAAGGCTAATGCCTTCTGGAATGCAACATCTCTCACTTCCTCAAGATTTCTGTTTTTATTTCAAGAAAAAATTCACACCATCCCTGACAATCTCTGCCTCTGCACTACTCCTGTCACCAGATAAACATGATCACGAATTTTAAATCACAAAAAAAGCAAAACAACTCTCGATGTTCTGTCATTATCTTTTAGCTGCTTTATTTCTCTGTTCCATTTCAGAGGTTGCTTCTGCTTCCTCATTTCCCAATTATTCTTTCCTGTGCCCCAGTTTGGCTTCTTCCACCAACTCTCCACTGAGACTGCGTATGTCAAGTAACCAATAAACTCCATTTAAGGAAATCAAATCGACAGACACTTCCCTGCTCATTTTCCTTGGCACAGCTGATACTTTCTTCTGAAAATTTACTCTTATTTTCTTGTTGTTTCTTAATATAGCTCCTTTTGGAAAAAGTACTTCTACTTGTTGACAGTCTTCAGGCCCATATTTTAGGGAGATGTTCTCTTTCTCTATAATCTCCCTAAAAGTTTTCATTAATTGCCAGAATTCTTGATGACTCTAAAATCCCCATCTCCTGCTAAAAGAATGCCTCTGAGCTTCAGTCTTGAATACATGACTAAATTCATCACAACAACACTTAAATATCTCTCAGGCACCTCAAACCCCAAACCTCTAAAGTTTAGCCTGTGGTTTTCTTTTTCAAATCTATTTTTTATTCAGTGCATTCCTCATCTTAGAAAATGGTCCTATCCACTTATCAAAACCAGATTATTTGAGAATCATCCTTATTTATTCTTTCTTTTGTCCTCTATGCAATGAATCTTCCTCATTCATTTAACCCGTATGACCTATGGATTTCATAGGAAATTATTTCTCTTTATCTTCACGGCTGCCCAACTTGTGCAAGCCTCCATCTTCTTCCAGTTACACTAAAAATCCATCCTCTGGCCAACGTTTTACAGCGCAGTGCATGACCTAACCTTGGTCTACATCTTTAACTTCATCTCCAGTCTTATTTGTCTCCTCATGTACTCTTTTCAAGCAGCCTTGCAGTCCTTTTGGTTTTCCAAATATATCAACTTCTTCCTTGCTTTACGATCTTTTCTCGCCCTGTCTTCTCTTCCTGGAGCTCCCTCCCTCCAGGATATTCTGGCATTTTCTCTTCCTTCATAACTGATCAAAAAATGTTTACCTTTATTGTCTTACTTAGGTCCTCTCATTTTCCTCTTACAGTATTTAACTTTCATCCTAGCACTGATTTCAATGTGTGATTACCTATATATGATTTTGGATTTATCGATTGATTGGATCACTTTCTGAGTTATAAGCTCTATAAAACATGAACTTTATTGATTTCATTTAGTAATAGGTCCATTGCCTGATGCATAGTAGATACTCAATAGTATTTGCTGAAGGAATGAAAGCATGAAAAATAACATCTAAATGGAATTGTAGGAAGAACTCCACAGAGGAGTGTGATTGTTTGATTCTCATCTATTGAGCTCTAACAAGAAGCCCACATAGAGAATTGTTTGGTTTGAAGGATTAAATACAGAGAAGTAAGAATTTTCCACTTTAATTTGGACATTAAACATCTGTGACCAATACTGAGCCTGTCCTCATAGAAGAAGCTCTTTGTCAGCCAAATATTGAAGAGGCTCTGAAAATAACTGCAGACCAAAGCTCCTGCTATGGTTTGAATGTGTCTCTCAAGAAAGCATGTGTTGGAAACCTAATCCCCAGTGCAATGGTATTGGAAGGTGAAACCTAATGGGAAGTATTAGGTTATAAGGGCTCCACCCTCATGAATGAACTTCAATCTCCTGCTCTCTCATGTTCTATTGACATCTTAATTTCTGCCATGAGATGACAGAGCAAGGATACCCTCACTAGATGAAGCCCTTTGATCCTGGACTTCCTAACTTCCAGACCTATGCGCCAAATAGATTTCTTTTCTTTATAAATTATCTGATCTCAAGTATTCTTTTATTAGCAGCAAGAAGTGGATTAAGACAGCTCCCAAGAGAACACCATCATAAAGCTGTTGGCAGATATCTACCAGGATTCCTAGTTTCTTTTAAAATGCCTTGGTTTTGTCTGTGGTTTATTTGTTAATCCAGCATGCTGGGCTTTGCATCACTTTATTGTGTAACAGCAGGCTAGAACTTTTGATATTGTTCAAAGCCTTGAGGAGAAACCAAGATAAATTCCATTTTGAATTTTCTTCTCTTTCTCATGCAGTAGAAATTGAATAGAAGAAAGGATCCCTGAAAAGTAAAAAAGTATATTATTTTCTTTGGCCTGACAACTCTTAGGGGTGGGCAGAAGTTGGGTACTGTTCCTCTGTTAACATGAGGAGAGAAGGACTTTATGAAAACTTCCCCTTGCTTTAGTTGATTAAAGCTCCTTATTTAATCTTATGGGAATAAGAGCAGTAAGGCCATTGACAGGCAACCATAGAGAGTCAACTCTCCCTGGCACACTTTTGCTAATTACAGTCAAGAGCTTGTTGGTAGAGTCAACTACCAATTTAAGAAGATTTAACTTTTAGTATTTTGCCCAAGTTTTATTTTTTAATGGTGCAGTTTTCACAGTACTATTTAAAAAAGAAAGAAATAGAAAATAAAAGATGAAAAACAAAACTTGTGCAAGATCTCTCCATGATTATAATTTGTGTAACTTTATCTGGGTCTGTGTATCTACACTATATTGCTTAAACAAAAGGGCTCGCCTGCGTGCTTGCTTTTGTGGGCTGTGAGGAAAGGGTGAAACATTTGGAAGACTGATTCATACTTTGTAGTCAGTTTTAGGGTGGTGAAAACCAGTCTTCCAATCCAATGGCAGTTTGGATGATGGAAAAGGGTCAAATTTTGGAAAACTCAGTGGTGTTACAGGAAGAAAGAATGAGCAGAGAATGGATGGAGAAGTGACTCTGGAGGTATAGACACAATTCGGCCCATTGAGCTCTATTATTTATTGAATCTTGTCTTTGGTTCATTAAACCAAACCAAAGCTATTGAACATCATAGCTTTTGTGTTTTCTCTTGAGAGCTTTTGCAAAATGAGAGCCTGAAGACTTTAAAAGGTACCAAGTCATAGGAAATAGGAGATAACAGCAATAAGAAAATTGGACAATCACTAGTCCTGTTTTTCAAATGATCAAAATACATTTTATCTAGTTCTCATTTTTTCATATATTTCTATTTTCCTAATTAAAGTTTATTATGAACACCAGGCATTGAGGATCATTGTATTTTGCTCTGGTTGGTGAGACTTTTATAATTACTAAATTATAACCAACTAGGCATGATTAGAGAACTATCTTATTTTAAACAGCATTTTTCATTCTAGTTATAATTTTGACTCTCCTTTTTCTCCACAGTACTGTGTGGAAGACAAAGTTAGGGTCAATACTAAATGCAGACTATACGATCCTGTACTCATGTAGCCAAAATTTAGTTCTAAGTTCCTCAGCATTCAGGGCAATGATGTTATTGGTATTAAAAGACACCTAGTTCTAAATATTAAAGTGAGTTGCTTCAAGGAAGTATAACTGTCTTTGGGACCTCGAACAGTGTCTGCTATGGGTTCTTACACAAAGAAGACATTCTATAATAGAGAGAGATATACCTGCAATACCTTCTCTACAATACACCCAGCAGTGAATTTTGTATGCTAAATCTTATATAATCCTTCAATACAAAAGTTTGGCTAAATCAAGCTAAAGTATGATTGAATATTGGTAAATACATGAAGGAACAAGGAAAGCGGAAAGAAAGAAATACTTTACATTGATTCAACAACAAAAATGTAGAATACCTAGGGAAGTGTGTCATATCTCAGAAATATTATGAACTAGTACTAGAAAGAAAAAGTAATTCTCTCCTTTTTTACTAGAAGACTTTTTTTTTTTTTTTTTGCTGGAGTCTTGCTCTGTTGCCAGGCTGGAATGCAGTGGCGCAGTCTCAGCTCACTGCAACCTCCACCTCCCAGGTTCAAGTGATTCTCTTGCTTTGGCCTCCTGAGTAGCTGGGACTACAGGTGCATGCCACCACGCCCAGTTAATTTTTGTATTTTTAGTAGAGATGGGGTTTCACCATGTTGGCCAGGATGATCTTGATCTCTTGACCTCATGATCTGCCCGGTTCGGCCTCCCAAAGTGCTAAGATTACAGGCATGAGCCACCGGGCCCAGCCTAGAAGATGTTTAAATAGAAACTTGGACTACATTTTTAGACTTTTTTGTTGGTGAAATTGGGCAATATTGACTCCTCTTTGTCTGAGAAACTAATTAAAATATAAGTGTTTTGTATTGCACAATTAGTTTATAATTGGCTTAATTAAGCAGACAAATAGAAACATCACTAGAAGGACCATTTTCTCATTTCAAAGGCAATGCATTCTAAAACACAACACAACACACACGGCCACAAAGAATTGCTAATTGATGGTGTTGAATATTTTATTTTTAGATTACAATAAAAAGAATTTGGTTTACAACTTAAACAAGTGACATTTTATAAAAGGAAAGAATTTTTTCCCCTGAGTAGTTTTGGTAAAGGATAGAATTCTCATTAGGAATAAAACACAGTTGAAGATCCATCCATTTTCTCTTTTATAATGGAAACTTGTGTTTTAGTCCCCATAAATCCTACATATCCCTTAAAAATCATGAAAATGAGCTGACCGTATTAAGTTTATAGGAGTCAGTTAGGGGAAAGGTCTTTGTGGAATTTCTGCCAAAAGGTACTAGGCTGGAAGGAGGTATTTATACTCTATCTTAGCTTGGATTGTGACACACCATTTAAGGTATTATTAAGTTTTTATTGGCTGAGTCAAAGTACATTGAACCAAAAATAAAATGTTCACATTTAGTTCATATTACATATTTCCCGTATCCCTTAAACATCATAACATATCACTGATTTTCGATCTTACCAATTTTGGCAAAACATAAATATTAGTGGAGAAATTTAGATTTTAGTTTTCTCAAGGTAATTGCAAGTCAGGTAACCCAGATATATCTAAATCCTCTTCTGGACTTCTGCCTGTTTTCTGTGATGTTTTTAAGGCAACTGTACATCTAAGGTATAATGTGAATAGAAATCAAAGTATAATTCATTCAAAATTTTTCATCAAGTATCAACAAGCATGCCAGGCACTGTCCTAAAGTGCTAGGGATATTGCAGTGAACAAAAGAGACAGAAATGCTTTGTTATCGAGCTTACATTCTAGTAAGCAAATAAATAAAATGTGGAACAGGTCAGATTCATTTAAAAAATAATCCAGAGTACTTCTTAATATCTCAAAGCAGACATGTGTCAGAGCTGGCCTAGAGCATCTAACTTAGGCTGAAGTCACATGAAAAAGCTCTCCTTTTATCTTTTAATTTATTTACTTATGTATTTATTTTTAAGTTTTAGATTTGTAGGTACATGTGCTTGTTTACTACATGGGTATATTACGTACTGGTGGGGATCTGGCTCCTAGTATACTCATTACCCAAATAGTGAACACTGTACCCCACAGGTAATTTTGCAACCCTTGCTCTTCCTTTGCCCTCCCTGCTTTTGAAACTCCTGGTGTCTATTATTTCCATCTTTATGTCCATGTGTACCTATTGCTTAGTTCCCACTTATAAGTAAGAGCATGTGGCATTTGATTTTCTGTTTCTGAGTTATTTCACTAGGATAATGGTCTTAGCTTCATCCATGTTGCTGCCAAGGATATGATTTCATTCTTTTTTACAGCTGCATAGTATTCCATGGTGTATATATACTATATATTTTTTCATCCAGTCAACTGTTAGTGTTATCCTTATCTTTATTGTACCCCAGCTGGCCACAGTAGTGGCAGTGGTGAGTGTGCCCCTCCCACAACACAGGTGAGAGAAAAAGTAGACAGAAGTTTTATGGCAGTGATTTTGCCCACTACTAAACATAATCATATAATGCCATAACTGAATATTCATAACTTCTTCTTGAGATAGAGCCATTGTATTGGAGAGGTGTTTTTAACTCTCAGAGTTAGAAGTAATGTGGAAAAAGCAAACTTCCCCCTATCCATCACCTGCTGCACAATAAATTATGCATCACCATTTTCAGGAAAATGCTTATTATCCATGTAATACAAACAAACTCTTCCTCTTTGGACTGCACTTCTCCATTGACACAGAACCAGTAAGCAGACTCCAGTGGTGTTCATTGGCTTCATTTTTTGGAAATGTCACAAAACCTAAATTTGAATGTCTGTAGCCCAGGATACATACCTTGGCTATGATCTGCATCAAGAGAATCCCCCTTCAATGCACTCTCACAGCTGTGATGCTTCTTTTTAATTTTTATAGTCAATTTATTTTGCTTAAATGTGGAGTAATGAGGATAAGATTTCCTTCCCCCCTGTAAGAATACAGTCCTACAGTCAGGTAAAAATTTCTTGGTGTACATGGTAATTATCTGAGGAGTATATAACTTCTTGTAAATTGGCTGCTGCTAGTGCGCTAATTCAGAAGGCACTAACTCATTCACAAACAGGATCATTAGAAGCCAAGCCAAATCTACCTGGTACAGTATACCAAAGCTGCTTCAGGACTCCTCTTTCTCTCTCTTTCTCTTTCTCTTTCTCTTTCTCTTTCTCTCTCTCTCTCTCTCTTTCTCTCTCTCTCTTTCTCTCTCTCTGTCTCATTAATTCCATTTTCAGGCGGCTGGAGCAGGTGGGGCATTTTATCTTCTCATTTCATTAATCACTTGTGGGTTGCTGAGGAGAGCTCTATTATTGCCTGGTCAAAAGACAGCATAATCCATAACAGCTTCTAGCAGCAGCAAAGACAGCTGTGGGGCCAAGGTGTTACTATGTAATCAGGCTGAAGTAATTTATGCAAACTAACATGATACATCTGCAAAGGAAACCTGCTTGCTCAACCAGGAGCGAGATGATTACTTTAACCCCCACATGCAGGATTGGCCCCCTGCAGCATTGTCATGTGATCAAAGCTGGCTTTTGCTCTCCTGACATTTCTGCTCTGTATCTTCTCTCCTTCCTACCTTGATCCACACTCCAGTGTCCCAGGATCCTTCCAGAACCCTGCTCTGTCTTGCCTCTATCCCACTAACTGCTCTCAGATTTCTGATCCAGACATTGTTTTCGTAAAAAAATGTATTGCCTCTTCCTAAAAAAAATGCATTGCCCCTTCCACATTTTCTTTTTTTTTTTCTATGGCTAAATTTTAGTTAAAATGTAGCAATTTGAAGGTGAAATTGTGTTAGTGTTACTTGGCACTCCTGAAATTCTATATAGGCTGCTGCTTTTCAACCATTTAATCACTCAAATTTTTCATGAACCTCACAAAAATCTGCATATGTTGACTGTTAACTAATATATTTTATCATTAAAAAAATACAGCCATAACATAACTGCTAAAGTGATTATTTGATGAAGGAGTTGATGTAATTCCAGCCAAAAGCAAAGGACTCTGACACTTTACTAACTTTTCAGGGGAAAATAGAAGACACACACTAGCTCTTTCTGAGATACTTAAAATAGGTTAGGGATCCCCATTACTTGGTTTTCAGAATAGACGGTTTTCAGAATAACTTGTAGGTAAAGTGGCCCAGGCTTCACACTCCCTGAGGAACCCAAGATATAACTCTAGCAACAAAGAGCATTCATTTCGGAAAGCTGGACAAATGATGCTTTATGCTATTATTAAAGGAATGGTGACTGAGGTATTTAGTAAAGAGACTCGAAAGTATTAAGGCTTACTCCTCAGAAGAAGGTTTACAAAACCTTATATTTAAAGACTTTAGGGAAATTTTGTATTCAGTTTTGTTTTTGTTTACAATTAGATTATAGCAGTCAAGTAGCTAGATGCCAGATGATAGAGCAAGTTCCAGGGCTATATACTTTTATGGTATTATTTAATTCTTTAATAACACTTAAATATGATTATCACTTGGTTAGAATGTCAGAAGAAATATCTCCACTAAACATTGGCTGGAATTATTAGTAATTCTGTAGTTCCTCTTTTTAAAGCTGTGCTATAGTAATTTGTTTTAAAACCTGCATCTAGCCTAAGGTCTGGGGCATGGTTTCTCACCGAAATTTACCGTATGTGCTGTGCTTAACCTTTGGTGTGTCATAGACTTGTGTGGCAGCTTGGTGAAGTGCAGGGATCCCCTAACACAACTGTGATTTATTGCTTGTCACAGGGATAATTGAAGAAAATCATACATGTTAGAGGTTAGTAAAAATAAAAATGAAAATTCTTCCCCATCTAAGAATTTGGCCCCTCCACATTCTGTCTCAGATTAAGAACCTCTGCAAGTGTTTTATTTTTGTGAGTTGTTGGAGTGCGGTGAAGATTTGGTGTTGGTTAAGTTTCATGTAACAAGACAATGCAGAGGATTTTTTCAACTATTAAATCAACCCACAATTTTATAACCAGAAATGCATATTGAAGCAGAGCTCTGATGCTTTCTCTGCCTTTGAAATCTTGATTCCCATTCTATGCTGACTTGTTCTGCATCCACCTGAAGTGCATTTCTTTACCCTTTCTACAGTGAATGTATGACTATTGTCCTACTCTATAGAGTTCTCTTTGCTTAAAACAAACAAACAAAAAACACCAAACAAACAAAAGAATCTCCTCTTGATCTTCTGACTTCCCTTCATGTGGACATTCAGTGGCCTCAGGGCTTCTATCATGGCTCTATCTCCCATGAATGGCCCATCTCCAACCCCCATAAAGGAATCTGAACAAATGAGACGGACCGGTTTCTCACATTAATTAGGCTAAGTAGAAGTTTCATGAGAATTTAACATAGTACTTTGCCTTTTGCTCTGACTTCTTTTTGGCAGACAAATAGAGTTACAATACCGTGTGTGAGTCTGTTTCTTTGCTGCTGATAAAGACATACCTGAGACTAGGTAATTTATAAAGAAAAATAGGTTTAATGGACTCACAGTTCCACGTGGCTGGGGAGGCCTCACAGTCATGGTGGAAGGTGAAAAGCATGTCTTACATGGCAGCAGACGACAGAACGAGAGCCAAGCGAAAGGGGTTTCCCCTTATAAAACTATCAGATCTTGTGGGATGTATTTTCCACCACGAGAACAGTATGGGGGAAACCACCTCCATGATTCAATTGTCTCCATCTGGTCCCTCCCAGGACATGTGGGGATTATGGGAACTACAATTCAAGATGAGATTTGGGTGGGGACACAGCTAAACCATATCACCATGCTTTTGTATTTCAGGAATGCGGTAGAAACCTGTTAATGCAGTTCAGGCCACCAGCCTCATTCACATTTTTGTGATGATTCCCTCTAACTAGGATATAGCAACAAACCAAAGTCTAGCACCCTGAAGTGATCTGGCTCCGTGTCGTATTTAGTTGCCAGATAATATACGAGTCAGTTTGTTAACTTACAAGAGAGCAGACTTCTCACCTTCCTTGATGAATCAAAATTTGCTTCCTTAAACATATTGTGCATGTTTCTCTAAGTCTTACAAAATCTTATTGAGGAGAAAGCACAAGCTAGTTGATTACATTGAGTTTATAGCTAACATGGCTTAGGTGATAGAACCTGTGATCGAGAACAGTTTGCCGTACACTTTGCAATCGGGTGACTTCTTCTGTGTTACTTAGATGTACAGTGAATGAATCCATAGTATAAATGTCATATTATACTCCAGCTTATCTGTCAATCTTTTCAAAAAAATTTAATTTGAAATTTCTGTGGGTACATAGTAGGTACATACATTTATGGGATACATGAGATGTTTTGATACAAGCATGCAATGTGAAATAATCACATCATAGAGAATGGGGTACCTATCCTCTCAAGTATTTATCCTTTGTGTTACAAACAATCCAGTTACACTTTTCAGTTATTTTAAAATGTACAATTTAGTTATTATTGACTATAGTCCCCTCTTGTGCTATCAAACAGCAGATCTTATTCATTCTTTCTGACTATCTTTTTGTATCCATTAACCATCCCCATCTTCTCTCTCCCAAGACCCCCACTACCCGGAAGTAACCAGATTCCGGGAAGGTAGTAGAAGGTAACCATCCTTCTACTCTCTATGTCCATGAGTTCAATTGTTTTGATTTTTAGATCCCACAAATAAGTGAGAACATGTAATGTTTGTCTTTCTGTGCCTGGATTATTTAACTTAACATAATGACCTCCAGTTCCATCCATGTTACAAATGATAGGATCTCATTCTTTTTTATGGCTGAATAGTACTCCATTGTGTATATGTACCACATTTTCTTTATCCATTCATCTGATGATGGACATTGAGGTTGCTTCCAAATCTTAGCTATCGTGAGCAGTGCTGCAACAAACATGGGAATGTAGATATCTATTTGATATGCCGATTTTCTTTCTTTTAGGTATATGCTCAGCAGTGGGATTGCTGGATCATATGGTAGCTCCATTTTTAAGTTTTTGAGGAAGCTGAAAACTGTTTTTCATAGCAGTTGTACTAATTTACATTCCCACCAACAGTGTACAGGTGTTTTCTTTTCTCCACATCCTCACCAGCATTTGTCATTGCCTATCTTTTGGATATCTGTTGATATTGCCTAAAAATGATAGATGAAAGCCTATGGAGGAAGGGGGCACAATGAACCTAGGAACTGTGCCATGGAAACTTTGGTTGAGGGAATTGGGGTATTTATCTTGGAAGAAAGAAGACCATGAAAGTAACACTTAAGAATCAGAATTAACAGTCTTAAATAAGTGAGTTTCAATGTATTTTCTATTGTTCTAGAGAGCAGAACCACTAAAAAAAAAGAAAGGCATATTTTAGCTTAATCATTTCACAATGTAAACACATGTAGCCCACACATTGTACTCCGTAAATAATACAATGATTATTTATCAATTAAGAATAAAATTTTTCGGGAGGCTGAGGCAGGAGAATGGCATGAACTTGGGAGGCAGATCTTGCAGTGAGCTGAGATCGTGCCACTGCACTCCAGCCTGGGCGACAGAGCAAGACTCCATCTCAAAAAAAAAAAAAAAAAAAAAAAAAAAAAGAATACAATTTTTTAAAATTGCAAAAAATTAAATGATGTAAATCCACAAGTAAACAAATTATATTAAAAATGAAGGTAAAAATGTTAAAAAAAGAAAGAGATTTCTATTAATTAGATTTTTAAGAAATAAACAAGCAAAAACAGAAGGCAATGACTTCTTGATTCTTTGAAGTCTTTGTAGGGGGAATGGGAGGGGTGGAAGAGATAGTGAAGGTGAGCTTCTGTCTAAATGATGGTGAAATGAGGGTGTGTGTGGGGCAAGTGGACAGTTTCCAAGGGCTCTTTCGACTCCATGATTTATGCTTCTGTGATTTAAGAGGGGATGCCAGAAGGAAGCTTTCACTCTGCAGAAAATGGTTTAATGATCTACATTAACATTTTAGTGCATTATTCATATTTCTGGCATGTGTCTATTTTCTTAAGAACACCTTTCTGGGGGCCATAGCTGTGACTGCCATTAACATAGAATGGTATTTTATTTCTGCAACTCTAGGAACAGAAGGACATATTAAACATTTTTACCATTTTGATCCGTGATAAAAGCATCTCCTCCAACTCCTAGCTCATGGGATCATAAGTTCATATATTTTTTCTTTTTTTTTTTTATGCCACAAGACAATCTAGATGTTTTGTAGAAACTGCGAATGTTAGTCCCATTAAAATGTACACATTTACTAGCCCACAATTTTTGCATATAATTCTAGGGGCATGTGCAACCCCTGAAGCCCATCAACATTAGAGCTGTTTGGGCTGCTTTTATTTCAGTGCAGAAAAATGAACCTTAGGAAGAAACCACAGTGATGCCCTGTTTCCTGGTTTCTCGCTTGCTCCTTGTAGTTCGTTCCACTCTACAGTGTGGCAGAGATCTTAGGCAGCGATCTAGACCATTCTTGTGTTGCTTCTTTAGCATGACTTACCTGGACATCCCACATGACTCCCAGAATACTACATTGGCAAAACGGCCAAAGATGATTGTATAATTTTTAGCATTTTATTAGCCTTAGAAGATTGTTGTTGTTTGTTTGCTTGTTTTGCTTTGTGTTTAGCTAAGCAATATTTTAAGTTGTCTTGTAAAGCATAACTGTCTTCCTTCAAAAGCAAACCTCTAGATAAAGTCCAAATAGCTTACTCAGAAAGTGCAAGAAGTGCTGGTAGAGAAGAGGGAAGACATGAAGGAAAGAAAGTGAATGGAGTTTGTGGGATGTTTGAACACCAACCCACATCAGTCATTGTTTGAAGGATGCTGGAGGTTGGTATCACTTCTTGCCTCCTGAGCATGTAGCAAAGAGGGCTTCAGCATCTGGAGAAAGCTCTTCTGGAAAAGAAATTCAGGAGGAATTCAGGAGCTGGTATTGGGGAGTTGGAAGACTGGTATCCACTGAAGTGGTGGGGCTGTGTGGATATAGATGCGTCACCTACAGAATCTGCTGCAAGAGTTTTTTATGGTGTGCTTGAGGTTTCTTTCAATATATTGCAGCAAACCTAATAATATGTAGAATGAGACAAGTTTGTTAATCTTATTTAAAAATGCTTTCTTTTTTTTAGATTCCTACTTTCTAAAAGTATCTACTATTGTGAGTAGGACTATGTTGTTGCATTTTCTTAGTGGAGGTAAATTGGTTTAAAGGCACCCACAATTCACTTTTGATCATAGGTTCAACTTACGTCAAATGTTTTTCCATAGTTCCTGCCTTTAGGAAACATAATGACTATGAGCTTTATGTCCCTTTAATCTTTTGATATAACCTGGTAAGAGAGTGCTTTTGTTCCCAGGCAGAGTGTGCATTGGAATGCAGTTTTGAATTCTTTAAACAATTGCAATATTTTACAGGTTTAAACACTAGGAGCATCTCCCAGGTGTATGTAAGTGAACCTCTCAATTAATCCAAATGGATATATTCTTTTTATTCCTCCAGAGATGCCTTGTATTGCCTGTGAAAATAATAAAACTACCTAGGTTAGTGCTACAGGACATCCCTGGATTCCATTGTCAAGTGGGACCTACACATTATTAGATCATCCTCCCTGTGTCCATAGTTAATACAGATTCCCATACACCCATAGCCTTCATTCTCCTAAAACATCCAATCTTATCACCTGCCCCTCTTTTATAGCAGATGATTTTCTCTCCTATAACAGAGAAGCCGCAAGAAGTGAACTTAAGTTTCTTGCCACCAAGCCTATAGCAATCTGTACACTCATGCTTCCTATTTCTCCTTCTCTCTCCTCTGAAGGTATTATTTCCACCTCTGTTCAGGATATCTTCTGCTCCTCCCTGCCTCTTGTGACCCTTCCTCAGAAAGCTCACTGCTTTTGATTATTTTTTTCTCTCCCATAAAATGCACCTAAATCTTCCTTGTCTTTGAAAATAAATCACTCCATTGAGCCCATTGCTGTTTTATCTGCTACTCTATCTTCTTTCCCCACTCAGAAACAGTCTCCTTGAAAGACTTGTTTTACACTTGCTCACTATGGTAGGCAGGATAATCGTTCTCTAAAGATATCTGTGTCCTAATCCCCAAAATGGGTAATATATTATTTTACATTAAGGTTGTAGATGAAATTGAAGTTGCAAATCAGCTGACTTTAAGATAAGGCAATTATCCTGTGTTATCCAGGTGGCCCAATGTAATCACAAGGGTTTCTTAAACTCAGAAGAGGGAGGAAGAAAAGTCAGGGTCAGAGTGATGTGATGACCAAGACTTCACAACTACTGCTGGTTTTGATGACAGAAGAGCACCATGAGCCAAGGAATGCAGGCAACTTCAAGAAGCTGGAGAAGGCAAGAAAATGATTCTCCCTTACAGCTTCCAGAAAGAAACACAGCTTTACTAACACCCTGAATTTAGCCCAGGTAGACTCCTTGCCAACTTCTGACCTCCAGAACTGTAAGATGATAAATATGTGTTGTATTAAGTCACTGTTTGTGGCAATTTGTTATAGCAGCAATACAGGCATTGAATTTACTGTTTTACTTCCTATTAATTCTATAATCTGTGAAATAAAGCTTTTACTTTTTAACAGTTTTATCACTCAAGCTTCTCCACAGAAACAGAACCAGTAGTAGCTATCTATCTATCTATCTATCTATCTATCATCTATCTCTCTATCTAATATACGTATCTACACATATAAAGAGATTTATTACAAGGAATTGGCTCACCTGATTATGGAGGTTGAGAAGTCCTAAGATCTGCGATCTGATAAGCCAGAAAATCCAATGGTGTAGTTCCAGTCCCAGTTCAAAAGTCTGAGAATCAGGAGAGCCAATGATGTGGTTCCATTCTGAAAGCCAGGAGGCTCCAGACCCTGAAAGAGCCAGTATCTCAGTTCACATCTGAAGGAAGGGGGAAAATGGCCACTGACATCCCAGCTCAAGGCAGTCAGGAAAAATGAATTTTCTTTTATTCAGACTTTTTGTTTTATTTAGGCCTCCAACAGATTAGATGAGGCCCATCCACATTAGTAAAGTCAATCTGATTTAATCAGCCTACCAATTCAAATGTTAATCTCATCAGAAACACCCTCACAGACACACCCATAATGTTTGAACAAATATCTGGGCACCCTGTGGCCCAGCCAAGTTGACACATAAAATTAACCATCACAAAAATCAACTAGAATTTCTCTTATCAAGGCCACCAACATTTATTTTGTTGCCAAACCCAATGGACACTTTTCAGTCTTTATCCTACCTGACTCCTCATTAGCATATAACATGCTTGCTCTTGATAAGCTTCTCTAATCTCATTGATAAATATGATTACCATCCTAAACACTGTATCTCAGCGTATAAACCCACTTTAAGTCTTTCTTACATGTTTTCTTTCTCTTGCCCCAGAAACTTTGCACCTACTGCTTGCTGTGTTTGAAACTTTCTCTGCAGCCCCAATCCCTGTTCAGTGATCCTTTTACCTGTATAAATCTCACCCATCCTTCATTTTGCTAAAATGAAATCTTGAGGGAAATTATCTTGTGTCTTATAATTATATTCCCAACACCTAGCACAGTCACTGATGCAAAGTTGTTGAACAAATGGGAGAAAACCAGTAAACATGTTTTACTCTGGGGAAAAGTAGAATAAATATTAGTAAGCTTAGTCTGGACATGGGGGCCACACCTGTAATCCCAGCACTTTGGGAGGCAGAGGCAGGTTGCTCACTTGAGGTCAGGAGTTAAAGACAAGCCTGGCCAACATGGTGAAACCCCATCTCTACTAAAATACAAAAATTAGTCAGGCATGGTGGCACACACCTGTAATCCCAGCTACTCGGGAAGCTGAGTCAGGAGAATTGCTTTAACCCATGAGGCAGATGTTACAATGAACTAAGATGGTGCCACTGCACTCCAGCCTGGGTGACAGAGTGAGAATCGTCTAAAAAAAAAAATTAATGAGCTTATAGCTAACCATTTCAGGTAAAGAACAGCGTGAAAACATTGTAAACAATTCTATGAATTTCTTTTGGTTTTAAGGGTAAGCAGATTACTGAGCATATTCAGTAACATTATTAGAGGAAAAACAGGAGACACTCTATTTTTAAAAATCCAAAACCAAAGACATTCAAGAAAAAAAAAGAAACACTCCATTATCTTAACAACTTTATTGAGATATAGTTCATTTACTATTCTAGTGACCCATTCAAGGTGTTGCTTTTAGTATATTCACAGATATATGCAACAATCACCACAGTCAACTTTAGAAGATTTTTTATCACTTTGAAAAGAATCCCTATCCATCACTCCTCATCTCCCATCCCTGCCAGCCCTAAGCAACCACTAATTTACTTTTTGTATCTATAGATTTCCCTATTTTGGACTTTCTACTCTACTTTCTGTATCTATAGATTTTCCTATTTTGGACTTTCATATGAATGAATCATATAATAAGTGGTCTTTTGCAACTGCCTTCTTTCACTTAAATATGTATTTTTTAAGGTCGATTCAAGTTGTAGCATGTAACAGTACTTCAGTCTTTCTTACGGCCAATTAATATTCTATTGTATGAACATTTCATTTATCCATTCATCAGATAATGGATATTTGGATTGGTTTTGCCTTTTGGCTATTATTAATAATGTTGCTATAAACATTTGTGCATAAGTTTTTGTGTGGATATATATTTTCATTTCTTTGGGAGTGGAATATAATGGGTCATATGGCAACTCTATGTTTAATTATCTGGGGAACTGCCAGACTGTTTTCCAAAGTGGCAGCACCATTTTGCGTTCCTACTAGCAGTGTATGAGAGTTCTGATTTTTCTACATCCTCATCAACACTAGTCATTATTTGACTTTTTGATTTAGTCACCATAGTGTGTATGTAATGGTATTTCCTTGTGTTTTTGCTTTGCATTTTTTTCTGACAACTAATGGTGATGAGTATCCTTTTTTGTGCTTATTGACCATTTTTATATCTTCCCTGGAGAAATTTCTATTCACATCCTCCTCCCACTTGTTAATTGGTTTATTTATTTTTTATTATTGAGTTGTAGGAATTCTTTATATATTCTAAATACACGTTCTTTATCACATATATGATTTACAGTTTTCCCCCATTCTGTATTTTCCATGTTCTTGATGCTATCCTTTAAGCATAGAAGCTATTAATCAGATGAAGTTCAATTTATCTGTTTTTTCTTTTGATGCTTATGCTTTTTGTGTGATATCTGAGAACTCTTTGCCAAATTCAAAATCATGAAGATTTACTCTTGTATTTTCCTCTGAGAATTCTATAGCTTTAGCTCTTTTGTTTAGGTGTTTGATACCTTTTGAGATAATTTTAGTAATGGTATAGGTTAAAAGTCCATCTTCAGTCTTTTGCATGTGGTTATCTAATTATTTCAGAACCATTTGTTGAAATTAATAGATGGAAGGGTTTGTTTCTGGACTCAACTCTATTCTGTTGGTCTGTATGTCTATCCTTTTGCCAATATATGCTATCTTGATTATCACTGCTTTATACTAAATTTTGAAACTGTGATGTGTGAGTGTTCTTACTTTGTTCTCCCTTTTCAAGATTGTTTTTGGACTTGGGGTCCCTCGCAATTCCATGTGAATTTTTGAATCAGCTTGCCAATTTCTATGAGTCAGCTGAAATTCAGATAGGATTACATCTAATTTATAGATCAGTCTGGGGAGTATTAACATCCTAACACTGTCAACTCTTCCCATCCATGAATATGTAATGATTTTCCATTTATTTACATCTTCTTTAATTTATTTTATTTTAACAATATTTTGTAGTTTTCAGAGTATAAGTTCTGTATGTATTTTGTTAATTTTATTTTTATGTATTTCATCCATTTCGATGCTATTGTCAATGAAACTTTCTCTTCATGTTCAGAAATTTTTACTGTAAGTAAAAATTACAACAAAAATATAATTTTTTGTTGTAATTTTCTTCTGGTATCCTGTAAACACTCTAAACTCTTTTTTGGTTTTTCTTTCTTTTAGTAGATACCCTAAGGTTTTTTATCAATAAGATTATATCTTCTGAGAATAGAGAGAGTTTTACTTCTTCCTTTCCAATGTTTACGGAACATTGGGTTCCATGATGTCGAGTGAATGAACATTTCATTTTCATTTCATTTTCTTGCTTAATTACTTTGGCTAAAACCTCCAAAACAATATTGAATAGAAGTGATGACAGTGAACGTCTGTGTTTTATTCCTGATCTTATGGGAAACCTCCAGTCTTTCACCATTAAATGTTTTTCCTGTGAGGTTTTTGGTAAATGCCCTTTATCAGCTGAGGATGTTCTCTTCTTAGTTTGCTGAGTGTTTTTATCATGAAAAGGTGCTAGTGTTTTTAATCAAGTGCTTTTTCTGCATCTATGAGGTAATCATTTTATTTTTCTTCTCTATTCTAACAGGTATGCTATACACTGCATTAACTTATTTTTTGATATTAAATCAACCTTGCATTGAGGGAATAAATTCCACTTGGTCATGGTTTACAATTCTCTTTATATGCCAGATCTAGTTTGCTAGTATTTTATTCGGATTTTTGCATCCCTATTCTAAGAATTCTTGGTCTATAGTTTTCCTTTCTTGTAATTTGGTTTTGCTATCAGAGTCATACGGGGTTTGTAAAATGAATTAAGAAGTGTCTTCTCCTCTTCTATTTTTTGGAAGAGTTGGTACATAATTAGCATTACTTCTTCTTCAAGAATTTTTTTTTTTTTTTTTGGAATTTACCATCCCAAAATGGTAATACCAAATAAATGTTAATAACATTTACCAATAATACCAAGTGAAAGGGTAATACCAAGTAAAATGGTAATACCAAATAAATGGTAAATGGAATTTACCATCTTGGCCAGGGCTTTTCTTTGTGGGTTGTTTTTGATTACCAATTCAGGCTCTTCACTTGCTATAAGTCCATTCAGATTGTCTATTTCTTCTTGAGCTCGTTTTAGTGATTTTCATCTTTCTAAGAATTTGTCCATTTCATCTGTTATCTAATTAGCTGGCATAGAATTATTCATATATTCCTTTATAATCCATTTTATTTCTATAAAGTCAGTAGTAATATCTCCTTTTCATTTCTGATTCTTGTAATTTGAGTCTGTTCTCTCTCTCTCTCTCTCTTTCTGTGTGTGTGTGCATGTGTGTGTGTGTGTGTGTGAATCTAGCTAAAAGTCACTCAATTTTGCTGATCTTTTCAAACAACCAAACTTTGGTTTTATTGGATTTCTCAATTTTTTGTCTCTTCTTTATTTCATTCTTCTACTTTTATCTTTATTATGTCCCTTTAAAATTTCTTGCTTTAGGTATGATTTACTCTTCTTTTTCTTGTCTTGGTGTAAGTTTTTTATTTGAGATCATTCTTCTTTCTTAAAATAGGCATTTATAGCCAGACATTTTCCTTTAAGCACTGCTTTACCTGGATCTCATAATTTTTGATATGCTGTGCTTTTATTTTTATTTACTCAAAATATTTTATTTTCCTCTTGATTTTTTTCTTGACCCATTGGATATTTATGTGCATTGTTTAACTTCCACACATTTGTTAGTCTTCCAATGTTTTTACTGCTATTGGTTTCTAATTTCATTCCATTGTGGTCAGAGTACATACTTTGTTTATATTATTCTTTTGAATTCATTAAGGTTCATTTTATAGCCTAGCATATGGTCTATCTTGGAGAATGTTCCATGTGCTCTTGAGAACAAAGCAGACTCTGTTATTGCTGGGTGGAGTATGCTATTGCTTTCTACTAGCTTTAGTTGTCCATCTTCAAAATGGAATACTAATCTTTGCACTGTTGTATTAAGTGGAAGATGTTTGAATCACACTTGATAATACACATAAAACAATTTTGTAATTGGACTGCTATACTAGTGACTTTCAACTGGGGGTTATTTTGTTTCCAGCTATGGTTTGAATGTCTTTCCCATAGTATCTGTGTTGGAAACTTAATCCCTAATACAACAGTGTGGAGAAGTGGGACTTTTAAGAGGTGAATATGTCATGAGAACTCTGCCGCCATGAATGAATTAATGCTGTTATTGTAGGAGTGGGTTCAGTGTGGAGAGTTTGGAGTTCTTATAATGGATGAGTTTGGCTCCCTTCTCTCTTGACATGTTAGAGCAAGAAGAACCTCGTCATATTTGACTTTTTGATCTTGAACTCCTTAGCCTCAAGAACTATGAGACAAACAATTTCTGTCCTTCATAAATTAACCAGCCTCAGGTATTCTGCTATAGCAGCACAATATAGACTAAGACACCCCCTGAGTGACATTTGGCAATGTCTGATGATGTTTTTGATCATCAAAACTGGAAAGGTGCTACTGGCATCTAGTGGGTAGAAGCCAGGACTGCTGCTAAATATTCCACAAGTCACAGGACACCCCTCTAAAATACATGGTCTAAAATGTCAATAGTGCCAATGTTAAAAAACTCCATAGTATTCGTGGGTGGCCCAGCAGTTGCAGAATAAATGCTAAGAGGAGATGGAGGTAATGTTTATAAACTCATGGAGAACATACATAAGGAGAAGTTAGGTTTAGTCTCAATTCATTAATATCTTAAGCAAGGATGTATTCATTTGACTTTGAAAAAGTAAGTTGAAAAACGTATATACTGAGTAGGTCTTACACTATACATGCAATCACATTTAAAAAATGTGCGCAAAATAAAAATTCTAGGCCGTCCATTATATTGTGACATTTTCCCATAAAAATGGTACAATAATAGTAAGAATAATTGGAAAAAAGAAAGCTTATATTTGGGTTCTCATAATAAAAATATGTGTAACACCATAAGTAAAAATTTTTACAACAACCAATGTATTAGAAAGAAATGTAAGACCTATTTGTCTAGAAAGAGGAATAATTTTCAGCTCAAATCAGGAAATTCAGTTTCAAAGAGGAAGATAGGTGTTTTGACAACCTGAAGAGTAAAGCTTTTCTAATTTAAAAGACGTAAACAGCCATCTAAAGCAAACAAAATGGGTAAGATCATGAGAAAGAATTTCTACCATGTAATAATACCAATCAAACTTACTAAAAATACACTTATTAATATTTTGTGTTTCTCTAGAAAAGATGGATCTAGTTTTAAAAACTAGTAAATTATTTGAACTTAAAGGTACCACAGTGTGGGGTTTCTGTGAGTTCAGGGAAAGATATTTCTATCTCTGTTTATTAAGGGAAACAAAAGATGTTATACAGGGCACCTTTGACTTTTTACGAGACACTGAAAACCACTTCTGATCTACCTCAATATTTTTATCGCTTACATTCCCCAAAACAGAATGTAATTCTAAACAAGTACGACATTTGGATGTTATTATAACTGTGATTATTCTGATATTTCTGAGTTTGCAATATGTACCCTCAAATCTGATTCACTCCTACATGTATCCCGAGAAGGCATAAACACAATCACAGGAAAATGACAATTTCCTTTACTAAGCCATATCTCTGGTACATTCATTTTAGTCAAACTTCTAACTTCGCTGTCTTTCAGGAGCTTTAACGTTTTCAAAAGCTCCTTAGAGAATCTTTCAAGCAAAGGGGACTTAGAGTCACACATTGTGAGGCTGAACAGTCAATGGGAATGCAGATAATAAGAACTTAGCAAACCATTAGCATGCAGCTGCTTCATTTCTTAGAGAACAATTTTTTTGTACAAGTGGACCTCATTCTTTCCGGGTTGCATTTACTGCAGAACACCTCAGGAAAAGGCACCATTTGCAAGATTTTTAGTAGAATGGACCATCCCCAGAACTTTTCAAATAGCTCACCCTCAGTGTTGCATGTGATAAAGATCCATAAATTTCATGGGATTCTTTTTTTATAATAGGCTGCTAATCACCCTTGATCCTATGATAAATTTAAATACTAACTAATCCACTTTGAATAGGGATTAAGCTTCAATGTAGGAGGAAAGTATTCATTAGAATTCATTATATCAATTTGTAATTTGAATGATACATCTTCTAAATAAGATACTGCAGTTTCTAGTCGTTGTTAACTGGGAGCTTAAACATCCTTATCATTAATTAATGGAAAGATAAATAAAATCTGTAACAATTGAGGGAATGCTTACCCCCACCTCCCTTAGCTTCCTAAAGTATCTAGTTATGATTTTTAAGATGAACAATGCTAAAATAGAATAATCACCATAGTAGAAGGGAAAAATAACAAACTCAAGTTTCTTATGTCAAGGATAATTTGATGTGCATGAAAAATGGAATACATATTGCGGACTTCCTTATTTTGATGTATGCTTTATTCATGTTGATCTCATTGTTGTCAAATTATCTTATAAATTCAACATGGAAATCAGATCAGATAATCATCTATCACTGTCTTACATTTTCCATATTTGGAATAAAAATATCTAATACCACTGAGCTAAAGTTGAGTAATAGCTTCCAAACCTAAGTAATATTTTATTCCAAGTAATTGCTACTGTAGTACAATGATTTAAATTTTGATCTTAAGATATTTAAGTCATGAAATCAGAATGAATTAGACATTCCTCTTTCTCTCCCTTTAAAAAAATAAAGACTTCTGTAAGTAGTCATTTGTGAACTTAATGAAGAACATTAAATTTCTGGGGCCTCAGTACTTAAGAAAGTACTTCATTCAACTGAAAACACTAAATCATGACTTAAGCAGAGTAAATTGTTCTTAAGTTTTAATGCTATACTTGTGTAGACTGTCATAAAACTTGATGTTCAGAATTTGTATTCTGCTGAATTTTGTGGCTTTTTAAAAGTAATTTTATCAAGATTGATAGGAATATAATAGCGAATGCGTGCTTGGCACTTGATGTGTGCCAGGCACTGTGCTAGTGCTTCATGCAAATTAATTCTTTTAGTCCCCATAACAGCCTTGTAATGCAGGTACTGTTGGAAATATCATTTTATAGATGATGAACATAAGGCTAGAGATTAAACGTATCCAAGCTCACACAGAGGGTTCATAAGGGAGCTGGGATTCGAACCTGGTTAAAGTGGCACCAGAGTCTGTGCTTCTATATATTCTGTTATATGTACAGTTTGTTGGATGCTCTATGTCTCTGGTATGTTCATTTTAGTCAAACTTCAAACTTAGCTAAGTCTTTTATGTCCTCCCAGCGGTCCACTTCCTATGTATTTGCGCATGTTTTCTGGCTTCCATAGCAGAATAATCTCCTAGTCCTCTTCTTCAGCTCATGATTGAATTTTTTTAAGCTTGTGTCTCAAAAGGAGCCCAACTCACTTTCATAACCCTAAAGCCACTCTGGTGAAAAGTGCCATCATTGCAGGCAATTTCCAGAAAATTTATTCGATTCTTCTATTTATCATCCTACTCTTCACTTCCTTTTTTCCACCAGTTAGGTCCTGACCTCCTAGCATGCTTACATAATAGAACTGGTGGTAAATTTTGACTTCTTTGATTTTTGACCCTAAGTCTTTCATAGATGACAGCTTGTGTATTATTCCCTTCATTTTCTGCTGCTGGTCTTATATATCATTTTATTCTCTGTATCTTCCTTGGTTTATATTGTTCACATGTTAATGAAAATTGAATTGTTTAAGTAATGCATATACTCTGAAGTGTCAGTGCCTTAACGTAATAAAGTCTCCCACCTCCGCCTCAGCTCTGATGCCAGGAGCAGATGGTATCCAAGGGAAAAAGAGTATGGTGGATATACGCTGATTCTCAACTGCCTTAACCCCAGAGTGACATATGTTCTGGTTGAAAGTAGTTTATTGCTACAACTTAAGTGAGAGGGTAAAAGGGAAGCATAGGGGACCACACAGAATGTCTGGTGAGTATTGCCGATCTTTCCCACAGTATACTAAGACCTCAACAATTTTTTCTGTATAAGTTATCAAACAGTCTTTTATCCTATTCTGTAAATGAATTTATAACCTGCTTAAACTATTTTCTCTTGTACTATTGACATGTAGTAAAGATGACTTTACATCATTGAAAGCCTAGAGTACAGGATATTTTTAATACTAATAATATAATAATATTTTGCAATATTAGTAATAAACATTAGCAGATTCAAAGTCAGGCAATAAAGGTGACATTTAGTTAGGTCCATGAGGACATAAGGAGAAAAAATTAAAAAGAAAAAATACCTAATTGTACCAGTGTGTTGCATTTCCTCTCAATTTCTCTTGCCCTATCTTCCATAAATTTTATAAAGTGGAGCATAAATATCAAGGAAATTCCCATAAGAGTATATTACAGACCAAAACAACTAACTATGTTATTGTCTCAGTGTTATGGGGAGTCTCTTGTATATGGAATTCTGAGGTAGGCAAGCTGTATCTGATTGTCCAGGCTTATATAATGGTTTTTCAAAGAACAGAAGCAACATTTCAGTTTGAAATCCCTTTGTAAATAGGTAAAACTGTAAATATGCATATTTATTTGTATCTTTATAAGACAATGAGGGTGCAAATATGAGGTTATTTCTTGTGAAAGGGTAAATATGTCTTCATGGAGATTGATCTTAGAAAAGAGCAAAAGTGTTTTTGTTTTAACCTGGTCAAAGACCGCTGTCATATAAAACGAATGAGATCTCCAACTTGAAATCTCCTTTACATGATTCAGTCTTCTCTAAATGTCTAAAATCCTCATATTGTCACTTTTCTCCAAGATCCTCAAATTTATACTGACCACCACATGAATGTTCTCTATGGTTGGGCTTTCAGGTTAAATGATGCCACCAGCCAAAAGTATAATTTCTACTTCCATTGCCACATCAAGCGAAACAGAAATACTAGATACTGGATAGGAAGAAAAAATAATATAATTATAGATTATTGGCACTTGCTATAAGGAGAAAGTAACTTTTAAATTGATCAATCACGTCTATATTTCTTCAAATCATATAGACTGCTTGGAAGACAACTTTAAGGAACTAATACCTGCAAAACTGTTAGTTCATATTAAGAAAAAACAACAAAAATAAGCTTTAATGTTTTGACTTTCTTTCCCTTTTAATTTTACATTTTATTTTCAAGATTAACTTTTGATCCAATCGGCCTTTATTTTTTGGTTTTAGCCATTGTTGATAGAATTTATAACCCGTTTTTGGAGAGTGAGTTTTACATACAAGCATTTCGTTGTGGTAATTAACATATCTTGTTTTATTTTATTGTGAAATATAATTTTTTGTCCCATGTTCACCTAACATTTGTAGAGTAAGCCTAAGCTATGAATGCTTTCTAAAAGTTTACATCGAAATATTCCTGTCAACATTGGAGAAAGTAGTAAGATTACATTTTTACCACTAATCATGCAAATGAGGCTCAGCAGGAGACAGTTTACCCAGTCAGGCATTCCATGGATTCATACTGAACTTTCTTCAAGGACTAGTTGGCTGAATAAAATACCTTCATTGTCCTGAAATTTGTCCCAGTCAAATCCTCTCTTTCAAATCCTGCACAATAGAAGGCTTGGGTCCTCACCAAGTCCTTGTTTACATGTTTAAGCACATTTTTTTTTCTTTTCCTATTCTTTTGAAAAATTGGCCCTGCCTATTGGCATCCAAGCTACCCATCCCCATGTAGAGGTTGGTAATCTTCTGGGTTGGAAGTTAGTGAGGATCATAATTTGTATATATTAAAAAAAATCAGACATGCCACTGAAGGATCAGGCATCAAATGGTTTGGCTCTTCTTCATGAAGTACAATACAGTAGTAATTCTCCTGTTACCAGAATGGAAAATCTTATTGACTGTGATCCAGCCAGACTTTAGGAAACCCTACCAATGTCAAGAGCTGAGTTTGCAAAGTGATGGCCATAGTCCGTATTTGGTAGAAGGCTGTGTTTTGGCCACACTCACATGCTTTGTTTTGCCTTACATATATTAGGGCCCACATTTTTAAAAAAGTCAGGATATTTTGCAGAAAAGTTCGGATTTAAGTGTCTCTTCAAAACTCAGAAATTCCAGCACACAGAACCTACATGCCCTGCATTCAGCTAGTAGTGCCTAGTGCCTGCCCTCTTTGAGCGAGGCACATGGACTCCAGATCACATTTCCTCTGCCGCCCACCCCAACTGTCAAGTGTCCTGTGAGACCTGCTTCACTCATTGGCGTGACCTGCCTCTCCCCCGCAGCACTTGACCTTGTGACTCTCTAAGTTGTTCTTGTTCTAAGCGTGGCCTCAGTGCCACTTTCATCACAATCACCTGGAGTGTTCACTAAGTTTGTAGATTTGGGGGCCTCCCATTTCTGGGCCATTACATAATCTGAATGTAAAGAAGCTCCAGAGGAATGAAATATACCAAATTTTGCAAATCACTAGTGTAGTTCACTGGATATTTAGTGGACATGCATATGTAAATCATTTGGTGATTTTGTTTTTAAACTACGAGCCTTTGACTCCTGACCCAACACCCTAACCCCTCCTACCTTCTGCATTGTTTGACTTTTAATTATATGTAATATATTACATGCAATATATTCATGGGCAATATATGTATTATATAAACTATATGTGATTTATTATTTATAATTATTAATTATATACATTATATTAATTATATGTAATTTAAATGTATGTAATAGTATGTAATATATTTATTTGCACTATAATTATATGTATATTTAATTATATGTAATATAATTTATGCAATAGGTAATACAATTCATGCAATATGTAATACATGTAATTTAAAAGTAAATTACTAAATATTAAATACGTTAAGTATTAGCTGTATTAAATATTAAATACATTAAATATTAAATTAAATTTAATACATTTAATTATATGTAATTTTTAATTATATAGAATATGTACATATACACGTACATATGTAAATATGTATATATACATTTAATTAGATAGAATATGTATATGTGCATATTCCATATGACTCAGGAAAAAGTGTTGCTCCTATAAATATAAAATTTGAACCAAAAGTAATCTTTTTTGAGACGACGTCTTGCTCTTGTCACCCAGGTTGGAATGCAATGGCGCGATCTCAGCTCACTGCAATGTCCCGGGTTCAAGCGATTCTCCTGCCTCAGCCTCCCGAGTAGCTGGGATTACAGGCGCCTACCACCACACCTGGCTGATTTTTGTATTTTTAGTAGAGACGACGTTTCACTATGTTGGCCAGGCTGGTCTCAAACTCCTGACCTCAGGTGATCCACCCGCCTCTGACTCCCAAAGTGCTGGGATTACAGGGGTGAGCCACCACGCCTGGCCTGAATCAAAAAGACACCTGACTGGCTGTGTTCTTGGGCAAGCAGAATCTGAAAGTGGTGGAGTTCCTGCACATTCACAGTGCATTCCTGAAACTCGTTTCACCTCCCTTTTCTTTCTCCGGTCAAGTTGTATTTGCTTTTTATCTTTCCCTATTGGGAAATTACTGTGTTCACCTGTCTCATAATTTTACAGCAAGTCTACATAAACTTAGTGATAAGTATCTTACAAGCCACAGGAGTCTTCATCTTCTTGTCCTTTTTCCTTCATTTTACAAGATTAAGCGCTAGAAAAAGCTTTTATCCCTCTGTGAAACTAGACATTTTAAAGCTAAATATTGAGGGTTATATAATTTACTGTGCTTCTTCTCTTTTTATTTGGGTGAGCAAGAATTTCAAAACCAAATTTAAAACTCAAATTTAATAATTGTTTAGATCTCTATGACTGGAGTATCTGCATTTTAACTTCAACCCTACTTGGAATCATTTGTTCTAATCTTTTTGAACCTATTTCTGAGAATTATTTTAATATGTTTATATTATATGTATATTTTAAATGGTTAATTTAAAAAACTGAATGTAAGTGGGTGTGTAAATGCAAAAAAAAAAAAAAGCTAAGAAGCCTAATTGATTTTCTTTGAGCCAATAAGTTTCAGGCTAATGTACACTCTTATAATTAGTTTTTACTCACTTTTTTTGTTGAATGCCAACTGATCATCATACAAGGCAAACAAATTTTTTAAACTGAAGTCCAATTTACATATCAAAAAATGTGCTGATCTTAAGTGTACGGTTTCATGAGTGTTGACAAATGCACATAATCATTAACTTGTACCACTATCAAGCAATGAAATATTTCCATCAGTTCTCTCATAATCCTTCCCAGTTAATCTCCAGCATCCAGAAACAATCACTGGTCTAATTCTTTTTTTTTTTTTTTTTTTTTTTTTTGAGACGGAGTCTGTCTCTGTCGCCCAGGCTGGAGTGCAGTGGCGCAATCTCGGCTCACTGCAAGCTCCGCCTCCCGGGTTCACGCCATTCTCCTGCCTCAGCCTCTGGAGTAGCTGGGACTACAGGCGCCCGCCGGGCGTAGGCCCGGCTAATTTTTTGTATTTTTAGTAGAGACGGGGTTTCACCATGTTAGCCAGGATGGTCTCGATCTCCTGACCTCGTGATGCGCCCGCCTCAGCCTCCCAAAGTGCTGGGATTACAGGCGTGAGCCACCGCGCCCAGCCTCACTGGTCTAATTCTTATCATCATAGTGTAGTTTTGCCTATTCTAGATCTTTCTGTAGATAGAATCATAGTATGAACTCTTTTATATGAGGCTTTTGTTCACTCAGCAAAATGTTTGTGAGACTTATCCATGTAATTGCTCATATTTGTAATTGCTCATGTTTTTAATTTGTTCATTTTTATTGCTGAGTAGTATTCCATTGTATGAATATGCCACAGAATTTTCAGTTCTATTTAAGGAAATCAGGCTGTTTCCAGTTTGGGGTTATTATAACAGAAACAGAAGCTGCTAAAAATATTCCTATACAAAGCTTTTTGCGGTTGTATTTTTTCATTTGTCTAGATACATATGCAAGAGTAGAAGTGTTGGTTCTTAGGGTAGATGTACTTCTAACATTTTAAGAAAGTACTAGATTTCCAAAGAGATTTTACTGTTTTACCTTCCCATTGGAAATAGGACTCTGATTGTTCCATATCTTCACCAGGATTTAATGTTGTCTTTTCTGTTTAACTTCTAATAACACTATAATGATATCTCATTAATTTGAATTTCAATGATGGCAAAGGATATTGATTACTGTTTCACGCATATATGTGCAATTCACATATCTTATTTTGTGAAGTGTCTGTTCAAGTCATTTTTCCATTTCTTTGGTGGAGAAGTTGTTTTTCATGTTATTAATGAGTTGTAGGAGTTAGTTCTTTGTATATTCTAGAGATAAATTAGATATATAGGACACAAATATTTTGACTCATACAGTATATATATTTTCTCAATGTTTTGTTTCTTTCGATGAGCAGAAGTTTTAAATTTTGATGAATTCAAATTTATCATTTCTTTCATCATTAGTGTTTTCTGTTTCTTCTCTGTGAAATCTTTGCCTACTCCCAAATTATAAAAAATTCTCTATATTTTATTTTCTGAAAGCTGTATAGATTTAGTTTTACATTTAGCTCCAAGATATATATAAAATTAATTTTTGTGGATGGTGTGAGGTCAGTGTGAATATATGGATATTTTTCAAAACTGTTTGTTAAAATACTTTTATTTCCCTATTGAATTGTTGGGGCTCTGTTAGTGTATATCATTTTACCATATATGTATGGGTTTATTTCCGGAGTCTCTATTGTGTTCTATTGATATACTTCTGTTATTTTGCCAGTGTCATACTCCTTTTATTTCTATAACTTTAAAGTAAGTCTTGAAGGCAGGTATTCTTCCTATATCATCCATCTTTTCTAAGATAAATTTGGTTATTTTAGGTTCTTTGCATTTCCAGAAAAATTTAAAAATAGGATTGTCCATATCTACAGGAAGTTTTTTGCTGGAATTTTGCTCAGAAGTGCATTGAATCTATAGGTGAATTTGGTGACAATTGACATTCTGGCATATTGAGTTTTCCAAATCCTTAAATATGGTGTATCTCTACATTTCTAAGCCCTTTAAAATTTCTCTAAGCAATATCTTATAGTTTTCATTCAGAGATACTATATGTCTTTTGTTAAACTTATCCTGAGTGTTCCATATTTTGGTGAGCAACTGTAAATGTTATTATACAGTAATTTTAATTTTGGTATAATTACATTTCTAAGCCTTTTAAGATTTCTGTCAGCAATATTTCAGAGTTTTCATTCAGAGATACTACATATCTTTTGTTAAACTTATACTGAGTATTTTATATTTTGGTGAGCAATTGTAAATATTATTATACAGTAATTTTAATTTCATTATCCAATTCTTTATTGTTAGTATAAAGAAATGTAATCGATTTTTTTCATTAACTTTATATCTTATGACTTTGTTAAATTTACTTAATAGTTGTGGCAATTTTTTACAAATTCTTCATATCATCCTACATAATCATGCTATCTTTAAATAAAGACAGTTTTCTTTCATTCTTTCCAATTTTAAACCATGAATTTAATTTACTACCATATTGCACTCACTTAGGGCTTCCAGTACAACACTAAATAAAAGTTGTGAGAGAAAGCATTCCCGTCTTATTCCAGATAATAGAGAGAAAGCTTTCAAAATTTAATCATTAAATATGACAGGGAGTGTAGGTTCTGTATAGATGACTTTTATCAGGCTGAAGATTTTCTTCTATTCCTAGTTTGCTGTGAAGTTTTTTTTTTTTAATTCTAAATGGAAATTGGATTTTGTCAAATGCTTTTTCAGCATCTATATTATATAATATTTTCCCTTTTAATCTGTAGATGTAATAAATTATATCTATAAGTTATATTTGTTGATTTTCAAAAATTAAACCAACCTTGCATTTTTCCATTATATATTATCCATTATATAATATATTACATATATTATTCCATTATATATTATTTTTTAATATTTTAAAATATATTCCTGGATTTGATTTGCCAATATTTAATTAAGAAGTTTTGTGTCTATGTTTGTAGGGGTATTTGTCTGTAATTTTCTTTTCTGATGATGTTCTTGTCTGACTTTTGTATCCGAATTATTCTGACCCCATAAAATGAGTTGGTAAATGTTCTCTCCTCTTCTACTTTCTGAACCAATCTGTATAGAACTGATGTTATTTCTTCTGTAAACGTTTGATAGAATTCACCAGTGATGACATCTGGGCTTGCTTCAACTTTTTATATAACAAATCTGGTTTATTTAATCCACCTAGATATGTTATCATAATTTAGTTTTTATTGTGTCTGTTTTGGTAAATGGCATGTTTCAAGGAATTTGTGCATCTTATGTATATTGCTGCATTTATCAGCATAAAGTACTCATGATTACCTTTTATAATCACAAGGCCTGTAAAATCTATGGTTACAACCCTTCATTCAATGTTGGTATCTAAAGTTTGTGCTTTGCTCTTTTTTCTTGATGATTCTTGTGATAATTTCTATCAATTTTAGTAATCTTTTCAAAGAAGCAAATGACTTTTTTAATAATGTTTGTTCATTAATTCACTAATTTCTGTATTTTTTTCTCCCATTTTGTTCTGTTTACTTTGTATTTAATTTACTTTTTTCCCCTTCACTTCTTAAGATATAAACATAGATTATTAGCTTTATATCTTTCTTCTTTTCTCCTATAGGGAATAAGCTATTAATGTCCCTCTAAGAATGCTTCAGTTGCATTTGTTGCATTATTTCATAGCTTTTGTTTTTTTCACAGCTATATTGCTGGATTTTCAGAAAAAAATATTTCACTTTATGGCTTTAATTATAGCATTGATATTTAAAATATATAACATAGCAGTGCTTTCGGGGCATTGGTAAATAGCTCTTCCAAAATAATTTGAATCACATAGCATATTTTTCTGGAAAAGAAGCTTTCAGTTTGAGAAAACTATCATACTTTCTAGGCTAATTTTAAAAAAATCCTTATTTGAAAATAGCAAGCCACCAAATTGCATGTAAATTGTATGAATTATTATAATTTTTCTTGCTGAGCTGGTAGCTCTCTGTTAACATTGGTTTCAACATTCAAAGGGGAAGAACAAAAACCTGAGTCAAAAATAATTTTAGAGGCTATCATCTTTTAATGTTAGTCAAATCTTTGACCAAACTCTCTTATGATCAATTTCTTCTTAAAAACATCAATGTATGTTTATTTCAATTGCTCCAAACTGAAATATAAGACAGTTTTTGTTTTCAAACTTTTTTTCCAGTTATTTCACAGTTATCATTCAATGTCCTGAAAATTCTGCTTACTTATTGAACAAACAGGAACCTGTTTAATGTAGCCAGAGTAATTTATTATATTGCTGTTTGAGGATTCCTCACATAATGCATTATCTGTTTCCTTTCATGTCTCTGTACATTAACGTTTATATATTTGATCATTTAATGTTAGACTCTAAAGAAATGGGTCCTTAGTTAGTAACAATAGAGTTTAAGCCAGTTGTAAAGGAAAAGAGTGCAGTTTCCTGGAGAAAAGATACATATGAAAACAATCACACATTGATTCTCATTTTTGTGTTATATAAGTGAGTTTGGACATTGAATAGAATGTGTTGCTGACATCAATAGTGGCACTTTAGCTAACTAACAGAAAGTGCTCATATCTTGCCATGAGGGTCAGGAAAAATGGATAATATGTGGAAGTAATATAGTTACCACTGGGAAATGCCAGAGGTTAAATGTGCATATGGGAGAATAAAGAATGGGCTACTGTTCAAATTGAAGTAGAGGCCGGGCGCAGTGGCTTATGCCTGTAATCCCAGCATTTTGGGAGGCTGAGGCGGGCAGATCCCCTGAGGTCGGGAGTTTGAGACCAGCCTAGTCAACAGGTGAAACCCTGTCTCTACTAAAAATACAAAAATTAGCTGGGTGTGGCTAGTAATCTCGGCTACTCTGGAGGCTGAGGCAGGAGAATCGTTTGAACCCAGGAAGGGGAGGTTGCAGTGAGCCGAGATTGTGCCACTGCACTCAAGCCTGGGTGACAGAGTGAGACCCTGTCTCAAAAAAAATAAAATAAAATAAAATAAAAAGGAGAAAAAGAAAAAAATTGAAGTAGAGAAAAACTTAGAAGTCATTAGAGGTATGTGTAAAAGAAATGACAGTTAATTTAAGAAAAAAATGGGTAAAATGTTTGAGGAAGGGATTCACAGAGGAAGAAATAGCTAATAAACATAAGAAAAGATGTTCACCTACAGTGGACATTAGGTCAATGCATATTTAAATGGTGTGCCACTTCATATCCATCAGATTAGCCAAAAGTGAAATGCATGAAAGTAATGCATTAATGACAATATGGAACTCCCATATACAACTGGTGAGAGGGTAAAATGATACAATCATGTTGCAAAGCAATTTTGCTGCAACTTTATGCTGGATACTTTCTATTTACTCCTCCACTTCCACTTTCCCTCTTTCTTTGCCTAGCTTTTTGCTCTGGGGGTTGACCTTACATCAAGAAAGCTCCATGGTTCTTTGGCTTACAGTTGGATTCAATTGTAGATTGGAGTATGTAAGGGAAGTAAGGTCATGGTAATTGTCCTCTTGCCCCTCTCACGTGTGTTTGCTTGTCCTATCCCTTAAAACACATCCTGTCAGACATTTCTCTCCATAGAGTGATGTGCTCCAGATCCTTCTGTTTTCTTTCCTTGCTACTTGAGGCTTAAAAGGGTGATGACTCTGTTCTTGCTAATGCCAGAGTACTGCACTATTTTTTAGGTCTCTAAACACTAACAATACCTATTGAGTAGTTTTTATTAAATTCCTCTTAAATTTTCCAGTTTGAGTGTGCCATCTGATTCTTGCTAGAATGGAAAAGGATATCCCTGATAAAGTTGAATGAGTGCATGGGTATGACCCAGCAATAGCAATTATTAGACATATTTCCTTAAGATAGATTTGCTCAATCAGTTATACATAAATGTTTATGGTAACATTATTTGTAATAGCAAAAGTTTAAAACAATCTAAGCATCCAAAAACATATGATAGATTAATACATTGAAGTATGTAACATTATTCAGCAGTGAAAATGAAAAAAGTAGAGCCAATGTACCACCATGGATAAAACTGAAAAGTATAACTTCTAGTGAAAAAAAGGATATGGACAGAAGGAAGCCATGTATATACAAATTAATACCCATATATGACTTTTACTTTATATTATATATATATGTAAGAATAAAGTCATATATGAGAATTATAATTCAAAATTCAGGAAAGTGATTATCTCTAGGGAAGAAGAAGAATGAGGTTGTGTAGGAATCCACAAAGGAATTGAAAGTCTAATGTTTTATTTTTTTAGATGGTGGAGGTTGCAAGAGTGTTCACTATATTATTACATAAAATATTTTACTTGCCTGAAATAGTTGATAATTTAAAAACATTTTAAAAGGGCAGAAGTATTGACCAACTTACAAGAAAAACAATAACAACAACAACAACAAGAAAAGGAGCATGGCCCCTGTCCAGAGTTTCAAATTGGACTTGAGTTGCTTTGTCCATACTTTTGTCCCCATAGAAATTGTGATTCCAGCCTTCTAAAATCCTTCTTAATTATCAGAGGATTACGCCATCTGGTGATATCCCACATATCCTTTTGTAACATTTGTGCAGTTTTGGTTAGAGTGGAAATCCTTCGTCTTTTAGCTATTTGTTCTGGACACTGGCAAGGACAAGTATGGATTTAAGTGACGGCCCTCCTGTCAATTTCTTACTTAGATCCAGCTGCGAACATTTTCAGTGCTGCATAAGTCAAGAAACCAGAAGACCCCGATGAGGCCACTCCTTGAGAGCTCAAGGATGAACATCTCCAATTGGGCAGCAATTGCTGCACATTCACTCCTCTCTTCTTTCAGAATAATGCCTTTCCATTTGGTATAAGATGTATATTATTACAATGATAGCAGGGGAATTTGAAAATTTTTGCAATATGGAGAAGGAGTATAACATCTAACTAAACTTTGTCAAAATTTATTCTTTAAACTATCTGTTATATATCCCAAGACACAAATGGGCTAAACGAGATCCTTAGGTTTTTCTTAAAAAAGCAGGTAAATTATTATTATTATTATTATTATTATTATTATTATTATTTTGCCATGTTAACCCAGAGATGCTGGAAAATACATAGTGCCCTTATGGTGGTAACAATTGATACACTATATCACAAAATAAAGTATTTATTCTTATTGATAGCATTGGAATAGGTACATACTATAGATCTTTAGCAAATTACTGAACCCTGTGCTTCAATTCCATCATTTTAAAATGGGAATGACAATCGCACTAACATCACAGAATTGCTGTGAGGATGAGCACTGGAAAGAGAGCCTGGATAGGCAACTACCATGTGATCTGTCAATTGCGACCCTACACATTTACCCCAGAGAAATGAAAAGCTGTGTTCACACGAAAATCTGTACACAAATACTCATAGCAGCTTTATCCATAATGGCCACAAATTTAAATAATGTTTCAAAGTGTAGATTTTATTATTGTTTAAGTATGATGAGGCCAACAGATCAGGAGGTGACTGCCATTGAAATGGTGGTTTGTTACAGTTTGTAAAAGGAGGGGGCATGCCACACTGTGCAGTGCCATATGAGGAAGCATCAGGTTTACTGGGGAAGCAGAGGGAGGGGAGAAAATAAGAACGTGAACCCTTATTGTAGTTTCCACAGGAGGGAATGAGTGAGGCAAAGCAAACAGGCTTAGGATTGGCTAGTTTGAATAATTTTAGCAGGCTGTGGGGTGTAAGTACTGTCTGGTACCTGGCCCTGGGTGATTAGGGTAGGGAAATATTGGCTTGGAATATAAGAGCCTGTGATATTATGATTATATATGTGTATTTGTTTTTATCCATGGTTCCTGGCTCATAACTCCCAGAGCCCTTATTACAGTCTTTTGTTATAATGTTGGGGGTACTTTAGGCCTCAGGAAACAGAATCTCTTTCTCTGACCTTCTCCTGTCCTCCTTTTATCTGCGCAAGGCAGGGCTCTGATTGTAGGTCAAAAGACCCTCATTCCAGAGAGGGTCCTGTCGATGTTCTGGAGGAAGGAATGCTGCCCAGAGAAGCCAAGAAGAATCTAAACAGACAGATCTTGCTAGGTTTCCCCATTCAGTCCATTAGTATGAGATCATACCCCTTTTGTCCAATTACATTTCCACACAGTTGCCACTCATGACTGTGTAATGAATCCTCCATTAAAACCCAAAAGGACAGGATTCAGAGAGCTTCCAGATGGCTAAGCATGTAGAGGTTGCTGGAGGGTGGTGCGCTCAAGGAGAGCATGGACTCTCTGAGCCCTTTCCCCCAGGCCTCTCCTATGCATCTCTTTATCTGTATCTTTTGTAATATCTTTTATAATATACCGGCAAAATATGTGTTTCCCTGAGTTCTGTGAGGCACTTCAAATTAATCAGACCCAAAGAGGGAGTCGTGGGAACCCCAACTTGAAACCCCAAAAGCCTGGACTTGCAACTGCTGTCTGAAGGCAGGGGCAGTCTTGGGGACTGAGCCCTCAACTGTGTATGTATGGAGAGGAACCCCCAAACATTTTGTCACAGAAGTCTTCTGTGTTGATTGTTGTGGTGTGAGAGCAGAGGAAAAACACTGCTCTAGAGTGGTAATTTGCATATGAAAGGTGCACCTGCATATGCAAGCTATGGGCTCTAGATTGATAATTTGCATATGAAAGGTGCACCTGCAGGTGAGTAATTTACTTTCTCTAGAAATTGTGTAGCCTTGGGGGATAGGGGTCAGTTTCCCCAGGATCAGTAAGGCCTCGGATGTCAAAACATCATGATAAAAAGACATGCTTAATACAAACTTGGTTAAACGGTGATACATCTATACCATGGAATATTATTCACTATTAAAAAGAGAATGAACTATTGATACATGTAACAATTTGGATGAATCTTAGCACACGGGATGGGGGATGGTGGTGGTGATTGAGATGGAGTGTGTGGCTGTAAAAGGGCAATGGAGGAACCCCCTTGCCTATGTCAATGTCAATATCCTCATTGTAACATTGTACTAAAGTTTTCCAAGATGTTACCCTTCTGGGAAACTGGGTAATGGCTATATAAGATCTCTCTGAATTAATTCCTATAACTGCATGTAGATTTACAACGATCTCAAAATAAGAAATATAATTACAAAAAAAGAAACCTGGCACATAGTTGGAGCTTATCTATCTATCTGTCTATCTATCTATATTTTTTTGAGATGGAATTTCACACTTCTTGCCCAGGCTGGAGTGCAATGGCACGATCTTGGCTCACTGCAACCTCCACCTCCCGAGTTCAAGCAATTTTCCAGCCTTGGCCTCCCGAGTAGCTGGGATTACAGGTGTGTGCCACCATACTCAGCTGATTTTTGTATTTTTAGTAGAGACAGGGTTCCACCATTTTGGCCAGGCTGGTCTCGAACTCCTGACCTCAGGTGATCCACCTGCCTCGGCCTTCCAAGGTGCTGGGAGCCACAGGCGCGAGCCACAGCACCTGGCCAAATATTGGTTATTTTTAATGTTATTTGCTGTATAGTACTAACACATTGTAATTGAATGCATTAGTATAGTTTGATTCATTAATTCCAATACTACTTTAGCAAATATTTATGAATGCTTATAAGGTACAAAGTCTCATAGATTAGAGTTATAAAGACATGACCCCTGCTCCCATGCTGTCATGTAACTCCAGTACAAAAAAGGAAAGAACAAAATGTTCTAAGTATTGTAATAGGAGGCGTAATGCAGTAGTTAAAAGCAAGGTGTGGAGCCAGGAAGACTCATGCTGAATCTCCTCGATTCCTGTATTTTCCTCAAAATTGTATTTTTCTGAAGAAATTACCTACCCTTACCCTCTTGATTTCTATTGTTTCATCTATAAAATGGTGATGACAATGATTTATTGGTATGGCTTTGAAGTTTAAATGAGATGATATAATACTTTAATCTTCTAATAAAAATCAGCTGAATACCTACAATTTGACTGTATAAGATACTGGAGATCCAACAGTGCTTAAGCAAATTATGTCAGCCTACGTGAAGTGTAGTGTTGTGGGTTTTGGAACACTCAGGGAGATTTGCTATGAAATTGAATGCTTTCACTGCAAAGTTATGAACTTTTCCCTTGGACAGTTAAAAAACAGTAATATATCTCTACTTTAAGATAAATGAAAGCACCTAATGTTTGCTGTATAATGTTTTCTCTGTGTATTTCTAAAAATGTGTATGTAAACTGAAATATATTTTCAGTACAATTTCATTCATGCTTTATATTCATGTAGGCTTGATTTTTTGATAAATAGCAGGTACTTGCTTAGCAAGTGATTAATAACTAATAGCATGAAAAACAAAGATATATATATATATATCTGATATAGAATGGGGATAAGACGATTTCTATCAGGAAAGGCTTTTTGGGGGAACTGGCATTTGAGCTGGACCTTGAAAGAATAAATTATATATATATATATATATATATATACACACACATATACACATATATACACACACACATACACATATACACACACACACACACACACACACATATATATATATATATATTTTTTTTTTTTTTTTTTTGAGACGGAGTCTCACCCTGTCGCCCAGGCTGGAGTGCAGTGGTGTGATCTCAGCTCACTGCGAGCTCCGCCTCCCGGTTCACACCATTCTCCTGCCTCAGCCTCCCGAGTAGCTGGTACTACAGGTGCCCACGACCACACCCGGCTAATTTTTTGTATTTTTAGTAGAGACGGGGTTTCACTGTGTTAGCCAGGATGGTCTCAATCTCCTGACCTTGTGATCCACCCACCTCGGCCTCCCAAAATGCTGGGATTACAGGCGTGAGCCACCGTGCCCGGCCAGAATAAATAATATTTAAAATAATACTTCAAATAATTTTTTAAGCATAGATCAGAATATACCTAATTGAAAAAATGTAGCACATATCATGTCCTCAAAATAAAGGGCTTCATGTAGTAAAAACAAAAAAATCAAGTGGCTTTCTTCATACTTTCACTTGTTTTACCTGTAAATGGCACCCTAAAAATCTGCCATGCTGGCTTCTGAGGCTATGAGATAATAATACATTCAGCCAGGTTGAGTCTCTGTCGTTGATCTGACTATCCTGAGGGAATACAATAATTTTCTCTAAACCCATTGTACGAAGTATCTTACTTCTCAGAGATGGTGCCATGGGCTTTAAGGTCCAGCCTGTAGTTACTTTTGCCAGTCAGTTTTTTACTCAGTGTTTCCCGGAAAACAGCAGTTCAAACCATCAGAATTTAGCTTTTCCCTTTAGAAGATTTGAGGCGATTGTACCTTTTCTCTGAAGAAATTCTTATAACTTTTAACTTTATAAAAGAAAGACTCAAAATTTGTGTAAATAATTATGCAAAATAATTGAAAAGAATTATAATTGTTAGAACTAGAATTAGTTATAAATTTGATTGATAGGATTCATGTTCTTCTCATTAGCTCTGTGTGTGTGTGTGTGTGTGTGTGTGTGTGTGTGTGTGTGGTCTGAGACAAAATCTTGCTCTGTTGCCCAGGCTGGAGTGCAGTGGCATGATCTCTACTCACTGCAACCTCTGCCCCCAGGGTTCCAGCGATTCTCCTGCCTCAGCCTCTTGAGTAGCTGGGATTATAGGCACATGCCACCACACCCGGCTAATTTTTTTATTTTTAGTAGAGACGGGGTTTCACCATGTTGGCCTGGTTGGTCTTGAACTCCTGACCTCAAGTGATCCACCCGCCTCAGCCTTTCAAAGTGCTGGGATTACAGGCATGAGCCATCATACCCGGCCTTTCTTATTAGCTTTCTAGTTAACTTTGCTTGGTGTTTGAATTCTTCCTCATGTAAAATGCAAGAAGGCTTTGATAGTATGTCTACAAGTTTACTTCCCTAAACTCTTTAGTTTCTTTTTATATATCATTTATATTTATGGAATATTTATAGAATGTCCTCTTGTGTCGATCCAAGGGTATAATGCAGTTTTTAGCTAGTTGAAAACCAGAGCTGCTGTTAAGATTCTCAACACATGAGACACAAAAAAGGAACATGTCAGAGGAAATTTAGGAACCTAGAGGGGAGGGAAGGATTGGAGGATCTGACAACAGATGAATTCACCTGAAGGGATGACCACTTCCCAATTTAACAGCTTAATTACCAGGTCTGCATGTGGCTGAGCCTTCTGGGGTTTCTGATAAAGATGATGAGAAATGATTATCTTCAGCTTAGCAGTAGTACAAAAAGTCTATTAGATATCAGATACAAAACACAAAAGTCCTTTGAATCTATCATTTTTGTTTCTTCCTTGGCATATGATTTGCTTGAGTCTTTTTTTTTTTTTTAAATTAAACTTCTACTCCAAGAAAAGTTTCTCTTCTTGGAACATATTTTTGGTAACAGTTTTTGTCTCTTGGGGGAGAGGTAATGTGATACTTTTTTTATTCAATCAGTCATCTAAAAATAGAAGGTAAATGTCTTTTTTTTTAAAAAAACAGAAATCTATTTAAAGCAACTTAGAAAATGTATCTATCAGGATTGTGTGTACAATTATGGTATTGTATATGCTTACTACGTAGTGTTACAATGATTTGTTGTTACTGTTTTGAAGAAAATTTCATTGAGATATATTTAGAGGTAGTTTAGAAACAGACATTTAGAAAATATTCCATTTTGATTATTAAAAAACATTTTATTTGTAATACACAAAATAAATCAGGTGTCTTGAAATATGGTGAAATACTTCTGGGGGTTGTTTTATTCAAACCTTTATTTACGTAAATGTCTTTAGTCCAAAGAAAGAACTAGAAAATGAATCCCTCTGAGACTAAATTGAACATTTGAGGCTTGTGGAATGCTGAGGACAGAAGTAAGGTCGTGAAAATGAAATTTGTATGCCTATCACTCATTTTTGTTGCTCTTCTATTATTAAAAATATTTCTGTAACAGCTGGATTCTGCTTACCTGACATACTGAAATATGACAACATTCTGTCTTAGCTTTAAATTATATAGTTTTAAAACATAATAGTAATAGCTTCCCACTTTATATGTTCTGGTAAATAGATGCTTTAAATATATCATTTTAAATTATTTTAAAAACCCTAAATTATTCAATCTAGAGTAGGCATTTGATAGCTATTTTTAACAATATGGAAACTGAGGCTAAGAGAGTTTAAATAACTTGCACAAAATCACAACATGCTAAGTAGTAAAGATTTAAACCCAAAGCACATGCCCTGAACACCAATGCTATTGCCCTTCCTGTTGGATCCTTTGCAAACTGTGAAACCCTTTTCATTTTCTCAAAGCAGAACCTAAATAGATGTCCAGCATTATTGTCATACTGCTGATGAAACAGCTCTCACGCAGGAAGGACAGCAGAGCGGCTACACAGTCAGATGGGGTCTGGTTGCCACCTGTGTAGGTTTCAGGCGATGCATAGAAAGGTTGGAATGGTTGGAATCATGGAAACCTGGCCTCCCTACTTATCTGCAGTCCCCTTGTTTCAGGTCATTTACATTCACGAAGCACTTCAGGACTCATTGCCAAGGCTCTTGTGTAAGCATCTCTTTGGTATGCAGGCACAGATGAAGCTCTTGAAGATGGTTGGTGCCCCAGGTAGGAAGTTGACCCAAGTGAGTTCCTTGACTCTTGAGAAATGAGCTCAGTTATAAGAAAGGAGAGGGTTCTGAGACTTGAAACAGAGGAAGGAGAAAGTGAGTAAAATTGGATTTAAATGGAAATCTGATGTTCATTTGAATTTGTTCCAGTTATGCTTGGAATGCCTGATGCATTTGAATTTTCAAGTTTAGAACAGTATTATGTGAAAATGCCTCGAAAATTCCAGAAAAGAATATGTCTAAGGGGAATGAAGAAGTAAAGGTGTCTTTTATTACTTTCGGCTTTTCCTTAAATCCGTTTAATTATGCCACCAGGTTACACATCTGTAATAGCTTTTCAGGGCACTTTGTGATATATAACTTTGTTTTATTCTTAATAGATCTTTGTTGCAGGCAGCACAATTTGTATTTTCTTCACTTTGTTGATAAAATAACTGAGGGGCAGAAAGATTACATAAATCTGTCATTACTCTTAAAATTTGTGGTAAGTTAATAAAATAGATTAAATTTAAAAATGTGTTTGTGTATATGTACATATATGTGTGTGTGTGCCTCAAGATTTTGTTTTAACTTTAAACATATAAGTATACATTCTGACATGGGCTAAAGCTTTTTGTTTGCATATATTTTTGATGACTGAAGTTCTCTATAATTATTTTTTTACATAAATCATACCCATATTGAATCATCTATAATGTCTAGGATTTTATTTGGCAGGGGGAGAGTAAGTACTTAAAATTTTAAAGTGATGTGGTATATCCCTTTCTATATTTTTATTATTTTTCAAATATTTTATTGTTATCATATTTCACATTTGTTAGTCACTTGCCTTTACTGAGTCTTACTAAAACATTCAATGGCATTTTCATACTACTATAATTCGATTTGCAGATCCATAGTCTATTGCTTTACTAATATTTAGTCAAGTTGTACAATTACAATATAACAAGTGCAACTGACACAGACAGTTTTGGGAACAAACACAACTGATTCTATTAAACATACAACACAATGAGTGAGAGCAGACGTGTGGATGTACTTGTGAGTAGTCTGCTAACTGTGAGCATACAATGTGCCAAAGCATACGGATGTTTTAGAGATGGAAGGACAAGCTTGGATTTATCAGTTTCAGGAACTTCTATTTTGCCTGTAAATAGTTAAGTTGAGACAAGAGCACTTTTTTCTTAGTCATCTTGAATATAAGCACAGATATAGTTGAAGTCAATTAATCATAACATCTACTTATTCAACCAATATTTATTAGGTACCCACTATGTGTCAGATACATAGTTCTGGCAACTGGGGATACAGTATGAATAGAGCAGATATAAATCTCTACTCTTATGAAACGTAGAGTCTATAAAGTAGAAATACATTCAACAAATATGAAATATGGTGAAAAGCCTATGGCAAAGGCAAGGTGGTGTTTGAGATAGGGTCTACGATTTGAAGGCCTTACTGAGTTGATATTTCTGTAAAGATGCAAAAGAGAGGAGAGTGTGAACATACTTGAATGGCTTTAATACAAACAAAATGCAATGGGGTTCAAAGGAGACAGTTTTGATTTAGCTAGGTGTGGAGATTTGTTGACCACCTTAAGGAGCAGCAAGTGCAAAGGCCCTGAGGCAGAATAGTCAGTATGTTTCAGGGAGAGCAAAGAGACCAATGTGGCTGGAGCAGGGTGGGAGAGGGTAAAACAATAAATTGGACCAGAAAAATAATGAGGGGGAGGATGGGAGTAGAGTTTCAAATGCAGTTTTCCAGTCTCTGTTACTAGGACTTTGGTTTTACTCTGCATAAAACAGAAAGACACTGGAATATTCTGAGTAAATAGTAGGCATGATCTGATGGGTGATATCATCACTCTGTGTGCTTGGTTGAGAATATCTTAGAGAAGGCTGAGAATGAAAACAAGCAGACCTGTTAGCAGGCTGATGCATGTTTCAGGTGAGAGACAATGGTAAAATATGCAAATTTTTAGCAATGCAATTAGCAGTAGAGGTAGAGAACTATTTATATTACTAAAACAATTAGAACATAGTAGGAGAGATAAAGCCAGAAAAATGAGAAGCAATCAAAATATTTAGCAGAAGATTATCTAAAATTATATTGTGACCACATAATGAATTACTATATAAAATGTATGTAGAAAAATATTATCATGACACATTCAATCATGATATATGGTAATCCTAAGTCAATGTGGTACATTCCAAAATATTTTTGCAAATACAAATTGTGCACATATTTTATTTGCACATACAAGGTGTACAAAATACATATGTATTGATTATGAATGCTTTAAAAGATTCTTATTTTTTGCTCCTCTGCACTTTAAAAAGTTTTCTATACAATAAGCGTGCTAAAGACATTAGCTCATTCATTTCTTTGTTCCATCAATGCATTTTGTTTTTTTGAGCATGGACTATCTTTAAAATTTTGCTCTTGGCTTTAAAAAAGATTAAAAATGAATGAGACATAATTCTTGTCATCAGTCTGTATAATTTTGTAGATGTAGAGTAATATAATGGTGTATATACTAACACTATTAAAAAGTTAGAAAAGCACAAATAAAATATTATAAGGGGTTAAGAGGAGACAAATATTTTAGCTCAATGGCATTTGAATTGGGCTGAGAAATATCAGGTAAGTGTTTTGATAGTTTGTGGAATAGAATTCTCAGTGGAGGAAACAGAATTAGCAGAATTATAGAGTCAGGGATGCATAAGCCATGTTTGAGAACATGTTATCTAGTACAGCTAAAGTGTGGAGGAAATACATATAAGTACAGTATAAGGAAGTATAGTTGTATATATATATATGTATAATATAGATTCAAGAAGTATATAAGTATAGTAGAAGAGAATCAAACAAGAAAAATGGAAGACAATATAAAAATATTGTTGGTCATTAAAGAGCAGTATATTTGTGCTATGTTTATATATGAGACACATTTGCATAAAATATATTTAACCTTTGTAGACTTATATTCATAGATTAGCTAAAACCTCTATTCAGTTACTTAAATTTTTAATTGTAGACTTGTGCCACAAAATTGGTATTTATTGAAGAGAAAATGTAATCTTATGACTCTCTCCCTTCCGGAAATATTTTCTGATTTATTTTGCATTTCGCCAATACAAATATACTGGAGATATCTATTTATGGATAGAAAATTTTACTCTAGCTCCTCATATATTGAATTTTTCCTAGGAGGCAGCTGGAAGAATCTAGTTCATTATATGTGAAGTTTATTTGGAAAAATGAAAAGAATTGTTGCCCTACAGAAGAACTTGGTAGTGACGTCTGCAGAGAGGTGCTGGGCATCTTGTTTAAATTCCTTGTGACTTAGGGCTATGGAACTGAGCCAAAACCAGCATCACGGCTGCCCCTAGTCACATTGCTGCAGTTTGTAAGTTTGCATTAGTCAACAGCACTTGCAGGGTCTGATTACTTACTTGTGAACATTTGCTCTTGGCTGTAAACTGGTAAATAAACAAAGGCTCTGCATGAGAGAGCAATGACATTTTGGTAATTCTGGGGGAAAATAAGTCAATTTGAGCACTTGATTATAAAGAGAGGAAACCAAGATGTTACATTTTGCAGTCGTTTGTCCCCCCCACCCCATTTGTAACTGACAGATTGGATTTAACACATGGAAACTGGAAGACTACTTGCCTTTAAAAACGGTCTAATTACATTTGGAACTTAAGGGAAATAGAAGATTCCAGGATATTTTTGTTTTGAATTTGAAATTGGGGACAGCGCATGCACAGTTGTTTGTTTTCACACTTTATGGGAATGAATCACACCATGTCGACCGTGAGATTTAATTATGTATTTAGCAGAGAAGCTGGAGATAGGCCAATGCAATAGCTAAGCTGCTGGAATAGCCTGGGCACAGCCCCTTCCAGCTTCCAGACACTGCAAACCTTTCGTAATAACACGTTTAGCATAGGAGATGGAATAGTGTTGATGAGATGCATAAAATCTCAGTGGAATGCTTCTGCTAGGAAACAAAATGCTGATGTCAAAGAAGGACGTTTTTTATAACGGGGAGCAAAGCCACTGAACCCCTGGGCATAGGGTCTAACTTTAATTGAAGCAATTGGAGCAAAGCATGCCATCTCTGCTTGTTCCCATTGTTCATTTCGTCTACAGTCTGGTGCGTGAACTCTCCATCCTAAACCTTTGCACATAGACAGAGCTTGTTGCAATATTTAGAACCTGGGGTCCAAGGAGTAAAATGAAACTTGAGGGTGTTTTTTATTTAAAAATTTACTGTTATTTTAATGAGTTTTCTTTAATACTCAATTCAGAACTGAATTGGCTGAGAAATTTTTGAATTAATGTATGTTCAAATATTTTTTTCTGATAAGAGCTAAATAGGTTAATTTATTTATGAAGGATTCGTGAAGGCTACTGAAATAAAACTAAAAGGGAATAGGCAAGTCTGACATGATTTTGCCATAAAATATATTTCCTTCTTAGATGTGTCTGATCCAGCGATTTTCATTCTAAGTCTCTTGAAAGTAGCTAGGATAAACCTAGAGATGCTCTTTTTTTTTCCCTTAAGATGTCAAAAGCCTAACAGAAGTCATACATTTGCTAGCATGAGAGAGCTGTAATGCTAATTAAATAATATTTTTTCTTGTTTGCTGTAATTGTATCACCCTGGCTTATTGACCGTGGCTGTAAATAATAATATTGTAAATGTAATAATTCAGGGTTTCATTGACCATAGAGGAAAGTAATAAAAAACAAAACTTTGATAATAAAATATCTGGGATCCAAAGATACAACTTCTGATAGTCATATACATATGATTATTTTTGTCTACCTGTTTTCATGTCCCTAAATAGGGACACAAAAGAATCATAATGACATTGGACTTAGAATAGGAAGTAAGGAATGTTCATTTCTTCTAATCTATAATTAATTCCACTTGAGATAATATTTGATCTCTTGATCCTTGGTCTCTCTGACTATAGATATTTAATTTATTCTCCTAGAGCCTAGGTTAGTGTTTGTGAGGGTTTTTTGAATTTGCTTTCAGTGAATCTTCTGACATACAATATACAGATATATTTTTAATAATACCACCAATAAAATGTATGTATCAGATAACTTCCAGTGAATGGAGTGGAACTGCTTGTGATCAGGAATGATGCTTTCTTCGTATTGATGATGTCACTTAGGCTACAGTGGGCAGGAGGGTGAGAGAGGGGTGAGGGGTGAAATGCTATTGATTGAGTACAATGCCCACTGCTCGGGTGATGGTTGCATTGAAAGTCCAGACTTCACCACTGCACAATATATCCATGGAACACAACTGTGGTACTCGTCCTCCTAAATCTATGAAGATAAAAACTAACTAAAAAAGAGATTAATTTTGAAGCTGACCCAAGTCAGGGTGTGACGCCAGGCTTTTATAAGTTCCCACTTCCTGCTAGTTAATAGGTGATGTATGTATAATGTGAGAAAACCAATCTATCTCTTCAAATATCTTTCCTAGTTCACCAAGATTTCCAAGTACTGGAGAAAATGAGCTTTTATCTCTAAAAATGATCTTCTTAAGTGCTCTTTCTGTATTTTCTTGGCAGTTACATACACATGCTCACTTTCAAATTCAGAAATTGTAATGATAGGTAGCAGGGGTGACTCAATCTATGCACTGAAGTGTCCACATGATATTCCACATCTTTATTTACCAGGGAATGACATAAAAGCCAACTTCTGAGGACTCTTCCTGCTGGGATGATGGAAGCTTGACTTCTTTCTCCCTTTCTTGAGGTTTTCCTCTCTCCACTGGGGTGGGGGCCATGAATCTGGGGCCTTTTGCAGATATAAGACATTAGAGGTAAGAGCCCCTGGTAGTCATTACAGCCATCTGTCTGCTTTGACAACTGCTGAGATGTTCCTTGCTCCTGCCCACATGGCCTCTTCAGTCCTGGCATCTCCTGTTCTTTTTATGTCATGCTTGTGACCTGAAGCTCCCTGAAAGGCTGTCTGTGGCCACACTAGTTTGAAGCACTTCTCTCAAATCTTGTCACCTCCTTAAGAGCAGCACACAAATTCTCTTTCTCGTGTAACCCAGTGCCTTTTCTGCATTTCCTGAACTCCCTGCCTCTATTCAGGGTGCTTCTACATTTCTTTCTTTTTTTTTTTTTTTTTTTGAGATGGAGTCTTGCTCTGTTGCCCAGGCTGGAGTGCAGTGGTGTGATCTCAGCTCACTGCAACCTTGCATCCTGGGTTCAAGAGATTCTCCTGCCTCACCCTCCTGAGTAGCTGGGATTACAGGCATGCGCCACCACGCCCAGCTAATTTTTGTATTTTCAGTAGAGATGGGGTTTCACCATGTTGGTCAGGCTGGTCTCAAACTCCTGACCTTGTGATCCGCCCACCTCAGCCTCCCAAAGTGCTGGGATTACAGGCGTGAGGCACCGCGCCCAGCCTACATTTCTTAATGGTGTAGCCATTTGAGGGAAAAAGTACAGACAGACTTGCGATTTCTATAATTACCATTCCTCAAGATACAGGAATCTTATAATCTCCTCAAGAGCAGGTTACTTGCTTTAATGGGTAATAATAATAAAAATACATAGTGTGTGTGGGGAAAAGGACCACACAGATTGAGATTTTAATATCTGAACCTACTATTCAACCACAAATCTTATTAGCCATTTATTGAAAAGCTTTCTTGTTTTAGACAGAACAGATCCTGATTAAAGAAAGGAAGATGCAGAGTGCCCTGCACTGAATTTGTCACCAGCCAGCAGAGGGAGTGTCTGAAGCTTCAGTGCAGGTATGGCCAGCATGGGTCCCAAAAAGCCAAGATGGCTCCTGACCGCAGTAATCAGGTACAGGGATGCTGAGTGATGGGGAATCAAAGGCCTCTGTCCTAGTGCCTAAGTTTACATTCTTACCAGCTGTGAGATCTGGCAAGCCACTTAATCTCTCTGTCCTTTAGTTTCCTAATCTTTAAAATGGGCAGACAATTTAAAAAATATTTTAAACAGTTCCTGATGCATTACAAAAGTGATTATTGATGATAATGATTATTGATGAGAGCACCAGGACATGGGAAATGTAGATCACCCTCTCTCATCCTGTCTCCCTGCCAGGACAGAAAGAATAATGTGGAGGAGAAATATTGAATTGACAGAATATTTACCTAGATGGAATGGAATTAAAACTAGAAGAAACTAAATTTACTTTGGATTGGTAAGATTAAATTTCCTGACAGCAGAGGAAATGGATGTCTATAAATCCATTTTTCACAAGTGGGTCAAAGTGTCTATAAATTCATATCTTGCTGGATAATTAGATAATTCCCTTTTAAAAATAACGTGGATATAGTGAATCAGACACAAATACAGGATTTATTGGCAAGAACTACTTGATTCTAATTAGTTTGATACCTAATTTGGTTTTATGTTTCTCTCTTTGCCTTTTACCTCCAAATTGAAGACTCTTTACCTTAACAGCTTATACAGCATAATCTGTTAAACATTTCTGGAAAAAGAAATATATCATTCCCTTTGAAAGTTATTCATTCCAATCATAAAATGCCACAGGCTTTCTCCTCCCCCACCTCACCCTGCCCCCATTCAGAATTCTCTAGGGAAAGAAATGGTAGGGAGATGAAAGTCCTTTAAGACTTCTCCTTTTAAGAAATGAGACTCTCTTTTCCCTAATTTAATTAAAATAAACATGACTTGAGAAAGAACATGAAATACCTGCAGGTTTAATTCTAGTTTCTCTCCATCTGTCAGACCCATATTTTCTGAAATGACCTAGCAGCTGTGCTGCAAAGACACTCTACATTAGTGTTCTCCTTTATCCATGTATAAGACTCAAGCTTTAGTAAATATTTTAATATTTTGTTTATATTAGGTATAGGCACCTTTTAAAAATGCCATTGAAAGCTTAATGTTTTCCTTTGAAGGGTAGAATATTGGCAACTGAAATGGGACCTCTAGCTCTATGATTGTTGACCTATGAGAAGATTTGGGAGAGTCTTCTTGTTTATAACTAAATTTCAAATCGTACCATGACAGTCACTTTTCAGTGATTCAGAATTGACCATGGTCTGCTGCTATGAGTAGAGGTGACTATATATATATATATATATACACACAATTTTTTTTTTTTGAGACGGAGTCTCGCTCTGTCGCCCAGGCTGGAGTGCAGCGGCGCCATCTCCGCTCACTGCAAACTCCGCCTCCCGGGTTCATGCCATTCTCCTGCCTCAGCCTCCCGAGTAGCTGGGAGTACAGGCGCCTACCACCATGCCCGGCTAATTTTTTTGTATTTTCAGTAGAGACGAGGATTCACCGTGTTAGCCAAGATGGTCTCCATCTCCTGACCTCGCTCGTGATCCGCCTGCCTCGGCCTCCCAAAGTGCTGGGAGTACAGGCGTGAGCCACCGCGCTCGGCCGAGGTGAACATATATTTCATATGGTCTCAAAACAAAGGAATCATAGGTTTGTAAAACAAAGCAATAGTAATTTGGTGATAACACCTGGACACAAAGCGATGCTTTACTCCATCATCCTGTCATTCAACTACTTATTTATTGAGCACCTATTAAACTAGGCATGATTGGAGGAGCAGCGAAAGGGACTTTATTTAGATACAGATCTTGCTTTCAAGCATGTTAATGCTTAAGATTCCTTTAACAGGATGAAATAATATGTGTACACCAAGAGGAAGAATCCAAGGATTATTTCTTAGGAAGGGTGAGAGGGGAGTATATGTGATTAACAGAACCGGGATAGAAAAGTCAACTTTTAAGTCTGAGCCAGCCTTGAAGGATAGATGGGATTTCAGAATGTGTCTTCAGGGGGACAGGTCTTTTTTTGGAAGCAATAACAGAGGCACATTCAGAGGAGGCAGGAAGGGACAGAGTGTATGCGGGGAGGGTGAGTGCTACACAAGAAATGAAAGGCAGTTAAACAATAATATTCACCATAGTTGATATGAGCCGAGCAACGAACTTTCACAAAACAGTGCTTCTTAAAACGTCCTCTGGTGTGTACTAATAGTCAACAGGAATTTGGTAGTGTAACTAGAGAACAGTTGTGGGGTTTACATTTCTTTAAATCTGAATCTTTAAAAATATTTTACAAAGTTTGCATTTTATTCTATAATACAAGTACATTTGTTTTCATACAAAAATATCTTAAATTATTTTCAGGAAAATGCCACAGTTTTGTGTCATGGGAGTGGCCCCCATCCCTGGATGTATGTGACCTGAGTTTGAGAAGCATGGACATACATTTGCTCACATACTAATAGCAGAAAATAAGTACAGAAAAGAAGATTAATATCAGATTGTGGTTGGCCTTGAGTGAGTAGTTCTTTTTATTATTATTTTTTTGATACAGAGTCTTGCTCTGTTGCCCAGGCTGGAGTGCAGTGGTGCAATCTTGGCTCAGTATAACCTCCACTGTCCAGGTTCCAGTGATTCTCCTGCCTCAGCCTCCTGAGTAGCTGGGACTACAGGCATTTGCCACCATGCCCAGCTAGTTTTTGTATTTTTAGTAGAGACAGGGTTTTGCCATTTGGCCAAGCTGGTCTCGAGCTCCTGACTTCAGGTGATCCATTGGCCTCGGCCTCCCAAAGTGTTGGGATTACAGGCATAAGCCATCACACCCAGCCTTGAATGAGTAGTTCTAAGCTAATGCACTCGGTAGGAATTCTTTAGGAAATGAGAGATGATAGAAGGTTTTAAAGCAGGATAGGCACAAAACCCAAACTTGCTCGAGCCAGCAGGACTGACTGGCAATATTTCAATGACTGGCAATATTAGCTGGGGAAGAAGAAAGGAAAGAAGAAGACCAGTTAATAGCTACCAACACAATTCAGTGTAGTGGCAGATATAAGGTAACAGAAGATAAAAAATACAGCATGGACTCAGGATGGAACTTGAAAACTGATTTGGAAGTTGGTGGATAATGGTGAGAGAGGAACACACACTCTGGGTAACTCTAAGGCAGGTAACTGAAAGGTCCATTAAAGGAAATAGAAAATGTAAGGACCAGAGGAGCAAGTTTGAAAGTAAAAGCCCATATGTTCCACTTTAAACCATTAAATTTGAGATAGCCCAGTGCCGTTCTAGCAATCTGACATCAAGAAGCGTGAACTTTTTTTTTTCAAAATTTCCAGTTATTTCATTAAGGATGCCTGGACTTCCAAAAAATCTTAGACGTGCTTAGTAATGATGTATCCATATTTTAAATCTATTTGTGTATTTGTATAGTTTTAATCGCTTGTTACTACTAAAATGATAACTTAATCCAGATTTTTTTGTTAAGTATTAGAGACTTAGGGAATAAAATAAACTTGTTTCAATTAATAAACACAACACCTTTTCAGTATAGAGAAGCATGGTAAGAGATTAATAAAAGACTTTGAAGAATTAAATATATTTTATTAGAATTAAATTGTATGAGGGAAGTAAAATACAAATTCAAGGAGAAAAGGAAAAGGTAAAATGGGAAAGAGTAGCTTCTTAATGTCCTTTTAAAAGAGATGATGGGATATTATCACATTGTATGTATGTGGTTTCCATTGGGTACATTTAAAATTGATGGGATTTCTATTTTGAAATATATTTATGATGTACTAGAAATTGCATGCTTTTAAGCTATTTAAACTTACAATGAAAAAATTTTAAATATCAATTTAGGAAATGTTGGAGGGGATATATTGTTATTCAAATTATTTTAGGAGACTTGAGCAAAACATAATTTGAAGAGCACTGCTCCAACATACGTAATTTGGAAATTGGGAGGTTCATCTTGCAACTAGCCTTGAATCACCTCTTTGTATGCTGCTCTTCTGAATTTGTGTTTCTTCCTGTTCCTCTTCACTTTGCTTGGACAACTTAGTGAGGCAGCAGCACGGAGCTTGTGGCTGGTGGTTTCCCTTGATGCAGTATTGCTAACCCCCAAAAAGTCCCTAGATGGGGGTGGTGGTTTGGGTGAAATACTGAACATCTGCCAGGCCTCATGCTGGGTGGAAATCCTGGCTCTGTTTCGTCCTTGGTGTGTGACCTTGGGCAAGTCACCCAACTTCTCTGAGTCCTATCTGTAAACAACTAATGTGGTTATGGAAAGGTTAAGTAAAATCATGTTTACACATTACTTTGCACCATTTAGCATAAGATAACAACTCTGTATAGTTCTTTTTAACTATTAAGAGTTGTGTATAGTCTTTACATATACTACAGAACAAATAGTAGTTGTTCTCAGGGCAACTGGCACCTTCCCAAGCAGGTGAATTTAAAGAGCTTTATCACTTTTCTGTTTATCTTTTCTCTTTTAAGCAAAACGAGTCTTTCATTAAGGAAATAACTAACACAGGTAAATGACAGTAAAATGTTGAAATTGTATGTGTTATGCACTCTGCTTTCCAGCAGCCTTTAAACATCTTTTCTATCACTGGAGTATTGCTCTATTTGTGTGCCCTAAGGTAGCGTGTGCTGGTAGGACACACTGTGGTTCTATAAATCAGATGCATTTACCCAGGACTTGGGTTAGGAGGTGAGGAATGTCAATCTATTCTCCAGGTGAGGGTTCAGTAGAGCCATAAAGTGTTCTTGGACAGTTTCAAGTCTGTGGTACAGAAGAGGTCCTGGTGCTGGTGACCATGGTGATGGGAGGAGAGTCATGTTCCTGGTGGCTTTGCCAACTGTAGCACCTAGCTCATGGTGGCAGAAGTAGCAGATGACCCATAAAACTACTTTTGGACAATTTATATATCTTTCCAGAAAGCATGGCACCTGATTTGGAATCTCAGCCTTCTCAGATCTTCTGTGAGCCTCTAATATCTTTTCAACAAACTTCTTTTTCGGCTTCACCAGTCTACTACTTCCTGGAATGAAACAAATATACAATAGGTGATTTTAACAGTGCAGGTTTTGAAAGAAACAAGTACCTATGGTCTAATATTAGGCACAGCCTAATCTAATCTCGATCATCCTCAGACTATTTTGGACTCTCCTTGTATGATACCACACCTTACACAGATAGTGCTATCTCATTGGTGCCTGCAAACCTCCAGGCTTTGTGCTGTACAAGCAACTATATTCTTCTGGTCTTTTAATTTGGAAGTTCTCAAACTTTTATCTGTTGTCAACACAGTGGACGAATATGAAATCATACCTGTCACGGTGAGAGGTGACAGCATGCTGGCAGCCCTGGCAGCCCTTGCTCGCTCTCGGCGCCTCCTCGGCCTTGGCGCCCACTCTGGCCACACTTGAGGAGCCCTTCGGCCGGCTGCTGCACTGTGGGAGCCTCTTTCTGGGCTGGCCGAGGGCGGAGCCGGCTCCCTCAGCTTGAGGGGAGGTGTGGAGGGAGAGGCACGGGCAGGAACCGGGGCTGCGCGAAGTGCTTGCAGGCCAGCGCGAGTTCCGGGTGGGCTAGGGCTCGGCGGGCCCTGCACTCGGAGGGGCCGGCTGGCCCTGCCGGCCCAGGCAGTGAGGGGCTTGGCACCCGGGCTGGCGGCTGCAGAGGGTGCCCCGAATCCCCCAGCAGTGCGGGCCCACTTGTGATGCGCTGGGCCTTAGCTGCCTCCCGACGGGGCAGGGCTCAGGGCCTGGGGCCCGCCATGCCTGAGCCTCCCCGGCCAGCCATGGGCTCCTGCACCACACGAACCTCCCCCACGAGTGCAGCTCCCTGCTCCACAGCACCCGGTCCTATCGACCGCCCTGGGGGCAGAGGAGTGCCCTGGGCGCAGGGCATGGGACTGGCAGGCAGCTCCGCATGGGCCCCCGTGCGGGATCCACTGGGTGAAGCCAGCTGGGCTCCTCAGTGTAGGGGGGGACTTGGAGAACCTTTATGTCTAGCTAAGGGATTGTAAATACAGCAGTCAGAACTCTGTGTCTAGCTCAAGGTTTGTAAATGCACCAATCAGCGCTCTGTGTCTAGCTGACCTGGTGGGGGCTTGGGGAATCTTTGTGTCTAGCTAAGGGATTGTGAATACACCAATTGGCACTCTGTGTCTAACTCCAGGTTTATATATGCACCAATCAGCACTCTGTGTCTAGCTCAGGGTTTGTAAATACACCAATCAGTACTCTGTATCTAGCTAATCTAGTGGGGACTTGGAGAACTTTTGTGTCTAGCTCAGGGATTGTAAACACACCAATCAGCACCCTGTCAAAACAGACCAATCAGCTCTCTGTAAAATGGACCAACCAGGTCTCTGTAAAATGGACCAATCAGCAGGATGTGGGTGGGGCCAGATAAGGGAATAAAAGGCTGCCCAAGCCAGAAGGGGAAACCTGTTCCGGTTCCTTTCCACATTGTGGAAACTTTGTTCTTTAGGTCTTTGCAATAAATCTTGCTGCTGCTCACTCTTTGGGGCTGCACTACCGTTATAAGCTGTAACACTCCCTGCAAAGGTCTGCAGCTTCACTCCTGAGGCCAGCAAGACCATGAACCCACAGGGAGGAATAAACAACTCTGCAAGGGAGGAACGAACAACTCCAGCTGCACCGCCTTAAGAATTGTAACACTCACCGCGAGGGTCTGCAGCTGCTTTCTTGAAGTCGGTGAGACCAAGAACCCACCAATTCCAGACATAATAGCAGTGGGGTGCTGTGGGAGTAGGGGTGAACTGGAGACACTACAAACTGGAGAAGCTGGAATAAGGAAGAACATTTATTGGGTGAATGTAATTTGAAAAATTGCAGAGCAAAAGCTGATTTACCAATGTTTACCCCTAACACTGTCTACCACACCCAAACAGTACTAATCTAGACTTGATATTTGTTTTATAAAATCAGATCATAATGACAGGTCTTAAATAGTAGTAAATAATATTTGTATTCTCCTTTTTATAGGTGTATGTAGAAAAGGAAGGACAATATCTCAGGAAGGTGAGCTCCTGAGAGGGACTTTGTCCTATAATCCATCCATCCCTGGAAAATACATGAAATAAGACTTGGAGATAAAGGCTGAATGCAACAGTAAGCCGGTATAAAAGTTATGTTCTGGGAGGCAATGCTACGAGTTACAGAGGAGCACTTTATTTATTTGTGTATATTTATTTTTAATTGGTGTGATATTTAGAGTAGTCAATCATTTTGACCCCTCTTAACTACTTATTGATCAGAATATTGCTAATTCCGCATGGTGCATATACTTTTTAAAAAAGACTTATTCAATTACAGTGATGAATGTAATTTATTTGTCTTTAAATTTGCTCTGATATTAATTAATGAAAAAATGCATTACAGCCTCTTTGTAAAAGATGAGGGCAAGGTAAACAAGGCATGCTGTCTCTGAGGGCTTCAGATTTTATCTCTAATACTCAAGATGATAAACTTAGATATTACATTAGCTTTAGATATGTTAGTAATCAAGTGTGGCCAGATAGCTGTCTCCTGATTACGTATCTGAGAAGATAAATATGGTATTTATGCCAATCAAAGTCAACTTCAATTCACTTTTTGACGAGTTCCAAGCTTAACAGAGTGTTCTGCAAACAGAAGCAGCTTAAGAGATCAGCTGAAAATGAAAAAATTATTTATCCCTCAGCCATCTTAAGGCTAAAGATAAACAGTCCCTCGATATATTCCTTAAATGTGAGAAAAGCTGCAAAAACTTAGCAGGTTTACTGATATGGCATAACTTATGTAGGAATTGTCTGGTCTATGAAAAGGTGTTTTTTTAAATTGTGAAAACAATGTCACAACATTACAAAAAATTGGGCAAATACAAGGGAAGATATCAATCATAATTTCAACACTCAAACATTAAAATGCAATATTTTTGATATTCGTGGGCTCTCTTCCTTTTGTTTTTCATCCAAACGATCTTCCATTATTGCAATCACAATGTACTCATAAAAACTTTGTTCCTTCTTACTAAAGTTAGCTGAAGAAGGATTTTTATGTGTTGCGATATGGACTTACAATTATCCATTTTAAAAATTGCATAGTTTTCAATCAGGTAGATGCACTGTAATTTAACATTCTCTTAACTGTGGACATCTCATTTACTTTTAATTTTTTGCATAAAAGAGTTTCCAATGAATGTCTTATGATAATCGCGTTTTCCATTTTGGGGGGAATTTCTTTAAGATAATTCCTGGATTACATAATGACATTGTCTAAAATTTGGTGGCTTTGGTAAGACCAATTACAAGGGGGTGTTAGAGACTAAAAGCCAGTTTTCAATGGGTTGAAGGGTGAGTGGGGGTGAAGTCCTAGAACATTTTTCTCCTGACTGTAGAAAATATTTTCAACAAAATAATTGAAGCTATAGGAACAGGAAAGAATGATTAAATGAAGGAGGTCCTGAAAAGGCAGGAGGGGTCCAGAATTGTTGAATGCCCATGGAAAGTTAACAGTAGGAAAAGGAACATCTCCCCCTTTAAGTGAGGGAAATCACAATTGTAGATATGGATGCAAGTTAGCCTGTTGGTTTAGTGACAAGAAGTTGAAGGAGTTGCAGGGGTCATTTGCCTGGAGGAGAACAGAGAATATCTACAATGGTCATTATTAAGAGTGAAAGAAAATGGACTAATGATAATAATAGCTTGAAATTTCTCTTGTGTACTCCATGTGATTGCAAGTGTGCTGAGTGCTTTTTATGAATTGTCCCATAATAGTTGTGTCATTTTCCACCAATTCTTAATGGCACTAGGATAGGCAGGGTGAAGAATTTACTCAAGTATGAGTTTTTGCGAGGTTAGTGCCATGGAAGAGCAATGCTAAAAGGCAATTAAGAATCTTGGCATGAGAGATGGGTGGGATCATCCTTCTCATGTAGATGGTAGAGGGTATAGAAGAGCATGCACTGTTGAATATTTTATGCAGAAATAAGGACAAATGTGTGCCACTGCATTGGCTGAATAAACCATAAATAAAAGGACAATTCGGGGGGCCAAATCTTTTGTATTACTGGAAGAAATCTGACTCTGATATTACTGGCTTATTTCCCCACTAGCTGGGCATGTCCTCTATTTCTGCACAGAGCGCCAATGACATACAGGTAGAAAGCACAGTGGAAAAATAGAGTTTAAACATCTTGAGTGGTCCTAATAATAAGAGGAGTCATGTATTGTCATTAACATCATCCTGGAGAGGCATACAGCACAGGCTTCAGGGCCAGCCTGCTTGAGTTAGATCTAGGCTCTGCTACTTACCAGCTGTTAACTTTCAGTTAGTGTTTCTATGCCTCAGTTCTTTCACCTGTAAAAAGGGTATGATAATGGTATATGCCTCATAAGATTGTTTTGAGGATTATAAAATCAAAACCTATAAAGCACTTACAGAAGCTAAGTTTAGAGTAGCTGCCATCAGGTTTATTATTAAAATAACAGCTACCACTTGTTGAGGCTGTAAGTACTAATGATATGCTAAAGACTTTATTACTTTAGTTCATCTAATTCTCACGAAAACTTCCTGAGATAAGACTATTTTCTCCATTTTACAGATGAAGGAACTGAAGCTTAAAGAAATTAAATCACTCACTTTATGCCATTCCAACTTATAAATGACAGAGCTTGGATTCAAATCCAACACTGTTTGAACCCAACGTGTTAGGCAACTTTCTTGAGCTGGTGAAATTTCAGTGTGTGTGTGTGTGAGACTTGTGTATTCTTCTGTTTTTCCCTCTCTCTTGCTAAAGCTCTTAAAGTTTGTTCTGGAGCTATCGCAAATGTGGCTTATCCACATCCCGTCACGTTTCTTTACCATTTTCTTCCTGCCCATCAGACCCTACTATGTTTTCCCTCACTGGAGCGTCCTGCTTTGGCAGAGGGCTGCCCTTAGGCTACCAAAGCCACTAGTACATCTATAGGCTCATGTAAACCCTAAAATGAACAGAATTGCCAGGAGGGCTTATTAAAAACAGGTTACTGGCCTCATGTTGAAGGCTATGACTGTAAGGTTTGGAGTGGGGTCCCAGAAATTCCATTTTTCACAAGTTCCCAGATCTGAGAATCACGCTTTGTCATATCTTTGTGTCACTATCCCAGAGTCCTCGTTTTAAACAATTATATTTATAACAAAATACAACAAAAACAAACGTTGTATTATACAAAAGAATGAGAAACTCATTTAAAAAATCCTAAACAGAATACATCCTTTTGGCTTACATTTGTCTACTATCTCTTTGCTCATTGCTTTTTTCATGTTATTTTAAGTGTTTCTTAGTAAGTGGCATGCATCTGGTTCGTGCCTTTTATCCTATCTGTATTTCAGCTAAAAATGCATGCATGGATCTAGTTTCTTAGTGTTTTTGTTTCATCTTTTCCTACATTTTTGATGTTTTAGATTGCTCATTTCCTTTTCCTTTTTCTCAATTATTGGCCTCTTCAAGATTCTGTTTGTCCAATTTTTTTTTTAATTTGGAGGGCCTGTTGTCTGTATATTTTTATTTCAATAATGATTACCACGCCTCTCCCTGCTCTCTTAATAGGGTGTGGAAGATTCTACTATAAGTTCTGCACAATATACCCATTATTCTCTAGGTCACACTCTTTCTCTAGCACCGTGCTCTAATACCTTGCTCCTCCAGCCTCTTCCTCCTATAGAGTCGGGCCTATGAAAAGCCTTTACTTCTCTCCTCTCTTCCCTCAGCCCCGTGATGTCTTTGGAATGTTTTACCTTTACTCTCTTCCCATCCATCTTCAAGTACTAGGGTTTGCTAAGACTGCTTATTGCTTATTAGAATTTTAGAAATGAGGCTGTGTACTTCCACCTGATAGTGCAGTGAAGGCAGTGGGTCCCTTGGCCTTTATTAAATCACACCATTGAGACCTTTTCTCTTCTTTCTCTTCCTCCTCCTTTAATTAAGGCTTTATTCTCTTCAGGTGGCTACCTTGCACTTCATTGTCTCAAAGGAGCTTGGCCTGGGCTGTGGAATGTTCTGTGCGTGCTTGCCTGTGTGTGCAGTTGTGGGCATGCGCGTACTTCCAGCAGCAGGGATAGTTGTTTCCCAAATACAGAAACATCCAGGGAGCTAGCTGCTGTTCCACCCATTTCCGTGCCTGTTTAGAAAGCAAACTGAATGCACAAGAGTGAGATAACTCTTTTTATAGGCATAACCTTGAATACCTGTAATTTATTGTAAGCAGGTAAATGATTTTTGTCTAGTTATCAATGACTTGTGGCATAGCTCACAACAGTCCTCAACACAGTCTGTTGTGCCCTAATCCACAATTAACCACCTCTGCTTCTTGGCATCCCTGAAACTGGTCCTCAATCCTCCAGATTTCCTGAGATTTCAGCATCCTTAACAAAGCACAGGTACCTGTCCAGTTGCACATCAAGGAGCATGTAGTTACCCTGCTGTTCTCTGCACTGATGGATTACGTTGTCTCCTTATAAAAGGTAAAGGAAACTTTCAAGAAGAGACTAGGTTCACCTTTTAACAATTTGTTTTTGGGTCCTGAGGTCAGGGTACATCATTCTCTTTACCAAGATAAGGTGTGCTCTCTACTCACGGAGAAGATACCCCAATATTTGCTTGTGCCTTTTGAAGGACTAATTTGCCTTCCTAAATAATTTCAAGATGTGTCTTTATTTTATGTTAAAATTTCCATTTGAAGGCTTGGCAAATCTGTCATTTCCTTTTTTTTTACTAGACACACTTGGGATGTGTCCCTGACACTGTGAAATAGGCTCTGTTAGGTGTAAGGTTTATAAATATGAAATGAAGGAAATTTGCATGATTTTAAAGCATTTTTCATTGAAACTCTCTTTTGTTTGAGCACAAAATCTGTAACAGTTTATGAAACACTTAATGAACCTAATCCTTGAAAAAAAAGTGAAATAAGAAGACCAAAGTGGGATTGTAACTTTTCTAAATGTTTTACCATTTAGCAACCAGTTTATGCCTAAAATAGAGTGTTAACATCAACATCATTTAAGAATTCCTGATTGTTACCTCTTTTGGAGTTTTGAATGTTTACTTCTTTGAGTATTTCTTTAATGAAAACATAAACTTTTAATTACAGCTTTTCTTTGTTTATTTTTTTAAAATACAAAAGTCTCCAAAGATATAGGACTTTAGTCCGGGTCTCACTCTGATGAGATGAAGTAAGGTATGGACATTCCAAACAAAACAAATGATAACACTCACCACTTTAAAGTGAACAGAGGTCATTGTCTTCCTGAATATTAATATGCACATGCAGAAATTCAGTTAAATGTTAATGTTTTTGTTTAAAAAATTAACAGCAAAAAGGGAGAGAAGAGATTAAATTACAGAGAGGTAAAGAGAGAGACAGAAGGGCTCTTGACCACTTGGCCCCCTTACCTGGGAGTTGGGCAATTCAACTTAGAAAACACATGGTGCCATTTTTCTAGATCTGTATGTTTAATCTGTGCACTTTTCCAAAATGCGTATGTTAAAATATCAACCTCACAGAGTTATGTAAAATAGAAAGTGCATTGAACCTGAGGTTGAAAGGCCTTTAAACTAAAGAGTAGCCTGAAGGTCTAGTCCCTGACTTGAAAACTTCTTAGTTTATGACCTTGGAAAAAAGCCAATGAATCATTCTCAATCCCACTTTCCTGTTTTACAAAAGACTGTTGTGAAGATCAAAGATGATGGATATGAAACTCCTATTTTTTTTTTATTTTTTAACTCTTTCCAAAACTATAAAGTACCCTTTACATCTAAGGCATTCTTCCATTTCTCCAAATATTTGTGCATGGTCAGGGAGCTTTCTGTTTCTAAATGATGGATGTGCTCACATGGGAATACATTCAGAATGAATTTATAATTAATTGTTGTTTGACTACAGAGATAATTGAAAACAGCCAAATTTGAGTCTTTCAGAAAAACAAAAAAAGCATTGTTCCTCATCTTATATTTTTATAGAGCTGAACCCATGAAACCTTGACAAAGTGGAATTGTGGATGCCCTGTAGTGTTTCCACACATGCTCTTGACTACTTGCCATATGCATAGGTACCCCTGTAGTTTTCCCCAAATCGTAGCTCACATTCCAAGTGACATCCTCTGCTTGAACTCCATCTACAGCCTACACGTATTCTAGCTTTAGAAACAATGGCCACCTGTTCTATTTTCCCCTACATTTCTTTATTACATACTGTTAGGGTAGAGTGATGAAAGGAAGGGAGAGACGAGTAGGGGGTTCAACAGTTAAGACAGGTTTATTGAGAGTAAACCTGAGAAGGGCTTCTGGCCATCAGGGTCAGGAGCAAACTTCTCTTACAGCATAAGGCTTTTTAAAAAGGCCCAGTGGGGGAAGTGTGCTCTAAGAGGGGTTCCTATCAGGGAGGGGTTGGGAAAGTGCTGGCTAGACTTGGATAAGCTATGTTAGCTGTGTTGCGATTAGAGTCATTATGTTCTGTTGAAGATGTGGGTGGGGCTGACATTTGCAGTTTAGTCAGGTAGCAACAGACAGTTCTGAGAAATAAAAGCTTGATACTTTAAGATGGTGGAATCTCCTTAAGATGGCAGTACTCTTGAACTATCACATACCTCAACGAAGCAAGAAAATTTAGCCAACTCTAAATTTGTGATGAGACTCAAAAAAGACAATATAGCAAAGTCAGGCCTGGAATTTGGATTTTTACCTTTATTTATTCATACAGCGTTCATGAGGGATAGAACAAGTGGTTGTTCTTAATCATTTACTGTATGATTGTTCTTAATCATCTCTCTGTGGATAAGGATTATCAAATTGAGAAGGAGTGGGGACTCTCTGGCATTTTTATTGAAGCAGTGGATAGACAATGTTGAGGATATTTTAATCTTGTTCTACCTTTGAGGCTCCATGACTTTTGAGAAGAAACATCTGACTCAGATCAGAGCAAAATGAAAACACACACACACACACACACACACACACACACACACACACACACACCCCTCTTAAGGAGGTAGACACTGCAGTTAGCTTAAAGCATTTTGTTTTTTCTTAATAGTAGATTCTAGTTCTCAAATGAGTTTTCTCTGAAAAACAAACAAAAACGAAAAAAAGCACTGAAACTTCTCTAACTTTGACTTGTTAAATCAACTTTGTAAAGTTTCTGAATATTACGCTTTCCTGTGATTACATGTGGAGAGCAGAAGACAGGAAACCTACTGTGACACATTACTTTAATAAAGTGATTATCTTTATTATGCTCATGATTTGTCACCAGAATTTCATTTCTTGTTAGATTAACTCTCAAGCATTATAATTTGGACAGTTATCGGGTTGCTGTCAAAACTTGAAATACTTCTACTAAATTCATTTTTTTAAATTTATCTCATTGGAAGGATAAAAGAAGTTGTATAATATGTATATATTACAAAATTCTTCAAAATTTAAGCAGTATCACATTTATACTTTGGCATTTGTCCCAAAAATGTTCTAAAATAATATATTTCCTATTTTGTCTGTGTCACTTCACCAATATAAAATTTGCACATTCTTTTTTATTTCTTTTTTTAAAATATTTTTTCTGACACTATCCACCTGGAGACATTCTTTTCATTTATACGCTATAAGTCGATTATGTGCAAATCTCACTTAAGAGGTGGTTTAAGGCACATTGGGGCTCAGATAGAAATGTCCCTATCACAGAGACCCAAGGTTTTATTCTCATTGTCACCCTAGAACAATCTCACCCTCACCCTAGACAGGTAAATGGACTTGTCAGAGAAAATTAGAAATTGCAAATGTTTAAATGAGTATCAGATAGGGGCAGACAATGTTGGTTTCCTAACCAATAGCTATGCCCCTCTTGTTGAACAGAATGCCAATTATGTCAAGGGATCTTGGAATTAGAAATGTGTTCCCAGACATGGACACGGGGAGGAGAACAACACACACTGGGGCCAGTCTAAGGGTGGGAGGCAAGGGGAGGGGCGAGCATTAGGACAAGTAGCTAATGCATGCAGGGCTTAAAAGCTAGATGATAGGTGCAGCAAACCACCATGCCACATGTATGCCTATGTAACAAACCTATACATTCTGCACTTGTATCCCGGAACTTAAAGTTAAAAAAAAAAAAAGAGAAATGTGTGATCTGGGCCAAGCAAATTAATCCTAGTCCCTTTTGCCAGTGACTTGTACAGAGATGGATGTATAAGGACTTCTGTAGAGCCATCTGAGATACTTACTGGGTAGTCTGAGGGGCTTCTGGGAAATATTTTTCTCTCTGATGAAAAGGGAGAGACGTGAGAAGAATTGATTCCTCTCCTACTTTCTCATTTTTTTGATATTGTGAAGTGAGGATGTGTTGCTTGGAATGGCAGTAGCTGTTTGATGACCATGAGAGGAGAACATGGAGGGTAAAACGCATTTGCTGAGGATGGCAGCATAGACAATGAAAACCACTAGATTCCTAGTGGCGTCATGCTGCCGGGCTAACCTGCAGCAACCTACCTTATACTTTGTTATATAAAATAATCATTGCACTCATTATTCAAGCTACTAATCATTGTTTTGTTTTGTTTTCTATTCTGTCACTTCCAGCCAAAAGTATGCTTATTGACTTACAAGCTTTCTTTGGTTCACCAGTTGGCCTGGCCGAAATGGTGGAACAGAAGACTCTGTGGCATGTGGGGACTTACATATCCATTAGCTGACTTCTTTGAAGACTTACCAGGCCTTTTCACTGTAATAATGACAACTATATCTTGTGACGTACATTCACAAAACACATTCTTCACTATACGTATTACCTGCCCATGCTATTTCACAGAGAAAAATACTTGGGGAAACAAGATTCCGGGTTTGTTTATTAGTACCCATGCCTTGGTCTTAACATAATTTGTCACCATGCTGTCCTTGTGCCATGCTGTCATCAGTTACAGACAATATTTCCTATTGAATTCATTGACTTAACTCCTTGCCGTGCTGGATTTACTTTTCTGATGAAGTTTCCATGTTTTTCTCATCTACACAGCCCCCCTTTCACCTTTGTGCAGTACTAACTGCCAACCAGAGAAACGAACATCCATCCTTCCCACTTCCACTCTGTCTTTCATGACCTCTGTTCCAGGTTCCTTTCTAAACACAATTCAGCTTGGATTCAAGACCTTGGGTGGGATTCCTCCTTTTTCCCCCTCACTAGGGTATTTTAAAGCAAACCCAAGAATCATAGAATTTTTGTTTGGAAATATTTCAAAATATATTTTGAATTTTCTAAGACCTCTCTTAAAAAAGGACATGCACAATACCATTCTCATACTTAAAATGAACAAGTCCTTAATCAGTCTGTTAAAATTCCTTGATTATTTCATTAATGTAATTTTATATTTGATTTGCTTGAATCAATATGTAAAGTCCACAGATGAAGCCTGCATATTCTCAATGACTACATTGGACATTACTGAAACTTGTTCTTGGTTTTTTTCAAAACACCTTGTTTTTTATTTGTTTTGTTGTTTTTATTTTTATTTTTATTTTATTTTATTTTATTTTTTTTAGACAGAGTTTTGCTCTTATTGCCCAGGCTGGAGTGCAATGGCATGATCTCAGCTCATTGCAACCTCCACCTCCCAGGTTCAAGCGATTCTCCTGCCTCAGCCTCCCAAGTAGCTGGGATTACAGGCACCCGCCACCACGCCCGGCTAATTTTGTATTTTTAGTAGAGATGGAGTTTCTCCATGTTGGTCAGGCTGGTCTCGAACTCCCGACCTCAGGTGATCTGCCCGCCTCGGCCTCCCAAAGTGTACCTTGTTATTTTTTATGACATATCTTTTTACTTGCCTTAAATTTCTATTTCTTCCTTCAGTTCTCTAAATTTTAAAATACTTTTTATAAAATATCCTTCAGTTTGTTCTGTTATCCAAGTTCTTGAAATATCCATTCTTCATTTGTTAGGCTGGCTGACTGGTTTCTTACTGTGATTTGTTATTTTTGTCTCTGAATCCAACTTGGAGGAGGAAGACGTTTGCAATGGATATCCTTTGTGGCCTACAGCAGAGGCTCCCAACCCCTGGGCTGTATCTATGGACTGTTAGGAACTGGGCCGCATAGCAGGAGGTGAGCGCAGGTGAGCCAGCATTACGGCCTGAGCTCCACCTCCTGCCAGATCAGCAGCGGCATTAGATTCTCATAGGAGCACCTGAACACTGTTGTGAACTGTGCATGTGAGGGATCTAGGTTGTGAGCTCCTTATATAATCTAATGCCAGTTGATCTGGGGTGGAACAGTTTCATCCTGAAGCCATTCCCCTCCTTTCATCCCTGGAAAAATTGTCTTCCATGAAATCATTCCCTGGTGTCAAAAAGGTTGGAAACTGCTCCCCTATGGGATGACATGACATTGGCTTCTGAAGGTTTCACCAGTTGCAGGTTAGCTTTGATCATAGTTCCTTGGCTTGGAGTCCCCATTTCCTAAGAGTAGTGTTCACTCAGACCCACACTTGCTACCTCAAGTGCGGGGACCCTGAGGAAATCCAGAATCTTGAGCTAGACTGAATCAAGGCCTTAGTTCTAGGGAGATCCCCAGGTCGTCTGTAGCCAGTTTGTGAAGCTCTGCAGTACAGGGATCTTCTTGGGTTTCTAATTTCTAACAGATGAATCTATTTTTATTCATGTCCCTGAGGAGAAAGAAGCATTCAGCTCCCTTCTTCAAGCAGGTAGGTAGAGTTTTCAATTGCCTATTTCAGAGGCAGGCCTGGCTCTGTGATTGCAGCTTCTCATGCACAAGGATCCTGTGTCCTGGCTGTGCCTCCACAGCTGGGTGTGGAAACCCTAGCCCCCAGGAGCTACCAGCGGTTTCTATATTGTCATGAGCTCCTGGGTTTTGCCAAACAAAAGAATCTGATTTTGTGTTTTTGCTTCATTTCTGGTACCTTCCTTTACATCAACATTTTCTAGGTATTTTTTAGAATTAGTTATTTTATTCTATAGCATTTACATGTCTTGGAAAGTGAGGGGGTGTCTTTTCTTGCGATATCAGACTGCTCTGCTAATGGGAAATCTAGATTGTAAAGGGCTTAGGCTCAGTAAAATGATGAGAGATAGGAAGTGTATGCGAAAGATATTAGAGAAAGACTATAGTCATTATTTAATTTTGATAAAATAATGGAGTAATACAGGCTTAATTATGGCTGTTAGTAAAATCAAAATGCATAGAAGTATTGTAAATTAACAGGAAGAAAAAGGATGGAGAGGAAATGGAAGAGAAAGTTGACTAAGCTGGCAAAATTAATAACAGGTAAAGAAAAGAAAATAACAATAAAATGTGTTAAATAGTACATAAATTTAAAAAATAGTAAATAAGATACATTAAATAACTGGCATGTTAATTATCTCAACAAATTTGAATATATTTCTATATCAAATAATCAGAAGCGTAGAAAACAAAGAAATTTAATATTTCATTGTTTTTAAGAAAGATGTAAAAATAACATGGCAAAGAAAAGTCAAAATATTTAAAGACTGATAAATTTGTAACAGGCAAATGCAAAAGTAAAAAGGAAGCAAGAAAGGAAAGAAGGAAAGAATTCAGACAAAGCAGAATTCAAGGTTAAAATTATTAAAGAGGACTTCGAAAGTAGATTTCAGGCAGGCCTCAGGTTAGATTTGGCTAAGGGATGATGCCCCTGAGAAACTGATGTGCTCTCTGCTTACCACTCCCTACACACTGGGGAATGGGATAAGGCTGTTTTGTACCAATTTCTTGTACCTGGTCAGCAGTCAGGAAAGGTGCCAGATTTTCTAAGCCTGGGTGGCCTTGACAAGGGAGAAGTTCTTTCTCAAAATCACAGACAAATACTTACCCGATGCAGGTGATACTCATGACTGCTTTATGGCATAAAGATAGTAAAAAGTTTTAAGAAATGATGAACATGGGATAAGATAACATTTTGGTTCTATGCAAATTGTTTTTTAAAAAAACAACAAAATTAATGATAAAAGAAACTGAAAATGATGATGATAGGTTAATTTACCCAAGCTAATCTTGAAACACAAAATCAAAGCAAATCACACTAACATTGAACAAAATGATAGAGTTTTCAAAGGGCCACCTCTTCCAAAAAAGCATTGAACCACAGAGTTAAACAGGTGAATTCTAGAAGATCATTAACAAATAGAAAACTCTAATGTTATTTCAGGTTTCCCAGTACGTAGAGAATAAGTAAGACTGAAAATATTTGTTTTTTCTTTTTACACCTGTTTATGAGGTCAATCTTAAAACTGCAACAGGATAATAAAAGTTACAGGCCAATCCCACTTATGAAAGTTAACGCAGGAATGCAAATGAAATGTTAGCACATGAACATACGAGATTCATTGCAATGATTCAAAGGTGGATAAATACAATCACTATGTTTTGGTCAGTGATGGACCACATATATGATGGTGATCCCATAAGATTCTAATCGAGCTGAAAAATTCCTATTGCCTAGTATTTAGTATATTATACTTTTTATTGTCATTTTTGAGTATATGCTTCTACTTATTAAGAAAAGTTAACTATAAAATGGCCACAAGCAGATCCTTCAGGAAGTTTTTCAGAAGAAGGCCTTGTTATCGTAGGAGATGACAGCTCCACACATGTTATTGCCCCTGAAGACCTGGGACAAGATGTGGAGGTAGAAGACAGTGATATTGATGATCCTAACCCTGTGTAGGCCTAGGCTAATGTGTGTGTTCATGTCTTAGTTTTCTTAAACAACAGTTTAAAAAGTTAAAGAAAACCCCAAAATTTAAGAATAATAAAAAGCTTGTAGAATGAGGATATAAAGAAAATAGTTTCATACAGCTGTACAATGTCTTTATGTTTTTAAGCTAAACATTATTACAAGAGTCAAAACATTTAAAAATTAAAAAGCTTTTAAAGATAAAAAATTACAGTAAACTAAAGTTAATTTATTATTGAAGAAAAATAAGATTTTTACATAAATTTAGTGTGTCCTAGGTGTACAGTGTTTTATAAAGTCTACAGTACAACAGTAACGCCTTAAGCCTTCACATTCGCTCACCACTCACTTACTGAGGCACACAGAGAAACTTCCAGTTCTGTAAGCTCCATTTATGGTCAGTGCCCTATACAGGTGTACCATTTTTTGTCTTTTCTATTATATTTTTACTATACCTTTTTCATGTTTAGATATGTTTAAAAGCACAAATACTTGCCATCATGTTACAATTGCTTGCAGTATTCAGTACAGTAACATGATGTACAGCTTTGTAGACTAGAAGCAATAGCTACACCTTATCACCTAGGTGTGTAGTAGGCCATATCATCTAGGTTTGTGTAAACACACTCTTGATATTTGCATGATGACAAAGTCACTTAAGGATGAATTTGTCACAACGTATTGTCATCATTAAGTGATGCATGACTGTAAAATGAAATCCATTATTATGATTAAGCAGAAGAATAAATCAAAGAAGTTGGACTCTATGCTATTTTCATAAACACTGAAAAGATTTCAATTAATATGATATTTATTTATTTATTTTGAGATGGAGTCTCACTCTGTCACCCAGGCTGGAGTGCAGTGGTATGATCTTGGCTCACTGTAACCTCTGTCTCCCAGGTTCAAGTGATTGTCCTTCCTCAGCCTCCTGAGTAGCTGGGACTACAGGCATGCACTACCATGCCTGGCTAATTTTTGTGTTTTTAGTAGAGACAGGGTTTCACCATTATGGCCAGGCTGGTCTCGAATTCCTGACCTCAAGTGATCTGCCCACCTCAGCCTCCCGAAGTGCTGGGATTATAGGTGTAAGCCCAGCCTGATATTTATTCTTCATAAAAACATTGAATAAAATATGAATGAGTAGACATTTAATGACTGTGTGTGTGTGTGTGTGTGTATCCAGCATCAAGCTCACCCTCAAAGCACTGGATCATTGCTATTCAAGTCAGGAACAAGATATTTTAGATAATGGTGAGACTGGTTATTTGGATAAAATTTCCAGCTGATATGATAATATTATAGATTAAACACTTAAAGATTAAATACTTAAAACATTACCTTAAAAACATTAAAAGTATTGCAAGAAATTGATGAATTTCCAGAAAAACATTCTGGAGGAAAGTGTGAACCCTGAAAGCCTGAATGCTGGAGAGGTAAGCAAATATCTAAGCACAAAAGTTGCTGTTACCTAAATGAATTTTCCAGCCGTATTAAAGGGGATAGGAGCCAGGGACCAGAGCCTGTCCAGTGGGGAGTCTTTCTGAAGACTGTCTTTACATTTTACACTGTGGTTAAAAAAGGACACACACTCAGGGTAAGAGAATGCCAAAATCTATGTGTCTTTTTTTTTCTCCTGTCAACTCTGGGTTGTGGGAAAGATCACCTTGGTCCTGATCAGAACAAAGGTTGTGGGTAGGAAAAAGTACAACAAAACATCACTGAGAATCTGTGGCTACAGATAGGTTCTTTTTTTGTTTTGTTTTGTTTAATTTTATTATTTTATTATTATTATACTTTAAGTTTTAGGGTACATGTGCACATTGTGCAGGTTAGTTACGTATGTATACATGTGCCATGCTGGTATGCTGCACCCACTAACTTGTCATCTAGCATTAGGTATATCTCCCAATGCTATCCCTCCCCCCTCCCCCCACCCCACAACAGTCCCCAGAGTGTGATGTTCCCCTTCCTGTGTCCATGTGATCTCATTGTTCAGTTCCCACCTATGAGTGAGAATATGCAGTGTTTGGTTTTTTGTTCTTGTGATAGTTTACTGAGAATGATGATTTCCAATTTCATCCATGTCCCTACAAAGGACATGAACTCATCCTTTTTTATGGCTGCATAGTATTCCATGGTGTATATGTGCCACATTTTCCTAATCCAGTCTATCATTGTTGGACATTTGGGTTGGTTCCAAGTCTTTGCTATTGTGAATAATGCCGCAATAAACATACGTGTGCATGTGTCTTTATAGCAGCATGATTTATAGTCCTTTGGGTATATACCCAGTAATGGGATGGCTGGGTCAAATGGTATTTCTAGTTCTAGATCCCTGAGGAATCGCCACACTGACTTCCACAATGGTTGAACTAGTTTACAGTCCCACCAACAGTGTAAAAGTGTTCCTATTTCTCCACATCCTCTCCAGCACCTGTTGTTTCCTGACTTTTGAATGATTGTCATTCTAACTGGTGTGAGATGGTATCTCATTGTGGTTTTGATTTGCATTTCTCTGATGGCCAGTGATGGTGAACATTTTTTCATGTGTTTTTTGGCTGCATAAATGTCTTCTTTTGAGAAGTGTCTGTTCATGTCCTTCGCCCACTTTTTGATGGGGTTGTTTGTTTTTTTCTTGTAAATTTGTTTGAGTTCATTGTAGATTCTGGATATTAGCCCTTTGTCAGATGAGTAGGTTGTGAAAATTTTCTCCCATTTTGTAGGTTGCCTGTTCACTCTGATGGTAGTTTCTTTTGCTGTGCAGAAGCTCTTTAGTTTAATTAGATCCCATTTGTCAATTTTGTCTTTTGTTGCCATTGCTTTTGGTGTTTTAGACATGAAGTCCTTGCCCATGCCTATGTCCTGAATGGTAATGCCTAGGTTTTCTTCTAGGGTTTTTATGGTGTTAGGTCTAACGTTTAAGTCTTTAATCCATCTTGAATTGATTTTTGTGTAAGGTGTAAGGAAGGGATCCAGTTTCAGCTTTCTACATATGGCTAGCCAGTTTTCCCAGCACCATTTATTAAATAGGGAATCCTTTCCCCATTGCTTGTTTTTCTCAGGTTTGTCAAAGATCAGATAGTTGTAGATATGCGGCATTATTTCTGAGCATGATCAAGTGGGCTTCATCCCTGGGATGCAAGGCTGGTTCAATATACGCAAATCAGTAAGTGTAATCCAGCATATAAACAGAGCCAAAGACAAAAACCACATGATTATCTCAATAGATGCAGAAAAGGCCTTTGACAAAATTCAACAACCTTTCATGCTAAAAACTCTCAATAAATTAGGTATTGATGGGACATATTTCAAAATAATAAGAGCTATCTATGACAAACCCACAGCCAATATCATACTGAATGGGCAAAAACTGGAAGCATTCCCTTTGAAAACTGGCACAGGACAGGGATGCCCTCTCTCACCACTCCTATTCAACATAGTGTTGGAAGTTCTGGCCAGGGCAATTAGGCAGGAGAAGGAAATAAAGGGTATTCAATTAGGAAAAGAGGAAGTCAAATTGTCCCTATTTGCAGATGACATGACTGTATATCTAGAAAACCCCATCGTCTCAGCCCAAAATCTCCTTAAGCTGATAAGCAACTTCAGCAAAGTCTCAGGATACAAAATCAATGTGCAAAAATCACAAGCATTCCTATACACCAACAACAGACAAACAGAGAGCCAAATCATGAGTGAACTCCCATTCACAATTGCTTCAAAGAGAATAAAATACCTAGGAATCCAACTTACAAGGGATGTGAAGGACCTCTTCAAGGAGAACTACAAACCACTGCTCAAGGAAATAAAAGAGGATACAAACAAATGGAAGAACATTCCATGCTCATGGGTAGGAAGAATCAATATCGTGAAAATGGCCATGCTGCCCAAGGTAATTTACAGATTCAATGCCATCTCCATCAAGCTACCAATGACTTTCTTCACAGAATTGGAAAAAACTACTTTAAAGTTCATATGGAACCAAAAAAGAGCCCGCATGGCCAAGGCAATCCTAAGCCAAAAGAACAAAGCTGGAGGCATCACACTACCTGACTTCAAACTATACTACAAGGCTACAGTAACCAAAACAGCATGGTACTGGTACCAAAACAGAGATATAGATCAATGGAACAGAGCAGAGCCCTCAGAAATACAGATAGGTTCTTTGCAAATTTGAAAGTTTGCTACATAAGCCATGGTGGTCTAGGCAACCTCAAGCCATGAACCTGGCTTCAGTTTCCTGAAAGAAACAAATGTCTGTGCTCCTTTTTGGGCAGGGTGGGGGAATAAGCATTCTAAAATAATTTTTAAGTGCATAAATCTGCTCATAAAGTTAACCAGACATGTTAGGGAAACACATTCCATGAACAAGAACCAGTGAAAACATAAACAGACTGATAGGCCATCTCAGACTCCAGATATTAGAATTATCTAATCTAGATTATAAAAATATTGGTTAATATGTTTAAAGAAATGATCTAAAAATGTGAAAGCATCTATACAGAACAGGAATCTATAAAACGGGACAGATTTTTTGATAAAAATTTAAAACTTCTAGAAATGAAGATGATCATATCTGAAACTTAAAATTCAATGGATATGATATGCAGCTCGCTGCCTAGCCCAACAGAAGAGAGAATAAATAAAATAGAAATTAGAACATAAGACATACAGTAAAGAGAAATTTAACAATATATTTGTAATTGGTTTGTCATACATGTGGGTTCCACACACATGGTTTCAGCAACCGCGGATGAAATATTTTGAAAAAAGAATTGTACTGTTGCATCTGTAGTGAACATTTACAGATTTTTCTTTTCTTCTTCTTGTTCCCTAAAAAATATGGTATAAAAACTATTTATATAGCATTTACACTGTATTAGGTATTATAAATATTCTAGAGATGAGTTAAAATATATGGGAAGCTATGCATAAGTTATATGCAAATAGTATGTCATTTTATATAAAGGAGATGAGCATCCTCAGATTTTCGTATTCTTGAGGCAGCGGTTCTGGAACCAATTCCTTCAGGATACCAAGAAATGACTAAATATAATAGAGATACAAAACTTTCAGAATAGAAGGACTAACTTACATCTATTCAAAATCACAGAAATAGGAAAGATATTATAGATTAATTGGAAAATACTTTTAAGTAATAGGTGATGAAAATACTACATATCAAAATTGGTGGTATGTAGCTGAAATATTTTCTAAGGAAAACATATATTCAACTATGTATAGTAAAAGGGAAAACTGACAGAAATTTAATAATTGAATATCTATTTTAGGAAATTAGAGAATAAACAGCAGAATAAAGCCCCAAGAGTGGAAAAAAGAGTATAATAAAGATAAGATAAATTTCTTAAAGAAAAAAGAAAAATACAGTAAAAGAAACACAATGTGAAAATGATTCAAATGTTGAAAAAATCTGGTAAGATAGATTAATAAAAAAGAAACAAGACATAAATAACCAGTGTCAAGAAAAAGTGTTATCACTACAGAAACTAGAGACAGTAAAAAATTAAAAGAAGATTTTAGAAACAACTTTATCACATATATATTTTGAAAATCTAGATAAACTGGGCAAATTCCCAAAATGTTTCTAAGAAAAAAAATTTTTTTTGAGCCTGGTCTTGCTCTGTCACCCACACTGGAGTGCAGTGGCGCGATCACAGCTTACTGCAGCCTCAAACTACTGAACTCAAGCTATTCTCCCACCCCAGCCTCCTGAGTAGGTGGGACTAAAAGCATGCACCACCACACATGGGTCTTGCTATGCTGCCCAGGCTGGTCAGAAACTGCTGGCCTTAAGTGATCCTCCCTGCTTGGTCTCCCACGGCACTAGGATTACAGGCCTGAGCCACCATGTCTGGCCTATTTTTAAAAAACTGAATAAAACTGTCACCATTAAAGAAATTGAGAAAATAATTTAAAACCTTTCCATAATCCACAACGAAAATCCTAGGCTCACATGGTTTCACTAGAGAGTTAAAATAGATATTAAATGAAACAAAAATTCTCAGCTATACAAACTCTTCCAACAAACAACAACAAAAATAAGTTATATTCTCCTACTAATAGTATGGAGGATAGCATAATTGGGTTACCAAATCATAAGACAAATTGTGAAAAAAATATTACATGACAACTTTATTTACTGACATGGATATAAAAATCCTAAATAAAATATTAGCAAATTGAATCCAGTGATTATATAACTTTCTATCTTTTCAAGTAAAATTTATGGGACACCATAATTTGAACTGAGCTCGCGCAGTAGGCCCCAATAGGCCAAAACAAAATGGAGTGACTCATGCTAAAGTTTCATGTCTCCGAACTGAAGCTAAGTTGTTTATCCAGCCTTCTAAGAAATCAGGATAGACCTGATTGCCAAATTTCCAAATCAGCCGGTTTTAGCTGGCATGATGAGGAAGTTCACTCTGTTTTAACCCTTACAAGGAAATAAACTTTAAGTACTTAGATGTTAACAAATTCACTTTTTATATTCTGCTGTTTCCTCATTTCTGCTCAAGCTACCTTATAAAAACCTACTGCTCTGTCATGCCCATCAGAGTACCTTATCTAAATTTTTAGATGAGATGCTGCCCTGATTCATGCTCCTGGAATAGAAGCCAATTAGATCTTTAAACCAAATTGTTGAAATTTTATTGCTTTACAGTCTTTATCTCCATATTTGTCCCTATTTATCATCACTTAGTTGGATTTATTCCAAGACAGCAAAGTTAATTTAACATTAGAAACTTAGTTATTGTAGTTCACCCCATTAACAGATTGCAAGAAAAAAAATAATATGACCACATTAGTCTATGCTGTACAGCATTTGATAAAACTCAACATTCATTGTTAAAAGTCTTAGGGAACTGATAATAAAAGGGAAATAAAGCCTTAACCTGATAAAGGTTATATCTGTAAGGTTAGAATAATGATTAAACTTAATAGTGCAGTGTTTAAAGCTTTTCTTCAGAGAAAAAGATATCCACTATTAAAACAAAAACACACAAGAAAACTTCTATTGAGCATTGAATATAACTAGTCTAGTAAGACATAAAAAAGAAATAAAGGATTTGCAGAGTGGAAAAAAAGGAAAAAATGAAAATATACTGAGCAAAATGCTATAATTGTGTAAGTAAAAAAAATAAAATGTATTGACAAATTATTAGAATGTCTAAAAACACGTAAGTCAATTATATTATGTATATTATTAAAAACTAGACAATACAATTTCAAAAGATACAATTTACAATAGTTTAAAAAATTACTGATAACAAATATAGCAAAAATAAGCACTGATGTTTTAGGATAAATTTATAAGTTTTATTGAGACAAATAACAGCTAAGTAAATACATCAGTTTTATAAAGATGTTCCCATAATTAAAGTATATAGTCACTATAATCTCAATTGAAATCTTCACAGTTTTATTTTTGTAAATTTACAAACTAATTTCATGATTTATTGGATATACAAAATAGCAATAATATTGCAGATCTCTAAAAGAAGAGTAGGGTGTGAGGTTTCCTTTATCTAATATTAATTAAGAATTACTATAATGATATAAAATTAAGAATGTGGTATTAGCATATGGATAGATAAATAAATCTTTGCAGCAGAATAGGGAGCCCCAAAATATAAAAACATTATGGACACTTGATTATAACAACCTGATATTACAGAGCAGTGGAGCAAGAAAAATGTTTTAATAAGTGATATCAGGAAAATTTTGTATCTTCAGGGGAAAATGTTAACTGGGCATCTGCCTCACACCATTCGTAAAGGGATCAATTTCAAGTGGATGTGAAAAGCTAATCTATACCTGTTAGAAGATAATACAAGACACGATCTTCATTATTTGAAGATTAAAGCAGGATTTCTCAAACAGGACACCAAAAGCATTAATAACAAAAGGAAATATTAATAAATTGCACTATATGAAAATTAACTACTCTCTTGGTTCACAGTTATCATTAAGAGAAATAAAGTTAAGACATAAAATAAATATTTGCAATTTCTATAGACAATAAACAAAAGAATACATATTTTATACAAATTGTAGCACATTATACACACTTTTCAACATCTTTCTTTTCATTAAAACAATATATCTTGGAGATTTTTTATGTTTAAATGCACAGTTATGAACCTGCCTCTAAAATTTGTGTTGTTGTTTGTTGTGTGTCTTGCTAGCTCTGTTGTTTTTCTGATAAGTGTTATACCTCTTTTTGGGTGCCTTATGTTTGGTTAGAATTCACTGTGCTCTAGAATTTCTCATACACCTACACATAATCCATATAATTAATATATAAAAACACAACTAAAAACATATTTTTCACATCTAGCTATGTCTTTATTCTCAGTTTAATAGTCATTTAAAAATGTATTGAGATAAAAAAAGCTAATATGATAGTGCTTATAATACGGCTCTTGATATTTTAAGTGCTTTACATATATTTATTTCAGTACTAATAACAACATTCTAATGTTCACACTATTATTAAATCCATTTTACAAAGATATGAAGATAAACGGATGCTGATCAATGTCCCATAGCTAGTAAGTATCAGAACAGAGATTTGAACCAGAGCCAGAGATTTGAACTCTGGCTTCGGAGATTATGCCCTTTGCCATTATATAACACAATTTAAGTATGCTAGGAATTCACATGGCAAAAGGAGGCATACAGGGACAATTAGCTTCCTTCTAGTTTCTCTCCTCAGAACAACCACTGATTCCAAATTCCAGTGTGTTTTTTGGTCTATTTCAGTTTGGGCTGCTATAAAAAAATACCACAGACCAGGTGATATGTTGAAAACAGACATTTATTTCTCACAGTTGGAGGCTGAGAAGTCCAAGATCAAGGTGCCAGCAGGTTCAGTGTCTGGTGAGGGCCTTCTACTTGGTTTTATCCCAAGGGAGAGAAATTTTATATCTCTCCTTTATTATTATTATTGTTATACTTTAAGTTTTAGGGTACATGTGCACAATGTGCAGGTTTGTTACATATGTATACCTGTGCCATGTTGGTGTGCTATTAATCCCATCATAAGGGCCTCACCCTCTTGACCTAATCTAACCCTAATTACTTCCCAAAGGTCCTACCTCCCAATATGATTATATTGGGGATGAGAGGATCAACACATGAATTAGAAGGAGACACAAACATTCAATCCATAGTACCTTCCAAAAATATTCTGTGCTTCAGCAGCATAAATGTGTATTCATCCATCTACCTCTATCCATCCATCTATTTATCTATATTTTTATATTAAGCAAGAAACACAGAAAGCATAAAAGAGAAGATACATTTGAATATGTAAACAATCTTTAAAAATTGTCTGGATGAAGATGTAATTTTAAAATGCCAAAAGCTAACCAATAAATATACTGAGGAAAAATGAAATGTATATGACAGACACATTGTAAATATCTTCATTATACAAATAATTAGTGCAAAGTAATAATTGGAGGGGAAAAAAACCAAAATAATGGACAAAATATATGACAAAACAATTTAGAAAAAAGGAATCCAAAAGAGATGTATGTATAAAAATGGTTTTTCAGTGTTCTTTGAAGGTGATTTTTGCAGTATTATTTGAAGTGGCTAAAACACTGGAAGCATCTTGAACATTCATCATTGGGGAATGGTTGCTGTTAAATATAAAAGTGTTTCTAAAAAAAAGAAAGAAAAGAATGAGTTAAAGCTAGCTGTTTTGAACTGGAAGAATGTTCATATTATACTCTTAAAAGACAAATGAAATTTGAATAATTTGCATTAGATTATTCCAGTTGTGTTTATAAAAACCCAAATGTGTAAACAAAGACTGCTGTATGTGCATATACGTTGGTAAGAGTTTATATGACTGTAGAAGGTTACATACTGGGCTGCTGTCAGAAATTACTTGTCACAGGGGCAGGAGAAGGAGGTCAGTAATTGGAAGGGAGAGGTGGATGAGAATAATTTTATTCCTTAATGTTGATTTTATCTAATTTATTACAATGATCATATATTTCTATTCTAAATATACATTTATTAAAGAAAGATTTTATCTAACTTATTACAATGATCATATATTTCTATTTTAAATATACATTTATTAAAGAAAATAAAAGTGAATGGAGAGCCTTACTCTAGAGGTATTTGATCAGTTATCTGCAAATAAACTGAGTTCACAATTAAGACAAATTGTAGGGCTTCTTTGAGTAAAATATGCAGCTATAAACAGTGATTTATCCACAGAGCTGAACTAGCGAAAGCCAAGTGAAAACCCACAACATGAAATATGTTACAAAATATTAATTAATGATGAAAACATGGCATTTTCAATTTGTACTTATTGTGATCACTCAGGTAAGTAAACTAGATTAAATATTTTTCTGCTTATTAGTATTTCTATAAACTCGTGAAATTAATTGGGATCTAGTTTTCTTCATTCAGTTTCTATGTTAAAAATACACTTATTTTTTCCAGGCATCAGATTTTGGTGTACCATTTAATTAAACCAGCTATGAAACAAGAGTGGCCCTGGACAGTTTTGGCAACCCAAACAAACTGAAAGTCAGATAGAGACTGCAGCATTGCTTCTCTCTCTTCTCCAGTTAGCTTATTAGGTCCCCCAAAATCTATATGGAAATTAAGTCAGGTGCAAATAAGAAACCCATTAACTCACGAAAACAACAAGAAACCATACAAATAAATTACAGGAAGATTTCGTATTTTAAATGAATACAAATTAACAATGAGACAACTGAAATCTGTAATCCATTGAAACCATCATAACAATGAAATGGATGCAAAAATAAATTAGTATACTTATTACTATGTATTTGTTATTACTGTTCTTTCTTTCAGCCTATTTTCTTTTCCAAAAGTAGCCAATCGAAGCTATATAACCTCTGATATATATTAAACACCTGTTGTTGAAGGTTCTAGCCAGGGCAATTACGGAAGCAAAGAAATAAAAAACATCTAGATTGGAAAGGAAGAAATAATTCTATCTCTATTTGTAGATGACATGATCTTATGTATAGAAAATCCAAAGGAATCTATTAAAACTGTTAGAACTAATAAAGGCGTTCATTCAGGTTTAGGATGCAAGATGAACATACAAAAATCAATTGAACTTCTGTATACTATCAGTGAAAACTCCAAAAATGAAATTGAGCAAACAATTCCACTTACAATAGCATTAAAAGAATAAAATACTTGGGTATAAATTTAACAAAAAAGGGCAAGAGTTGTACACTAAAAACTGTAAAACATTGTTGAAATAATTAAAGATCTAAATAAACTGGTATTTCATTCAGGAATTGGAAGATTTAGTATTGTTAAGATGGGAGTATCTCCAAATTAATCTACAGATAAATGCAAATTCTAAAAATATCCCAGCTGGTTTTCTTGCAGAAATTGACAAGCTGATCCTAAAATTCACATAGAAATTCAAAGAAGCCAGAATAGTTCAAACAATTTTAAAACAGGAAAACAAAGTTAGAGGACTTACAGTTCCAATTTCAAAACTTACTACAAAGCTACAGTAATCAAGACAGTGTGGTACTGGCATAAAAATGTACATATAGATTTATATAGTAGAATTGAAAGTCTAGAAATAAATCCATAAGTTAATGGTCAATTGATTTTTTACAAGGGTGCCAAGACAATTCAAGGAATCAATAGTAATAAAATAGAAAAAATTTTTTTCAACAAATAGGAAGAATTGGATATCCACATGCAAAATTATGAAACTGGATGCCTATCTCAAATCTTAAACACAAATTAACTCAAAATGTATTGCAGATCTAAATGTAAAGGCTAGAACTATAAAATTCTTAGAAGAAAACCCAAGAGTAAATCTTCTTGATCTTGAATTAGGTAATGGTTTCTTAGATTCAACTCCGAAAGCACAAGAAACAAAAGAAAAAATAATTTGAACTACATCAAAATTAACGAATGTTTTTGCTACGAATATTATGAAGAAAGTAAAAGAGCAATCCATGAAATAGGAGATGATATTTACAAACAATATATCTGATAAGGGACTTTATCCAAAATATATAAAAAACCCTTACAACAAAATTTTTTAAAATGACAAATAACTCAATTAACAATTGACTGAAGAATCTGAATAGACATTTCTCCAAAGAAGATATACGAATTGCCAATAAACAAATAAAAAGGTGCCAAACATCACTAGGAAAATACAAATCAAAATCCTGATGACACTAGTTTACACCTACTAGGTTGGCTATGATAAAAAAACCAGGTAATGACAAGTGTTGCAGAGGATGTGTAAAAACCAGAATGCTCATTTTTTTTTGGTGGGAATTTAAAATGTTGTAGCTGATTGGAAAACAGTCTGGAAGTTCCTGAAAACCTTAAATATAAAGCTACTACATGGCCCAGCACCTCTGCACCTACGTATATACTTAAGACATATAAAAGCATATGTCCGCACAAAAACTTGTACATCAATATTCATAGCAACATTATTCAATAATAACCAAAATGCTGAAATAACCCAAATGCCCATTAACTGATGAATGGATAAGCACAAGTGGTATATCCATGCAATGGAATATTATTGAGCCATAAAAAGGAATCAAGAACTCATACAAGCTATACCTTGGAACCTTGAAAGCATTATGTTAAGTGAAAGCATCCAGTCTTAAAATGCCATATATCGTATGCGTCTGTCTATATGAAATGTCCAGAAGAGACAAATGAATAAAGACATAAAATTGATTAGTGGTTGCCTAGGGATGGATGGTAGGGTTTTGTTGGGAGGTAAAGAAGAGTGATTACATTTTTTTTCTTTACAGTGGACAAAAATGTTCTAAAATTAGACTGTGGTGGTGGTTACCCAACTCTATGCATATGTGAAAAAAATTCACTTATACATTCTAAGTAGGTGATATGAATGGAATGTGAATTATATGTCAATAAGATTATTAAAATATAATCTTTAAAACACCCAAAATTACTTATTGTTGAAGGTTTTAAGTCAAGCACTTGATGTACTAGTCTGTGGATAGTTGCCCCTGAAAGGAATGGCAATTCCACACCTTTTGAGAGCCCATTGGAAACAGCAGATGATGGTCCTTTACCTTCGAACATTGTTTGATATTTCCAAAATATGCTTTCTTATATAGACCATCTCAGTTGATCTTTCTAACAATCTTGTAATATAAACACATCAGCCATTAAAATACACAATGGCAGATAAAGAAACAGAGGTTCGAAGAGATTAACTGGTTTTGCCAGACTCATATCCCTAGCAAGCGGAAAAATCATTTTTTTGTCTGCCTATAGGATACATACTTTAGTTTTAATTAATGTTTTAAATTGACCAACAAAAATTGTGTATATTTGTTGCATACAACGTATATATGTTTTTCATTTAACTTTTAAGTTCAGGGGTACATGTGCAGGTTTGTTACGTAGGTAAACTTGTGTCATGGGGGTTTGTTGAACAGATTATTTTGTCACCCAGGTATTAAGCCTAGAACCTGTTAGTTATTTTTCCTGATCCTCTTCCTCCTCCAACCTTCCACCCTCTGCTAGGCCCCAGTGTGTGTTGTTCCCCTCTATGTGTCCATGTGTTCTTATCATATAGCTTCCACTTTTAAGTGAGAACATGCAGTGTTAAGTTTTGCATTCCTGTGTTAATTTGCTGAGGATAATAGCCTCCAGCTCCATCCATTTTCCTGCCGAGGGTATGATCACATTCTTTTTTATGGCTATTTAGTATTCCATGGTGTATATGTACCACATTTTTTTAAATCCAAGCTCTCATTAATGAGCATTTAGGTTGATTCCATGTCTTTGCTATTGTGAATAGTGCTGGAATGGACATATACATGCATGTGTCTTAATGGTAGAATGACTTGTATTCCTTTGGGTATGTGCCTAGATATGGGATTGCTGAGTCAAATGATATTTCCATCTTTATGTCTTTGAGAAATCACCAAGCTGTCTTCCACAATGATTCAACTAATTTACACCCATCAACAGTGTATAATGTTCCTTTTTCTCCACAACTTCGCCAGCATCTGTTATTTTTTGACCTTTTAATTATAGCCATTCTAACTGGTGTGAGATGATATCCCATTGTGGTTTTGATGTGTATTTCTCCAATGATCAGTGATGTTGCACTTTTTTTTCATATGATTGTTGGCTGCACGTATGTCTTCTTTTGAGAAGTGTCTGTTCATGTCCTTTGCCCACTTTTTAATGGGGTTTGTTTTTTTTCCTGTAAAATTGTTTAAGTTCCTTATAAATGCTAGATATTAGACTTTTGTCAGATGAATGGTTTGCAAATATTTTGCCCCATTCTGTAGGTTGGTTGTTTACTCTCTTGATACTTCTTCTGCTGTGCAGAAACTCTTTAGTTTAATTAGATCCTATTTCTCAATTTTTGCTTTTGTTGTAATTGCTGGGGATGAAGGCTACTTGATCATGACAGATAAGCTTTTTGCTGTGCTGCTGAATTCAGTTTGCTAGTATTTTGTTGAGGGTTTTTCAAATCAATGTTCATTGAGGACATTGACCTGAAGTTTTCCTTTTTTGTTGTATCTCTGCAAGGTTTTGGTATCAAAATGATGCTGGCTTCATAGAATGAGTTAGGGAGGAGTCCCTCCTTTTCAATTTTTTGGAATAGTTTCAGTAGGTATGGTACCAGCTCTTCTAAACATAGTGTTTTTGAGATACGCATACTTTGTGAAATGGCTAAATGTGGCTAATCAACACATGAATTACCTTATATGTTTTTGGTGGTGTTAATACTTGAAATCTACCCTCTTAGCAACTTTCAAGAATACAATACATTTTCATTAATTATACATTGTACAATAGATCTCTTCAACTTATTCCTCCTAAGTGAAATTCTGTTTCCTTTGACCAACATCTCCTCAAAGGTCACCCCTCTCCTTAGTCACTGGTAATCACCATTCTACTCTCTGCTTTTATGAATTCTACTTTATTAGATGCTACATATATGTGAGATCATGTAGTAGTTGTTTTTATGTGCCTGCTTTATTTCACAACATAGTTTCCTCCAGGTTTATCCATGTTATTGCAAATAAAATAATTTCTTTTTTTTAAGGCTGAATAGTATTCCACTGTATGTATATACCACTTTTAAAAATGCATTCATCCATTGATGGACACTTAGTCTGAGTCTATATCTTGGCTATTGTGAATAATGCTGTAGTAAACATGACAGTGTATCTCTTTGACATGCTAATTTCACTTAAATAAAAAAAATCTTAATTCAGTGTTCTTCCACCACTCCTGGCTGACTTGGATTTTTTTCCAAAATGATTGCCAGCTGCATCCACCAAGGTGAAAACACTGGAATTGAGCATATCTGACATATTTTTCTATATTTTTTTCCTCCTGTTGAGAGGAATGTCCCTCTTTTCTACACTTGAACAATTTTGCACCTTGGATATGAAACTATGATTAGTGACCATGAATTTTACTCATGCAAGGAAAATTAATTACCAGAATAAGGAGAGTACAGAATGTAGGATTCCAGTGGAAAATGAAATCTAGAAGGGAAACAGGACAAGAAAAAGGCAAAAGGAAGTTTTAGAAACCTAAGCATCAGGTACAAGTGAAAAAGAATCTTTCATATAAACTCATGAATCCCCAGCACATGGTACCATATCCTGGGAGGCTAGAAACCTGTCTTTGTGCTCAATAACATGGCGCATTCTGGCAGAGATGGCTATGACCATCTGACTGACTTGGAATGTGATAGGGCAGAAGGGTTAGCAGTTCCAAACATTTGCTTCTCTCAAGGGCTCCAATTTTTTACTCTATGAAAACTTGGCAAGGAGCCCAATTCTGGATTTTCTTTTCTTTTTTTTTTTTTGCTCCCCTTCTCCCTTGCCAACTCACATTGCATGGCAACTGGGAACATGCCTGATCACAAAAAGAAAATTCTGATTGAGGCCAAGCAGTGTACTAAGCCCTAGTTCAACTTTGAGCTTTGCCTCTGACCCAGATACATTCAACCTAGGGACTTAAAAACCACATGTGGCAGTTATATGCGGAAATGGGGTGAAACTGACTTTCTGCCTAACATGCAGAAAGAGATGAAGGTGCCGACAAAGAAGAGTATATCTCTTAACTTTCATATTATTCAAGTAGAGCTGAACTCTGTTAATATTGGTCACACAGAGTTAAGTAATGGCCACATCTCAGCATTTCAAAAATCTCTTACATGTAGCTTAGAGTGCCACAAACATCCCTTGAGTTGTTGTAATACCCAAATCTGTTGAACAGGGAGGCACATCATAAGAGCAATCTGTTGCTCTTTTTAGAAAATATTTAAGAATTTCTATTTTCACTTGATATTAACAAGTCTCTTTGCATTCAGAATTTATTCTGAAATTACCAAGTTGTCATATATGTGTTATCATAGCTCATGTCATTTGACTGGAGATAAAGATTTAAAAACAAACCATGGAGATATTATTTTATTCCAACTCTGTCTGCTGAACGCTGTTATTACAGAAAAAGAGCACAGGTAGCAAATCTTCATCTCCCCCAAATGTACTTCAATACGTTTTAAGTGTTAAAACCTAATTTAAAATAATGTCAGCATCTTTGGGCTGTAGAATATGAAGCTCAGCATCTTTAAATTATTTAAGAGGTCCACAGAGAACCAGTTATGCTTATAATGTCAGATTTACTCAAAGAAAGGGGAGAGAAAAGCAAAGTGTTGAATAAGGGTTTCCTATGCAGTTTCATTGAGTTATTTCTGCATTCTGTAACTACAACAATAGTCCTACCAAATTTTAAAACAAAACCAGATATGCATGTACCTAAGGTTATAAAATCTATTTTTTGTGTTAGTTTTGTGTTTTTAAAGCAAATATTTGCTTGTGTTCTAGCACAGCTACTTTTTTTTTTTTTTGCTTTTATTTACTAATAATAAGATATATCCAAAAAATGCTAAGAAGGGCAGTGTCCCTGCCACCTTTAAAACTTGTCATTATTTCCTTTAAGTAAGAGATAGGCAATTTCTAAATATATATTGTGTATCACTGTCTTGGTTTCCTCTTTTCCAATGGTCTGGGATACAAAATAAGAAACTTTCTCTTGCTCAAGGCAAAGCATACTATATAAATAATTTTAGGAGCATATTAATATACAAAGTCATATTTATTATAACAAATAAAAATCAATAAAACTTATAGTATAATGCTCAGAAGACTTTTTGATGGTCTGGAGTTGTAGGAAATGACAATGAGATTTTTTGAAACTAGGAGCTCTGTCCAAAATGAACATGATAGCATGGTGAGCGTTAATTGTAAATGTATTTATTTCTAGAGTTTCACATAAAACTTTTATGGTATTTTAGAGTTCATTATCAGGAATTGAGTACTTGTGAGCATCACATATCTATCATCTCCTAATAGTTATTCAATCTCTCTTGAGAAATACAGTTCATTAGAACTAAGTAATAATCCTTTAATAACCATCTCCATATTAAGGCCACAGGTGTTGCAGACAAAAAAAATATATCATTAGGGATAGTGAGAGAGATCTGCCAAACTCAGAGCACTATTAGGCCAACCCAAAGGAAACAACTATTGTATCAAAAAACAACTATTGTATCAAAAAATCAGAAGTGGAGAAATGACAACAGATGACTAAGAAACGAAAAGGACCATAAGGGACTATTATGAACAATTTAATGCCAACCAATCTGACAACCTAAAGAATGCATAAATTTTTAGAAAAATACAACCTACAAGGTGGAATCAGGAAGAAATAGAAAACCTAAACAGACCAATAACAAAGAAATTAAAGTAGTAATTAAAAACCTCCCATCAGAGAAAAGCCTAGGACCTGATGCTTTTATAGTTGAATTCTACCAAACTTTCAAAGAGTTAATATCAACACTTCTTAAAGTCTTCCAAAAAATAGAGTGGAGAGAATATTTCCTAATACATTTTACAAGGCCAATATCACCTTGATACTGAAGCCAGACAAAGACACTCCAAGAAAAGAAAACTACAGTTCAATATCTCTGATGAATATTAATGCAAAAATCTTCAATAAAATATTGGAAAATGGAATTCAACAACATATCAAGAACACTATGTATCATCAAGTGTGATTTATCCTTGCTATGCAAGGTTGGTTTAATATATGCAAATCAGTCAGTGTGATATATCACATTAGCAGACTGAAAAAGAAATGATGATATCAATTGAAAAAGAAAAATCATTTGATAAATTTTAATATTCTTTCTTGATAAAAACTCTTAACAGTTTAGGTATAGAAGGAATGTTCTTCAGCATAATAAAGTCCATTTGTGAAAAACCCACAGCTAATGTCTTAAACAATGGGGAGAATCTGGAAGCTTTTCCTCTAAGATACAAAACAAGGATAACCACTTTTGCCACTTGTATTCTACATAGTACTGAACTTATTATTTAGGACTAGTATTAACAAGAGCAATCAGATTAAAAAAAAAGCAAAAGTTATCAAACTCAGAAAGGAAGAAATAAAGTTATCTCTATTTGCAGATGGCATGATCCTATATGTAAAAAACTCCAAGACTCCACCTAAAGATGGTTAGATCTAATAAATGAATTAAGTAAAGTTACAGAATATAAAATCAACATACAAAAGTCCATAGGATTTCTATAGGCAAATAATGACCTAGTTGAAAATGAAACAAAAAAATCTTATTTACTATAGCATAAAAATATACTTAGGACATGTACACTGAAAACTATAGAATGTTGATTTAAAAAGTGGACACACATAAATGGAGAAGTATTTTGTGCTCATGGATTAGAAGAATCAATATTGTTAAAATATCCATAGTACCTAAAGCAATGTGTAGATTCAATGTAATCACTATCAAAACTCTAGTGGCATTCTTCACAGATATAGAAAAAGCAATTCTAAAGTTTATATGGAATCACAAAAGACTCCAAATAGCCAAAGCAATTCTGAGGGAAAAAAAGCTGGAAGCATCATACTTCCTCATTTAAAATTATATTACAAAGCTATAGTAATCAAAACAGTATGGTACTGGCATAAAAGCATAGAGCTAGACCAGCGGAACAGAATATAGAGCTCGGAAATGACTCCAAACATGTATGATCAACTAATTTTTGACAAGAGCACCAAGAAGACACAATGGGGAAAGTACAGTCTCTTCAAAAAATGATGCTGGAAAAACTATTTCCACATGAAAAAAATGAAATTGGACCCTTATCTTATGCTATACATGAAGATAAAATCAAAATGAATAAAATACCTAAATGTAAGACCTGAAACTGTAAAACTCCTAGAAGAAAACACAGGGGAAAAGCTTCTGGACACTGGCATTGGCAATGATATTTTTTGGTTATCACACCAAAATTCAGGCTACTCAAAAGTAAAAAGAAATAAATGGGACTTCATCAAGCTTAAAAGTTTATACACAGCAAAGGAAACAATCCACAAAATAGAAAGGCAGCCTATAGATGGAGAAGAAATATTTGCAAACCATATTATCAGATAAAAGTTAATATCCAACATTTATGAAGAACTCATACAACTCAATATCAAGAAAACATATAACCTTATTAAAATATGAGCAAATAACTTGAATAAATATTTCTCCAAAGATAACATTAAAATGGCCAACAGGTACATTAAAAGGTGTTCAATATCACTAATCATCAGGAAAATGGAAATCAAAATCAAAAACACTGAGATACCACCTCACATCTGCTAAGATGGCTAATATAAAACAGACAAGAGATAAGTGTTGGCAAAGCTGTGAAGGAAGGGAAACCCTTACACACTGTTAGTGGGAATGTAGATTGTTACAACCATTGTGGAAGACAGTATGGGAGTTTCTAAAGAAACTCAAAATAGAACTACTATCTGACCTAGAAATTCTTCTTCTGGGTATATACCCAAAGGAAATAAAATCACCACCTTGTAAAGATATCTGCACTTCCATGTTCATTGCAGCATTATTCACGATAGCTAAGATATAGAAAAAACCTTGGTGCCTGTCAGTGGATGAAAGGATAAAGAAACTTTGGCATATATACAATGGACTTCTTATTCAGCCTTTAAAAATAAAAAAATTTGGCCGGGTGCACGCCTGTAATCCCAGCACTTTGGGAGGCAGAGGTGGGTGGATAATTTGCACTCAGGAGTTGGAGACTAGCCTGGCCAACATGGTGAAACCCTGCCTCTACTAAAAATACAAAAATTAGCTGGGCGTGGTGGCAGGCGCCTGTAGTCCCAGCCACTGGGGAGTGTGAGGCAAGAGAATCACTAGAACCGGGGAGGTGGAGGTTGCAGTGAGCCAAGATCACGCCACTGCACTCCAGCCTGGGTGACAGAGTGAGACTCTGTCTCAAAATAAAATAAAATTAAATTAAAAATTAAAAATTTGCCACAACAGGGATAGACCTGGAAGACATTGTACTAAGTGAAATTAGCCAGACACAGAAAGAAAAATATTACATGATCTCATTTATTTTAAAAAGTCAAATACCTGGAGATAGAGAATAAAACAGGTCAGATCTGTAGACCTGGGGATCTGTAGATCTAATTTAGCACATGAGGACTATAGATCTCTTTGTCAGTACTCTCTGACTTGCTAACTTCTCCTGAAACCAAGATTCATATTCCCATTTGCATCAGTCACTAGAAGCCCATGTCAGTGAAGGCAATTCTTATACCCCGGGCTCTCCTCCATATATAGCTCATGACATCCCTTTTTCTGATGGCAACTCTCATCCCTTATCAGTGTTTAAAATTGTTCTGCAGTGCCCTGTGGAACTGGTATCTCTTAATATCAAAAATTTTTATAGACCCAAACTCTCCTCTGAATATTGCTTTGTTTGTTTATCCTTTCTCTAAGTGAAACTTGACTTTTCACAGAGGACACTGTTCTCTTCTAATGATCTTTAGTAGAGCCTGTTTCCTCTTCATCCCCTTTTGTTGGACTGGATCAATATCAGTGAAAGAACCTAGAACCTCGATTCCTACTTTTAGACCACTGTACCTCTCTTTCCTCCAAAAATACCCCCCAAACCCACCACAATTTACAATCTTACATCATTAGACTATATCACCCTATTTTGTCTTGTTGTAGTCATCTATTGATTCCCAAGTCTTTTCCTCTCATTGTTGAACATTTGGCTAGTTTTATGGTCACTGTCTCTGATACCACTCTGGTTTTGAATTTTGCTTATTTCAGTGTCCATGTAGACTCTCTTCATGCTCTTCCCTTTCAGTTCTTTTAATTGTTCTTCTACAATTTGTGCTTTACCTTATTTCATTTAGTAATTACTCCCATGGCTGACTCCAGACCATGTCATTACCGATAACTCTAACACCCCCCACCTCATCTCAGCTTCAAACATGCCTCTCTGACCGCCACACACTGTCTTTTTAGCTCCCTCTCTACATTGGTTTTCCACTCTGCCATTCCCCTTACCAACGCCTCTCACCGTTCAATCTGCATTTACTCTCTTAGCCACTTTTACTTGCATAATCATTCATTTTAATCGCTCCCTTGGATATATCCTCAAATGTTTTGCCTTATTTTTTGTGGGAACTTATCTGGCAAAACACCAAACTCTATTTCCTTATTTTAAAAGTCTAATGCTCTTTTTCTGAACCATTTCAATGTATGTTGCCAATCTGATGCTCCATTACTCACAAAAACTTTGTCTATTTCCTATAAACAAGCCTGTTCTCCCATATAACCATAATATATAATCATCGAAATCAAGAAATTCACATTAACAGTATCCTTTTGATATCATTCTAATTTTATAGCTGTCTCAATAATGTCCTTTACAGAAAAAGGATCCAGTTGCTCAGTCATTTCTTGCTTTTTCATGTTAGTTTCTTATTGCTTCTAGGACGAATTACCGCAAACTGAGTGACTTAAACAACATGAACTTATTCTCTTACAATTCTGGAATTCAGCATCCTGAAATCAGTTTCAATGGGCACAAATCAAGGTTCTGGCAGGGCTGGAGGTTCTGGGGGGGAAAATCTGTTTCCTTCACTTTTTCAGCTTCGGGTGGCTGCCTGTATTCCTTGGCTGCATCTTCCAAGTGCATCACTCCAATCTCTGCTTCTGTTATCACACTGTCTTCACCTCTGCCTCTGCATCCTCCTGGCTCCCTCTTATAAGGACTGTTGTGATTGCATTGAACCCATGGGATAATCCAGGAAAATATTCCCAATTTAATATCCTCAACTTGGTAACATCTGCAAAGTCCCTTTGCCATATAAAGTTCCAGGGATTAGGACATAGTCATATTTGGGGGCATTACTCAACTTACCATAACTTTCTTATGTTGAGACTTTTGAAGGTTAGAGGCCAGTTATTTTGTAGGACAACCCTCAGGTTGCGTTTGTCTGATATTTCCTCATTGCATTCTATCAAGTTATATATGAATCTGATTTGTTCTAGTGATATTAAATTTGATGCCTTGTTCAAAGTGGTTTCTGCTAGGCTCCTCCACCATATAGTTACACTTCTTCCCTTTGTAATTAATAATTTTTCATGGCAAGGCACTTTAAGACTTTATAAATATCATGCAATTTATCAAACTTTTAATTAATTTATTTCTATCAGCAGGGACTCATGGATTTCTATCTTATAAAATGTTATAAACTCTTATTATCATTGTTTAGTTTCATGCTAAAGTTGTGCCTGAATTCTGGGAGCTGTTTCAAGCTGCTTTCTGGTTTTATTATTTATTCATTTTGTTGATAAATCCTTTTTTTTTTTGGCTGTTATCTGAATACTTCCTTACTGTCTGGCACAGTAAGATATACAAGGCTCCTGTTATATTCTCCTGTCCCAGACCTGGAAGAAGCCATTTCTCCAAGGAATCCTGGTTCCTTTCAGTGGAGAGTGACATGTAGAAGCCAAGATGCTAGTTCTGCTCACGTATTGGGATGTTACTCTTTCTAGATCCTGTCATTGGACAAAGATAGGAAAGATGTACCCCCACCCCCTCCAACACACACACTTGCATTTTACTTAGTTTTGAATTTTTCTGTTTTGAAAACCATGAGTTCACAGAGATATCTCTGTTTCAAGTGCAGTATGGTGGAATTCCATCTGGTCTTTTCTAACCCATCTTGGTAATCCCATTATCCATCCCCAAATTTTTCATTATGCCAAACTGAAACTTTGTACCCATTAAAAATTAACTTTCTATTCTCTCCTTCTCCAATGTCCTAGTAACCACTACTCTACTTTGTCCTTATGAATTTAACTACTATAGGTAACTCCTATAAGTGTAATCATAAAATATTTATCCCTTTGTACCTGACTTAGTTCACTTAATGTGTTCAAAGTTTATCCATGTTGTAGCACGTATCAGAATTTCATTTTTTATTAAGGCTAAATAATATTTCATTGTATGTATAGACAATACTTTAAAATCTATTTATTTGCAAAGACATATTGAAGAATCAACTTTGGTGACCATCAGTGGTGGATTGGATAAAGAAAATGTGGTACATACATATATGTAACATGGAATTCTCCACAGCCATAAAAAAGAATGAAATCATGTCCTTCACAGCAACATATATGGAGCTGGAGGCTATAATCATAAGTGAATTAACACAGGGACAGAAAAACAACTACTGCATTTGTTGATTGACATTTGGATTATTTTCACCATTTGGCTATTGTGGATAATGCTGCTATCTGTTAATGTTGGTGTACACTTAGCTGTTCAAGTCTTTGCTTTCAATCCTTTGAGTATAAACTAGAAGTTAAATTGCTGGATCATAAGACAATTTTATTTTTAAATTTTTGAGGAACCACTATACTGTTTTCCACAGTGGGTACACCATTGTACATTCCCACTAACAATGTACAAGGGTTCCAGTCTTCTCCACAGCTTTTCTGGGAATAGTTATTTTCTGTTTATTGTTGTTGTTTGTTTTTAAATAGCCATCCTAATGGGTGTGAAGAGATATCTCACTGTGGTTTTGATTTGCAGTTTCCTAATGATTAATGATGTTGTTCATCTTCTCATGGGCTTATTGGCCAGTTATATGACTTTTTTTTGGAGATATGTCTGTTCAAGTTGTTTGCCCATTTTTAAATTGGGTTGTTTGCAAAACTAGCATCTTCCTATAGAATTACCAAGACTCTTTAGTCTCTTCTAGTTCTCTCCTTTACTTGAACAATAAGATATCCAGCTTACTATTAATTGCAGAAGGGTAGAGGGGATAAAAAGAGACTGAGATGAAAAATATGTTTCTAAAATACTAAACCCGTTGGACAGCAAAAAGACAATTCTGTTTGAGGAGAAATAGCATTTTAGTCACTTAAGTATATTTAGCAACTTCTATGTGTCAAGCATTATCCTAGACACTGGAAGGAATTTTTATTAAGTAAAAAAATTAGATGTAAATATGATTAGCTTTGTTGGTAACAGGAGAAAGAACCACATTTAAAAATATTATATTTTTATCTTCTTTTCTATTGAGTAATGTTATCTACATACACACTTGTGTAAATAACATACTCGATGCATTGCCCAAAACAAAACTTCAATATGTATCTATTCAATATGTATTTTTATTTAGAGTGCATATGTAAAGTACTATTTGATTTATCAGAGGTAAAATGTATAATGATGCTAAAATTGGTAGTATGGAGTTATTCTGCCACAGAAACATTCTAAATATTTCTCATGGAAACTGACTTTTGAGTTTTCCAAATACTTTATGTTGGAGCATTAAGAGTAAAGGAAGATACATTTGCAAAAGGATTATTCATTAATCTCTAGTGTTAGTGAGTTACCAGGAGCAGCATATCAGAGAGAAAGTCATAGAGAAATGGGTAAAACAACACAGAAAAAAGTCACAAACTGACAATTATTTTCGTGCCTTCATGTGTCTTTATATCCATTTCAATATTACCACCATGTTTTCTTCATCATTAGATGTCTGTCTCCATAAGGTTATAGAGTAGAGTGAAACTAGAGACTTACTTTGCTGACAATAGCAGTTTTTCTGTCTGGTAGAAACACACACACAAAAAGATATTTTAAAAGTATTTGTGTCTTTGCATTCTGGGCTTCTTATGGTTCAATCAATATGGAAACACAAGAATCTCAGTAAGGCGAAGTTAAAAAAAAAGTCTCCTTTGCCTGAAATCTGCATCCAGTGGAGAATGGATTTCAGTTCTTTTTTGTATGAATTACTATTGACATTAAGTATGATGAAGAGTCTAGAGATTCCAAATGGATTAAGCACATGGGACAAATCATTCCTGTGCTCATCTTAGACAACTATCTTTTCCCTTCTCTGTAATATGTCTTTTCCAACCTCTTTTTTGGGCACTTATAGTTTGGTTAAAAAGGAAATGGCCTAAAACTTGAGTTTGTTCCTGATTTCTGCATCCTCTTGACCAAAATTTATTTCACTGCTTTTCAACTATCCCCTTATTTTAGACACAATAATCATTTAACTGTGGCAAAAAACAGGAGAATGAATGCTTCTACATTTCTTCAAGTGCTTACTGTCTTAATGGGATTTCACCTTAAATGATGGTACAAATTAATCATGTTGGAATATAGTGTTAAATATTCATATTAATTCCGCAGACGATGCAATGCTAAAGTATGTTATTCAGTTGGAATGTGACTAAGAAAATAAAAAATAAACACACATCTTACTGAGTAAGAGAAAGGCCATATCATTGCAACTGCTGCTACAGAATAAGCAGGGAGCAAACAAAGTGCCTCGCAGGGCATTTCTTCCTCACATTCTCTTGTAGACCTTGATAGACTGTACTCTTCACAAGATCCGCTTTAGAGGAAGGGATAGGTGGTGGTGTAAGTTGAGAGTAAGGCCAAATTTGGGAACTGGAAAGCCTGTTTTTAACAGTATAATCAGTCTACTTTACTAGTCAGTGCTAAATCAGCAAGCATTTGACTTTAATGAACTTCAGAAAACTTTCCCGTACAGGAGACTGCTCATTTCAAAAGAGGCAAACTGTTTCTTGCAACTTCTACCATAAGAGCACCAGAATAGCTTTTGATTTTACCTGGTTATATTTGTTAGCTTTATCATTTCTGAAACCTTTTCAGACATCCTAATATTTTACTTAGTATATATCTGATTTGCAGTCAGTAGACATAAGGAGCAGATTACTGACCTAAAATAGAAGTCCTGCATGCACAGCATATACAAATCTATTGCAAACTAAATGTTCCAAACAGGCCACCATGCTTTTATGTATGGGACATACAAAAGGCAACATAATGTGAAACATTCAAATCACATCTTATCTTTCTTGTTGGCTTTCTCTAGGTTCTTTATACTTTAATATTTCTTGGTCAATATATTGATGCATCCAATTGTAAAGCGTTCTTTCAAAAATATTTATTCAACATCTACTTTGTGACAGACACCACCCTAGGAATGAACAAAAGGAGATACACCTGGCTTCCTGAAGCTAAAATCTATATATTTCTCTAAAGATAACAAAAAGTTTCTAAACTGCTTTTCAGATAAGAGCTCTCCTAAAAGCTGTATGTCATCTGTGGATTATTATACCACTTTTACCCAATTAATCCAAGTTAATGACTTTACCAGATAATAACGACTCTGATTTAGAAGGAGATAGTCCCTGGACACAAATGTTTTCATTATCACAACTGTGCAGAAAATATTTTTAAGATGAAGACAAATTGATCTCAATTGCAATTCATATGGCTTGATTTGTAATTATGAAGGGATATTAATTAGGATATATAGTTAATACTGTAACCTTGCTATTTTTTTTCCTTAAATATATTATTGGTTCCAAGTTTTTTATGAAAGCATAAAGAGTTTTTTCAATTTTTTTCTAATTGAAGGAACTAATATTATAAAAACTACACTGCATGAAAGAAAAAATGAAAGGACTTTTATATTTCCAGAGTTATTTTAAGAGTTATTTTGCACAATCTGGTAGGTAGAATAATGGCCATCAAAAATGTTCATATCTCACTCCAAGAACTTGTCAATATGTTACCTTATGTGGCAAAAAAGCTTTGCAGATGTAAATTTGGCTAAGGAACTTGAGATGGGGAGATTATCTTGGATTATTTGGGTAAGATCAATCTAATCGCATGGGTTCCTGGAATGGAGCACATTTTCTCAACTATGGGCACAGAAAATGTGAGGCTAGAAGAAGGAATAGAGAAATGCTACACTGCTGGCTTTGAAGATGGATGAAAGGGCGGTGAACTAAGGAATGCAATGAGGCTCTAGAATCCGGAAAAGGTAAGGAAACAGATTGACTTTTATAGCCTCCAGAATGCTGTTCTGCCAATACCTTAGGCCAATGAGAATCATATAAAGCTTCTGATCTAGAAACTGTAGTATAGTAAGTTTGTATTGTTTTGCTAAAGTTGTTGGAATCCAAATGGAGTCACTTGTGTTAAAAACCTTGACAAAGGGAGCTGGGGAAGGCCATGAAGTGGGGCAGTTCTCATACATGAATGCCTGATAACAAAAACTATCACAACAGACTACAAAACCCACAACCTTGCACAAAGGCCATCATAACCTGACACATATACACAGACAAAACACAAAATACTTTTGTGAGGATATCTTCCCAGCAACCACCTATTTAAACTCGAACTGATGCCACCCTTGTTACTGATCCTTATAACCAAGGATAATTATTTCAAAATAATTATGTAATCCTCATTTTTTCTTTAGAAACTTTTGTCTGCTTTTACCTGCTTGAATATGGACATTGTTTACTATGGCATGAATATTGCCATTGCAACTTCCATTTCTGAATAAATATTGTTTTCTTATAGAAACCTTCTGTCTATATGTTATTTAGGTTGAGTTGATGGTGTCAGAAGTGGGACTGAAGCAAGCTTACCTTGGACAGACGGTGGACCCTTGAATGTGTGATATTCACAGAGCCTTTTATGCTCTCTCTTTCTGTGGTTAATCTTCTTCCCTGGTTAATCTTCTCTCAACTTTTCAGACGCCTTATTTTTGATTTCATTCAGGATCTTATTTGGTTGTAAGTCCACCTTAATTGACAGACTTCACATCCCACTTGAGACTATAAAGGGTATTTTTGGCAAGCCCTTTCTGGTAAGTATCCTTTTGGAGAGTACTCTGGTTTCTACAGAATTTACATTCTGTTTCTGAGGCATATCTTTTCTGGTGAATTCACTTTCTATGCAACTAATTTAGTATTTGGTTTATGCTCTTGGCTTAAAATTTTCATAACCACTCTTATTTTGGTTTCATTTTGATTTGGTTATGAATATCTGTAAATAATTTGGCTTTTTTAAAAACATTTTTCCCCTTGCTTATTCCTAAACATCTTCTATAAACAAAAATTAAACATTCTAAATGGTGAATGCAAGATTGCCAATTAAAGCCACTATAGAGGTTACCACCAACCAAAACACTGGTCCAAATTTCTGACATTCCCTGACAGGATTCATAGAATTTTATTTGATGTGGAATGGAATCTTCAAAATTCCAAAGCATGCCAAACTCTCTGGGAATCCAGCCAACTGTACATTCAAATTTTATGGTCCATTCTTGCACACATTTTTAGTCAATGGACAGATTACACCAAGTCTAATTTATTGCCCTTAAAGGGGATCATTCAGACTCTGCAAGCCTGTTTTCCTTAGAACTAAATTAAAAACTGTAACCAACTATAAAATTACATGTAGAGCCTTTGAAGTTCTCTATATTTCTATCTTTTTTTTTTTTTTCTGCTGACTTTGAATCTGCTGACTTCTCTGCTGGTATTAAGATGTAGTCACTCTTTATGACATTTCAGCCAAAGTTAAAAAAAAAGTCTTAAAAGACTTTCAAATTAATGGCTTTACAGATTACAACAGTTTCATGGTAACCAGCAATCTAGACATCTGGGTCATCTTTTGGAAAATGTAAATTTTGGTTTGCATGGCTAGCAGTTGCTTAGGGTGATGAATCAGTTAATTGAAGGATTGATATTCTAAAAAGAAGAATGAAATAAATGTTTAAAAAGTTAGGCTTTCAGATCAAACAAGTCAAACAAACACTTGAACTCACAGAAATAATATGATATCTTTGTCCAGTGCAAAAATTGCTTTGTCTGCCATGCATGGCCAGAAAAAGCCAAAAAACAAAGAAAAAAGAAAACCCAAAAAACTACAAATAAATTTTTCTAAAATGCTTCCCTGCCCATGTTGACTAGTCAGGCAAATCAGAACAGCAAACGAAAGAAAAATTTGTTACTAAAATTCAAGCCTGCTTGTAGATTTTTGTTTCTCTTTATAATTCAGTCAGTACTAACTAAAATGCAAACATTTAAAAATTTACCCCTAAACTAATTTAAAACTGAAAAAAGAACAAAAGAATGTAAAATATAGTTTATAAAAACCAAACTGCTTTATCTACAATTTCAGTCCACAGCCTTCATCAGATTACCTATCAAGGCAAAAAATATTTAGCCATGTGAACAGGTCTCATTTTGTCAGAAATATAATTTGAATTCAACTGACTTTTATGACCTAGCGAGTCTGTCTTACTATATTTTACTGTCTCATAACTAAACTTTCATAAATAAAAATTATGAATTATTTGTTTTTGTGTGTATATATGTATTTCAGTGTGTGTTTACACATATGAACGTGTATTATGTTATATGTTGTGCCTAAATAGTAAAATTTGACATAGTGGGCCAGAATTCTTTAAGGAGTTCTATTCAGATTAGCTTAAATAAGTGAGCACTCATTTAAATTGTTAGAATATATGCTAATTAACTCAAATACCTTTTAGTTTACATTACTTAAGTAAATCTTTGATAAATAACTTGGTTTTAAATTTGTTGATAAAATAAAAATAAAAATTTCTTCAGAATTGTCAACATAGATTTTTGCCTGGGTCTTCTGGTCAGACAGGATTATTGTTTCTGGTAGATGTTTTAAAATTATGAAGCTGTGAAATCACATTAAAAACAGAATAATCTTTGTTTAAGTAATGCTTCGATAAGTAAGACTAACTTAATCTTGTTGTTTTGATGACAACTGTATCTTCTTAAATATCAGCAAAATACTCATGTATTTAATTTTAAGGCTGTTACTTAGGTGAACACCTGATATTCTTAGGCTATGAAAATGATAAACAGAGAAATAACCTGAAATAATGACTAGCTTTGCCTAATTTATCAGTTTTCATAAATAATCTAGGTATAATTGTTAAATAAATTCAGTGTGTGTAAATAGGATAAACATTTGCAAATAATTTTTTATGTAATTTGAAATTTGAAGTTATTTATGTTCAATTAAATAATAAAAACCCATTGAAGTTATAGGTCATTTTCAGATGACCCAGAATTGAGAGGTAAAATAGTAAAACATAAATTTGTAAAAATAAACATAAGTTTATTTGTAGTTTCTTAAATTTTGTACAAAGACTATATTTGGGTCTGTTAATACATATAAAAATTAAATAATGGGAAAATATATTTTAATTATAAAATGGTTTCATCTATAATAAAATACTAATATGTGACAGATAGTTCAAAATTTCTTACTTTCTAGGTTTTCACTAAAAATTAATGTTATTGAGAGTTTAAAATTCTCATTTATATATAATTTTGTATACAAAGCATAACAAAAAAGTAGATGTGTCTTTGGTTAAAAACTATAAAAACAATATCAAAGGTATGTTCTTTATTTTTAAAATTGGCTATATTTAGAGGTTATTTAAAGTTGTGTAAAATGTGCAAGAGGTTTTGATGTAATTCTGAAATCTGTTTTTAAAAATTTTCAACCACCATCAGAACTGCAGCTTCCAGTTTAGAACAATGTTTCTCTCCAGTATAATTTGATTCTGTACTCTTGGCTTTTATTGATGTGTCTGAATTGCGCCAGGTAACTAGCAAGGCAATTTCCCATGTTTTTACTAATAGCCATGTACTTTCCTGCTCAAGATACTGGCTTTCTTGTTTATGTTTTTCTATGATATGGTGTACAATCAAAATCCTGGACACATACTCTTCTTGTTTCTGATCAAATTCAAGTACTTTTCCATCAGGTTTGACTTCAAAACCTCTTGCACATTTTACACAACTTTAAATAACTTGTAAATTTAGCCAATTTAAAAAATAAATAACATATATTTGCTTTTATATTTTTTACCAAAGACACACCTAATTTTTGTTATGCTTTCTATATAAACCTGAAGTCAAAACAGGCTTCCCACAAAGGGACACAATCATACTCTGAGAGACGATGTTTTGTCTTTGTGTTTTGTGTGGGTAGGTGGGTTTTTGTGTGTTTTCCTTTTGGTAACTGGTGTAAGAAACAAAGATTTTATATTTTATCAAGATAATTTTCTATGTTTCATGTTGACTTAATTAGATTTTTAGATTACTTAGGAAAACTGAGCTTTGAAAGGGTTAGAATTTTTTTAAATCTATATAACTTTCTGTATTGCTTTTAAAATCTTTTTATGTTACTCTGGTGAAAATATGGCTATCATTTCACAGTGATTTGTGATTTTGTTTAGATCAGTTGTTTTAAATATTTTGCCATCTTCAACTGGCTTCCCAGCATTAAAAGTTTAAATTAAGTCATTTTGAGATAGAGTTAACTTTGAGGTTTTCAGTTGGTACCCTGGAGAGCCCCACGGGATGTGTCTCTCATCTTGTAGAGATAGTAAACAATTAGGATTATTTGGTAAATTGTAAAAAAAAGCATTGTCAAGTGATAAGTGATGCTAGATCTTTTTGTAACATTTATGACTATGTTATTGATAATAAATGCTCAAAAATTGTATAAAATTCTTTGAAATTTTATATGACATCAGTCATAATTATACTTCTTATGTAGTACATCACAAATAACCAAATTTTCATGTCAACTGCTGATTATAATAAATTTCCACCAAATTTTTAACAAATTATTTATTTATTTAATTTCAGTAGATTTTTGGGGAAACAGGTGGTGTTTGGTTACATGGATAAGTTCTTTAGGTGTGATTTCTGAGATTTTGGTGCACCCATCACCCAAGCAGTGTACACTGTACCCAATGTGTAGTCTTTTATCCCTTGCCACCTCGCACTCCCCCAAGTCCTCAAAGTCCATTTTATCATTCTATTCCTTTGTGTTCTCATAGCTTAGCTCCTATTTATAAGTGAAAACATACAATGTTTGGGTTTCCATTCCTGAGTTACTTCACTTAGAATAATGATCTCCAGTTCCATCCAGATTGCTGCAAATGCCATTATTTCACTCCTTTTTATGGCTGAGTAGTATTCCATTATGTATATCTATATAACTATATCTATATAATAGATTTGCTTTTGGGTTCTTGGTCATGAAGTCTTTGCCTAAGACAATGTCTAGAAGGGTTTTTCCAATGTTATATTCTATAATTTTTATGATTTCAGATCTTAGATTTAAGTCTTTGATCCATCTTGAGTAGATTTTTGTGTAAGGTGAGAGATGAGGATATGGTTTCATTTTTCTACATGTGGCTTGCCAATTATCCCAGCACCATTTGTTGAATAGGGTGTCCTTCCCCATTTTATGTTTTTGTTTGCTTTGTTGAAGATCAGTTGACTGTAAGTGTTTAACTTTATTTCTGTGTTCTCTATTCTGTTCCATTGGACTTTGTGTCTATTTTTATGCCAATACCATGCTGTTTTGGCAACTACAGCCTTGTAGTATAGTTTGAAGTTGGGTAATGTGATGCCTCCAGATTTGTTTTTTCTGCCTCATCTTGGTTTGGCTATATGGGCTCTTTTCTGATTCCACATAATTTTTGAATTGGTTTTTCTAGTTCTGTGAAGAATGATGATGGTATTTTGATGGAAATTGCATTGAATTTGTAGATTACTTTTGGCAGTGTGGTCATTTTCACAATATTGATTCTACCCATCCATGAGCATGGGATGTGTTTCCATTTGTTTGTGTCTTCTATGATTTCTTTCAGCATGTTTTGTAGTTTTCCTTGTAGAGGTCTTTCACTTCCTTGGTTAAGTGTGTACCTAAGTATTTTATTTTATTTTTTATAGCTATTGTAAAAGGGCTTGAGTTCTTGATTCGAGTCTCAGCTTGGTTGCTGTTGGTGTATATAGCAGTGCTACTGATTTTTTACATTTATTTTGTAACTTTACTGAATTTTTAAATCAGTTCTAGGAGCTTTTTGGATTAGTCTTTAGGGTTTTCTTTTCTTTTCTTTTTGAGATGAAGTCTTGCTCTTGTCACCCAGGCTGGAGTGCAATGGCCTGATCTCAGCTTATTGCAACCTGTGCCTCCCAGGTTCAAGTGATTCTCCTGCCTCAGCCTCCTGAGTAGCTGGGATTACAGGCGTCTGCCACCACACCTGGCTAATTTTTGTATTTTTAGTAGATATGGGGTTTCACCATGTTGGTCAGGCTGGTCTTAAACTCCTGACTTCAGGCAATCCACCCACCTTGGCCTCCCAAAGTGCTGGGATTACAGGCTTAAGCCACCATGCCCGGCCATCTTTAGGGTTTTCTAAGTGTACAATTATATCATTGGTGAACAACAACAGTTTGATTACTTGTTTGCTTGTTTGGATCCCCCTTATTTCTTTCTCTTGTCTGATTGCTCTGCTTAGGACTTCTGGTACTATGTAGAATAGAAGTGGTGAAAATAGGCATCCTTGTCTTGTTCCAGTTCTCAGGGGGAAAACGTTCAACTTTTCCCTATTCAGTATAATGTTGGCTGTGGGTTTGTCATAGATGGCTTTTATTACCTTAAGGTACATCCCTTCTATGCCAATTTTGCGAGGGCTTTAATACTAGAACAATGCTGGATTTTGTCACATGCTTTTTCTTCATCTATTGAGATGATCATGTGATTTTTGTTTTTATTTCTGTTTATGTGGTGTATCACATTTATTGACTTGGTATGTTAAACCATTCCAGCAACCCTAGTATGAAACCTACTTGATCATGGTGAATTATCTTTTTGATATGCTGTTGGATTCAGTTAGCTTGTATTTTGTTGAAGATTTTTGCATCTATGTTCATTAGGAATATTGGTCTGTAGTTTTTGTTTTGTTTTGTTATGTCCTTTCCTAGTTTTGGAATTAGAGTGATACTAGTTTCACAGAATGATTTAGGGAGGATTCCTTTTTTCTGTATCTTGTGGAATAGTGTCAACAGGATTGGAGCCAATACTTTTTTGAATGTCTGATAGAATTCAACTATGAATCCATCTGTTCCTGGACTTTTATTTGTTGGCAATTTTTAAAATTACCATTTCAATCTTGCTGCTTGTTATGGGACTGTTCAGAGTTTCTACTTCTTCCTGGTTTAATCTTGGAGGGTTGTATATTTCCAAAAATTTATCCATCTCCTCTAGGTTTTCCAGTTTTTGAGAATAAAGGTGTTCATAGTAGCCTTGAATGATCTTTTGTATTTCTGTGGTATCAGTTGTAATATCTCCCTTTTTGTTTCTAATTGAGCTTATTTGGATCTTCTCTTTTCTGTTCTTGGTTAATCTCGCTACTGGTCTGTCAGTTTTGTTTATCTTTTCAAAGAATCGGTTTTTTGTTTCATTTATTTTTTGTATTGCTTTTTTTGTTTGTTTCAATTTAATTTAGTTCTTCTCTGATCTTTGTTATTTTTTTTCTTCTGTTGGGTTTGGTTTGATTTGTTCTTGTTTCTCTAGTTCCTTGATGTGTGAACTTAGATTGTCTATCTGAGCTCCTTCAGACTTTTTGTTGTAGGCATTTAATGCTATAAACTTCCCTCTTAGCACCGCTTTTGCTGTATCTCAGAGGTTTCGATAGGTTATGTCACTATTATCTTTCAGTTCAAAGAATTTTTAAATTTCCATCTTGATTTCATTGTTGAACCAATGATCATTCAATAGCAGGTTATTTAATTTCCATGTATTAGCAGGGTTTTCAGGGTTCCTTTTGGAGTTGAATTCTAATTTTATTCCACTGTGGTCTGAGAGAGTACTTGATAGAATTTTAATTTTCTTAAATTTATTGAGACTTGTTTTGTGGCCTATCATGTGGCCTATGTTAGAAAATATTCCACGTGCTGATGAATAGAATGTGTATTCTGCAGTTGTTGGGTAAAATGCTTTGTAAATATCTGTTAACTTCATTTGTTCTAGGGTATAGTTTAAGTCCATTGTTTCTTTGTTGGCTTTCTGTCTTGATGACCTCTCTAGTGCTGTCAGTGGAGTACTGAAGTCACCCACTATTACTGTTTTGCTGTCTTTATAATTTCTTTTTTTTTTTTTTTGAGACAGAGTCTTGCTTTGTTGCCCAGGCTGGAGTGTGGTGGCACGATCTTGGCTCACTGCAACCTCTGCCTCCTGGGTTCTAGTGATTCTTTTGCCTCAGCCTCCCGAGTAGCTGGGACTACAGGCATGCACCACCATGTGTATTTTTAGTAAACATGAGGTATCACCACATTGGCCAGGCTGGCCTTGAACTCCTGACCTCGTGATCCACCCACCTCAGCCTCCCAAAGTGCTGGGATTACAGGTGTGAGCCACCATACCTGGCCTATCTCATTTTTTAGGTCGAGTAGTGATTGTTTTATAAGTTTGGTAACTCCAGTATTAAGTGTGTATATATTTAGGATTGTGATGTTTTCCTGTTGGACTAGAACTTCAATCATTATTTGATGTCCCTCTTTGTCTTTTTTAACCATTGTTGCTTTAACATCTGTTTTGTCTGGTATAAGTGTAGCTACTTCCTCTAACTTTGGGAATAATTTTTCCACCTCTTTACCTTAAGTTTATGTGAATCCTTACCTGCTAGGTGAGTCTCTTGAAGACAGCAGATGGTTGGTGAATTCTTATCCATTCTGACTTTCTGTATCTTTTAAGTGGAGCATTTAGGTCATTTATATTCACTGTTAGTACTGAGATGTGATGTACTATTCAATTCATCATACTAGTTGTTGCCTGAATACCTTTTTTTTTCTCATTGTGTTATTGTTTTATAGGTCCTGTGAGATTTATACTCAAGAAGGTTCTATTTTGGTGTATTTCAAGGTTTTGTTTCAAGACTTAGAGTGCCTTTTAGCAGCTCTTGTAAAGCTGGCTTGGTAGTGGCGAATTCTCTCAGCATTTGTTCATCTGAAAAAGCATTTGTTCATATGAATTCTCTCAGCATTTGTTTCTTTCATTTATGAAGCTTAGTTTCCCTGGATGTAAAATTCATGGCTGACAATTGTTTTGTTTAAGGAGGCTAAAAATAGGACCCCAATCCCTTCTAGCTTGTAGGGTTTCTGCTAAGAAATGTTCTGTTAATTTGATAGGTTTTCCTTTATAGGTCACCTCATGCTTTTGCCTCACAGCTCCTAAGATTCTTTCCTTCATCTTAACTTTAGATAACCTGATGACTACGTGCCTAGGCGATGATCTTTTTGCACTGAATTTTCTGGTGTTCTTTCAGCTTCTTGTATTTGGATGTCTAGATCTCTAGCAAGGCCAGAAAAGTTTTCCTTGATTATTTCCTCAAATGTTTTCCAAACTTTTGGTTTTCTCTTATTCCTTGGGAACACCAATTATTTTTAGGTTTGGTTGTTTAACATAATTTCAAACTTCTTGGAGGTTTTGTTCTTTTTTTTTTTGCCTTTTTTATTATTATACTTTAAGTTCTAGGGTACATGTGCACAATGTGCAGGTTTGTTACATAGGTATACATGTGCCATGTTGGTTTGCTGCACCCATCAATTCGTCATTTCATTAGGTATTTCTCTTAATGCTACCCCTCCCCTAGCCCCCCACCCCCCAACAGACCCCAGTGTGTGATGTTCCCCTCCCTGTGTCCATGTGTTCTCATTGTTCAGTTCCCTCTTATGAGTGAGAACATGCGGTGTTTGGTTTTCTGTCCTTGTGATCTTTTGCTGAGAATGATGGTTTCCAGCTTCATCCATGTCCCTGCAAAGGACATGAGCTCATTCTTTTTCATGGCTGCACGGTATTCCATGGTGTACGTGTACCACATTTTCTTTATCCAGTCTATTATTAATGGACATGTGGGTTGGTTCCAAGTCTTTGCTATTGTGAATGGTGCCACAGTAAACATACGTGTGCATGTGTCTTTATAGTAGCATGATTTATAATCCTTTGGGTATATACCCAGTAATGGGATTGCTGGGTCAAATGGTATTTCTGGTTCTAGATCCTTGAGGAATTGCCACACTGTCTTCTACAATGGTTGAACTAGTTTACACTCCACCAACACTGTAAAAGTGTTCCTATCCATGCTCATGGATAGGAAGAATCCATATCATAAAAATGGCCATACTGCCCTAAGTAATTTATAGATTTAATGCTATCTCCATCAAGCTACCACTGACTTTTTTCACAGAATTGGAAAAAAACCCTTTAAATTTCATATGGAACAAAAAAAGAGCCCGCATAGCCACATCCTCTCCAGCATCTGTTGTTTCTTGACTTTTTAATTATCACCAATCTAACTAACTGGGGTGAGATGGTATCTCATTGTGGTTTTGATTTGCATTTCTCTGATGACCAATGATGACAGGCATTTTTTCTTATATCTGTTGGTTGCATAAATGTCTTCTTTTGAGAAGTGTCTGTTCATATCCTTTGCCCACTTTTTGATGGGGTTGTTTGTTTTTTTCTTGTAAATTTGTTTAAGTTCTTTGTAGATTCTGGATATTAGCCCTTTGACAGATGGATGATTGCAAAAATTTTCTGCCATTCTGTAGGTTTCCTGTTCACTCTGATGATAGTTTCTTTTGCTGTGCAGAAGCTCTTTAGTTTAATTAGATGGCATTTGTCTATTTTGGCTTCTGTTACTGTTGCTTTTGGCATTTTAATCATGAAGTATTTGTCCATGCCTATGTCCTGAATGGTATTGCCTAGGTTTTCTTCTAGGGTTTTTATAGTTTTAGGTCTTATATTTAAGTCTTTAATCCATCTTGAGTTAATTTTTGTATAAGGTGTAAGAAAGGGATTCAGTTTCAGCTTTCTACGTATGGCTAGCCAGTTTTCCCAGCACCATTTATTAAATAGGGGATCCTTTCCCCATTGCTTCTTTTTGTCAGCTTTATCAAAGGTCAGATGGTTGTTGATGTGTGGTGTTATTTCTGAGGCCTCTGTTCTCTTCCATTGGTCTATATCTCTGTTTTGGTACCAGTACCATGCTGTTTTGGTTACTGTAGTCTTGTAGTATAGTTTGAAGTCAGGTAGCATTATGCCTCCAGCTTTGTTCTTTTTGCTTAGGATTGTCTTGGCTATGTGGGCTCTTTTTTTGTTCCATATGAAATTTAAAGGGTTTTTTTCCAATTCTGTGAAAAAAGTCAGTGGTAGCTTGATGGAGATAGCATTAAATCTATAAATTACTTAGGGCAGTATGGCCATTTTTATGATATTGATTCTTCCTATCCATGAGCATGGAATATTCTTCCATTTGTTTCTGTCCTCTCTAATTTTCTTGAGCAGTGGTTTGTAGCTCTCCTTGAAGAGGTCCTTCCTATCCCTTGTAAGTTGGATTTCTAGGAATTTATTCTCTTTGTAGTAATTGTGAATGGGAGTTCACTCATGATTTGGCTTTCTGTCTGTTCTTGGTTTATAGGAATGCTTGTGATTTTTGCACATTGATTTTGTATCCTGAGACTTTGCTGAAGTTGCTTATCAGCTTGAGGAGATTTTAAGCTGAGACAATGAGGTTTCTAAATATGCAATCATGTCATCTGCAAACAGAGACAATTTGACTTCCTCTTTTCCTAATTGAATACCCTTTATTTCTTTCTCTTGCCTGATTGCCCTGGCCAGAACTTCCAATACTGTGTTGAATAGGAGTCGTGAAAGAGGGCATCCTTGTTTTGTGCCAGTTTTCAAAGGGAATGCTTCCAGTTTTTGCCCATTCAGTATGATATGGGCTGTGGGTTTGTCAAAAATTGCTCTTATTATTTTGAGATACGTTCCATCAATACCTAGTTTATTGAGAGTTTTTAGCATGAAAGACTGTTGAATTTTCTTGAAGTCCTTTCTGCATCTATTGAGATAATCATGTGGTTTTTGTCACTGGTTCTGTTTATGTGATGGATTATGTTTATTGATTTGCATATATTGAACCAGCCTTGCATCCCAAGGATGAAGCCCACTTGATCGTGGTGGATAACCTTTTTGATGTGTTGCTGGATTCGGTTTGCCAGTATTTTATTGAGGATTTTCACATTGATGTTCATCAGGGATATTGGTCAAAAATTCTCTTTTTTTGTTGTGTCTCTTCCAGGCTTTGGTATCAGGATGAGACTGGCCTCATAAAATGAGTTAGGGAGGATTGCCTCTTTTTCTATTGATTGGAATAGTTTCAGAAGGAATGGTACCAGCTCCTTTTTGTACCTCTCGTAGAATTAGGCTGTGAATCCATGTGGTCCTGGACATTTTTTGGTTGGTAGGCTATTAATTATTGTCTCAATTTCAGAACCTGTTATTGGTCTATTCAGAGATTCAACTTCTTCCTGGTTTATTCTTGGGAGGGTGTATGTGTCCAGGAAGTTATCCATTTCTTCTAGATTTTCTAGTTTATTTGTGTAGAGGTGTTTATAGTATTCTCTGATGGTAGTTTGTATTTCTGTGGGATCAGTGGTGATATGCCCTTTATCATTTTTTATTGCATCTATTTGATTCTTCTCTCTTTTCTTCTTCATTAGTCTTGCTAGCAGTCTATCTATTTTATTGGTCTTTACAAAAAATCAGCTCCTGGATTCATTCATTTTTTGAAGGTTTTTTTGTGTGTGTGTCTCTATCTCCTTCAGTTCTGATCTGCTCTTAGTTATTTCTTGTCTTCTGCTAGCTTTTGAATTTGTTTGCTCTTGCTTCTTTAGTTCTTTTAATTGTGATGTTAGGGTGTCAATTTTAGATCTTTCCTGCTTTTTCTTGTGGGCATTTAGTGCTATAAATTTCCTGGTATGCACTGCTTTAAATGTGTTCCAGAGATTCTCATATGTTGTGTCTTTGTTCTCATTGGTAAATAAAGAACATCTTTATTACTGCCTTCATTTCGTTATTTACCCAGTAGTCATTCAGGAACAGGTTGTTTTAAGAAACTCACTCAAAACCACACAACTACTTGGAAACTGTTCATTTTTTAAAATTGTCTTTTCATTGTCTTTGTCAGATTGAGTTAATTCAAAAGCCTTGTCTTCAAGCTCTGAAGTTTCTTTTTTCTACTTGTTGGATTTTATTGTTGAGACTTCCCAGTGTAATTTGCATTTCTCTAAGTGTGTCCTTCATCTCCAGACGTTGTGATTGTTCTTTTATTTATGGTATCTATTTCTCTGGAGTGTTTTTCATCCATATCTTGTAACATTTAAAAAATTTTTATAAGTTGGTATTCACTTTTCTCTGGTGCCTCCTTAAGTACCTTAATAATTGACCTTCTGAATTCTTTTTTTCTGGTAATTCAGAGATTTCTTCTTGGTTTGGATTCATTGCTGGTGGCCTAGTGTGATCTGTTTGGGGTGTTAAAAAAACTCATTTTATCCTATTGCCAATATTGTTTTTTCTGGTTCTTTCTCATTTGGGTAGGCTATGTCAGAGGAAAGATCTGGGCTCAAGGGCTGCTGTTCAGATTCTTTTGTCACACAGAATGCTCCCTTGATGTGGTACTCTCCCCTTTCCCCTAGGAATGGGGCTTCCTGGGAGCTGTACTGCAGTGATTATTATTTCTCTTCTGGGTCTAGCCACCCAGTGGAGCTACTGGGCTCCAGGTTGGTACTGGGGAGTATGTGTGAAGAGCTCTGTGATTTGATCCATCTTCAAGTCTCTCAGCCATGAATACCAGCACGTGCTTTGAGGAGGTAGCATGGGGGTGAAGTGGACTCTTTGAGGGTTCTTGGTTATAGTTTTTATAGTGCACTCGTTTTCTCGAATGCTGGTTATGCTGGCAGTAAAGTTGTCATGTGGATAGACTCCGGGCCTCTGGTTAGCCAGTATGTTACAGGTGGTGGAGTTAGCTGCTGTTTTCTCCTTTCTTGGGGCAGGGTTGTTCAGCTAAGAGTTGCTATAATGGCTTGTGTCTGTTGGCCTTTAGCCAGGAGATGGCACTTTCAAGAGAGAACCAGCTGTGGTAGTATAGAGAGGACGCAAGCCTGCCCTAGGGTCACCTGTTTAACTATTTGGGCTTCTCTGGTGGTGGACAGGGCCATAGAGCTTCCAAGAGATTCTGTCTTTTGTCTTAGTCTAAAAGGGTGAGTAAAGGCCATCAAGTAGGGGCAGGGTTAGGTGTGTCTGAGCTCAGACTGTCCTTGGGCAAGGCTTGCTGTGGCTGCTGTAGGGTGGGAGTGTGGTTCTCAGGCCAATGGAGTTATGTTCCCAGGGGAATTATGGCTGCTTTTGCTCCATCATACAGGTCACCAGGGAAGTAGGGAAAAGCTGGCAGTGACAGGCTTCACCCAGCTGCCATGCAACCAGAAACGACAATCTCATTCCCACTGTGCTCCCCCAAGAGCATCGAGTCTATATCCAGGCAGCTGGTCTGCAGGGTTGGGAACTTGCCCCGGGCTGCAAACCTTCCTGCTGTGAAAGCATGCAGGGCTTTCAAGCTTTGCCCCTTCCCGCTCAGCTCCTGTGCTCATGTCTGCTCTTCTCCTTCACTACATCCCCAGATTCTGCCCTGGAAAATTTGCGCTTGGTCAAAATCACTGCAAAGTTTAGATGGAAGTTTTCTTCTCCCTGTGGTCTTTCCCCAGTTCCACTGGCAGCCCTCCCCAAGAACCTGTGAGAGATAAAATCAGAAATGAGTTCCCTGGGCTTCCTTGGGGGCTGGGAGCTCCTCCAGGGTTCTTCCCACTGCTTCTTCTACTTTTATATTTCACTCTGTAAATTTGCCTCAGCTCTTGGCAAAGTTAACTTTTCCCTGTTATCTGGCTTTTTAGCTTCCCCGGTGAGGATGTGTGTTTGGAGGGAGACTTTCCCCCTCTCACACTTTAGGCATTCACAGATTTTTGGCTGTTTCTTAGAGTTTGCAGCAGCAAACCACTTCTTTCAAAGGGTCTGTGAATTCTTTTGGTTTTCCTGGTATGTTCCCATGGTAGTTCTTGGAGCAAAAGTTCACGATGTGATTCTCCACACGCTGTTCTATCCACCTGAGTGGGAGCTGCAAGACAGACCTGCCTCTCATATGCCATCTTCCTCCAAACTCACCTCTCCATCAGATTTTTAAACATGGCTGTACTAAGTCTCTGTTATTCATGGTTTTGATTCTACTTTAGAAGCATTTACAATTAGATTCATATAAGAGACACTAAAAAGTATTCTTGAATACAAATTTCTAATAACTTTAAAATCAGTGGACAAAATAAAAAATTTCCAGAACTCTAATGAAACCTGATAAATATATAAACCTGCCAATCAAGGTCAAACAAAAGCAAAATTAATTACATAGTTTAAATAACTGATAAACATAGTGTTTTTTGACTTTTATTTAAAAGGTTGTTTACTTCTTTTATTTTCCATATTTAATAAAATATTATTTGTTAAAACAATCTATACTTTATAGCAATTTGGTAAAGTATATGTTTGTGAACAAAGATGGAAACATTTACCTTTTTCTCCTACTTGATTTTTCCAAAATTTGGAAACTATTCATGAGTATTTGTATGGTAATATGGTTATCTACATAAGTTATATACAAATTTTACTCTATTTTCATAACAGGATACAGTTAACAACATTGGTTATATTACCTATGGTTTGACTAGAATGTCACATTAGAGAAAGTGCATAAAATGCCTGGTTTCAAGGGTTAACAACCTTATAGTGATTGACTAAAAATTGTCACTCCTGACAATCCCCGAAACATCGAGACTACAGATAATATCTAAAGTCTTCCTTGGTTTGGCTTCCCAGCATCAGAAAGTTTTAAAATCTGAAAACCACTTTTCTAGCTGCACTTATATAATAATCAGACAAAAATTAATAGGACAGAAGGAAGATGGAGCAAGATGGCAGAATGGGAGGCTCCAGTGATCATGCCCCCAGCAAGAACACCAACTTAACAACTATCTAAACTTGCAAAACACCTTCAAAAATAAGGTGAGGACTCACAGTACCTGCTTTTCACTTCACATTGCTGAAAGAGGCACTGACGGCATAGAAAAAAACAGTCTTGAATCACTAATACCACCCCTTCTCTATCCCCTGGCAGCAGCTGTGTGGTGTAGAGAATGTTTCCGTGTACTGGGGGAAGGAGAGCACAGCAACTGTGAGGCATTGAACTTGATGCTGTCCTCTTAGAGCAAAAAGGAAAATGACCAAACACAGCTGAAGCCTGCCCATGGAGGGAACATTTAAACTAGCCCTAGCCAGAGGGGAATCACCAATCCCTGTGGTCAAAATTTGAGTCCCTGCAAACCTCACCACTGTAGGCTAAGGTGCTCTAGGTCTCAAGAAAAATTGAAAGTTATTGTAGGCCACAAGAACTGCAGCTCATCTTAGATGAGTCCTAGTGGTGAACTGCTCCCAGAGACAGTTGACTGTTGGAGTGTGTCACCTACTGAGATACCAGCTGGGGTGGCATCACCCCTACTCTCACCCCAGGCTGCACAATTCATAGCTCCAAAAGACATCTCTTTCTTCTGCTTGAGGAGCAGAGAGGGAATAGTGGAAATTACTTTGTCTTGTGTCTTGGATACTGAAACGGGAAAAGTTCCCTTGTCCTCCTCACAGGGCATGTGATGGGGGTGTGGCTCGCTTCTTCAGTGCCCTGCTGCTCAAACCTCTAGAGGAACATACAGACAGGCAGGCTGTGGGGCTCTGACCCCATCGCAGTGTCTAGGGGTGAATGATTAGAGTGCCTGAAGCCCCAGTGGGCATGTGTTACAGGGTGCTCTTTTAGTTTGCCATCTATAGGTGGCTTGTATTAGTCAGCTCCAATTAGATCCTCTACCTTGTTGTTAAGGACAGAGGGTGTTCTGTATCCCAGGGTTTCTTGCCTTGGGTATCAGAAGAATCAGATCACATGTGGGCTTGGAGAATGAATCAAGGTTTTATTGAGTGGAAGTAGCTCTCAGCAGATAGGGGAGCCAGAAGGGAGATAATTTTTCCCTGCAGTTGGGCTGCTTGGTGACCTGGGCTCTCCTATGACTGCCCCAGCCAAACTCTATGTTGTTCTGCCAGTCAGCGGCCTGCTGGCATGCTGGTGCCTGTGCGTTCCTCTGGACGTCCAGCTGCCTGTGTGTTCCTCTGCCGATGTGCTCTTCTCCATATCCAGCCACTTCTGTCCACCTGCTAAGGTCTTGGGAGTGGTTTTTTGTTTGTTTCTTTTTTTTTGATTGAGTCTCACTGTGTTGCCCAGGCTGAGGTGCAGTGGTGTGATCTCAGCTCCCTGCAACCTCTGCCTCCCAGGTTCACACCATTCTCCTGCCTCAGCCTCCCGAGTAGCTGGGACTACAGGTGCCCGTCACCATCACCCACTAATTTTTTGTATTTTTAGTAGAGACGGGGTTTCACCATAGCCAGAATGGTCTTGATCTCCTGATCTTGTGATCTGCCCGCCTTGGCCTCCCAAAGTTCTGGTATTACAGGCGTGAGCCACTGTGCCCGGCTAGTCTCAGGAGTTTTTATAGGCACAGGATGGGGGCATAGCAGGCCAGGATGGTCTTGGGAAATGCAACATTTGGGCATTAGGGTACAAAGGCAAGAGTGCCTGGCCTCACCTAGGTCTGTGGGGGTGGATCCCTAGGCAGGGACCATGCCCTTCTCTACCCAGCACTTCCCTTCCCCACTTCCGTATCATTTAACAGGACAACACACTTCCCTTCTCAGCACTCGCATATCAATACCAGCTCAGCCACAGCAGGATAGGGCAACAGCCAGAGTTGTGAGGCCCTTGTTCCAGGCTCTGGCTCCTAGATGACACTTCTAGATACATCCTAGGCCAGAAAGGAACCTACTGCCTTGAAGGGAAGGACCCAGTACTGGCAGCATTCATCACCTGTTAATTGAAGAGCCTGTGGGCCCTGAATAATCAGGAGCAATACCAAGGTACTACATCAAGGGCTGTGGATGAGACCCTGAGAGTTGTTGGCTTCAGGCAACAGTTTGGCCACAGGATGGTAGAGCACCAATAGGCTCTTGGGGTCCCCTGTTCCAGAACTTAACTATTGGATGGCATTTCTGGACCTGCTGTGGGCCAGAAGGGAGCCCCACTGCACTGAAGGGTGAGTTCCAGACCAGGTAATATTTACCACAAGCTGACTGAAGAGCCTTTGGGCCTTAGGGGAACATTGATGGCAGTCTGCCAATACTCCTCATGGGCCTGTGGTGGCAGTGGCCATGGGGTGAGGCTCCTCTGCCTTTGGAAATGGAAAGAAAGAGTGAGAAGGACTGTTTGGGTGCCAGTTTAGCCATAATACAATAGAAAGAATACCAGGTAGACTTCTCAGGCCTTTGACTCTAGTTCCTGACTCCTAGACAGCACCTCTGGACTCACCAAGGACCTGAGGGATCTTGCTGCCCTGAAGGGAAGGACTCAGGCCTGCCTAGCATTGCCATTTGATTTTAGAGCCCCAGGACCTTGAACAAACACAGGCAGTAGAGAGGCAGTGGTTACAGCAGGCCTTGGGTGATACCCAGTGCTGTGCTTCCTTCAGGTCTGATCCAATGCAATCATAGTTGTGGTGGCCACAGAGGTGCTTGTTTCACTCCACTCCTAGCTTTAGGTAGTTCAGAACTGAGAGAGAGATTCTGTTTGTTTGGGAGAAAGTAAGTGAATAATTCAAGAGTCTCTGCCTGGTAACCCAGAGAATTCTGTGGGATCTTGTCCAAAATTATCAAGGCAGTACCCTTATAAGTCTGCAAAAACCACAGCATTACTGGGATTGGGGTGCCCCCTAAAGAAGATACAGCTTAAACTACAACACCCAAATCCTTTCATGTATCTAGAAAGCCTTCCCAAGGAGGATGGGTACAAATAAGCCCAGACAGTGAAGACTACAATAAATTCCTAACTCTTCAATGCCCAGATACAGATGAACATCTGTAAGTATCAAAATCATCCAGGAAATATGATCTCATCAGATGAACTAAATAAGTCACCAGAGACCAATCCTGAAGAAAGACAGACCTTTCAGAAAGGGAATTCAAAATAGCTAGGTTGAGCAAACTCAAAACAATTCAAGATAACACAGAGAAGGAATTCAGAATTCTTTCAGATAAATTTAACAAACAGATGGAAATAATTAAAAAGAATCAAGCAGAAATTTTGGAGCTGAAAAATGCATTTGGCATAATGAAGAATGCAACAGAGTCTTTTAATAGTAGAATTGATCAAGCAGAAGAAAGAATTAGTGAGCTTGAAGACCAGCTATTTGAAAACACAGTCAGAGGAGACAAAAGAACAAAGAATAAAAAACAACAAAACACACCTACAGGATCTGTAAAATAGCCTCAAAAAGGCAAATCTAAAAGTTATTCACCTTAACAAAGAGGTAGAGAAGGGCATAGGAGTAGTTTACCCAAAGGGATAATAACAGAGAATTCCCCAAATCTAGAGAAAGATATCGGCATCCAAGTACAAGAAGGTTATAGAACACCAAGCAGATTTAACCCAAAGGAGGCTACATCAATGCATTTAATAATTAAATTCCCAAAGGTCAAGGATAAAGAAATGATGCTAAAAGCAGCAAGAGAAAAAAAAAAAAACAAACACCATGCAACGGAGCTCCAGTATGTCTGAGAGCAGACTTTTGAGTGGAAACCTTACAGACCAGGAGAAAGTGGCATGACATATTTTAAAATGCTGAAGGAAAAACACTTTTGCCCTAGAGTAATATATCCAGTTAAAATATACTTCAAATATGAAGGAGAAATAAGACTTTCCCAGACAAAACTTGAAGGATTTCATCAATACCAGACCTATTCTATAAGAAATGCTAAAGGGAATACTTCAATCAGAATGGAAAGGATGTTAATGAGCAATAGGTAATCACCTGAAGGTACAAAACTCACTAATAATAGTAAGTACACAGATAAACACAGAATATTATAATACTGTAACTATGGTATGTAAACTACTCCTCCTAAATAGAAAGACTAAACAACGAACCAGTAAAAAATAATAACTACAAGAGCTTTTCAAGACATTGACAGTACAATAAGACACAAATAGAAACAACAAAAATTTAAAAAGTAGGGTGCTAAAGTTAAGGTGTAGAATTTTTATTAGTTTTTTTTTGCTTTTTTGTTTATGTAAATTGGGTTAAGTTGTTATCAGCTCAAAATAATGGGTTATAATACAGTATTTGCAATCCTCATGGTACTCAAACCAAGAAACACACAACAGATCCACAAAAATCGTCTCACCAGAGAAAATTACCTTCACTAAAGGAAGAGAGTAAAGAAAGAAGGAAGAAAGGACCACAAAACAACCAGAAAACAAATAATAAAATGGCAAGAGTTAAGTCCTTACTTAGTCATAATAGTGAATATAAATGGATTAAACTCACCAATCAAAAGACATAGTGGTTAAATGAATAAAGAATAAGACCCGCTGATCTGTTGCCTAAAAGAAACATACTTCATCTGTAAAGACATATATAGTCTGAAAATAAATGAATGGAAAAAGATATTCCATGCCAATGAAAACCAAAAAAGCACAGGGGTAGCTATACTTATATCAGATAAATAGATTTCAAGACAAAAATATAAGAAGAGACAAAAAGGTCACTATATAATGATAAAGGGATCAATTCAGCAAGAGGATATAATAATTGTAAATATGCATCCAACAATGAAGCATCCAGATATATAATGCAAATATTATTTGAGCTAAAGAAAGAGATAGGCCCCAGTAGAAAAATAACTGGAGACTTCAACACCCAATTTTCAGCATTGGACAGATCTTCTAGACAGAAAATCAAGAAAGAAACATTGGACTTAATTTGTGCTACAGACCAAATTAATATAATAGATATTTATAGAACATTTTATCCAACAGCTGCAGAATACACATTCTTTTCCTCAGCCCCTTATGGATAATTTTCAAGGATAGATCATATATGAGGTCATAAAATAAGTCTAAAACATTCAAAAAATTAAAATTATATCAAGCATCTTCTCTGACCACAGGGAATAAAACTAGAAATTAATAACAAGAGGAATTTTGGAAATTAGAAAAACACATGGCAATTAAACAGTATTCTCCTGAATGATCACTGAGTTAATAAAGAAATAAAGAGGAAAATTGAAAAATTTTTTGAAGCAAATGACAATGGAAATACAACAAACCAAAACCTATGAGATACAGCAAAAGCAGAACCAAGAGAAAAATTTATAGCTATAAGTTCCTATATCAAGAAAAGGAAAAACTTCAAATAAACAATCTAACTACGCATCTTAAAAAACTAGAAAATCAAGAGCAAACCCAATCGCAAATTAGTAGAAAAAAAGAAATAATAAAGATTAGAGCAGAAATAAAATGAAATTGAAATAAAGAATATACAAAAATCAATAAAAAGTTGCTTTTTGAAAAGTTAAATAAAATTGACAAAACTTTAGCCAGACTAAGAAGAAAAGAGAGAAGATCCAAATAAATAAAATCAGAAATGAAAAAGAGTCATTACAGCTGATACTACAGAAATTCAAAAGATTGTTAGTGGCGACTATGAGCAAGTATATGCCAATAAATTAGAAAATCTACAAGAAATGGACGAATTCTTAGACACATACAACTTACCAAGATTGAACCAAGGAAGAAATCCAAAACCTGAAGAGACAAATAATAAGTAATGAGATCAAAGCTATAACAAAAAAATCTCCTGGTAAAGAAAAGGCCAGGACTGGATGGCTTCACTGTTGAATTCTACTAAACATTTAAAGAAGAACCAGTCCTACTCAAACTTTTCTGAAAAATATTATGTAAGAGGAAGTAATACTTTCAAACTCATTCTATATGGCCACTGTTTCCCTGGTACCAAAACCAGACAAAGACACATTAAAAAAAAAAAAAAAGAAAACTATAGGTCAATGTTTCTGATGAATATTGATGCAAAAATCCTAAACTAAGTACTAGCAAACCAAATTCAACAATACATTAGAAAGATCATTCTTCATGATCAAGTGGTATTTATCCCTGGAATGCAAGGATAATTCAACATATGCAAATCAGTCAATGTGCTACATTCATATACACAGAATGAAGAATAAAAAACATAATTATTTCAATTGATGCTGAAAAGGCATTTGATAAAATTTAACAACGCTTTATGGTAAAAACCCTCAGAACACTGTGTATAGAAGGAAGATATTCAATGTAATAAAATCTACATATGACAGACCCACAGCTAGTGTCATACTGAATGGAGAAAAGCTGAAAGCCTTTCCTCTAAGATTCTAAGATCTGAAACATGACAAGGATGCTCACTTTTCACTACTGTTATTCAGCATAGTACTGGAAGTCCTAGCTAGGGCAACCAGACAAGAGAAAGAAATAAAATACCTCCAAACTGGAATGGAAGAAGTCAAATCATCCTGTTTGCAGATGATATGACCTTATATTTGGAAATACCTAAAGACTCCACCAAAAACTATGAGAATTGATAAATTCAGAAAACTTGCAGGACACAAAATCAACACACAAAAATCAATAGCATTTCTATGTGTCAGTGAACAATCTGAAAAATAAATTTAAAAAGTAATCCTGTTAACAGTAGCCACAAATAAAATTAAATACCTAGGAATTAACAAAATAAGTAAAAATCTCTATAAGGAAAATTATGAAACACTGATGAGAGAAATTAAAAAGGAAACCAAAAAATAATAAAAAATACTTTTTGCTCATGGATTGGAAAATCAGTATTGTTAAAATGTTCATACTACCAAAAGCAATCTACAAATTCAATGTAATCCCAATCAAAATATAATACCAATATCGTTGTCCACAGAAATAGAAAAAAACAATTCTAAAATTTATATGGACCACAAAAGACCCACAGTAGCCACAAATATTTTTAGAAAAAAACCCACAAAAACTAGAGGATTCACATTACCTGACTTCAAATTGTACTATAGAGCTCTAGTAACCAAAACAACATGGTACTGGCATAAAAACAGACACACAGATCAATGGAACAGAATAGAGAACCCAGAAACAAACTCATTCACCTACAATGAACCCATTTTTGAGTATGGTGCCAAGAACATACACTGGGGAACAGGCAGTTTCTTCAATGAATGGAGCTGGGGAAACTGGATATCCATATGTAGAAGAATGAAACTAGACCCATATCTCTTGCCGTACACAAAAATGAAAAAAAAAATGGATCAGAGACTTAAATATAAGACCTCAAACTAGGAAACTACTTCAAGAAAACATTGGGGGAAATTCTCCTGGACATTGATCTGGGCAAAAGTTTCATGAGCAATACCCCACAAGCACAGGCAATCAAAGAAAAAATAGACAAATGGATCACATGAAGTTTAAAAGTATCTGCACAGCAAAGGAAACAATCAACAAAATGAAGAAACAACCCACAGAATGGGAGAAAGTATTTGCAAATTACCCATCTGACAAGGCATTAATAACTATAATGTATAAGGAGCTCAAACAACTCCATAGAAAAAAAAATCTGACAATCCTATTAAAAATGGGAAAAGATTTGAATAGACATTTTTCAAAGGAAGACATACAAATGGCAAACAGGCATATGAAAAGGTGTTCAACATCATTGATCATTAGAGAAATGCAGATCAAAACTACAATGAAATATCATTATGCCCCAGTTAAAATGGCTTTTATCCAAAAGACAAGCAATAACAAATGCTGATAAGGATGTGGAGAAAAAGAAGCCATACTACACTGTTGGTGGGAATGTAAATTAGTACAACCACTATGAAGAATAGTTTAGAGCTTCCTTAAAAGCTAAAAATGGATCTACCGTATAATCCAACACTCCTACTGTTGCATTATAACCCAAATAAAGAAATATCAAAGAGATATCTTCACTCCCATGTTTGTTGCAGTACTGTTCATAATAGCCAAGATTTAGTAGTAACCTAAGTGTCCATTAACAGATAAATGGATAAAGAAAATGTGGTACATATACCCAATGGAGTACTATTCGGCCATAAAACAGAATGAGATCCAGTCATTTTCAACAACATGAGTGGAACTGGAGGTCATTATATTAAGTGAAATAAGCCAGACACAGAAAGACAAACATTGTATGTTCTCACTTATTTGTGGAATCCCAAAGTTAAAACAATTGAACTCATTGACATAAAGAGTAGAAGGAGAGTTACCAGAGGCTGGAAAGAGTAGTGGGGGTGTTGGTGGGGCAGTGGAGATGGTTAATGGGCACAAAAATTAGAAAGAATGAATAAGACTTACTATTTGATAGCGCAACAGAGTGACTATTGTCAATAATAATTTAATTTTACATTTAAAATAAAATCAAGAGTATAATTGGATTGTTTGTAACACAATGGCTAAATACTTGAGGAGATAGATACCCCATTCTCCTTGATGTCATTATTATGCATTACATGCCTGTATCAAAACATTTCACGTATCCCATAGATACATACCTTTACAATGTACCAACAAAAATTAAAAATAAAAAAAAAGACTAAACTTATTTCACAAACTAATGGGTATTATTCCGATTTTCTTTGGTAAAAATTGGATTGACTATGGAGAAAAAAGTTCGGTTTCTGAAATAAAGCTGGACTATAGTTGTTATTAGATTGTAGCCTTACACATTGTTTTTGAGTTTTTATTGTCTATCTGAAACTAGGCTAGATCCTGGATTACTAGGTTTCTCTAACACAACTTTCTTTCATAGAAGTATTAAAAACAGAAACTGCTTTGTTTCTAGAATTTTATAGGCTGAACCTGGACGAATTTTAAGTAATGATTGTCATGCCTGTTGTATGGGATACACAAGAACGTCCACCAAACTTCCTGGTGCTATAACCAGAAGCATTCAAACTGCAAACCGGAATGAGAAATTGACAGCTTCGTGCTGCAGATAGCTTCCCCAAAGACTTTAAAACAAGACTTGATATCATAATGAGGCTCTCACACTCTAGTCTAGCTTTTTAACTTGTCAGAATATTGGCATAATTCAAATTTTACAATCAGTAATTCTGTTGGTAGCCTGAAAAACTTGTCCTAAGAGATCTTTTAGTACACCTAATCGGTAAATTTGGCAACATCTCTAATACAACTGTTGCTCATTCTCTGCTTTAATTCAACTCAGTCATGGGATACTAGATTATAAAATTGCTATTGTTTAAATCTGTGAATGTCTATATTATTGCTAATGCTACATGTTGTATCTAGATAAATTCCTTTGAGAAAGTTGAGAACAATATATACAAAATAAAAACAAGCCACATGGTTACAGCAGGTGTCATTTAATTCCCCATTGTCATTTGATTTATTTAATCAGTTGCCTTTAAGCCTAGTCTCAAGGCTAAAACTGTTATAAAACTGATGTTATAATACTACTATTATTTTTACTCTGTATTTTCCTTTTCTGAACTTTGTACCTGTTACTTGTTAACATTTCTACATAAGTACAAGTCCTAACAGAGTAGTGCTGGTCTAGCACTTTGAGATGATAGCCAATGCCTACAGAACAGATACAATGAAACTTAAAAATGGACTCCAGGTGGACTTAGCCAGAGAGCCACTCTTTTCAAAGTTCTCTTCTTCCTCAAATTTGGCAAAAATCACTTTCTCCAATGTGTAACGAGACCAACAACCTAGGGCAGGTCTATCCTGGCACCTAGGGATAATCAAAGTCTAACTACAGGATGATTGATCAGTGATGCTTTCAAACAAATACCTTGATCAAAAGAGGGACATATGAAAGTTATCAGAATCAAAATGGAGTCACTTGTGTTAATCAGTCACTTGTGTTAATAACCTTGACGAATGGAGCTAGGGAAGGCCATGAAGGGGGTTCTCATGCACAAATGCCTGATAACAAGAACCATCACAAAAGACTCTGCAAAAACTGTGATCTTGCCCAAAGGCTGTTGTATCCTTACACAAACATAAAAAATACTTCTGTGAGGACAACTGTCCAATAACTGCCTGCCCAACCTTGAACTGGCACCAACCTTGTTGTTGAACCTTGTAGCCAAGGATAATTATCTGAAAACAATTATGCAAGCCTCCTCAATTTTTCTTTAAAAACCTTTATTTTGGCCGGTTTTTAAAGTGGGATTACAGTGGCTCATGCCTGTAATCCCAGCACTTTGGGAGGTCGAGGCGGGCGGATCACGAGGTCAGGAGATTGAGACCATCCTGGTTAACATGGTGAAACCCCGTCTCTATTAAAAATACAAAAAAATTAGCCAGGCGTCGTGGCATGCACCTGAAGTCCCAGCTACTCGGGAGGCTGAGGCAGGAGAATGGCGTGAATCCGGGAGGCGGAGCTCTCAGTGAGCTGAGATCATGCAACTGCACTACAGCCTGGGTGACAGAGCGAGACTCTGTCTCAGAAAAAACAACAACAACAACAAAAATAATCTTTCTTTTTTTTACCTTTCTGAATATGCACATAGTTTACTATGAAACATGTATTTCCATTACAATGCCTACTCGCAAATAATTATAATTTCTTATAGAGTCTCTCTGTGTTATTTAGGTTGACAGTTTTAAGTTACTAATTTTGTTGTAATATGATACATCAGCTATGGAAAACTGATACATACTACATTACTAGTTTTTATTTATTCAGTTTTTCCACTCTACATTGAAATATGAATAGTCAGAATGTTATCGTTTCTTTTTATAAAGATAGAAAATGTTGATCAGGTTATTTTTCCTCAGTACAAAACAATATGCACATGCATGTGTACAGACATTATCTATCTATCTATCTATCTATCTATCTATCTATCTATCTATCACCATGTATACAGCAATTTTCTTTATATGTTTCACAGAATAGTAATGCTGTTCAAATCTCAGAATTAGACTTTTAATGTATTAGTAAATAAGTACAACTTGAGTTAAATTGTTGCCTTTAGTATGGCATTTGATAAAGTTTTCATTGTCATATCTAGTAAGAATTGTTCAACTTATATAACAGGTCTTCCAAATATACTCTTATATGGACAGCTTAATCATGGATCAAAAAGAAAATTCATGCTAATAGGAAGATTCCTGCCTTCCAGATAAAACAGAGGGTATATTTTGCTAGATATATGTGATAAAGTAAAAATTTTGAGTGTGATTCCCTCAGAAAATGTAAGGTAAACTTAAAGGATATGCAATGAAAGAGAGACAAAATACCCAAGCTAGATCAGTATAGTTTAAGCAGAAGTTTGTAAGCAAGTGGGAAGCAGAGTTGAATTAATTTGCAAGCTGAAGGGGAGGGGGAAGTGAGGCAATGTAAGTCATGGCAGGAGAAGAGGACTGGGCAGAATCCAGCTAATGTTCTCACCCTCTAGTCAATGAATTTAGCAAAGGAAAGGGAATTGGTACAGGCTCCAAAGTTAGAGAAGCCATAGCTTACAAGATTCAGGACAAATGGAGACAGATGCAGCCCAAAATCCTTCAACCTAACTCTTGTTCCAACAGAAGGTTTTTGTCCTGAACCCTGTGAAATTATCCATCTACTTGTTTCCTAATCTTGCTGCTTTGGGATCAGTTAACTAGGTCTTAAATTACCTTCATTGATTAAGACAGGCCCCACTCTACTTGGAGGATTAGGCACAGATCCACCAAGGAGTATCTGGATTTGACAAGGGATTTTCTATCATCTATGAGTTCAGGTGGTGTGATAGTTAATTTTATGAGTCAACTTGACTGGGCCATGGAGCACTCATATTTTTTGTCAAACATTATTCTGGGAGTGTGTATGAAGGTGCTTTAAATGAGATTATCATTGAATCTGTAGACTGAAAAAAACAGATTGCCTCTCTAATGTGGATGGCCCTCATCCAAACAGTTGAAGGCCTGAATAGATCAAAAAGGCTTATCCTACTGTGAATGAGAGGGAATTCCTCCTGCCAGGTTGTTTTGAGCTAGGACACTAGCCTTTTCCAGCCTTAAGACTAATACTAAAGCATCAGCTCTTCTTGGATCTTGAGCCTACCAGCTTTCAGACTGGAACTACATATCAACTCTCCTGGGTCGCCAACTTGCCAAATGCAGATGGTGTGATTTGTCAGCCTCCATAATAAGGAGAGCCAATTTCTTGTAATAAATCTTTCTCTCCCTCCTTCTCTCTCTCACTCTCTCTGTTGTTACTTGGTCTTTTAGCCATGAATGCACTGCTCCTCATGGACCTAGTCAACGTCTGGAGCTAGGGCACATCTTATGCCCTTGAGAATTATGATGAATTTCCAGTGGGTAAATTACTTCTTCCATAGAAATGTCATAGTCCATTCACTTAAAATTAAACTTAAAAATGGACTCTAGGTAGACTTAGGCTGAGATGTACTACCTTCAATCGTCCCTTGTTGCTCAAATGTGCCTGAAATTACTTTCTCCAATGTGGGACTAGACGAACAAGCTAGAACACATCTATCCTGGCACCTAGAGACAATCAAAGCCTAACTACAGGATGATTGATCAATGATGTTTTCAAACAAAGATCTTGATCAAAAGGGGGAAATATGAAAGTTGCCAAATCAAAATGGAGTCAGTCAACAGTTCATTACAGTGAACAGTGCCACAGTCAGTGACACAGTCAACAGTTTATTACAAAGCAGCACATTCAGACTAAGGAATAACTCAGTATAGTTGGGCATAAAATTTTTGACTGTGACACTCTGTCTTCATGTCATATCACAAAAGACACTTAAAAAAGTTTTAATAATGGTGCCATATAGAACAATTTTCTACAATTGACAAAGTTAATTTCAAAGTAAAATAACTGTACTAATAAACCAACATTTTGAAATGTCAAGTATGGTTTAATTTATAACCCTGTTTATAGTTATCTTATGTTCCCAATAATTTTTACAACTGTTTTCAGTAGATAAAACAGGCGTTATCTGTAATTATAAAAATGAAGATTCTCAGCAAACTAACAGAGGAACAGAAAACCAAACATTGCATGTTCTCACTCATAAGTGAGAGTTGAAAATGAGAACACATGGACACAGGGAGGGGAACATCACACATCAGGACCTGTAGGGGGTGGGAGCAAGGGAAGGGAGAGCATTAGGACAAATACCTGATGCATGCAGGGCTTAAAACCTAGATGACGGGTTGATAGGTGCAGCAAACCACCATGGCACATGTATACCTCTGTAACAAACCTGCACATTCTGCACATGTATCCCAGAATTTAAAGTAAAATAAAAATATATTTTCATAGTAAAAAAAATGAAGAGAATGAGCTTCTGTAAGATTACAAGTTTGTCACATAACTACTAAGGGGCATGACTGGATTTGGAAACAAGAGCTTTCTGTTTTCAATGGCAGTGCTCTTTTTATTCTATTACTTGAATGAGAGAAGTTCCAAGAGCAGTAGAAAGGTACTCCACAGTTCAGGAATGGAGAGTGGAGTTCCCCTGTAATCCATCTTCTTAACAAAAGTACTTTTCTATTAGTGTCTCCGTTTTACAAACACAATCCTATCTTGTAGTCATAAGCACATGAATTGGCCTCTGAGGTAGCTCTTATTATCTAACTATGAAATATAAGAGCTAACTAACCCTCCGGGAAGAGAAACTCTTCTTAGAAGATGAGATATGCTGTCCTCACACACCCATGAAGGACAAAAAGAAACCCTTCTCCTCTTATCTAATGATGTAGCAGACACAGAGCAGAGCCATACATTGTGTCAAGCATGTTTCCAAAGCAGCCCAGCAGGGGGTTCATGGACATTAGTACTCCTTGTGTTTCCAAGAACCCGAGCATCTGACAGTGAAATGGGATGGTGTTATATATGCACACAAGCCTGCGGCAGCAAACCAACTATGCACAGCTGGTCCAGTCTAATTTTAGAGCTCTGGAGCCTCATCCATGGCCCTCTAGAAATTTTCCCCATGTCGGGATGCAATGTGAGTGGGGGGACAAAAGCATGCCATGCAGTGTTTTAACTTCCAAAAAAGAATTGGGGACTATTTCCATGAGTTTGAACTCAGATGGATTCATTATAAAATAGCATTCTGAACAACTTAGATACATTTTTCTCCTTCTCTCTCCATTTTAAATTCCTTAGAGTATGGACAATAAAGAATTCAATAGCAGAAACTTCACTGATCCATTTCACAACTAAAGGGATTTTTTTTCTTTGCCGTTAAATCATATCACAAGGTCAAGCCAACCTATTTTAGTATCATTGTTTTTAGTTTTCTAATCAGTCTCCACCAAACTTAAGGGATCTGTGTTATACACTTACGTTGTCATATATATTTTGAAATTGCAAACAACACTGTTAATATTTCAAATATCTAGTTTAGTAATACAGGAATTTATGCTGACATTAAAAGCCATCCTGAATTGCTGCTGGGGATATGTTTAAGAATCTCTCTATTGCTAATGTGACAAATGATGACTTTAATGGCATCATAAACCAGAAATATGAAAGCATTATTAAAAACTGCTTCATAAAATAGTTATCAAGTAACTATCAGTTAAGCTGTTTAGACATGATAAAAGTTCAGTCTAAACACACTGGACCACTTCAGACACACTGAACTAGCAATATTATAAAATGTGGAGGTAATGAATGTTATAGCCTCAAAAATTGTCTTTACTAATCTTACTCTGAATAAATTGTGTTGGTTAGGGAAATCCTCATACCTTATGAGACCAATTCACATTTAAAAGTCATTTTATTATTATGAAGCATTTGTTCAGTCCATTGCCCAGATGTATATTTCATATGCAGAAGCTACATCACTTACTTTGACTTAAATATTGAAATAGTGCACTTATATTCCTCTATATTTTAAAGATATGAGGCTCTGCACTAAAGGGTATCATTCCATTAATTATTCAGACTCTATGTGGTGGTTAAACATTTATGTCCCATACACATTTTATCTTCTACCCTTTTTTTTCCTTATAATTAATGGGTCCATAAGACACTATGGTGATATGAGCTGCTTTAGGTTCTGGTAGAATATATTTTATTGCAATAGTCTCCATCTTTGCAGAAGTATAGCAACAAATCTGTGCCAATGCACAAGTGAAAGCACGTTAGAAATCCTATGCTATTTATGCATGGATTTACTTATGGAAAGTATTTCCATTATTCTCTTGAAAAGCATTCGCTTGCACATGTTCTTTTAAGAGAACAGAATAAGACATTCATGTGATCAGAAATTCTGGATCTTCAAATTATTAAATGTTGTTATTATTGAAGTTTGCAAAAATACCATTTAACCATAGTATTTTAAGTAGGTTCTTTTTATAAACAACGTCATATCTACATTCCAGAGGAAAGAAAACCTGCAGGGAAACAGACGATTGTAAAGAATGAAATGTATGTAACATAAAATGGGCATACAAAGATTTTGATTGCAGTAGAGATTGTTTAAAATGACCCTAGTGGGATGTGAGTAGCAGCAGGCATTGAGATTATAGCAATAATAGGGTCCTCTATAGCAGTGGTTGTCAAACTATCACCTGGAGTATTTGTTAAAACTTGTATCTCTGGGTGTGTTTCACCCTCAAAGTTTCTGATTCAATAGGTCTGAGTCAGGGCCTTATTGTTTTTATTTCTAACAATTTCTCGGGTAATGCTGATGCTGCCAGTCCAAGGAATTACACTTTGAGAACCACCTCCCTATAAGGCCTGTCTGATATATTACCAGCTATTATGTTCTATTTTATTTTATGCTATTTCAGTAGATTATATAGGAAAACCAATCATTAATAAAGACTCAGTTACCAAACCTAGAATTTAGAGGCCAATGTTACATTTGGGTATAATTATAATCCGTATGCACCGAACGTAATAGCTGGTAGGGAGGGCCAAAAGGCAACATTTGGGTGGGCAAATGGGGATAGCTCTCACTTTGGGCTGCAGGCCCAGGGTGTGTGGGAGCCCTCGCCAGCGGCCTTGCCCTCTTATACCCAATATTTCCCTGCCTCCTGTCCATATCACTAGGGTAGTTCTTAGGTTAAATGGGCTAAATATGTTGACATTAGAAACAATGTCAGCTGTGGTTATAGAGAACTAAAATAAAATGGTTATTTGAGTAATTCCTAGTGATTTTTTCAGGATCTATCAGAAATCCTAAAAAATCAAAATATACTTGTAGTGGGAAGAATTCTAAGATACCCTCCTCCCAAATTCTCAGCCCCTGAAGTACTCATATTTTCTCCCAGTTATTCATTCAAGTACTAATCTAGCTATTGCTCTTAAGGCATTTTGTATCTGTAATTAAGGTCCAAATCAGTTACTCTTAAAACAGAGAGACTATCTGATTCAGCTGGGCCTTACCTTTTGAAGGACATGAGTCCTTCAAAAGCAGAGCTTACTCTGCTTGAGAGGGAGAGAAAGTCAAAGAGAAGCGATCTAGCAGGGCTAAAAGAAAGCTGACATCTATGTTGTCAACTGTTTGTGATGACCATATTTCAAAGAACTGTGAGAGGCATCTATGGACTGATAGCAATCCCCAGCCAAGAGTCAGCAAGACCATGGAGACCTCAGTCCCTGTGGTTTCAAGGAACTGAATTGTGCCAGCAGCCAGTGATTTTGGAAGAGGACTGTGAGCTTCACATGAGAAGCACAGGTCCACCAACACCTTGATTTCAGCCTGCTGAATTAATTTCCTGGAGTTGCTGTTAAAAAGTACCAAAAACTAGGAAACTTCAAAAATCAGTAATTTATTCTCTCACAATTCCAGAGACTAGGAGGCTAAAACCCAAGTGCCGTGATCCTTCTGAGAGTCTGGGCAGAATCCTGCCTTGCTTCTTTCTAGCTTCTAGTGGTGAATACCAATCCTTATCACTCCTTGTCTTGCAGCTGCATCACTCCCATCTCTGCCTCTGTCATTACGTGGTATTCTTCCTATGAGTTCCTGTCTTTACATGGCTTTTTCTTTTTCTTATAAGGATACCAGGCATATTGGATTAGGGTGCATCCTAGTGACCTCTTCTTAACTTGATTACATGTAAAGACTCTATTTCCAAATAAGATCACATTCATAGTTACAAGTGGTTATGATTTCAATAAATATTTTTGGAGAACACAATTCTACCCATAACACCTGCAGAGATCCTGAGCAGATAATCCAGCCATGTCTTGCCCAGATCTGACCTACAGAATCTGTGAGATAATATAATTGTGCAATGCAATCAGTTAATGTTTCTGTAATATGTTATGGAGCAATAGAAGAAATACAACACCCTAACTTTTCAAGGTTGTGGATTTTCACTATATACCCAGGTAGATGGTATATGGCTAGAAAAAAATGTAATTTGCAGCAGAAATAAAAGTATTTATTTTTAGCCCCCACAACTTCTAAGAAGAGCAGATCCTTGTATCTGGAGAGTTCTTTTCAGCAACAGGTCATGGGTGTAAGAATGCAGTAAAGGGGGCAAGATAAGCACATTCTTTGATTTTTCTATTGTAAGTGATTTATATTACACATACTTTTATTATGTGCCTGGATATGATGGTATGCATATACTTTTGTCTTTGTAATTATGAATATGGCAATAAAGTGTATGCTGTCTTAATTAACTTCCAGGTAACTGGTCTACTGGACTAATTGATGTTTTCCAATCCTTCTATGATATCTGTTGACTATGGTCTATGACTCACTGAGTGCTTGCATCTTACAGGTACTTTCTAGGACAGTAATATACTTCTAAAGTTTAATTGCATATTTATCAAGAGCCAGTTGTTTATTCTCAAGCTTTTACTGATGATTGTACTTATTATTGTACTCATATTACTAAACTAACTATTTCAAAAATGAATTAAGTGGAAGTGGAGAGAGAGAGAGCTGCTTCTATAAAAATAGGTTAACTATTCTGAAGACTCAGTAAAGCTAATTTGCTAACACTTCAGTTAAATTAAAGGTAGGTAAGTCATTTATGGAATATTTGAGAAAAAAAATTCTACAAATCTAAAGAAATTATTTCTTCACATTGCTTTACAAACAAAGGTGCTGTTAAAAATATTTAACTACTAGCAGGGCATGAGTAGTACCAATTAGAATAGTTGCCTTACTCATTATAATGACTGTGAACTACCCTTCGCTAAGTGCCTTTGAATCTTTATCCACTTCAAAGAGCTGATCTAGGATTCTGAAAATCATGGACCATATATTATGGGTGGACCCATAATATAAAAGAAAAAAAAAAAAGTCTTGGCTCTATATCAAAAGCCTGGCAAACACATGTACATTTTGTTATGTTTTAAGATAAAATGTTTAAGATATTTAAGATATATGTGAATTACTTTCCTGAACCCTTGGTTTATGCAAATTTTCAATTAAAATACCCAGACTGGCCCTAATTTTCTTAGTAAGAATGCTCTTTTCTGTGTTGTTCTAGTTTAGTCTCTATTTTATCATAAGAATGAGATATTTATAAAGAAGTCTGTATTTCAGAAGAAAAGTGATGTGATAAAAAAATTGGTCAGTATTTTTCAGGTGGTTTCTCTAATATGCCCTCAGATTTCTTATCAAGTGGTACAGAAATAAAAGGGAGCTTTGGACCTCTGTCTCACTTGAATTTAAGACTTAGTTAATTGAGCCTTGGTAATGACTGTGGAGGAATAACAATGAAATTGACTTCTCTGTCTGCCATATCCTTTGTCTCTCTCATTGTTGTCTAATTCATTTGAAGTTGTTTACTTCACATGCTGACAGAAGCCGAGACTGATGGCAACAGTTTAAAATTCTCTCTTATCTACTTGAAATTTCTTGTTAGCATTCTTACCTGGTTTCCATCGGTGTATGAAAACAGAAAAGAATCAGATACAAACAGAGCATTAAACAATGCCTTCTGCCTCCCAGGTTCATTTAATACTCTCCCATATATCCGAGTTAATAATTCACACTCTGCAGAACCCCAGCACGTCTCTATTAGATTTGATGTTCTCTATTAATGTGACAGCACACATCCAGTGCAAAGCTGCAGTGAAAGGAATAGTAGAGAGGACAGAGGTGTTCTTTGGGGCCATGTGCTGAAAGTGTCCCTCTGGACAAGTTTGCCCATTTAAAAATGGGTCTCAATAAAGGTAAATTTTATTAAATAGTGTTTGCTTTAGGCAGGCATAATGATAGAATTCCAAAGAAACTGGAGAATTGCAGAGCTCACCATTTTTTTCTGCATAAACAACTCTCCTTTTCCAGAGATGAATGAAAGCAAATCTTCCCCTTTTCTACTTCTCATCACTGCTTTTCAGCTGGCCATTAACAAAGGAGCTGACACTACATATTGTAAAAGGAATAGAATAGGAATGGGATTAATCGGCTTGGGGCCTACAGGTTAGGCGGGAAGCAATCTGATGTTTTATTTAGATGTTTTTATAAAAGGAGCATGAGAAGAACCAGGAAGGAAAAAGGCCATATCTAAGTGAAAGCCCAGAGCTTTTTAAATTTCTCACATGTTTCTGACTTTTGATATATTTTGTAATAAATCATCATCAAACCTGGTCTTGAGAACTGCAGATCTAGAGAAATAGGTAAGCCTCAAATATGTTTGAGCTATATTTATAAATGTAAAAACTTTGTTACATCAACCAAACTTTCTCTTGTGTACAGAGTTGGATTAATTATCTGAGTTGTTCAGATAGAAATGTATCCTCACAAAGATTAAAGTAATATAGAATTTGTGATGACAATTGCCAGAATTATGTTTAAGGGCCATCAACAAATTACCAGCCCTCATGGTTTAGCCAATTTTGTTAAGTATTACACAAAATTTGTTTACAGAAAGTTTTGTGCACAGTATACAATCTTAAACATTGTGAACATAAAGTATAAATGCTGTAACTTGGAGCCATGATTCACAAGAAAACATAAAATTTCATTCAGGAAAATATAAGAGAACAATAAAAGAAAAAAAGTCTGAGCCAAAACTGTATTCTAGCTGATAAAAAAAATGTAGAAACCAAACCAAATTGGCTAAAAATAATTTTTATCTGTGAAAATAAGGAAAATGATTATACAGCTAGAGAATGGAATGTACTTAAAAGTCTTTAGAGTGATATATATTTAAGTTTAAGTTTACCTGGAACTGAATAAAAGGGGTAAAGAAATAAGAGCTTTTAGAAAATATCATATTTGCAAACAATGGCTATTAGCTCCATGATTTAATCAAGAGGTCAGATATGGTGGGACATAAGAAGTCGCCTACTTTTCTGCATTAAAACATTCCCTTTTTTCATCCCAGACTGGTTTTGATATACAGTCCATGGCTTTCAGGCACTGGTAGTATGGCATAACTCAAGGCTGGAAAAGAAATGGCAATCTTCATAGATCTTCTTTTTTTTTTTTTTTTTTAATTTTTATTTATTTATTTATTTATTTTTTTATTGATCATTCTTGGGTGTTTCTCGCAGAGGGGGATTTGGCAGGGTCATAGGACAATAGTGGAGGGAAGGTCAGCAGATAAACAAGTGAACAAAGGTCTCTGGTTTTCCTAGGCAGAGGACCCTGCGGCCTTCCACAGTGTTTGTGTCCCTGGGTACTTGAGATTAGGGAGTGGTGATGACTCTTAACGAGCATGCTGCCTTCAAGCATCTGTTTAACAAAGCACATCTTGCACCGCCCTTAATCCATTTAACCCTGAGTGGACACAGCACATGTTTCAGAGAGCACAGGGTTGGGGGTAAGGTCACAGATCAACAGGATCCCAAGGCAGAAGAATTTTTCTTAGTACAGAACAAAATGAAAAATCTCCCATGTCTACCTCTTTCTACACAGACACGGCAACCATCCGATTTCTCAATCTTTTCCCCACCTTTCCCCCCTTTCCACTCCACAAAACCGCCATTGTCATCATGGCCCGTTCTCAGCTGTTGGGTACACCTCCCAGACGGGGCGGCTGGCCAGGCAGAGGGGCTCCTCACTTTCCAGTAGGGGCGGCCGGGCAGAGGCGCCCCTTGCCTCCCAGACGGGGCGGCTGGCCGGGCGGGGGGCTGACCCCCCACCTCCCTCCCAGACAGGGCGGCTGGCTGGGCAGGGGGCTGACCCCCCACCTCCCTCCCGGAAAGGGCAGCTGGCCGGGCGGGGGGCTGATACCCCCACCTCCGTCCCGGACGGGGCGGCTGGCAGGGCGGGGGGCTGACCCCCCCACCTACCTCCCGGATGGGGTGGCTGGCCGGGCAGAGGGGCTCCTCACTTCCCAGTAGGGGCGGCTGGGCAGAGGCGCCCCTCACCTCCCGGATGGGGTGGCTGGCCGGGTGGGGGGCTCCCTCCCAGACGGGGCGGCTGGCCGGGTGGGGGGCTGACACCCACCTCCCTCCCGGACAGGGTGGCTGCCGGGCGGAGATGCTCCTCACTTCCCAGACGGGGTGGCTGCCGGGTGGAGGGGCTTCTCACTTCTCAGATGGGGCGGCTGCTGGGCGGAGGGGCTCCTCACTTCTTAGACGGGGCGGTTGCCAGGCGGAGGGTCTCCTCACTTCTCAGACGGGGCGGCTGGGCAGAGACGCTCCTCACCTCCCAGATGGGGTCACGACCGGGCAGAGGCACTCCTCACATCCCAGATGGGGCAGCGGGGCAGAGGCGCTCCCCACATCTCAGACGATGGGCGGCCGGACAGAGACGCTCCTCACTTCCTAGATGGGATGGTGGCCGGGCAGAGACGCTCCTCACTTTCCAGACTGGGCAGCCAGGCAGAGGGGCTCCTCACGTCCCAGACGATGGGCAGCCAGGCAGAGACACTCCTCACTTCCCGGATGGGGTGGCGGCCGGGCAGAGGCTGCACTCTTGGCACTTTGGGAGGCCAAGGCAGGCTGCTGGGAGGTGGAGGTTGTAGTGAGCTGAGACCACGCCACTGCACTCCAGCCTGGGCACCATTGAGCACTGAGTGAACCAGACTCCGTCTGCAATCCCGGCACCTCGGGAGGCCGAGGCTGGCGGATCACTCGCGGTTAGGAGCTGGAGACCAGCCCGGCCAACACAGCGAAACCCCGTCTCCACCAAAAAAATACGAAAACCAGTCCGGCGTGGCGGCGGGCGCCTGCAATCGCAGGCACTCGGCAGGCTGAGGCAGGAGAATCAGGCAGGGAGGTTGCAGTGAGCCGAGATGGCAGCAGTACAGTCCAGCTTCGGCTGGGCATCAGAGGGAGACGGGGGAAAGAGAGGGAGAGGGAGACCATGGGGAGAGGGAGAGGCAGAGGCAGAGGCAGAGGCAGAGGCAGAGGCAGATCCTCTATGCCTAAAAAAGGTAGACAGTTAAGAGGACAAACTCAATATGTGATTAGCTTAAATTGCGTTTATTAGCTTTCTTAGAGAAAATAGATATGACAGTGTAAAGTTGGTTTTGGTGTTAAATATGCCTTTGTGGGGAAATTAGTAGTGGCAAATTTTTTATTATTATAAATGATAATCTCTTGTTAAGCAAAATAATTAACAACTTCCCTGGCCATTAATGTAAATCATGCTGTAATCAACTAAGTCTGTTTTATGTTTACCAATCTATTTAACAATGAGGTGATAATTAATAGTTATTGAGAGCTCACTATTTCTTCTATGTTTCTTCAATGTGTTTTTATGTGTTAGCTAGCTTAATTAACTCATAAAAAATCTCCATTTTACAGATAAAGAAAATGAGGCCTTAAAAGATAAAATCAACTTCCCAACCAGTAAAGGGTGAAACGAAAATCTGAACCCAGGCAGTATGACTAGAACCCAAACATTTAACCGCTACCTCATTCTGCTTTTTAAAATATTATAGTCGAAATACTATCATATCTTGTGACATTTTGGAATTAACCACAATAAATAGAAATGCCAAACTATAAATTGACAATGTTTGCCCTAAATCTTGCATTCATTTGTTTAATCATTCATTTATTCTACCAAAAAAAATTATGGTGCATCTAATACCAGGCACTGGGGATATAAAGATGAATACAACACAGTCCTTTCTTCTAAAAATGTTCTTATTCTGATGGTGAAAAGAGAAACAACATGAAGACATGCCACATAACTATGAGTTTAAATGTGATGCTGGATGTATTCTATTCACTGAATGTTTGGAAGCATGACTTTTGGGCACCTATTTCGTGATAATCTCTTGTTAAACAAAATAATTAACAATTGTCCTGGACATTAATGCAAATTATGATCCAAACAAGTAAACGTGTTTTATTTTTGCCAATCTCTTTAAAGATGGGGTAATAATATTTATTGAGAGCTTACTAATTCTTCTATGTCTCTATGTAAGGAGGGCTGTAGAGGGAGAACAATTTCTCAGAATAGGAGGTGTTTGACCTGAATTTTAATGGATGCAATGTGAATGAGTGAAATTGGGGAAGTAGTGGTATTGATTTGGCTCAGCTGTCATTCTTTAGGAAATGGCAAGCTGGGGGTGTTGGCTATTCTCACAGAAAATAAAATTGTGAAAAAGAATAGAATCTCAGCTTGTATCTATAGGATAGTACAAAGTGATCCAATGTTATCTAGTGGAAACCAGCTGAATGATAACAGTGCTACATTTCTTCAGTAAATCATTATGAGAGGTGAAGCCAGCTGGACTTCCTGGGTCGAGTGGGGACCTGGAGAACTTTTCTGTGTCTAGCTAGAGGATTGTAAATGCACCAATCAGCACTCTGTGTCTAGCTAAAGGATTGTAAATGCACCAATCAGCATTCTAAAAATGCACCAATCAGCACTCTGTGTCTAGCTAAAGGATTATAAATGCACCAATCAGCATTCTAAAAATGCACCAATCAGCACTCTGTGTCTAGCTAAAGGATTGTAAATGCACCAATCAGCACTCTGTAAAAATGCACCAATCAGCGCTCTGTGTCTAGCTAGAGGATTGTGAACGCACCAATCAGCACTCTGTAAAAACACACCAATCAGCACTCTGTGTCTAGCTAAAGGATTGTAAAAGCACTGATCAGTGCTCTTGTCTAGCTAAAGGATTGTAAACACACCAATCAGCACTCTGTAAAATGGAACAATCAGCACTCTATAAAATGGACCAATCAGCAGGACATGGGTGGGGACAAATAAGGGAATAAAAGCTGCCCACCCCAGCCAGCAGCGACAACCCCGCTCAGGTTGCCTTCCATGCTGTGGAAGCTTTGTTCTTTTGCTCTTCACAATAAATCTTGCTGCTGCTCACTCGTTGGGTCTGCACTACCTTTAAGAGCTGTAACACTCGCCGTGAAGGTCTGTGGCTTCACTCCTGAAGTCAGTGAGACCATGAACCCACCGGAAGGAAGAAACTCTGGACACATCTGAACATCTGAAGGAACAAACTCCGGACACACCATCTTTAAGAGCTGTAACGCTCACCGCAAATGTCCGCGGCTTCGTTTTTGAAGTCAGCTAGACCAAGAACCTACCAGAAGGAATAAATTCTGGACACAATTACACAGTGATGAACATTTATATAATGGGTAAAAAGTGAACACTTGATATTTTGAAATCCAGGCAACAATCACTCACTCAGCATAATAGAAAGAGCATAGACTGTTTGGGGTTCAAATCGTGACTGTCACTTATTAGTTGGTGAATGTGGACAAGTTATTTCATCTCCATGAGCATGACTACATTCTTCTACAATACAGAAAAAAATTATGGTGTCTTCTTCATGTACTTATAACGTTTTTGAGGAGATGATTGATGATGGAGGAAGTGTGTGCCTGGCACATAAGTACTCATAAACTGATAATTATTATTATTCATGTGGTAAACATTTGAGTAATGCCTACTGTAAAAGTCAGTGTGTTTGGTGTTGACTCTGTGGAATACAAACAATGGCATGCTGGAATTGTCTGATACAGGCTCTCAGGGCTAATTTTTAACATTTTTGGAGCCAAGGGATAATCACAACTATCTTTGAAATCAGCCACGAGGGAAGTATTTATGTCACAGAAATTGAATATGCTATCATTCAGGGCTTCCTTTCCCCAGAGAGCCGGTTGGTGATGCCTGAGCTGAATTTTAAAGGGTGAAATGTTGAAGGTGGAATTGAGGGAGTAACAGTATTGATTGTGCTTAGATGTTATTCAGTAGGACATGGAAGCACCAATGGACATCAACACCATGAAAACATGTTCCTATGCTTACTTGTAGTTGGTGTGTATCCTCGTTTCTTTATTGGGTTAATTTTTGTCTACTGTCCTCTGCTCAGCACAAACTCTCCAGTGTCTCCCCATTTCACTCAGATGAAAAGCCAACATTTTAAATGGCCTACAAGCTCCTCAAAATCCCTTCTTCCATAACCTCCCAGATCTCATCTGCTAATACTCTCTGTTTCAACTTCTTACTCATCTCCAGTCAAGTGCATACAATGTTCTTATTTAGGCCCTTTGGCTTGGCTCATTCCTTTGCTGAAAATTCTTCCTCCAGATACATGCATGGCTTTCTTTCATGCTACTTTTAGGTTTTTGCTCAAATATGACCTGTTAAACCTGGCCTATTTCTTACCTCTTTGGTTAAAAGTCACAATTCCTCTTCTCCAACACTCACAATTCCCCTTACACTGGACTATTTTCTCATAGTACTTATCATCTTCTAACATAATGTATGATTTACCTACTTAACTGTGGTTTCTGTCTCCCACCACGATAAGCACAATGAAGGTAGGAATTTTTGTGTAATAAACTGGTTTATCACAGGCATTTAGAAAAATGCTGGAACATAATAGGTGCCCAATAAATAACTGTTGAATCAATGAATATTGGTCACAAATCTATCTATCTGTCTATCTATCTATCTATCTATCTATCTATCTATTTATCTATCATGAAAGGCAAGAGTTTTGATGGTTTATGATGAGTTTTAAATAAAGGATCTATAATTGCCCAATTCTGTACTATACATCACCTCCCATCAAAGTAGTTGTGCACAAAAATGAGAATCAGAGGTCCTAGCATTGTTAAAGCTGGTTTAAAGAATATAGATTAGCCTTCAATCTTAATCTCCTTCTTCTAAATCCACATCCAAACCCTGGCATTTTATCTGGTGTGGTTCAGCTGTTTAATGGAAACTTGAAGTGAGAAACAGCACAAGCTGGAGATAGGGCTTTAGTGGAAGAGAGAGTGCAGAGCTGTAGTAGTCAGGCAGTCAGCCTTCAAAAGGGCCTCTGTTAATCCCTGCCTTCTAGAATTAACATCCTTGTCTAGTCCTCTACTATACTGTACCAAAATTGGTTCATACGACCAGCAAATGTAGCAGAAGTGATAGGAAGATACTTTCAAGAGTAAGTTATAAAAGACACTGCAGCTTCCATCTTGATCACACTCCCTGTCTTGGGTCACTCACTCTTGGGAATCCAGCTGTCATGTTGAGTGGGCCTATAGAGAGGCCCACACGGTGAGCAACAGTAGCCTCCTGACAACAGTCATATAAGCAAGCTGAGAAGTGAATCTGCTGTGTTTTCAATGTGTCCCCCAAAGTTCATTTGTTGAAAACTTAATCTCCAATGCAACAGTGTTGAGAGGTGAAAACTTTGAGAGGTGATGAGGTCACAAGGGCTCTGCTCTCATGCATAGATTAATGGCATTATTGCACAAGTGGGTTAGTTATCTCAGGAATGGGTATCTTATAAAGTAGGAATTCAGCCCCCTTCTCTCTCTTGGGCATGAACATTCTATTGTCTTTTCACTTTCTGCCATGAAATGACATGGCCAGAAGACCATCGCCCAGAGGCTGGCACTTTGATATTGAACTTCCCCACTTCCAGAACTGTGAGAAATAAATCTCTGTTTTTTTATAAATTATCCAGGCATTGGTATTCTGTTATAGCAGCACAAAATGGACAAAGACAGGATCCCCAGCTAAGTGAAGCCTTCATATGACTAAAGATCTGGCCTACATCTTGATGGCAACCTCATAAGAAACTCTGAACATAACAATTTTCTCAGTTGCTCCCAGATTTCTGACTCTCAGAAACTATCAGAGATAATAAATATTTGTGTATTAAACTGCTAAATTTGGGGATAATTTGTTACATAGAAATGGATGTTTAATGAAATTACTGTCTTCACCATCAGCAGCAGGAAGAGGTAGCAAAGAAGGACCTGAATGAATAGTTTAATGAATGTTCTCAATTTTCCACTTCATTGATAATTTCTTCCTATTGGGAAGATGGATAAAAGTAAGAATAATGGCGCAGAGGAATATATTTTCTTTTTCTTTTTCTTTTTCCCCTTTTTTTTTTTGACAGAGTCTTACTCTATCCCCCAGGCTGGAGTGCAGTGGCACAGTCTTGGCTCACTGCAACCTCTGCCTCCATGGTTCAAGTGATTCTCATGCCTCAGCCTCCTGAGTGGCTGAGATTACAGGTGCACTCCACCATACTAGGCTATCTAATTTTTGTATTTTTAGTAGAGACGGGGTTTCGCGTGTTGGCCAGGCTGATCTTGACCTTCTGATCTCAGGTGATTCGCCCACCTCAGTCTCCCAAAGTGCTGGGATTACAGGTGTGAGCCACTGTGCCAGGCCCAAGGAAAATATTTTCTAATCTCCTTACTCCCTATATACATTTATCAAGCATGTAGGTTTGTTAATCTTACTCATAAACTATAATGCCCCAAAAGCAAAGGTTTTGGTAAGATAACCCCTGTAAATATTTCTTTATATAATGAAGTGAATTGATAATTCACTTCATTAATAATAAATGAGTGAATGAATGAAGCTATTCATTTCATATTCAGTTGATAAATTTTTTAGTCATGCTGAAGACTGGGGGTAGAGTAGGGTGGATTCTTGTTGACATAACACATGTTAAAGGACTACATTCTTGCAAACAAGCTGGTTAGGCAATGAAGGTAGGAATAGTGTCATATCGTCAACTGCCAATTACCTAAAGTAACAGAGAGGATCATACTTATAGATAATAGAAAAAGTCAGGAAATCGTCCCATGATGGTATTTCCTGCCAGAGTTACAGCTGAGTCCCTAAGTCAAAAATTTCAAATAGACGGAGTCAGAGCACAAAACAGTCTCTAGAAGATGTCCAAGGTGAAACTGATGAATTTAGATGGTTCTATCTTTAATGACTTTCTCTGTCTCTGTCTCTCTGTCCCCCTCCTTTCTCTTTTGGGCAAGAGTGGGCAACAGGGAAATTGTTGGAAATCAAGATAACACGGTCCTGACTGAGTAGACACTGGAGATCTCAATGGAAGAAGGAAAATTTCCATAGAGAAAACACAGTAAAGAAAATCAGAAAATTAGACTAGAGAAAGCTGTGTATGGCAAAGGCTGTAATTTTTTTAAATTTTGAAATGTCTCCTACCACCCTCAAGAGTTTACTGATAACCTATAGTTTATCTGAATTCCAATACATTTGACAGCATTCCTTTACATATGCGAAATATTCTACTTCAATTTTGTTTCTCAACTGGGATTTAAATGTAAAGAATAAATAAAAAGTACAAGTGCAAGAATGACAGGAAAATATAGGTTAAGTGAGAAATAGCAAGTGTCTGACAAAGTCTATCTTGTCATTTCAGTAGATGTTTTATTGATGGGGGATTTTACCTTGATTTTTTATTAAGCTTTCTCAGAATTAAAGTATTTTTCCTGTGTCCATCAATCAGTTTAAATTGTGCCCCCAGATGAAATATGAAATATGAAGATAGAGGTGTTTACATTATAAACCAGACTGCCCTGGGATAAACCACACTTCAATGACTAATGGCACCATCCCTGACAGGCTATGCTTTGATGGCAATAAAGTCTCCTGACTCAGAGCAATAATTCTCATAAAGTGATATAAAATTATCCTTCTATGGCAGAGTCTTCTGCATGGCCACCATTCCCTGTAGCTGACTTCTCTACGTGCAAGCAAAATATTCCCATCTTTTGGAAATAGTAATTGTAACCATGTCAAAAACCAAGGATCAATTCAATGAATGTTCTCCTCCTTTGTGTATTTCTCCTCTGTGTCCCTGGGATTGCAGTATGAAAAAAATTAAAAAATAGTGTTTATTATTTTTCTCTTGAAATGTTGAAACTCCACCATGGCGGTTTTTATCCAAATAGGCTATTGACCATTATAAAGGGAAGCAGAAGGATGGTCTAATTTTGTCTGAATCCACCAGATAATCTTGTTCCAAGGCCCAGTAGTGCCCAGATACTGTGCTGCGACTGTAACTTCGATCATAGATTGTTAGAGAAGAGTTAAAGTGCTCATCCTATCTGTGGAGGACAATTCATTTTGCTGCAGATTCTCGAAGAGTAGCAAATTTTCTTGATTTATCCAATTTGTTACTCAATTTCACTTTCAGGACTGTCAATGGGAGTTGATATGGCAGGAGAATCCCTGTTAGTCTGATATGGAACCATGAACTATAGTAGAGGTAAAAATATAATACAGGCAATAAACGTAGTGTATTTTTAACTTTGGGAAGCTAAGCACAAAAAGGAAATAAAGACAGCATTAAAGAAAGTATACACCAAGCACATTTTTGTAAAATCATATGTTTGTATTTGTACCTATATAAAAATACATTTAAAAAGTAGCATATAATTATTATGAATAATGACTACATACATGTCATGTTCAGTGTCAACTTTCACAAAACAGGCTTAATTTTTACTTGTTCTTTTAAAGCTTTCATGCTCATTGGTTGAATGAACATTCGAGAATTTTATGTTTAGCTGAATTATGGAGAACATTTATGAATTTTATAAGAAAGAAGGTAAAATATGACCCGTGATGACATAGAAAATTTCTGGTATAATTCTCTTAATGTGGATTCTAGAGTGTTAAGTGTTTGTTAATGTGCCTGCAATGTCTGTATGTGTCTGTGAGGGATGGTTGATATTTCTAAAATGGTCAGTGTGTCTAGATTTGGTTAGTATTTAGGAAGTTGATACTAAATTCCACCTCCCCATGTACCCAGAGTTGCTGGTACGACAAGACTGATGACAAATTTGGGCAATCAGTGTTCTTTCGTCTGTTTTACTGGAGGGTTTACTATTTCTTAAACAAGTTAGTTTTGTCTGAAGTAATGTGTCAGTGTCCATATCGGTGCCCAGGCTGGCCTTAGGATGAGCTAGGCTGTGTGACTGAAGTCAAACTCTTCCTAAGCTGACATTGGCCATACCTGTGATGGGCTATACCTGTGAAGGATATTAAATATCTTTTTTTTTTTTTTTTTTTTGAGAGAGAGTCTCACTCTGTTGCCCAGGCTGGAGTGCAGTGGCACAATCTCGGCTCACTACAAGCTCTGCCTCCTGGGTTCACACCATTCTCCTGCCTCAGCCTCCCGAGTAGCTGGGACTACAGGCGCCTGCCACCGCGCCTGGCTAATTTTTTGTATTTTTAGTAGAGATGGGGATTCACCACGTTAGCCAGGATGGTCTCGATCTCCTGACCTCGTGATCCACCCGCCTCGGCCTCCCAAAGTGCTGGGATTACAGGCATGAGCCACTGCACCCGGCTGATATTAAATATCTTTAATACCCTTCATGGCCTGGACAAAGTCTTGCTCCTCAAGTTAAGCACAAGGCCTGAAGGGGGGCTATGTTGGTTCTGGGGCAGTGATGGATTTTAAGAGAAGGGATATGACCCACACTGGCTAGTCCTGGAATGGAGGTTTTATTGCCCACCAACATCTGCTCTAATTTGCTCCTTGGCAATAAATAATTCCAACGGAGACGGCACTTGCCATTCGGATTCTTCCACGCTGATTCCAGGCTTTGCAAGCAGCCACCTGATTAAAAAGACCCTCCTCAGGAAGATTTACTTACATGGGGAGAATATATTAATGAGGAAACACAGTAGTATAGACAGCTTGGCAATCATACTTTAACACAAAATTAGGAAATTGTCATTAGGATTTATATCCCAATCTCCTATGAATTAAACTGGGTAAATCAGCCACACTGAGTCTGCTCAGCTCGGAGTTGCCAGAAAATATTCAGTTGGGGGACCTGTAAACCTGAGGGACAAACCTTGTCCTACCTGGATCTTAATAAGCTAGGGGCTTATTCTTTTCCTGCCAGAAAGCACTATATGTTTTGTCTCTCTAACTTCACCAAAGCCACAACATTTTTGTCAGTTCAGTTCGGTAGGAAATATTTATAAAAACTATTTCACAGTGAAAGAATACGATTTTGTAATTCACAAGATCATTTTTATCAACTGTGAGGCAAACAATATCGCACCCAAAGCACCCCATCCCCCTTCTTTGTCTTGTGGAGAAATAAAACCCTGTTCATCATCATAAACACTACAATCTACGTGGCTTCAGAGATGCTATCTACAAAACTTGAAAGAAATACACTTCCATGTCACGTAGTATGGCTTCTTTTCTATTGTGGGGATGTGTCTACACTAATGATATTTAAATTTCAGCTTGGCTCCTGGAGTTTCAGAAATATTGCGAAAACCCACTGGGGCTGCTGTAGGGGAGGGGAGTGTTATGAGTTAAGTTTGGTTACTGCATTTGTCTGCATATTCATCCTGACGTCAGACTCCTTTCTTCAATCATAGCACCTATACTTTTATATTGGACTTTAGTAAGCTCTTATTAAACAAAAGGTTCCTGGGCTTTAAGCACACATTCACATCATAGCCCCATAAGACTCATAAAAATATTGAATCACATGCAAATATTGTGTCTATTGAGGTTAATTCTACTATACATTTTGAGTGGAAAGAGAAATTATACAAACGCACTTCACTACCACACACACTCACATTGCTCCTCACTCGTAACATGCACACAAATGCCTACCAAGAGATCTAAGAACTTCATAGGTCTCTGTTATTTTAATCCTTACTGCTCTGTGACCATAAGAAAACATAACATTTCCAAATATTTGGGAATTGCACATATTTTAAAATACTTTACATTTATTTACCATAGTATTCCTTCCTTTTGCCATTTTATTTTAAAATATGCCGTGTTCTTTCCTTCCATTTTTTAAAGAGTTTTTTTCCTCTTGGCAGTTATGTAGTATCTTAAAATAAAAACTATGAGAATTTATAATAAAATTACTATTCCTTTTCCCCATTTCCACTTCTTCAATAAAATTAGAGGAATGCCAATGATTGCAATAATCTGATTGGGAATTTAAATGCAAAGAAAATCAGAAAATTCTAAATTGTGGTTCCCACAGCAACTATAAAAAGACACTCAACATGACTGCATATTTATATTAAGATATAAAACTTAACAACTTCCCCAGTTATACAAATGCTATATAAAAACAAAGGGGTGGAATTATGGTTGCTATGGGAATCACAACTCTGAACCTACTGACTTTTGGAAGTTTAAATATACTGACATAGAATTTCACACTGAATATTACATAGGTAGAGGAACATGCACGGGATTAGAGACAAACATGTGGCAAATGACATGAAATGAAATAATGAAAGAAATGTCACTCTAGTGCCTAAATGTCTCCTATTTATGGATCAGTCCCTCTCACTGTGATAATATGTTACTTCTGAAAACAGAGCAAAATATCCCTAGGCTATGCTTTGTGGAGTGATGGTATATATCCTTATCTTCCCCCTGTAGTTTGATGATTTAAATGTTCTATATGTAATGGAGGGAGTATGGGCATTGGAAACATAAAAACATCAGTGTGAATCTTGACTTAGCAATTTACTAGCCTAATAACATTTCATTCTTTTCCTAAAATCAGGATAATATTTACTATATTTATAGACTTTTGATGAGGCTTAAATGAGATAAATTGTACAAAATTTTTAGCTAAGGTATGCAATTAACATATGGATTCTTGCTTTTGAGGATTCAACACTTTTTACTCGACTGCATTCACTGTATCAGGAGTCTATTTGAATTTTTGAGAATTGCTGGCTGCTGAAGCAAATGTAAAAAAGGGATAATACTAATTTTTTATCTTCTCATTAGTTAGGTAATAAAATAAATAATATTAGCACAAGGTTTACAATCTATAAAACATCTAGATGTATATACTTGTTTAAGAAACATGCAAAAATAAGAACTAATTTATGGTTTTTGAGCTATATCTAATTCTTTTTCTTTTACAATAAGCTAGGAGTACAACATTTTTGGAAAACAGGTGGTGAAAATACCCATCACATAATTCCTCTACATCTTTTTCTTCAAAGCAATATTAAGCAACAGCTACATACTACTTGCACTGGTTATAGCCTTCTGCTTGGGTGATTTATCTTTTTTAAATTTTTTCCCTTATAAAGGTCTCAGGAGTTCTGGATTTTTTGTTTTCTTGAGTGGAGGTAGCTAACAGCCCTTCTTCTATGACCAAGAAACAGCTTCAGATATGATAACTGATTTAATCATGTGTTATTGATATTGTTATTATTATCATTTCGTTCTCAATGTAGAAATGCTAGCAGCGTTGTGGTTCAATCATAACTTCAGTGATGCATCTGAGGCAGACTGGATGGGTAGTTTCTAGTCTTCAGTAATTACCAGGGCCACAGTTTCTTGAGCAGAGTTCTCTCACAGTGATTTTAAAAGTCTTACATGTTGCATTTGTCATAATATGTCAAATTATTTACATGTCTTTGGAAAAAGGCACCCCAGGTCATGGTGGTACTTACAGCATATTTTAGTTCATTAATTTAAAACATTTTTCTCCAAGGTTTCAGTTATATTAGTTCAGAAAGCTTAAGGCCAGTGAACTGGAATTTAGCTAAGTGCCTTCTAGAATACCCATTAAATCGAAAAAGGTGTATACCCATTTATTGAAAGGGGTATTCTATGATAGGAGTCATATATGACCTTTGCAGAAACTAAGGCTCAGAGACTATTAACATAATATGTCTTAGGTCAGAGATTCTTAAATTTCTACAGCAGACCACATTAGAAAATAGATTTTACATTATGACCCACTATACACAAACATACTCCCATACTTACGCACAACTGAGAAAGAGGTTTCACGGAACAACTCACCCTAGCTATATGTAATGCACTTTGATCTATTCTATTCTACTCTACTCCTATTCTATTCTATTCTATTCTATTCTATTCTATTCTATTCTATTCTATTCATTCTATTATTTCAAAAAAATTATAGTTGCCATCCACTAAACTGATTTCATGACCTACCGAAAGTCTTCTATTCACAGTTTGAAAAAAACCTATAGAACATTATTAAAAAGTGGCAGAAACTGAATAGAAAACCAAGTTTTCTGAATAACATATAAATCAATCTATCATTATCTATCTTATCAATTGATCAATCAATCATCTATCACTCTATTATTTATCTGGCATATATATGACCTTGAGAAGTTACTTATTTTTTCTGTGCCTCAGTTTGTTTTTAATCTGGAAAACGGGAAAAATGTTGGTACCCTTTCAGAAACTTCAAATGAGTGTGTGTAAAACTCTTTGAACACTGCCTGCACATATTAAATGCTATACAGAGTAGTAATTAGCTCTGTTATTAGACAAACATCAAATACTTACAATGTACCTTATAGTTATTGCCATGGGAGTTAATATGGAATAAAATTAATTTTATCCTAAGAAGGCAACAGTGTAGTATGAGATAGGAACAGGAAAGTAAACCATTCTAATATATGATATGAGTTTTATGTTTGAGATATGATCTAGTTGCTGTAGTGACAGCTACCCGACACACACCTACACCCAGTTTGCTTAGATTGTTTCTGGAGATTCCTATCCTAAAATATCTTGGAGTTTCCAAGAGGAGTGCTCAAGAGTTCACTTAGAAGTGAGGGGTTTCTCCTCTGTCTCCTGTTTGTCTAGGGCCACACTGCTGCTGTGTCCTCTACTTAGGTAGGTACCACTAGTCTTCTCTATATGACGTCCTTCTATTTGTCACTTTATTCTGAGAAGTCACAATTTGTCACTATCATGGCCCTGAAACTTGGCTCAGTTCCTCTTCCATTCAAACTGAGGGGCAGGCTGTGCTGCCCTGCTGCTGATCCCACCCTGCAGTTCACCTTTGCCGCTGCTGCCCTTGGAGTGCTGGGCAGTCTTCCTGAAGTGACTCCTGTTTGTAGCTTACAGTATTACTTGAACACTGTATCATTCCAGAATTTGTGTCTGGCACTTTTTAGTTTCCTCCAAAGCTGTTTCCTTCCAAGGTGCTAAATGTGCCTTTGAGTTTTACCCTGAACACTTGATTTTTCCTGATTCTCAGCTTCTGTTTCAGGTTGGCTCATCCTGCCAAATTCTGGACTCCCTTATGATAAATTCTTTCTTAGAGATGTAATGTGCACCCAGGCAATTTGGCTTCTAAATGACTTTTTCAGTTTTGCAGGCATTCATGAATATATCTGAATCCCAAGAATAATACTGATAGGGACAGGAAGCAGGGAAGTTCTCAGCAGAAGAGGGCAGGTTCCTGATGACGGAACCACCCTCAAGATGAAAAGCTTGATACCATGGCCAAAGTGAGAAGATTACATCCCTGTTTTCCCACTCAAATGTTGCCTTTTCCAAAACTGCTCATGGCCTGCCCCACTTCCCATCCTGTGCCCATAAAAACCCCAGGCTCAGCCAGCAGAGAGCGGAGAAGCAGCTGGTTGGCAGAGACTACAGTTGGATGTTGGAGAGAAGTGGCTTGACTTCAGAGAGACAGCTTGACAGCATAGCTTTCAAGAAGAGTCCGGTTGGGGATGGCTGGACTTCAGAGGAAGGTTACCTTCCTGCTGCATCCCCTTTTCTGCTCCCCTTCCTGCTGAGAGCCACTTTCATCAGCAATAAAATCCCCTGCATTTACCATCTTCAATTTGCTCGTGTGACCTCATTCCTCCTGGATGCTGGACAAGAACTCAGGTGCCATGAGTGTGGGTGCAAAAGGCTGTCACACTGACCCTCCACTGAGCTGTTAACACTTAAGCTGTCTGTGGATGGTAAAGCTAAAAGGGCAGTGTAACACTTCCTCTGGGGCTTCAGGGATCACAGGCACCTGCCCCATACACTGCCATGGGGCCGGTACTGAATTTGCTCTTGTGAGTACCCAAAAGCATTTGCCCCAGCCCCTTCACCTGCTCACCTGTGCTCCCCCTCCCATAAGGGTTGGAGCAGTGAGTGGAGTTTGCCCCTGCTGGTGCCGAAGTGTCCAACTAGTTCCAGCACCCATGAACCCCAGTTTCTGCCCATGAAGGGGTCAGGGAAATATTCTGCTTCAATACTGTGAGTTCCCTTTCAAAGGGCGGCCCAGTGGTATGCTTCCAAATGTTTAACAACCACAATTTGGGTGGCGAGGAAGGCCTTGATTTGTAGCATTAGCTGATTTCTATGGGGTAAATACTCCCAGCAGGGCTAGTTACAGGGAACCAGTGTGTACCTAGAATTGGGAACTGATGCCTATATTCAGCTCTCTTGAACTGGTATCTGCTGGCTCCAGCACATCACTGCTTACAGCATATGCAAAAGCATGACTAGAAGCAGGTTCCTTCTGGGTGATTGAAGTGTTGCAATACTCCATGGGCCAGACATATTTAAGTCTAGGCAGGACTCTCTGTTATACACACATACACACATATATGCACTAATAGGCACACACATAATGACCCAAGGCAGTCAATAAGAATTAAGTGGCATAAAAATGTTAGATTTTTCTCTGCTGCACTTCTAGGACACCTTGTAGATATGTCTATGACAACCTTTGTACTATGGTTTCCTTATAGGCCTTCCCAACTGGACTGTTTTTTACTTTTTAACAGCTTTTTTTGAGATATAATTTCCATATGATACAATTCACCCATTTAAAGTGCATACTTTAATGGTTTTCAGTATATTCACAGAGTTGCAAAACCATCGTCATAGTGAATTTAAGAACCTTCTTGTCATGCTCAAAAGAAGCCTTGTACCTCTTAGCAAGTCACTCCACATTCCTACTCACTCTTCTCCCTCCACCAGCCCCAGTCAACCACTACTCTACTTTCTGTCTTTATAGGTTAACCTATTTTTCACATTTAATATAAATTGAATAATGTGTGGTCTTGCGTGACTCTCTTTTTTCATGCAGCATAATATTTTCAAGAATCATTTGTGTTTTAGCACATATCATTACTTCATTTATTTCTTTAAACTAAATAATATTCTATTGTATGGACAGTTTACATTTTATTTATCATTCATTAGTGGATGATATTGGGGTTATTTCCACTTTTTGCTGCAGTGACTGCCTTCAACTTTTTATGCATAGACATATATTTACATTTCTCTTGGATATTTACTCAGCAATGAGATTTCTGGGTCATTTGGTAAATCTATGTTCAACATTTTGAGGAACTGTCAAATAATTAGTTAAAGCAGCTGCAACACTTTACTTTCCCACATGTCTTATATAAAGGTTCCAATTTCTCCACATCCTCTCAACCACTTGTTATTATCTTTCTTTTTGGTTGTAGCCAGTCTTGTTAGTATGAATTAGTATCTCACTGTATTTCTCTAATGGCTAATTATGTTGAACATCTTTTCAGGTGCCTATTTGTGTATCTTCTTTGAAGAAATGTCTATTCAAACCTTCTGTCCATTTATGAAAATTTGTTTTTTCATTATTGTTAGTTCTTTATATATTCTTTAAATAAATTCACTTTCACATATATGATTTTTGTATACATTTTCTTGATTCTGTGTATTTTATTTTCACTTTCTTGATGTCATTTTTTAAGCACTAAGGTTTTAAATTTTAATGAAGCTTAGCTAATTTTGTTTGTGTGTGTGTGTGTGTGCTTGTGTGTTTGGTCTCATGCTTAAGAAGGTTTTACCAGACCTAAGATCACTAAGATTTACTCCTGTGTTTTCTTAAAAGAGTTTTATAGTTTTAGCTCTTGTATGTTTAGGCCTATGATCCATTTTGTGTGTATCTTTTTTTTGGCATCACATAAGGAAGTACGTGATGTTTTCTTAAATCATGGATTTCAGGATAAAGAATTTGGACGTAATCTTAAAGAAAATGAAGCACAATCTTCCGTCTCCATGCAAATTAACCACTGATTCTCTATTTAAAAATTCACAAAGACAACAGCCACTGTGGAATTTATATTGGTCGTTACACATTTTCTTCCTTTGAGTGTCTACCAATCAAAATTCTACTGCCATCAAAGGTTTAGTTTTTCGTGTCTTTCTTGCTAGCAGACCTTACTTCTTTAATGGACCCAGAACTGAAAAAGTATTTTTACTTTATGACAAGTAATTAAATTTCTAACAATGTTCTGGATCAAACAGTTTACATGAATTAGTAGTCTGATTTTTTCTAGGTGCAATTATACGTGTAAACAATTTTCTTTTCTCCCAAAGGTTGTAAATATATTTATAAAAATAGATGGAAAGAAAGTGGAAGGGGAGGGTAACCCCCACCAGAAAAAAAAGAAACCTATTGAAGTTAAAATTAAAAGGAGGTGTTTGATATGATAAATAATGATGAGATAATGGGTTTCTGTGGGATATGGAAATAGATTTCACAATGAGAATGAAGACCTCAGCTAAGAGCTGGTAGGTGGATAGGCTACGCACTTAAAGTTTGGCTTTCCTTGTCTAGTTTTTCACAAACATGACAAGCACTTGGCAGGATGATCGTGACTCTTGTATACATGGGTTTCTCAGAAGAGGCAGGTCATCTAGGAGCCAAAAGGTAATACTGTATATCCTAAATTATAGGCTACTCATACTTCAATATTTTAATTTCTCCATAGTTTTATGTGAATCCTTTAGGCCAGGTGATGATGAAATGCTATCTGAAGAGAAGTCTGTCCTCTATTTCAAAGATAGATATGGCTGCCAGGCAGGGGGCTTTGTAAAGGGGTCATGCTGAGCATAGCAGTTTGCTCATTCTGGAGAGGAAGGAGACTTACCACAAAGGTATAGCTCATAAGTTGATTAAATATCCACAGCATTGCTGTGCGTGAGTTAGTTAAGGGGCAGTGGCACAGAGACCCTTGTCATCACTAATGAGGATTCCAACCTGACTGATCTGACCTAATCATTGGGAGATAATAATAGATCTATTTCTTAAATTACTGGTTAACTTTGATGATTGCTCAGCAGCATGCAGACTAAAGCAGAGCCCAGCATGGATTTTATCATTTATTTAATCTATTTTAGACCAAAATGTGTCAGAGAGAATACAAAAGACATTAAACTATTTAGAGTTACCAAGCTATAAATATTTGTCAAATATTATTTTTATAGCTCGAAGCCACCCTTTGCTTTTTAACTTCTAAAATTATTTTTATAATCGCTGTTTTTCTCCCTCTCATATATGGTAGCCTTAACACAATAATTTATAAAAACAGGTCAGAAATCATTGATTTAGTAAGTTTCTACCTTGCAATATTCTACAATTAAATCAGAACACAACTTCAGGATAGATAACTAAGTCTTTAAAGAGGGAAAATACATAGATTTTACAATTTAGGGAATGTGTAAATCTACTGTATTGGTTTTATCCTCATCTCAATTAAATCAATTCCTTATATCTCCATTTATCATCGCAGAAGTCTGCCCTTATATTCTGTCTGAGTTAGTCCTACAAAAGCATGTCAGGCTAATGCAGACTTCTTTCTTTTTTGATAATTTCCTCCACAAGTTAGCAAGTCTCATAAGAAAAGTTCTATCTATTCCTCTATTATATTCTATTTGCATGCAGTTTAACACAATGTAGAATTTTAACAGCATGAATTTTTACCTTCATTTAAAAATATTTGTATACTGAAATATGATATGCATAATAAAAGTTCATAAATCCTAAATTCAATAAATTATCAAATAGTGAACACAGTAGTGAAATAGCCCCTAGGTCAAAAAAAGAGATCATTACTGGAATCTACAAGCCATTCTGGTGATCCATTTCAATCAAAATCTCTTCAACCCTCACCCAGGGAAACCACTGTCTCAACTTCTAGAGCTATAACTGAATTTTGTCTGTTTTTGAACTTTATAAAAATGCAATTATACAGTCACATGCATTCTTTTGTATCAGTTTTCTTTCAAGAGTACAGTTGTAAAACTCAGCCATGGTTTTGTGCATGAAGGTAGTTAGTTCATTTTCATTGCAACAGAGCATTCCATCATATGAATATAGTATAATGTATATATACTTAATGTTGTGATGGATATATGTGATCCTTCCAGTTTAATATTCTTGAATATTTAGCGGCACACGCATACTCCTTTCTTTGGGTGTGTACCTTGGAATGGGATTGTTGGGCCCTGGTGTGCACATATGTTCAACTTTACCAGGTGCTACCAAACTGTGGTATTCAAAGGTGTTATACCAATTTATACTTCCTCAGGCAGCGGCTTTTCCATCAATTCAATATATGACATTAGCAGTTTGAAGTTAAACTGCTCTTAATCCTTCTTTTTTTAGGATTCAACTTCATAACTCTTTAGAGAAATAAATATTTATAGAAGTAAATATTTATAGGTTAAATAAGTTAAAATTTTGAAATAATGTGCACTTCAGGATCTCAACAAAAAGGTGAATAATGAAATAAATTTATAATTCCCTTTAATCTCGAAAATAATTTGAGGCCTAATATGGCTAAGGGTGTACAGATCCCTTTATCTATGTGAAGATTATTATTTATCTATGAGATGATGATTATTATTAATGACTTTTCAGCTAAGGGAAGTGAAGTCTTTAGACTTAATTAATAATTAAGTTATTGTTATTTGTAATAATAATGGTTGTTAATAATCATAATCATCTCATAGGATTATTGTGACAAGACAATTTATCAGAAGCTTAATATAGTAAATGCTCAATAAATAAGTTATTATTTATCAATAGTATTTGAACTTAGGTCTTTACATCTGGTTTTAATACCTGAACTTCATTAGTAGTAGTCTAGAACCGCCAATTTAACTTATGCAATAGTGAAAATAAGAAAAAGCAGAAACATCCCTGACCTCCTGGGTTTAGGGGAGGTTCAATATTTTTACCTGGTGTCATAATACATGAGGTCTCAGACCTAAGCCTGAAAGTTATTTTCTTCAATGGTGGAAGTAAATTTTCTCTTTGTTTCTCTCTTTATCGCTTTCAAGGCCATAATATGATGTTTGTGGGCCTCTTTTTCTTTTAAAAAATAACAAATAACTAAAAAGTATATACTATGACAATATCAATATAAAGATAAATATAGTAACATTATGTAGTAAAGTGTTTTCTCAAACTAAAAATAATTTTATTTTGAGGTTAAAATAAATTAAAACATTTTTGTGGACTTCTAAATTCCTATTTCTCTCTCTTTCTCTTCTCTCTCTCTGTGTCTCTCTCGTGTGTGAAACTCAGATTCATGTCATTCATATCATAGCATTCTTCTTAGGTTAGAAGGTAATAAGACCTGACACACAGTAATTCTGCTTATAATCAAAGTATAAAGCCAGGATTTTGTAGTACACTTCAGAGAGAAAAAACTCACCAAAAAATAAATATACACTCTGGGAGCCCAAAGGAGGGACTGAAAATAGAGGGCTAACTTGAGTTTTAGAGAGATACTAGGAAAACTAGGCTGGGCACATAAAGTCAATTCTCACAAGGTAATAAAACCAGTTAAGTCTATATGCTGATAAATTCTATGAAAGCACTCACATGCCAGACATACTGTTCTCCATCACATATTCTAAGCCTCCATTGCACTCACTAATACTTCTTTAATTCTTTTCTACTTGATATTTTAAAATTCAATGAAATATCAATTGATGAACTCTGAATAGCTGCTGTTACAATTTTCTCATTTCTTCACAATGATCATGAATAGTGAACTCTCATGATGGTTATTTAAATGGACACTGAGCCAGTCCTATTTTTTCTAATCTCTTAACATGGCCAGCCTAATGGGTCATTTTCACCCTGTTTGGCATGGTGGATACATTCTTCCTTTATATTGATAAATCAAATTTCAGTTAATTTCAGTTAATTAATTTGGGCAGAAGCATCAAAAGAAAGGTAATATAACATCATCATCTCAATTTTAAGTGAATCTACGTCTTGTAGTCCTGGGCCATATTTCTGTTGAAGCCTTTTGCTTATTTAATTTTTTTTTATAATTATTTTTTGTGTTAGTAAGGTTTCTGATCAACATTGCTTCATTAAAATAAATGATTTGATGAGCAAGGCAGCTTAAGATTCATATTCTGTGCTAATTAACAGATTCTTCTAATTGTTAGAAAGCTCCTGATGTCTTTCTAATTCTTTCAACTCATTACTTTCTTACTGAAGTTACAGTTCTTAAAGGAATAGTAACAGATACTATGAAACTTCTTTTCTGCATATACACACTGCCTCAAAATACATTAATTTGTGAAAGCAGGCCAATAATTTAAAATCTGTTAATTGATGTGCTTTCCTTCCAAAACCAAGTGAAATATCTTTCCTATTTTCCATTTCTACTTTCCCATCTGGGATACTAAAATGCATTTTTAAAAGATTACTTCTAGTTGAAAATAATGTAGCAAAAACATATATTAAAATCTCTATGTTTCCACTTGAATATATTTTAGTTAGATCAGTAGATTAGGTCTGGGTTTCTGCTACTACAGAGAAGAGCAAGGAGGAGGGATCTAATTTTATTTTTAAAATGTTAACTCCTCTATATGATTACTAACAAATCAAGTTTATAATGTGTCAATTTATGCTTGGATCATTATGAAGTGACGTTTTTGGCAATTGTGTAGATGGATTCTCTGCATGTTAGGGCTGGTGATTAAAGATAGACAACTTTGATTCAGATAAAGGTGATGAACATTTGAGAAATACAGTGGTAACCATATAAATAGAAAACAAAATACATATTAAAAATATTGTTCAAATGAAGCATAGTTTTGAGGAAAGAGAAAAGTCAAGTAAATGAATGAAATTGATAAAAATGTATTCATTGCTCTTTAAGGCTGAGCAGATAGCACTACCTATGCAAAGGTTGTTATTTCTTTGATTGACTGACAGACATTAAGCCACTTAAAGAAATTTACTTAAACGATTGTTTTGTATATTAATTTCAACAAGATATTTAAATCCCAACATGTTGCATACATACATTTGTAAATTCCAATTAATTTTGAATAAAATTGTCAAAATGTTAGCTTTCCTGTGCTTTAATTTATGAGGAATTAATAATAACAGTTTACGTTACCACTTTATAGCTTACAAAATGTTTCAAATATATTATCTCATTGGATATGCTCAGAATTCAGAGAAATAGACATCCTTGATTTTATATTACAAATGAAAATACAAGATAAATTAAGTGACTGACTCAGTAACACAGAAAGGGTACATTCTCAACAAGGAATAACATAATTTCTCTTTTAACTTCAAATCTCAAAAACCGAAGAAAGAAATTTGACAACTGTGTTAAGTGATTATCAATAATTAGTCAAACACATTACTTTGAGTTCAGTGGTATCCCTAGGAAAAATTTAGAAATATGTATATGAAAATGATTTATTCACACTTCTAGAAGAGAGTTAACAACCAATAAAACTCCAAAGTTCTGTAATACACAAATTAGTACGAGATTTGTTTTTCTTTAAGTGGGCAAATCAGTCATCAAAGGGTGAGGAAAAGCTAAAAAAATTTCAAAAATTTGTGTTTCATAAACCTGCACAATTTCATAAAAATATTAGCTCTAAGCATCCCAGAAACCATGGGAAAGAGAAAAACTAAACGTTCAGAAACATAGTAGAATAAAATGTGTCAACTTCTCTGTAGAAACAAGTATTTTCTTGGTCTAGAGATTTGAAAGAAATTAATCAGAGTCTTCGTATAAAGGGCATTATTTGGTCAAATGTATACACCCTTGATTGGGGAAAAAAAGTAATTCAGAGAAATTCTTTCTGTAACAAATTTTTCAGATCTCAGAAGATTTATAACTAACCCTATTTAAAACTGATTTTTGTAGGCAGATTTTATCAGCTCCCATGGAAAAAAAAATACAATAACAAAATAGAAAGTGATGTGATTTAAGTAGGTAACTTTCTGTCAAACCTCCTTAACATACAATTATATCATGGAAAATACTGAGAAATCAGTATCAATCTTATCCCTGGCTCAGACTACCCCCTAAAATCTCAGCAAGATGTTTGACATGCACTAATGACTTCATTCTGTCTGTTCAAGTGTCCTCTCCAACTTGAGAAGCTCTCCCTTCTCCTGGTGTCTATGATCCAAGGCTGTCTCCTGTTTACCCTCAGCCTCCTTCCCCAGTGTTTACTCAGCACTGGAACATCCTACCCAGGCCTACTGCCCTTAAGGCTGGTCTGCATGTAGAACCCATATTCATCCAATCTTCTGTCAAAAAATTGACTTCTGTAACTAACGGTAGAGTAGAATGAACTCTTTTGTACAATTTAACTTCAGTAAATGAATTTCTAATTGCCATTTTTACTTTAGGTCAGAGGCTGTAAAACTTGAAGAAAGGAGCCAAGATCGCCAGAAATACAGTGGTGGTATTATAGCAAACATGAGATCCTAAGTCCTTTTTCAAAGCGTGCCTGCTCCCTGCAAGAGGAGGAACAGTGGCCAACCCACTCAATCAGCTGTTGCCATGTGGGACCTGTGGTAAGAGTCAGCCGGTGTGCTGGAATCTTCTTATCATGTCCTGTAAACTCTGTCCTTACATTGGCCTTCTGGCACCCTCACGTAACATCATTCTATTGATTCAGGGCAAATGTATTAGACAATACCACTGTGCCAAACAATAATATGTTGAACTTTTATAGTAGAGAATGAACTCTAAAATTGGAGAAAAAACTGTGGCCAGTTAAGAGAGTATTTCATTTGATCACTAAAACAAAAATTGGAAGAACTACTCTACAGAGTAGTTGCAAGCATTATGTAGGTAATATAAGCAAAATTGTTTTGCAAATTAAAAAAATTCAAATATATTTACATTGGTATTGAATTTGAATGAATGCTTACAATGATTATTCAAAAACTTTTTAAGCTTTTGAATCATCCAAGTTATATTAATTTATAATATTCAGTGGAACAGAGAACTTTATTCCACAACAAATTTGGGTAAAGTTCTATTATACCTAATACATTTACTACCTTAAAAATACATTTTATATTTCTTTACAAATTGCCTTCACACCATTTTTTCTTAAATACAACAGTATGTAAGCTCAGTCCCACTGTTATTTGACTACATATTAATTTAGTTATTATTCTTAAATACCTAAAAATTGTCTGACTCTTTTCCATAAGATCCTGACAGATGCTGAGAGTTTAGACTTTTTCCTTCTCGGCTTAAAAAAGCAGTCTCTCTTAATGCTGTCTGGGAATATATTCCTAAACTGAATAGTTACATTACTCAAGGATACACACACACACACACAAATAACAGAAAGGAGATGCATTATGCGGCTTTTTTGAAAAAGGATTATCTATAACAATTGATTTCATTCCATTTTATGTCACTATTTTATGTAGAGTCATCGACATCAACTTATTTCACTTTTCTGAGAGGTTTGTGAATGAAATTTATGCCGACCCTTGCTTAAATTTTTACTACTTTCATTTTTTAACAGCTGTTGTTACTTTCACAATGCAATCTTAAACCTTTGTGGTTTTTCTGTTTCTGCAGAAAATTTATGCTATTAATAGTATCAAATCATAAATTTTAGTTCGATGACTTTGAGTACTAGGTCACGTGACTTTTTGAAGAAATACTTAAAATATAGACACATTTCTTTAGACAACTAAATACTCACCCATATTTGTCTGGATATAAAGAAAAATTTTTCCCTCTGTAGTTAATTGGTATTTGGGTGCTCTAATAAACTATGCCTCTGCGAATATATGTCCTCATTCGGACCCCTCCCCTTGATTCTGGGCTGGCCCTTTAATATACCTTAATCAATAAAATGTGGCAGAAGCAACTGTTTGCCAGCTCCATGTCTATGCCTTAAGAAGACCTGGTAATGTTTATTTTTGCATTCTGCAGAAACCTAGCTACCATGCAAAAAGTCTGACTGACTCGAGATTACCATATTGTGAGGAAGTCCAAGCTAACCACAGGGAGGGGAACTGAGAAACCTAAACAACAGTGAAAACTGAAGTCCGAGATAGATGGCCCAAGCTGAGCCATCATGGGTGACACTACCAGGGGCCAAGACAGGTTCTCTCTAACAAGCCTGTCCAAGTCACAAAGGTGAGCTAGTAACCAAAAGGGATAGTGTTTAAACTTTTATGTTTGGGGGTAATTTGTTATACAAAAATAGATGACCAAAATACCTTCCTAAAATTTTTCACCCGAAAAGTAATTTGTTCTGTGTCAGAATCTTAAAAGCCTCACATATTATGGGTCATGTACTTTCCCAATTATTTTATTTTGAACAGCACTAATTGAAGGAGACACTTTAGCTGAAAACGTTTTCAGTGAATGCGATACCTAGGTTTAAAGCTTCTATTGCATACTGCACCTTTGTGTGATTATAACATTACCACCCTTAGACCTAGGTAACTTGGGCCCCTGCCTTCAATGCAGTACTTCTTGTTTTTGTTTGTTTGTTTGTTTTTGTTTTTCCGCTTTCTGCTTTTTGCCAAATTCATGCAAGGCCCCCAAGTCAGCTAGTGTTCCTGGAGCTTGTCTTTTTTCTTTTTTTTTTTTTGTCTTACTGTCTGAGCCAATAGGCTTTGAATTTCAGTATCTCTCCTTCTTCCACTGTTCCCTCTTTCTTGCCAACTCTTTCCATTCATAATAATACCCACACTATCTATGTAGGGTGGCTGTCTCTTTAATGATGGTTAGTGGGCCCATTTATTGTGATGACACTGCAGATGAGTTCTAGAAATCCCATTCATATAGTTACCTGGACAAGACAGTAAAACATCTGATTCTGCCAACGCCCAGGACTTGGTATTCTCATCAAGATGTCATCGAACACTATGTCCTGAAAATCTGCGTAATTTTTTGGTTCTTCTTTTTGTGCTTAAATAGAATTGATGTATAGCATGTATAATGTGTGGCAGATAACAGTTAGCTAAGGTAAGATGTGTCAGCATTTGGTGTCCAAGTGAGATAGAACAGGAGTTATTTAAGATTTTTAGGTTACATGAACATAAGAAGACCTGGCATTTTGATGCATGTAGAAAGATATTGATATTATAATAAACAACGTCTTCCACAGGAAGATACACTTCATTCAGCAGTCCATCAACATGAACTTTTAAAAATTTTAAATTGTATTAGGAAGGTTTTTAGAATAAAATTTCAACTCATGTTCAACTTACTAATGTTCCATGCATGCATATCTTGGCTAATAATGATAAAAGAACTAGGAAAATACAGAAGAGTCTATTTTGTTGCTGGAAATTCTTTTGGGAAGGAGGTCTTCCTTCTAATTCTTCCAGAATGAAGATGAGGCAGAATTCAAGGGTGATACCAAGGGCCCACTCACAATTTCTCTTTCATGGGAAAACAGTGTAGTGCTGAGGGGCATTAGTAAGAATTTGGCAGACACTTGTCCTAATTCCATGGGACAAAGAAATAAAGGCAAAGGTAGGTGTCGGAATAGGGGCACCCAACTAGTTCTTGTTGTGAGATCCCAGGGCACTGTCTTCCATCACTTAGTCCCGGGTTGCTTACAAAAAAAAAACAAAAAACCAAAAACATTGAAGATCTTTCAAGTTACACCCAGTTATTCTGATTAAGAAGCTCTGGTATGAGGCTTAAGAATGTAAATTTCCAGCAAGTTCCCTGTGATTTTTCCTCTAAATTCTTGAGAAAATGATTGTTCAGGGGCAAACATAATGACACCAAATGGAAACTCAGGGAGACGTATGGTTTCTCTGTCTCTTGGACTCTATCTGAAGCTGTTTCATTCTGTAGCATGAGAAAAGAGGCTGAATATCTCAAATCTGGTCTAGTTTAGACTAAATACATAATTAGGTTTAGGAAGGTTCTGCTTATGTCAACAGGCTCATAAAACCCAAAGAAGAAAGCACAGAGTCAACATTTCCTTTCTGGGGCGACACTCAGCTAAAATTTAGGGAACCTCAGATTTCTGCACTATTGAATGGTAAATCAAAAGTAATCTCATCCAGTTTATGTCAGGGGAAAAGTCTAAAATTTTGTCAGGGGAAGGGAGAGTGAAGAAATAACACAACCTGGTAGCATTTTGAAATGTGAAAGTATTATGAGAATTCATGAAGAAAATCAAGTTATCTACAAGAAAATAAATATCAACTATGGCTTCAAACTCTTCTTTAATATTAGATGCCAGAAGAATAGACTAATGTCTGCACAACTTAAAAAAGCTGCTGAAGAAGGCAAAGATATTAGTTTCTCATTAAGGTTGATATTAATATGTAAGAAAATAGGAAAAATCAGACATACAAACTCTACAAATACAATGCCTGTGTTTCTTTCCACTAAGAAAATGCACAAGGACCTATTTTAGGCTAATGATTAATAAAACAATATAAAGAACTCCCAAATAAAAAAGCCACTAGGCGGAGCTTGCAGTGAGCCGAGATCACACCACTGCACTCCAGCCTGAGCGACAAAGCGAGACACCGTCTCAAAAAAAAAAAAAAAAAAAAAAAAAAAAGCCACTGGGGCCGGGCACAGTGGCTCATGCCTGTAATCCCACCACTTTGAGAGCCTGAGGAGGGCAGATCACCTGAGGTCAGGAGTTCAAGACCAGCCTGACCAGCATGGCAAACCCCGTCTCGACTAAAAATACAAAAAATTAGCCAGTTATGGTGGTGGATGCCTATAATCTCAGCTACTTGGGAGGCCGAGGCAGGAGAATCGCTTAAACCCGGGAGGTGGAGGTTGCAGTGAGCTGAGATCGTGCCATGGCACTCCAGCCTGGGTGACAAGAGCGAAATGCTGTCTCAAAAAAAAAAAAAAAAAAGCCATGCTATAGAAGTAAATGTGAGAATTGCATTCATTTAAACATAATGATATTTCATTTAAACATACCTTGTATATAGATAATTGTATGTCATAAATAGTTCTTTGAATAAAATATATAAATAGAATATTAGAAATGATAACTTGACAAGAATAAACTTACTGGAAGTCTTAGATTATGCCTTATAAAAACTAGAAGGTAAAAAATAACAAAATTTTAGGAGGAAGAAAAAGTATACTGATTTAACTCTTTTTACACTAAGAGAACATATTAGATAATGTGTAATTCTTAATTTTTATAATTATAGAAATAAGTCTTTAAATGTGACTCAAAAAATTCATGAGTAAATGATTAAGCTAACATATGTACAAAACAAATTAGGAAAGAGGAAATGGAGAGGGAAAGAATGAAAGGGAAAGAAGGAGGAGATAAAACATCAGATAAAGCAGCATTTCAATGCATATTAACTCAATGTGATGAGAAGGGTCAGATTTTATTGCTACAGGGTCAATTCATAACACAGTTATTAGGAGAAAGAATGTGGATTAATACAGCAATGGAAAGTTGGTGGAATCTACTCTCAGAGATAAAAGCAGGAGGCAGAATGCGAGTGGAGTTGATTTAGGTAACAGTAATGGGATTGCTGGGTCAGATGATATTTCTGGTTCTAGATCCTTGAGGAATAGCTGCACTGTCTTTCACAATGATTGAACTAATTTACACTCCCACCAACAGTGTAAAAGCATGCCTATTTCTCCACATCCTCTCCAGCATCTGTTGTTTCATGACTTTTAAATGAGCGCCATTCTAACTGGTGTGAGATGGTATCTCATTGCGGTTTTGATTTGCATTTCTCTAATGACCAGTGATCATGAGCTTTTTTTCATATGTTTCTTGTCTGTATAAATGTCTTCTTTTGAGAAGTGTCTGTTCATATCCTTCGCCCACTTTTTGATGGCGTCGTTTGTTTTTTTTTTTTGTAAATTTGTTTAAGTTCCTTATAGATTCTAGATATTAGTCCTTTGTCAAATGGATAGATTGCAAAAATTTTCTCCCATTCTGTAGGTTGTCTGTACATTCAGATGATAGTTTCTTTCACTGTGCAGAAGCTCTTTAGTTTAATTAGATCCCAGTTATCAATTTTGGCTTTTGTTGCAATTGCTTTCGGTGTTTTAGTCATGAAGTCCTTGCCCTTGCCTATGTCCTGAATGGTATTGCCTAGGTTTTCTCCTGGGTTTTTATGGTTTTAGGTCTTACATTTAAATCTTTAATCCATCTTGAGTTGATTTTTATATAGGTGTAAGGAAGGGGTCCAGTTTCAGTTTTCTGCATACGGCTAGCCAGTTTTCCCAACACCATTTATTAAATAGGGAATCCTTCCCCATTGCTTGTTTTTGTCAACTTTGTCAAAGATCAGATGGTTGTAGTTGTGTGGTGTTATTTCTGAGGCCTCTGTTCTGTTCCTTTGGTCTATATATCTGTTTTGGTACCTGTACCATGCTATTTTGGTTACTGTAATCTTCTAGTATAGTTTGAAGCCAAGTAGTACGATGCCTCCAGCTTTGTTCTTTTTGCTTAGGATTGTCTTGGCCTTATGGGCTCTTATTTGGTTCCATGTGAAATTTAAAGTAGTTTTGTCAAATTCTATGAAGAAAGGCAATGGTAGCTTGATGGGAATAGCATTAAATCTATCAATTACCTTGGGCAGTATGGCCATTTCCACACTATTGATTCTACCTATCCATGAGCATGGAATATTTTTTCATTTGTTTGTGTCCTCTCTTATTTCCTTGAGCAGTGGTTTGTAGTTATCCTTGAAGAGGTCCTTCATATCCCTTGGAAGTTTTATTCCTAGGTATTTTATTCTCTTTGTAGCAGTTGTGAATGGGAGTTCACTCATGATTTGGCTTTCTGTTTGTCTATTATTGGTATATAGCAATGCTTGTGTTTTTGCACATTGATTTTGTATCCTGAGACTTCGCTGAATTTGCTTATCAGCTTAAGGCGATTTTGGGTTGAGATGATGGGGTTTTCTAAATATGCAGTCATGTCATCTGCAAACAGGGACGATTTGACTTCCTCTTTTCCTAATCGAATACCCTTTATTTCTTTCTTTTGCCTGATTGCCCGGCCAGAACTTCCAACACTATGTCGAATAGGAGTGGTGAGAGAGGGCATCCTTGTCTTGTGCCGGTTTTCAAAGGGAATGCATCCAGTTTTTGCCCATTCAGTATGATATTGGCTGTGGGTTTGTCATAAATAGCTCTCATTATTTTGAGATATGTCCCATCAATACCTAGTTTATTGAGTTTTTAGCATGAAAGACTGTTGAATTTTGTCAAAGGCCTTTTCTGCATCTATTGAGATAATCATGTGGTTTTTGTCATTGGTTCTATTTATGTGATGGATTACGTTTATTGATTTGCATATGTTGAATCAGCCTTGCACCCCAGGGATGAAGCCGACCTGATTGTGATGGATAAGCTTTTTGATGTGTTGCTGGATTGGTTTGCCAGTATTTTATTGAGGATTTTCGCATTGATGTTCATCAGGGATATTGGTCTAAAACTCTCTTTTTTTGTTGTGTCTCTGCCAGGCTTTGGTATCAGGATGAGGCTGGCCTCATAAAATGAGTTAGGGAGGATTCCCTCTTTTTCTATTGATTGGAATAGTTTCAGAAGGAATGGTACCAGCTCCTCTTTGTACCTCTGGTAGAATTCGACTGTGAATCTGTCTGGTCCTGGACATTTTTTGGTTGGTAGGCTATTAATTATTGCCTCAATTTCAGAACCTGTTATTGGTCTATTCAGAGATTCAACTTCTTCCTGGTTTATTCTTGGGAGGGTGTATGTGTCCAGGAATTTATCCATTTCTTCTAGATTTTCTAGTTTATTTGCATAGAGGTGTTTATACTATTCTCTGACAGTGGTTTGTATTTCTGTGGGATCGGTGGTGATATCCCCTTTATTATTTTTTATTGCATCTATTTGATTCTTCTCTCTTTTCTTCTTTATTAGTCTTGCTAGCAGTCTATCAATTTTGTTGCTTTTTTCAAAAAACCAGCTCCTGGATTCATTGATTTTTTGAAGGGTTTTTTGTGTCTCTATCTCCTTCAGTTCTGCTCTGATCTTAGTTTATTCTTGCCTTCTGCTAGCTTTTGAATTTGTTTGCTCTTACTTTTCTAGTTCTTTTAATTGTGATGTTAGAGTGTCCATTTTAGATCTTTCCTGCTTTCTCTTGTGGGCATTTAGTGCTATAAATTTCCCTCTACACACTGCTTTAAATGTGTCCCGGAGATTCTGGTACGTTGTGTCTTTGTTCTCATTGGTTTCAAAGGACATCTTCATTTCTGCCTTTATTTCGTTATTTACCCAGTAGTCGTTCAGGAGCAGGTTGTTCAGTTTCCATGTAATTGTGCGGTTTTGAGTGGGTTTCTTAATCCTGAGTTCTAATTTGATTGCACTATGGTCTGAGAGACTGTTTGTTATGATTTCTGTTCTTCTGCATCTGCTGAGGAGGTTTTTACTTCTTAAGTGATCAATTTTAGAATAAGTTCGATGTGGTGCTGACTAGAATGTATATTCTGTTGATTTGGGGTGTAGAGTTCTGTAGATGTCTATTAGGTCTGCTTAGTGCAGAGCTGACTTCAAGTCCTGAATATCCTTGTTAATTGTCTGTCTCATTGATCTGTCTAATATTGATTGACAGTGGGGTGTTAAAGTCTCCCATTATTATTGTGTGGGAGTCTAAGTTGCTTTGTATTTCTCTAAGGACTTGCTTTATCAATCTGGGTGCCCCTGTATTGGGTGCATATATATTTGGGATAGTTAGCTCTTCTTGTTGAATTGATCACTTTACCATTATGTAATGCCCTTCTTTGTCTTTTTTATCTTTGTTGGTTTAAAATCTATTTTATCAGAGACTAGGATTGCAACTCCTGCTTTTTTTGCTTTCCATTTGCTTGGTAAATCTTCCTGCATCTCTTTATTTTGAGCCTATGTGTGTCTTTGCACATGAGATGGTTCTCCTGAATACAGCACACAGATTGGTTTTGATTCCTTTTTTTTTTTTTTTTTTGGAGACAGAGTCTCACTCTGTTGCCCAGGCTGGAGTGCAGTGGCGTGATCTCAGCTCACTGCAAGCTCTGCCTCCCAGGTTCACGCCATTCTCCTGCCTCAGCCTCCTGAGTAGCTGGGACTACAGGCGCCTGCTACAATGCCCAGCTAATTTTTTGTATTTTTAGTAGAGATGGGGTTTCACCATGTTAGCCAGAATGGTCTCGATCTCCTGATCTCGTGATCCACCTGCCTCGGCCTCCCAAAGTGCTGGGATTACAGGCGTGAGCCACAGCGCCCGTCCTGGTCTTGACTCTTTATCCAATTTGCCAGTCTGTGCCTTTTAATTGAGGCATTTAGCCCATTTACATTTAAGGTTTATATTTTTATGTGTGAATTTGATCCTGTCGTTATGATGTTAGCTGGTTATTTTGCCTGGTAGTTGATTCAGTTTCTTCATAGTGTTACAGTCTTTAGATTTTGATTTGTCGATGGTACCAGCAGTGGCTGGTACCAGTTTTTCCTTTCCATATTTAGTGCTTCCTTCAAGAGCTCGTGTAAGGCAGGCCTGGTGTTGACAAAATCCCTCAGCATTTGCTTGTCTGTAAAGGATTTTATTTCTCCTTCACTTATGAAGCTTAGTTTGGCTGGCTATGAAATTCTGGGTTGAACATTCTTTTCTTTAAGAATGTTGAATATTGGCACCCACTCTCTTCTGGCTTGTAGGGTTTCTGCAGAGAGATCTGCTGTTAATCTGATGGGCTTCCCTTTGTGGGTAACCCAACCTTTCTTTCTGATTGCCCTTAACATTTTTTCCTTCATTTCAACCTTGGTGAATCTGACAATTATGTGTCTTGGGGGTGCTCTTCTCAAGCAGTATTTTTGTGGTGTTCTCTGTATTTACTGAATTTGAATGTTGGCCTGTCTTTCTAGGTTGGGGAAGTTCTCCTGGATAATATCTTAAGTGTGTTTTCCAACTTGATTCCATTCTCCCTGTCACTTTCAGATACACCAATCAAATGTAGGTTTGGTCTTTTCACATAGTTCCATATTTCTTGGAGGCTTTGTTCATTTCTTTTCATACTTTTTTTCTCTAATCTTGTCTTCACACTTTATTTCATTAAATCGATCTTCAATCTCTGATATCCTTTCCTCCACTGGATCAATTTGGCTACTGATACATGTATATGCTTCCCAAAGTTCTCATGCTATGTTTTTCAGCTCCATAGGGTCATTTATGTTCTTCTCTAAACTGGTTATTCTAGTTAGCAATTCCTCTAACCTTTTATCAAGGTTCTTAGCCTCCTTGCATAAGGTTAGAATATGCTCCTTTAGCTCAGAGGAGTTTGTTATTACCCACTTTCTGAAGCCTACTTCTGTCAATTCATCAAACTCATTCTCTGTCCAGTTTTGTTCCTTTTCTGGCAAGGAGTTGTGATCCTTTGGAGGAGAAGAGGCATTCTGGTTTTTGGAATTTTCAGCCTTTTTGTGCTGTTTTTTCCTCATCTTTGTAGATTTATTTACCTTTGGTCTTTACTGTTGATGACCCTTGGGTGGAGGTTTTGCATGGTGGTCCTTTTTGTTGATGCTGTAGCTATTGCTTTCTCTTTGTTAGTTTTCTTCTAACAGGCCCCTCTTCTGCAGTTCTGCTGGAGTTTGCTGGGGGTCCACTCCAGACCCTGTTTGCCTGGGTATCACCAGCAGAGGCTGCAGAACAGCAAAGATTGCTGCCTGCTCTGTCCTCTGGAAGCTTTGTCCCAGAGGGGGAGCCTCCTGATGCCAGCTGGAGCTCTCCTGTATGAGATGTCTGTTGACCCCTGCTGGGAGATGTCTCCCAGTCAGGAGGCATGAGGGTCAGGGATCCACTTGAGGAGCCAGTTTGCCCCTTAGCAGAGCTTGAGTGCTGTGCTGGGAGATCCACTGCTCTCGTCAGAGCTGGCAGGCCAGAAAGTTTAAGTCTGCTGAAACTGCACCCACAGTTGCCCCTTCCCCCAGGTGCTCTGTCCCAAGGAGATGGGATTTTTTTTTAATAAAATAGCTGTATTTTAATATTTATTGGTATTAGGCTCACATTTGAAAAAAAAGTAGCAGAAAAAAGACCAAAGTGCAATATGATAGGTTGGTTTCATATACATAAGAATTTTCAAATAATCTTATCTATAAGCCCCTGACTGGGGCTACTGCCTTTCTTTCAGAGACTCCCTGCCCAGAGAGGAGGAATCTAGAGAGGCAGTCTGGCTACAGTGGCTTTGCTGAGCTGTGGTGGGCTCCATGCAGTCCGAACTTCCCAGTGGCTTTGTTTACACAGTGTGGGAAAAATCGCCTACTCAAGCCTCATTTATGGCAGACGCCCCTCCACCCACCAAGCTCTAGCGTCCCAGGTTGACTTCAGACTGCTGTGCTGGCAGCAGGAATTTCAAGCCAGTGGATCTTAGCTTGCTGGGCTTTGTAGGGGTGGGATCTGCTGAGCAAGACCACTTGGCTTCCTGGCTTCAGTCCCCTTTCCAGGGGATTGAACAGTTCTGTCTTGCTGGCATTCCAGGCACCACTGGAATAAAAAAAAAAAAAAAAAAAAACAAAAAACTCCTGCAGCTAGCTCAGTGTCTACCCAAATGGCTGCCCAGTTTTTTGTGCTTGAAACCCTGGGCCCTTGTGGTGTAGTCACCCAAGGGAATCTCCTTGTCTGTGAGTTAGGAAAACCATGGGAAAAGCGTAGTATCTGGGCCACAATGCACCATTCCTCATGGCACAGTCCCTCAAGGCTTCCCTTGGCTAGGGGAGGGAGTTCCCTGACCCCTTGTGCTTCCTGGGTGAGGTGATGCCCCACCCTGCTTTGGCTTGCCCTCTGTGGGCTGCACCCATTGTCTAACCAGTCCCAGTTATATGATTTGGGTACCTCAGTTGGAAATGCAGAAATCACCTGCCTTCTGCATTGATCTCGCTGGGAGCTGCAGACCAGAGCTCTTCCTGTTCAGCCATCTTGCCCAGGAATCCCAGGTATTATTATTAATACCATTTTATAAAAGGGTAAACTGAGGCACAGAGCGATGAAGCAATAGCTAGTACATGGCAGCAACCTCTTCACACTTTGAATATCCTAACCATCATTTTCATATCTCTCTAGCAATCCTACACCAGAACTACATTCTAGAACTATGATATCCTGTCATCCAGGTACTGAGCATAGTACTCAATAATTAGTTTTTCAACCTTTGCCAACTCCACCAGTAGTTTCTGTGTCTATTGTTGCCATCTTTATCTCCATGAGTACCAAATGTTTAGCTTCCACTCATAAATGAGAACATGTGGTATTTGGTTTTCTTTCTGTGTTAATTTGCTTTAGATAACAGCCTCCAGCTGCATCCATGCTGCTGCAAAGAAGATGATTTCATTCTTTGTTCTTAGTATTGCTCATAGTATTCCATGATGTATATGTACCACATTTTCTTTATCCAATCCACCATTGATGGTCACCTAGGTTGATTTCATGTATTTACTATTGCGAATAGTGCTGCAATGAACGTGCGAGTGTGTGTGTGTTTTTTGGTAGCAAGGTTTGTTTTCTTTTGTGTATATACTCAGTTATGGGATTGGTGGGTTGAGTGGTAGTTCTAAGTTCTTTGAGGAGTCTCCAAACTCATTTCCACAGGGGCTGAACTAATTTACATTCTGACAACAGTATATAAGTGTTTATTTTTCTCCACAGCTTTGCCAACATCTTTTGTGGGTTTTTTTTTTTTTGACTTTTTAATAATAGCCATCCTGACTAGTGTGAGATGATATTTCATTGTGGTTTTGATATCTCTCTGATGATTAGTGGTGTTGAACGTTTTTTTCATATGTTTGTTGGCTGCTCATATGTCTTCTTTTGAGAAGTGTCTGTTCATGACTTTGCCCATTTATTAGTGGGGTTGTTTTTTGCCTGTTCAGTTACTTAAGTTCCTTATAGATTCTGGATATTAGACCTTTGTCAGATGTGTAGTTTGAAAATATTTTCTCTCATTCTGTAGGTTGTCTAATTTGTCGATAGTTTGTTTTGCTGTGCAGAAGTTCTTTAGTTTAATTAGGTCCCACTTGTTAATTTTTGTTTTTGTTGTAATTGCTTTTGAGGACTTAGTTATAAATTCTTTCTCAAGGCTGATGTTTGGAATGGTGTTTCCTAGGCTTTCTTGTAGGATTTTTATAGTTTGAGACTTTATATTTAAATTTTTAATCCATATTGAGTTAATTTCTTTATACGGTGAAAGGTAGAGGTCCTATTTCATTCTTATACATATGGCTAGCCAGCTATCCCAACACTATTTATTGAATAAGGAGTCCTTTTCCTATTGTTTATTTTTTCTTCCACTTTGTTAAAAAATTAGATGGCTGTGGGTATGTGGCTTTATTTCTGGGTTCTCCGTTCTTTTCCATTGGTCCATATGTCTGTTTTTGTACCAGTACCATACTGTTTTGGTTATTGTAGCCTTACTGTATAGTTCAAAGTTGGGTAATGTGATGTTTCCAGCTTTGTTCTTTTGGTTTAGAATTGCTTTGGTTATTCAGGCTCTTTTTTGGTTTGATACAAACTTTAGACTAGTTTTTTTTAGTTCTTTGAAAAATGACATTGGTAGTTTGATAGGAATAGCATTGAATCTGTAGATTGCTTTGGGGAGAATGGACATTTTAACAATATTGATTCTTCCAATACATGAGCATGGAATGTTTTTCCATTTACTTGTTTCATCTATGATTTCATTCAGCAGTGCTTTGTAGTTTTTCTTATAAAGCTCTTTCACCTCCTTTGTTAGATGTATTCCTACGTAGCCATTGCAATTGGGTTGTGTTCTTGATTTTGCTTTCAGTTTGAACATTATTAATATGTAGAAATATTACTGATTTAGCGATATTGATTTTGTATCCTGAAACTTTGTTGAAGTCATTTATCAGAGTTTTAACTTCTAATCCAGAAAGTATTGATAAATAGTAACCCATGCAAATAAAAGCTCTTTATGATTCTCAATAATTTTTAAGAGTCTAGAGAAATCCTGGGACCAGATATATGTCCACTAGAAAACAGCCATTATATTGATATCATTTTATGACTACAATGTAATACAACTACCAACTAGTTGAAAAATACATTTTGAAAAGAATTCAACTACTATGAAGATAAAAATATCCATGTTTGTCTAATTGAAAATAAAAATGTAAAGCTCAACAACTTTAGAAATTGCAATAATGAATGTCCTATTTATATACTCTTGAGATTTGCCCAATGAAGAGGCTCAGAGACAGATTCCGAGCCTTAAGTGTTGATATTATTAATTAAGTAATGCACATAAATTAAGTAAATTAAAAGCAAGATGAATAAGAAAAAAAACCTAAACCCAAAAGGAACAAGAGACTATCAATACAAATGAAAGTATAACTAAACAACTTATGCATCAGAAAAAATTGTAGATACACAGACATATGTTTGTCTTAGAAAAAATATGATAGATATACTCTAGAAAATTGTATTCAAGAAATGAGAAGAAAGGTATCAATACAAACATGTAAGGGCCGTGCTCTTCAGAACTCTTGCTTGAGAGACTATTCTAGCTCTGCCATTGGTCTACTTGGGAGTAACTCAATGGCATGGCGCTGTTTTTTTCATGTCATATATTACCTAACTTATAGTAAATGTAAACTACTAAAGAGTTCTTGTTTATTTGTTTATTGTTTTATGAGAGAAGAAATAAACTGACCTATGGAAACCATGAAGTATGCAAGGTGACTTTCTATGCTTACCTTTTTGTGCTCTTTCCTGAGGCCAGATACCACTTTCCTCTCTTTTAATCCTTGACATGACTTCAAACTTTTCTTTCATGTGGAAATATAAAATATTAAAACTTGGTTAAATAGATTGTCCATTCAGAGGTATTAAAATTTTAATAGAAATAAACTACTATGCTCAAAAGATGAATTTTGGAATGTAAATATAAAGCCTTGCCCAGAATATATGCTTTAAAATGGATTAAGTTTTCGATTAATAAAATTTTACTTAATACTATTAGAAAAGACTTTTTCTTATACTTTTGGGGCAGAAAAGAACTCGGGATCTGTTTTCTCAGCCATCCTTGGTATATCAGTCTTCCTTTGTTTTCTTTTCTTTTCTTTTTTCTTATTTTTCTTTTCTTTTTTTCTCCCTTCTCTTCCCTTTCTTTCTTTCTTTTTTTTTTTTTTTTTGTGTGTGTGAGACAGGTTCTTGCTCTGTCACCCACACTGAAAAGCAGTGGCACAATCGCAGTTCACTGCAGCTGAACCTCCTGCCCCTGGGCTCAAGCAATCCTCCCACTTCAGCCTCCTGAGTAGCTGGGATTATAGGTGCATGCTATCATGCCCAGCTAATTTTTGTCCTCCCAAAGTGCTGTGATTATAGGCATGAACCACCATGCCTGGTCAACAGTTTTATTTTCTACCCAGACTTAATCCATGTTCTGAGGAAGAATAAAGTCCTTGAAAATGGCCTTGATATTTACTTTCATTTCCTTTTGTCTGGTCAGCTCTTCTGGGCAGTTCCCATTTGTTTTTCTATCCTTCTCCACTTTCCTTGTGCTCAAGAGGCTAATCTTTATAGACAGCATGAAAGGACCCACTTGTCCTTTAGGGTCCATTTGGATATGGCTGTTGAGAAGCACCTACAAGTATTTGGAGAATGGGTAAGTGCAGGATCATGGTTTTTCCTTCTCTGAATTTCTCCTTGTCAGGTTGTCAAGGCTTAGCTCCATTGCTCTACTGAAAATCATAGCTCCTGACAGACAATTGCCTCGTTCTTTTTTATAGATACATATTCTGGGTTCCAGTAACCACTCCCTCCTCTTGCTCCTTTTTGACAAAGTTTTCCTAATGTTGGTAGCCGTGGGGTACTCTACCATCTTCTGTTGATTTTTTAAAAATACGTTCTACCTAACTTTGTAAATTTTCCCTCTATCAAACTCTTCTCAATAAACCTATTTGAATGTGTCATCTTTTTTACTCCTAAGACCATAATAAAAATAGCATACACTAAATTTCTCAAGTAGAGAGTATGTTCTTCAGTTCTTTACTGATATGATAATGATGCGTATAACTACAACAAGGGCAACCATACTGGCTAGCATTTAATAAATCCATGTGCTAGACACTATTTTAAAAGCATTACATGGATTGATCAAATCTTATAATTTCCTTATAAAGTTAGATATTATTATTAATTCCATTTCATAAAAGTGTTAACTGAGGCACAGAGAGACTAAACTATAGGTAATAAGTGGTGGCAACCTCTTCACACATTGAATAGCCTCACCCTCATTTTGATATCTCTCTAGTAATCCTACACTCATTAACTCTTAGAAATGGGAATAGGGCATTCTAGACTTTCCAGATTAGTTTTATTATTGACTTTTTTTTAACAATTTAGCTGATTTTTTAAATCTGAAATAAGTTTAATACCCTTGTAAGAATTCACATTAATATATCTATACATTATTAAATTACACATTATTTGGTTTGACAATTTATGCTGTTATCTATTGCTTTAGAAAATATGTTTAAAAACACCATTATCTTGGGATGTGTGGTTCCTGCTTTTGGGCCTCTTCCCTCCACGTCCTCACTCCTCAGGTTATCAATGAACATTGCAATGCCCAGCTTTGTCTCCGTTGTCTGCATAAATCTGTACTAATTAGAAGGGGAGGTCTGAAAAGGAGCAACCAACCAAGATAATCTGGGAATGACATAATATAAGAAGGACAGAGGCCGGGCGCGGTGGCTCACGCCTGTAATCCTAGCACTTTGGGAGGCCGAGGCGGGCGGATCACGAGGTCAGGAGATCGAGACCATCCTGGCTAACACGGTGAAACCCCGTCTCTACTAAAAATACAAAAAATTAGCCGGGCGTGGTAGCGGGCGCCTGTAGTCCCAGCTAGTCGGGAGGCTGAGGCAGGAGAATGGCGTGAACCCGGGAGGCGGAGCTTGCAGTGAGCCGAGATCGCGCCACTGCACTCCAGCCTGGGCGACAGAGCGAGACTCCGTCTCAAAAAAAAAAAAAAAAAAAAAGAAGGACAGAAAAACAAATAGCATTTTTTAAACCATAGATATCACTTTACTATTCAAAATGGGAAATTTTTAAATAAGATAAAATTAATCAACTCACCTAATGCTAATAAAGTTATTAGAGATTGTTAATTTACTTATGAAAAAATATCTATTTTTTCCATCAACTTATATTTATGTCTCATTTATTAATGCATTATATTGAAGAGTGACTTATGATGAAGACTTAAGTCCTCCCTGTCAAGTGTTAAATAAGATTCTAAAACAATTTATTACTACCTCATGAAATACCCAAATGTCCCTTCAAAAGCAAAGTCATAAATACAAGTTAAACACAAATAACCCAGGGAAGATCCCATAGGAATGTATATTAAATAATTAGAAAGAATAATCAAGGAGTACCAAAAAATAAAAGTTGATAGCATATAAATATCAGTGATCAAAAAGAAGGACAAATGTCTTTGATAAATAAGCTTTACAACCAAAGTGGTCTCTTAAAAATGCTGCTTCTATCTTGTCAACACCAAGAGAAAGGCTGCCATGCTGCAGGATTTTTTCATACAGGAGGGAGGCAAATCACTACAGCAGGTCCAAAAGCATAGGTACAGTCTTGTGTTCCTCTTAAATCCCATCACATAGATTGACTTCTTTTTGCTTAGGGTAGTTCTGCTTTTAACATCTTCATGGAGTCATCTGACTTTTACCTTGAGTGCTCTTTCTCATCATAGAAGGACTCAAGAGAATGACATCATAAAATATTTGTGCTTGGAAATATCTTGGAGATCATTTAAATCCTTAATATATAGCCAAGGAAGTTAAAACTCAGAGAGACTGGGTGTTCTTCCAAGGTCATACTAATCCTTGGTGGCAGAACTGAATCATTTGACTTGAAATTTAGCCTCCCCCCGAACCCACCACACTTCTACTAAAAAGCAATAGGTTCACTCTGAGAATTTCTGTGATCACACATTATTTATAGTCTACTCAGACTACAAAATTTGCTAGGAAATGTGTCTTATTAGTAATATATTCTTCAGCCTTGCCAATTTTATTCCTTTACTTTCTCTGCTGTATCCACTCTCCCTCCCCACATTCCTACTTGCTGGGCCCTATTCCATATGGGATACTTGGCTTTTTAGCCCCAGACTTATCAACCTTAACTCTTTCTTTCATAGATCTTACATTATTTTTTGACAACATCATTCTTATAGATCTCAGGAGGCATTTCCAAAACAGAGTAAAGATGGACATCATCCAAGAATTCAATGCTAGTGGGACTAGTATGCAGTTCCTCTGGATAGTGGTAGAGTGCTTTACTGAAATAGTCACTGGTAGTAAATACATGTTGGAAGGTTTCCAGTAAAGTTTTTAGTTAGGCAAAGGCTTACATTAGATAACTAACTGTGCCATTTCACAATGTTAAAATTCTATGGTATATAAGTGTACTTTGGGGTTTTCTGTAAAATATTAAAATAGGATCATTATTCTAAATGCATTTAAATCATAACTGAATAAAGGCTTATGTAATTGAAGAACTAATCAGATCATGTAAATCAGATTGATGGGCATCAGCTGGGTCCTGTGCGTCCAGCTAGGGAAGTCTGGCTAGTGTGAGGACTGCTGGGATCTGAGAAGCCTGTTGTGCCCAATGGGCTAACCAATCAGGAAAACTTGCAGAGGACAATGGGTTTCTGATGTCCAACTAAAATCATTGCTCTAAACATGTTTCTCTAGCTGTGGGTCTTTCAACAAGCGGATATGTTCTAAATCTCAGTAACACTGCTTCTGGTATTGGGATCAATCTTTTCAGAAAAACTAAAAAATATATAAATTTTATACGTCTACTTAGAACACATTTGAAAGCTAGTCAGAGAGAAATATATAGAAGACAAAAATGAGACAGAGATAAGTCTGTCTTTAAGGATCACTTTTCCCTTGAAGGAGTTTTCTGATTCCAAGCTGATTCCAGGCTGAGAATCTAAGAAAAGCAATGCTTTTGATAGCCTTAGATATTTAGAGGACAGAAACTGAAAAGAACTATTTTTTAAAATAAATTAATTATTTAGCATTTACTATGTGTTAGTTGCCATGTAAAGCAAGTATGCACTTGCACACATGCACACACACACACACACACACACAAATTCCCCAGAAAAATACAAAACTAAAGGCTTTCAAAATACCCCAAATGGCTGATTATGATGTCCTACAGTCATTTTCCAAAAATTGTTACTGAGTAATTCCTGAAACATTTCTTAGTTATCATGATGGAAGACAAAATTATTCTTTAGTAGGACCAGAATACAAATTAGCCTGGGACCCAGAATAATAATCATTATACTTATTTATTAAATGATTTATTTAAAAATGTAAGGAATGTTCCACTTCAGTTATCAGTAATAGGAAATGAGATATTGCCCTTGACCTCAGAAGCAAAACCAACTGGGATGACACAAAATTTTCTTGAAAAATTCCAGTAGTCTTGTATAGCTCAACATTATTATTATCTAACAGATCATTGGTGTTAAACATAGACACACTTTATATTTAGAATAAAAATTGTTTGGGGCATGGCATAAAAGGAACACTGTAGCCATATTACTAAAACTTTAGTTTACAAAATCAATTTTTTTTGTCAATTATTATGTATATCTTGCTTTCTCTCTTCAACAGTTTTTACTAGTAATTTTCTTTGTCTTTTCTTGGAAAATAAAATTTTTGCCAATTAAAAATGTGATTCTTCTTTGACTTCTGGCTTCAAGTGATCCTCTCATGACAGTCTTTCAAAGTGCCATGATTACAGGTGTGAGGCACTAATCTAGCACCTAAAAGAACTAGAAAAACAAGAGCAAACTAAACTCAAAGCCAACAAAAAAAAGAAAATAACTAAAATCAGAGCAGAACAAAATAAAACTAAAACACTAAAAGCATACAGTGGATCAACTAAATGAAAAGATTTTTCTTTGAAAGGATAAAAAAGATTGATAGACTGTCAGCTAGATTTAAAAAGAAAAAAAGAGAGGATCCAAATAAACTGAATCAGAAATGACAAAAGGTTGCATCACAACTGATACCACAGAAATACAAAAGATCCTCAGAGACTACTATGAACATGACTGTGCACACAAACTAAAAAATCTAGAGGAACTGGATAAATTCTAAACTTCCCAAGATTGAACCAAAAAGAACCAGAAATCCCGAACAGACCAATAATGTGCAATGAAGTTGAATCACTAATAAAAAACCTAATAACCAAAAAAAGTCTTGCACCGGACAGATTCATAGCCAAATTCCACCCAATATACGAAGAAGACCTGGTACCAACTTTTCTGGAACTATTCCAAAAAATCAAGGAGAAAGGACTCTTCCCTAACTCATTCTACTAAACCAATATCATCCTGATTCCAGAATCTGACAAAAACACAATAAAAAAGAAAACTTCAGTCCAATATCCCTGATAAATGTAAATGCAAAAATCCTTAACAAAATACTAGCAAACCGAATTGAGCAGCACATAAAAAAAGTTAATTCATCATGATCAAATTAGCTTTATTCCTAGGATGCAAGGATGGTTCAACATATGCAAATCAATACATGTGATTCACCCCATACACAGAATTAAAAACAAAAAGCATATGATCATTTCAATAGATGCAGAAAAAGCACTTGATGAAATCCAACATTGCTTTATGATAAAAAAAAAACCCTCAATAATCTAGGCATTAAAGAAACATACTTCAAAATAGTAACAGCTATTTATGACAAACCCACAGCCAACATCGTACTGAATGGGCAAGAGCTGGAGCATTCCTGCTAAGTACTGGACTAAGACAAGGATGCTCTCTCTCACTACTCTTATTCAACATAGAACTGGAAATCTGGGACAGAGCATCAGGCAAAAGAAAGAAATAAAAGGCATCCAAGTAGGAAAAAAAGAGGAAGTCAAATTATCTCTCTTTGCTGATGATTCTATAGCTAGAAAGCCCTAAAGACTCTGCCAAAAGACTCCTAGACTAATAAACAACTTCAGCAAAGTCTCAGAATACAAAATCAGCATACGAAAATCAGTAGCATTTCTATACATCAATAACACTCAAGCTGATAAACAAATTAAGAATTCAATCCAATTTACAATAGCCAGACACACAAAAATAAAATACTTAATAATATATCTAACCAAGAAGGTAAAAAATCTGTACAAAAAAAATGACAAAACACTTCTGAAAGAAATCATAGACAACACAACCAAATGAAAAAAAAAATTCCATGCTCATGGATTGAAAGAATCAGTATTATTTAAATGTCCATAGTGCCCAAAGTAATCTACAGATTCAATGCTATTCCTATCAAATTACCAATGCCATTTATCACAGAATTAGAAAAACCATTCTAGAATTCATATGGAACAACAACAACAACAACAACAACAAAAAGCTGGAATAGCCAAAGAAATCCTAAGCAAAAAGAGTAAAGCCAGAGGCATCACATTACCTGACTTCAAACTATGCGACAAAGCTACAGTAACCAAAATGCATGCTACTGGTACAAAAATAGACACAGAGATGAATGGAACAAAATACAGACCCCTCAGATAAAGCTGCATTTCTACAACCAACTGATCTTCAACAATTTCAACAAAAATAAACAATGGGTAAAGGATACCCTTTTCGACAAATGGTGCTGGGAAAACTTGCTAACCATATTCAGAACAATAAAACTGGACCCCTATCTCTCACCATATACAAACATTAACTCAATTGGATTAAAGAGTTACATGTAACACCTTAAACTATAAAAATCCTAGAAGAAAATTAGAAAATACTCTTAGACATCAGCCTAAGCAAAAAATTTATGTTGCGGACTCCGAAAGCAAATGCAACAAAATAAAAAAAATGGACAAATGTTACTTAATTAAACTAAAGAGTTTCTGCACAGCAAAAGACAGAGTAAACAGACAATCTATAGAATGGGAGAAAATATTTGCAAACTATGCATCTGACAAAGAATTAATATTCAAAATCTATAAGGAACTTAAATCAACAAGAAAAAATACATAAATAATCCCTCTTAAAAATAGGCAGAGGACATAAACTGACACTTCTCAAAAGAAGATGTACAAGTGGCCAAACACATAAAAAAATGCTCAAGACCGCTAATCATCAGAGAGATGCAAACCAAAACCACAGTGAGATACCATTTCACATCAGTAGAATGGCTGTTATCAAAAAGTCAAAAAATAACAGATGTTGATGAAGTTGTGAAGAAAGGAGACCATTTTTACAGTGCTGGAAGGGAATGTAAATTAGTTCACCTCCTGTGGAAAGCAGTTTGGAGATTTCTCAAAGAACTAAAAAGAGAATTACCATTTGACCCAGCAATCCCATTACTGGGTATATACTGAAAGGAAAATAAATTGTTCTACCAAAAAGACACATGCCCCTGTATGTTTTTCACAGCTCTATTTGCAATAGCAAAGATGTAGAATCAACCTAGGTGTCCCTCAACTGCAGACTAGATAAAGAAAATATGGTAGCTATACACCATGGAATACTATGTAGCCATAAAAGAATGAGATCATATCCTTTGCAGGAACATGGATGAAGCTGGAGGTCATATCCATTAGCAAACTAATGGAGAAACAGAACACCAAATACAGCATGTACTCACGTATAAGTGGGATCTAAACGATGAGGATGCATGAACACATGGGAGGAGAGAGGAGAGAGAGGATCAGGAAAAATAACTAATGAGTATTAGGCTTAATACCTGGGTGATGAAATAATCTGTACAATGAACTCCATGACATAAGTTTACATATATAACAAGCCTGTATATATACCCTTGATCTTAAAATTAAAAAAAAAAACATTGAGACTACCTATAATAAGGAGATTGATTTTGAAAGATATTTTGAAATTTATTAACTATGCACTTCTCAAGAGATTGTGTCTTCAGATTCAAAAATCAGTCTCTACTTGAACTATTTACCGTTTCACCATTAACAATTAATGCTTAATACATATAAATTAGATATGTAATTGACTATATCCAATTATCCAATAACTATCCAATTATTTTATTGAAATTCCAACTGAAATACTGGAATTCCAACTAAAATCGCTGACATTCTTATTAGCTTTCTTTCCTTCCTTTCTTCCCTTCTAAGCATAGTTCCTGATATTAGTCAGAATAAAATATTGCTTTCAAATGATTATCTATGTAATAGTTGAATAAATGTAACCCTGTCATACTAGTTCTGCTCTAATGTGAGAGTGGGGCTCAGCACTTCTATTAAAAAAATACTCTATTAGGAACTAAAGAAAAAATAGTTATTTTACTAAAGATTTCATAGGGGAAAAGAAGAAAGGGAGTTTTATTGCACCACTCATAATATTTTACCTTCCCCAAACTAGAAAATTTTTATCCATCATTTGAATGATTATTTCTCTTACTCAAATGCCACCAAACACCTATTCTTTTCCAGTCCCTCCTCCTCCAACTTCTCTAGTGTTAAATATCCCATCCTGAATCCTTTTAGGTTTCACCATTTCTTATTCAAGAAAATTTAATGACCTTGACTTCTCTAATTTTATATTCACATATCAATCAATGTTATCTTCACAATGAAGCAATATGTTAAAATTGTTCTTAGCCAAAAAAGATCGCCTCTAGATATCAGAATCTACTTGTAGTAGGTAGATTGAGGAAATATACACATATTTCCCCCCTGTAGGTATATGTATTTCTTTAACAACTTTTTTTCTGGCAAACAAATTACAGAAAATGAAGAAATTTAAAATATTCTAGTTTAAATGTGAATAAAGCATCAAATATTTAATTTCTCTCATTCCAAACTCTGCAGCTACTAAAGTGTAAAGAAGTATGTATGTACCATAAATATTAGAAAGTTCATACTTCTCAATCTATTCTAGGAAGATCATGTGTAAGTAAATGTGAAGAAACAGAGAGGAAGAAGGTGAACCTTAGTTTTTGTACGTTTTTAACATTTTTTCTTTTTAAAAAGACTATGTCTCAGTTAAAGAATAGTTGTGAGAAACAAACAAAATAATGGTCGATGCTTGAGCACATATGGAAATGTAACTCTAAGGACTTTTCTTAATAGAACTGGATTCATGTATTACATACAGTCATAAAGATTTATTTACAGATGGTTTTTGAAAGCCTATTGCTACTTTTCTAAGGAAGAGTATTTTGTAAGTGCCCATTAAAGTTAGCCAAATTGAACTGAAGTGTGGTTGGCCTAGAAGCAATCACAAAGACTCTAACTCAGTTGTCAAGCACATTTGAAGAAGATCTATGGGTTTTCTGTTTGACTTTAGCCTCCTCATTGATCAATTCCAGGCAAAGATAACATCTCTTATCATCCCTTCATCTCTATAAGGCATATTTCCATGAGAAAAACAATTCTTCATTCTTAAAAAGTATGGAATGGACCATTTTGCTTGCCACTTGAAAAATGCCCAAACATGGCAGACCATCTGCAGATGACAGTCCCCCTCTATTTCTAACCATGTGTAGTTTGACAATGACTTAGCATTAAGGAGGAGTGCCATTTTAAGTAAGCATCAGCATATATATTGAGTAATGATTTCACTACAGCTGCACTTCACAATTTTGATGTAGTCAGTGTGTTGTCTTTTATTTTCATGGAAAACCAATGAAAAATAGTCAGCTTCGGTTATTGTGTGGTTCAACACAGGACTCTATCTCTCTGGAATATCATTTTCCCTGTAGACTTAACCGCTTTTGATCTACCCCACTGACAACCTAGGTTTTAATTTTTGATTAATAGTACACCAAGAAGAATTAAGGTGTTTCCACAGCCAATTGATAATTTTATTACCAAAGTATTTTAAAAATAGTATTGTGCTTCAGTGATCATCCTGTTTCTACCTCCACCCCCATGGAGCAGAAGCACTTAAATAAGGAAAATAAAGCTTGTATTGAAAACTTTTTGTTTGCAAAGCACTGTTAGATGCTTTGTATAGATCATTTGATTTTGTAAAAAAAAAAAAAAACAAAAAAAAACCCCAAAAAAAACCTGCATTCTCATCTCTTGTTTACAGATGTTGAAAAAAAAGACTAAGAGAGATTAACTTACTCAAGCTGATACAAATACCAAAGTGATGATTTTAAAGTGCATGAAATTTTCACTTGGCCATTAAAAACTGGCTTTCTTTGTAAAACATTGCCTGAAAATGTTATGCTTTTATATTCTGTCTGATATACTATATACTCTCCAATAAAGCAGGGAGGCAAAGCATTTTTGAGTGTCTACTCTATGGCAAGCATGATCTTGAGTACAACTCATTAGGCAAATGCACTCCAGTCACCTATCTTAGTGGCAGGAACTACCTTAGTCATTTTGATATCTATCTTCCATTGTATCATTGAGTCCTTAGGCAGCTCCAAGGCAAGAATTATTCTCACCATTACAGAGGCGAAGAAACTAGTCAGATAAATGAATTAACCAACACAATTTCCTTGTGCTAGTAAATGGCAATATCTGAATTCACACTTAGATGGTAATGCCCACTGCAACCTGTGTTCTTTCCATCACCCAGACTCCCCCTTCTCAAGACAATTGAAGTCCACGACATCTCCTGGACATAAATGAATATGGTTCTCTTGTGTGCTGACAGACAGTGCAACAGTATTGCCTCTGGATGTGAAAAACTTATAAAAGAGGAGTCTTTTTATTCTTTGGACTCTTTTCTTTACTACAGGCCCCATGTCTGGAATGCCATTGAACTTGAATTTGCCAGGGGAAGATTTCTGACTCTCACAAAGGCCACCTGAGCCCTTGCTTGGAGCTACTTGTATGCTTTTGGCTGAGGACAGTTATCCCTATTATGAGAAGACCATACTCACCAATGAAGATGTACCATAATGTGGAGAGATGCAGGCAGCAGCGGAGGAGCAAGGAGACTTGCCTAGCTAGCATAGGTGCTAGAAAGATCTAGCAAATGAATTTACAAAGGTTCAACACATTTCATCTCCACACCCAGGCTAATGTGTTTAGCAATATTTCATCTCTTGAATTAGAATAGTGGAGGAAATCAATGTTCTGACCTGGTGACTTATCAAGATAGAGGAGAGAGAGGCAATGGGAGCAGTCCATCCCAAGTGCAGGCAATAAGAGACTGCATTGTGTATTAAAAATTTAAAACCAAAAATAAACCTGATTCAAAAAATCAGTTTGCTTTTTACTTACCCTGCACCAGCAATTCTAGACAATGGGATTGATAGAATGTTTCCTCATCAGAACAGACCACTCCCACCTTTCACTTGTTAAACCGCTGGAGAGGCAGACTTGTCTTTCTCTGAACCCAGCTGAAAACACCATTCAAACCATAGCCCTTCCATAGGCCTGGGGTGAAAAACCCTGGTTTAGAATTTAGGGAGTATTCATTGTGTATTGTTGCTACTGTCTCCTTTGAACTCTGTACATCAAAGGATTCCTGCAAATGTATCTGTTACTAAAACAGCCCGTGGTAAATCGGATCCTAACTGTAATAAGCAACTCTCATTCTTCAACTGCATTGAAAAGTGCGTTATAGACACCTGACACTTTACAGTGAACCTGACTTTCACATTCATTATCTCATTTTGTCCTCATAATGTCCCTGGCAGCTCAGAAGAGGAAATGCTATGAAACTGGCACACTGACTAAGCAGGACATATGTAGGATAATCAGCAAGTTCATTCCATTCTCACACCAACCATCTGAACACGCTCTTAAGGGCTGGTTCCTCTCCAGCCTCTAGATGAAACCTAGAGCAGGTCTCACAGATTTCCTTGTCTCTCATAGATTTCTAAAAGTCCGATTACTTTTAGTCATAATATGGGTTCACTTGTCAAGTTCTGTGTCATAATCAAAACCTTGAAACTTCCCAAATTAAAGCAGGAAATGAGTACTGGAAAAGATGAAAATGACTCATTTTCCCACCCAAATTCCCACTCTAGAGTGTATGCAATTTGTTGGCTCATGCCATTTCCTTTGTTGAAGAAGAAAGAGTTGAGGAAACAGAAAAGGGATTACATTCCTGGCCAGGTACCCATCTAGTTGTGGTTTCCTTTGGTCATGGCAGATGCTTAAAGTTTGTGCTTTCTTTTATAGGGCACTTTCTTAGGTGTTTCAGATTTACTCTGTATTAGTCAGAGTTCTCCAGAGAAACAGAACCAAAAGGTTATATGTAGATATAGATAAATAAGATTTTTAAAATTTAAATTAAATGTTGTAATTCCAATTTTTTACACTGGAATTGGCTCATGCAATTATGAAGGATGAGAATTCCCATGATCTGATGTCTGGTGGTGTAATTCAGTCTGAGACTAAAGGCATCCGAAGGGGCAGTGGAGGTACTAGTGTAAGTCCCAGGGTCCTAAAGCCCAAGAACCAGGAGCTCTGATGCCTGAAGGCAGGAGAAAATGCATGTCGCAAGTCAAGAAGAGAGATAATTTTCTCTTTCTCTGCCTTTTGTTCCATTCAAACCCTCAACAGGCCCATTGGAATGGATGATCCCTGCCACATTGGCGAGGGTAGATCTCCTCTCTCAGTCTACGGATGCAAGTAGACAAATATACCTGAAAATATTTTACCAGCAATGTGGGCATCCCTTAGCTCAGCCAAGTTGGCACATAAAATTTATGATCACATCCTTGAGTTTAGAAAATTAACACCAGCAAATCACTTAAAGTAGGCAAACACTTCTACTCCAGTTGATTAATTATTATTCCTTCTTTTATCTAGGGCTTTACTATATACATCCAGACATCCTTTTTGGTTGAGTTCTAAAGAGGCTAATAACTAGGTCACTTTGACCCATCATCAACCCTGTTTTCATTTAGCTGCTTGAACAATTCTAGCTACAGCCCTTTGCCCTTTTGATTTATTAGGCAGAGACATATACCAGTCCACAGCACGCCACAAACCATAAGACACACATATCACAGCTACTATTTAGTCTTCTCGAAACTTTGGGGTGAAACTGAAGTATCCTATCTTACTTTCCATGAGAGTAGAGAAAATCCTCTCATATTTAGAATTTCCCTTAAGGAAATCCTCTCTCTAATTTTCAACTATCCTGTGGTGGCCAACTTTAATCCTTTTATACCCTAAAGTCATTGGTAAAGATTGCGCAAAGGCAGAAGTGTCGCAAATCTGGGTTGTCTCTACTACGTTGCAAGGTTCATCTAGATGTTTTAGCATCTCATTTTGAAAGCTAGGAGTGCTTGACCCCTCTATAGTCTCAACATTAACCAAGCCTGGGAGAAAAATCTATTTTAAGATGTGGTGACAAATATTCACATTTATCCTCCATACCCCTACTTTACAAGGCCACTGAGGGTTCATAGTTTAAGGTTTCTGTGTTTCTGGATTTCTTGGAGATCAGAATAACAGGATTTCTGTGTTAGCTTACTTATTATTTTAGAGGAATATTTTTAATCTCACACTATATTCTCATTGAAACTGTAACAATGTGAGCCAGAAGTTAAAGACTGCACGGCACTTTGAGGAAGGAGAGAGCTATAGTTCCGGTGTCATGGAGCATATTTCCTCACAATAAAGTTGGCTGTCTAATTTCCCAAGCTAACGGGAGCTATGATGCATGTATACTTGCCTGCTTTTGAGAGTGCTATGCGTCAGTCACTTTAGATATGGGTTCTAAAGATAGACAGATAGATGATAGATGTATCACAGCTTCATTTGATTAGAGTCCTTGCATTATGAGTACTTAATTTATTACTTCATAAAGCTCTCTGACATGACTGAATTGTGGAAGGCAGCTTGCACCAGAAATAATCTCTGCCAGTTTGGTGTTCGGCCACTTCTCTTTTCAGAGTTGCCAGAAAAGACTAGCAATGCATGGGCATACGTGATTATTCACTCTAAATGCTTATATTCTCAAAAATGAATGACCCATTAGGCAAAGCCTGGAATTAAAAGGGAGCCCATCAAAATAATGCAAACCACGCTGGAAGGCTAAGATGTGCGCCTCTCCTGATTTCCTTAACGGAATGTGGTCTAACAAGCTCTTGTATTTTTAACTTACAAAAATAAAAGAAAAAACAAGGGAAAAAGACTTCTGCTGAAAAGTAAAGTTTAAGTAAAAGAAAGTCTAATAAGAAAGAAATAAGCACAAAACTAGAAAGTATATAGTGCAAATGCATTTTCTTGTGCACATAGCTTTCTACTACAGGAGCATATTAAAATTAGTATTCAGATCTATGGGATAGAGATTCTATTATTAAAGCAACTGAAGAGTTTAATATTATAAATATGTATGACTTTTTGAAACTGTAAGAAATATATTCTGCTCAAAGTTCTACTAATGCTGAATATTTTAATGAAACTTAATGCGTTTTTATACAAGTGGTATAAATTATCCACTTTAAAATTAGATAAAAACGATTTGAGAAATAATTATGACTATGTGTTCATTAGATTGGAGTTGGAGGGCTGCTGGATAAGGGCAGAGGGTCAAATCCTTCATCTGCCTCCAGGCACTCAATTCCATGACAATGCCCCTAAGCATATTATGGCAATTGAATCTCAATATTTAGAGGATTCTAATTTATTTCCACTCCTCCTTCACAAAACTGAGTCATTCATGGGAACTACTTGTTTAAAAAAAAAGTGTAAATTTTTTCTTCTGCTTGGCCAGGGAGCCTATCTGGCCTGCTACTAGTCTCTGCTCTCCAGAGAAGATCAATCAGTACCTGGCCTTTTCTAGATGATAGCAAATATTCTGATTGTAATATGTACTTAATAGAGGCATCGCTTTATCCTTGCATTGAGGTTAATCACAAACAACCCTGCTTTTAAATTGCACTTAGACATATTTGTTTTAAGATGCTATTTCTCTTCTGAATGTCTCTTTTTCTCTCTTACTGTCCTTATTTTTGTACACCTACTCTGTCTTCTCTCTGCCATGTCAATGTCTTGATGCCAATGTCAGTGAAGCATTTGTCATATAAACTAGAAAATGTTTATGTTCAGCACAGGCTCATTTGTATAGTTGTACTATATTTGCCACTACAGTAAATACAGTTCTTGTGATGTATAATGGTGTTACAGTCAATTGCAAACAGCATATACATGAGTGGTCTCATAAGATTATAATGAAGCTACCCTATACAGGTGTACCATTTTTTATATTTTATGCTGTATTTTTACTATACTTTTTTATGTTTAGATATGCAAAAATTTACATTGGGTTACAATGTCCTACAGTATTGAGTACAGTAACATGCTGTACAGGTTTGTAACCTAGAACAATAGGCTATACCGTACTGCTTCGGTGTGTAGTAGGCTAGACCTTCTAGGTTTGTGGAAATATGCTCTATGATGTTCATATACAGACAAAATCACCCAATCACGCATTTCTCAGAATGTATCCCATGGCTAAGCAATGCATGACTATATATTATCTATCTAATTAAAAAAACACAGTTCACACACTATTTGGATAAGAGTTTATAGATCTAAAATAATACAGGTGTGCATTTTTAAGGAAAATCATACAGTCTTGACACTGCCATATTTTGTATGAAAAACACTATGTTTTTAAAAACAGTCATTCTAAAAAGACTATTGACTACAGAGAAATCTAAGTTGAGCATTTTCTAAGCTATGATACCCATCTAAGTGAAAGTAAAGATGGGAGAAGATGTCTATGGAAATAACTTGGGTATATTGCATGAAGCTGAGATTTTTGGTATGAATGATCCCATCACCCAGGTACCAAGCATAGCAGCCAAGAGGTTTTCAACTCTTGTCTTCTACTTTCCCTCCCTTCTCTAGTAGTTCCCAGTGTCTATTGGTACCATCTTCATGTCCATGAGTACCCAATGCTTAGCTCCCACTTATAAGTCAGAACACAAGGTATTTATGTTCTGTCCCATAGCCTAACTTGACTACTCTCCTCCCTGACAATAACAGGTTAGGTTTCTCTGGGGATATATGTCTTTCTGTGCATGTTAGAATATCAGAATCTGTGTTGGGGACAGGTGGGAGGGGAAGAATGTGCAAGTCACTTAATAATTTGGAAACAACTCCCCAGAAGATTTTGATACAACTCTTCCATTACATCTTGTCTATAAATTTAGGTTTTGTATTAGGAAAATTGATACAAAAACTCTGTGTTGGCTACAGCACAAAGAAAACTATGGCTAAGCAACTGGAAATGGGAATGGGGAAGGGAGATGGGAGAAGAGGATTCTTGCCACATTCTGTCCACTCTTAAGCCCTTGGCTTCAATGTTTTCTTCTAATGTATAGGATCTTTTAGATCTAACAAGGATTAGTTCCCCTCTAAGTATAAGATTTCTTTCACTTAAATTTGTTTCAGTTTTGAAGGACTCCTAGTGTAGACTCAGCATCTGGTCTCCACTATGTTTTTGAATTGAATAAAAAATACATACACTTTAGACCATAGACATTATTATTATTATAATTATCTTGGCTTTAAAGATTTAAAATAGAAAAATAAGGGCTGCCTGAATTTAAAAATACATGTCCTTTGTAGACACTTTCTTGACTTCAGCATTTAAGAAATGCTTGTCTTTTTATTTATACCACCTAAAGAGCAAATGTAATGACGGTGATTGAGAAGAAACGGAGTCTCACTCTGTCGGCCAGGCTGGAGTGCAGTGGCGTGATCTCGGCTCACTGCAACCTCTGCCTCCAAGGTTCAAGCAATTCTCCTGCCTCAGCCTCCTGAGTAGCTGGGACTACAGGCGCCTGCCACCATGCCCAGGTAGTTTTTGCATTTTTAGTAGAGACGGTTTCACCGTGTTGGCCAAGATGATCTCTATCTCCTGACCTTGTGATCCACCTGTCTCGGCCTCCCAAAGTGCTGGGATTGTAGGTGTAAGCCACTGCACCAGGCAACATTATCTCTTTAATTTGCATAATAGCCTAGGGTAGAATGCTTCATTTGTCCCACATACCACCTCCTGCCCTTTTTTTTTTTTAGCTGAGAAATCTAAAGTTCACAGGGTTAAGAGACTTTCCTAAGGCTATTCCCCTAGTAAGTGGCAAAAAGTAAAAATCAGGTCTTTTGACGTAAAACCAAGTTTTAGTCACCCTTAAAATATTTTAACTTGGACTTTATGAATGTACAACAAAACTATCATTGTACTACCAAATCTTTTTTTTTTAATTTTTTTTTTATTATACTTTAAGTTTTAGGGCCATGTGCATAACGTGCAGGTTTGTTACATATGTGTACATGTGCCATGTTGGTGTGCTGCACCCATTAACTCATCATTTACATTAGGTATATCTCCTAATGCTATCCCTCCCCGCTCCCCCCACTCCACAACAGGCCCCGGTGTGTGATGTTCCCCTTCCTGTGTCCATGTGTTCTCATTGTTCAATTCCCACCTATGAGTGAGAACATGCAGTGTTTGGGTTTTTGTCCTTGCGATAGTTTGCTGATAATGATGGTTCCCAGCTTCATCCATGTCCCTACAAAGGACATGAACTCATCATTTTTTACAGCTGCATAGTATTCCATGGTGTATATATGCCACATTTTCTTAATCCAGTCTATCATTGTTGGACATTTGGGTTGGTTCCAAGTCTTTGCTGTTGTGAATAGTGCCGCTGTAAACATACGTGTGCATGTGTCTTTATAGCAGCATGATTTATAATCCTTTGGGTATATACCCAGTAATGGGATGGCTGGGTCAAATGGTATTTCTAGTTGTAGATCCCTGAGGAATTGCCACACTGACTTCCACAATGGTTGAACTAGTTTACAGTCCCATCAACAGTGTAAAAGTGTTCCTATTTCTCCACATCCTCTCCAGCACCTGTTGTTTCCTGACTTTTTAATGATTGCCATTCTAACTGGTGTGAGATGTTATCTCATTGTGGTTTTGATTTGCATTTATCTGATGGCCGGTGATGATAAGCATTTTTTCATGTGTCTTTTGGGTGCATAAATGTCTTCTTTTGAGAAGTGTCTGTTCATATCCTTTGCCCACTTTTTGATGGGGTTGTTTGTTTTTTTCTTGTAAATTTGTTTGAGTTCTTTGTAGATTCTGGATATTAGCCCTTTGTCAGATGAGTAGATTGCAAAAATGTTCTCCCATTCTGTAGGTTCCCTGTTCACTCTGACGGTAGTTTCTTTTGCTGTGCAGAAGCTCTTTAGTTTAATTAGATCCCATTTGTCAATTTTGGCTTTTGTTGCCACTGCTTTTGGTGTTTTAGACATGAAGTCCTTGCCCATGCCTATGTCCTGAATGGTATTGCCTAGGTTTTCTTCTAGGGTTTTTATGGTTTTAGGTCTAACATTAAAGTCTTTAATCCATCTTGAATTAATTTTTGTATAAGGTGTAAGGAAGGGATCCAGTTTCAGCTTTCTACATATGGCTAGCCAGTTTTCCCAGCACCATTTATTAAACAGGGAATCCTTTCCTCATTTCTCGTTTTTGTCAGGTTTGTCAAAGATCAGATAGTTGTAGATGTGTGGCATTATTTCTGAGGGCTTTGTTCTGTTCCATTGGTCTAAATCTCTGTTTTGGTACCAGTACCATGCTGTTTTGGTTACCATAGCCTTGTAGTATAGTTTGAAGTCGGTAGTTTGAAGTCAGGAACAAAGCCTGTAGTATAGTTTGAAGTCAGGAACAAAGCCTCCAGCTTTGTTCTTTTGGCTTAGGATTGACTTGGAAATGCAGGCTCTTTTTTGGTTCCATATGAACTTTAAAGTAGTTTTTTCCGGTTCTGTGAAGAAAGTCATTGGTAGCTTGATGGGGATGGCATTGAATCTATAAATTACCTTGGGCAGTATGGCCATTTTCATGATATTGATTCTTCCTACCCATGAGCATGGAATGTTCTTCCATTTGTTTGTATCCTCTTTTATTTCATTGAGCAGTGGTTTGTAGTTCTACTTGAAGAGGTCCTTCATATCCCTTGTAAGTTGGATTCCTAGGTATTTTATTCTCTTTAAAGCAATTGTGAATGGGAGTTCATTCATCATTTGGCTCTCTGTTTGTCTATTATTGGTGTATAAGAATGCTTGTGAGTTTTGCACATTGATTTTGTATCCTCAGACTTTGCCGAAATTGCTTATCAGCTTAAGGAGATTTTGGGCTGAGACGATGGGGTTTTCTAGATATACAATCATGTCATCAAATCTTAGTAAATGCCATTGTCTCTTATTTCTCTGATCATCCTTTGGGAACTTTAGGCACAATCTGTCTCTGTTTGTCTGTCTCTTGCCCTCTCTCCTTTTTTCTCTCATCTTCTCATTTTGGGTTACTGGATAACAGTGGTCCGAGAAGTTACATATGTTTCATGGGACTTTAACATCTCTGTAACATTGTTGCAAAGACAGCACATGATAAAAGTTTGTTTTTTCAATTCCAACGAACATGTTTGGATATGTATATGATTGCCATTTAAATAGCAAAAATATATGCAATAACCTATACAAAACTTCTGTAAAGAAAATGCTATTGACAGCTGTAATAATGCCACTAACTTTTGTTTCCTCCTCTATTACTTCTCATAAAAGTTTCCAAGGCCTCTCATATTCCAAGACTTTTGCTCAGTAAAGCTAAACATCACCTTGCCTATAAAGCATAAGTACTTGAAAGAAAATCCATGCTGCCAAAGAAGAAGAAGCAGTAACCCATACTTTCTTTATTTCAACCATTTCAAAAATAATCAGGTTCACAGCTGAGCAATGACCTTTCCAAGAGAAAAGTGGTGTGATGACAGATCAGGTGATTTGACAATGAGGTGCTAATGGCTTAGAGTTATTTTCACGTTCTCTATTGCTAGAAAGATCCTGTTCAGAATTCAAAATCAGCTATATGTTCAAACTGCAGCCTGTGGCAAGGAGACATACACTTGGCCTAAGACAGTGCAGTGTTTGAAAGTAGAGCGGACCTTGAAATCTGCTGCTTTACTACTTAAAATTATTCATCTTGAAAGGAACCTCAAAGAAGATACAGCCAGCATTTATCAAAGTGGAGTCTCTAATTTCAAGAATTCACAAAAATCAAGATTCTTGGGCTATGCTCCAGACCCATTTAATCTGAATTTCTGGGGTTTGGCCCTGAGAAAATGATTTTTAAAGAAACTCCACAGGATTCTGATTCATACTAATGTTTGTGAATCAATATTCTAGATCATCCTTCACTTTGTATGAATTGGTGATTTATTGTTGCCACAAATATGCTGGTTGTTTGAGTGACCAAAGTAAAGATAATTTTCAGTTAGCAGGCTGATTTCCCTCCATTTGAGTTTATGATACAATATCTGCATTAATTTAATGAATATATGTATGCTTGATTTGCTACAACTGAAAAAAAACATTTTTGGCAAGGGAAAATCTTTATCCCGTAACAACAACTTTTGCGAAAATCTGCGTTTTTTTCTCATACTATATAATGCAAGAACTTATCTTCATTTAAGAGCTTGATTGGAACAACTCTAGGTTGTAACATCACGAAAACACATCCATGCATGAGATAAAAAAAATACTTTCAATGACACTTTTCTTTAGACACAAGTTACTTGAAATAATATATCAATAGGTATCAAAGGCTAAAAGAGAAAAATACAGTCGAGAAATCCTAGTTGCATGGCCTTGATGAAGATGCACAGAGATAGGTATATTACATAAAATTACATGAGTACAGAAAACCCAGGGTTAAGAGTTTAGTTTAACTTTGCCTTGCCAATTTTATGTAGAGATAGCTTAGCTGAGTGGTTCTGCTGTAGGATCTCTCATGAGTTTGTACTCAAGGTGTTGGCTGGGGCTGCAGTCAGCTACAACTTTTCCTGGGGCTGGAAAATGTAATTCCAAAATTACTCAAATGGCTGTTGGCAAAAGGTCCCAGCTCCTTGCCACATGGACCTCTCCATAGGGCTGTAGATGAGATGACAGCTGGTGTCTCTCAGAACACATGATTGAATAGCAAAGAGAGTTACATCACACTGCGTTTATGACCTAGTCTCTGGGTCACTTCTGCCTTATTCTATTCGAAGTGAATCAGGACATCTAACCCACACTCAACAGGAGGAGACTATAGAAGAATATGAATATGTGTCAGGAGGCAAGGATCACCGGGGTTCATATTGGAGGCTGGTTTCTTTAAGTACAATTAACAAATCCTCTTTACTTTAGAAAACTGGTTTATTCTTACATTGATTGGTTAATATAATTTATATTTAAGACTTTTATAGCATAAGAATACCTTAGCAAGAAAACATAATTAATGATTGGTGCAATTGTGTGGCATCACTTTTAGACCTATTTTTGACATTGCTGCATAGCAATATCTCATGTTTTATAATGCTGCAAAATTTGCAAAAATATTTATATGCAGTACCTCATTTGGTCCTTACATTAAGACTGTGAGGGAGATAGGATGAGTATCATCTTCAATTTCCAGGTGAGAAAAACTCCCAGGAGCTTAGATATGGTGAATTAAGTGCACCATACACAATTCCTTATTAAGTCCAACAAAGTCAGTTTTTTCGTCACTGTAATAAATAGATTTCTGTTTCTAACTTACATGTGTATGTGTGCACGTGCACAACACACTTGATGGTATGAATCACATTTAGCCAGATGAGAGGCTTACACTAAGATTTGGAGGTGACAGAGTGGCAGAAGGGTATGAATAGTCAATGGGTCACAGGTATATAGGCATAGCAAACTCACCTGTGTTTACTGTGCGGTCTACACAGGCTGAATGACAGGCAGAAATCAATAGCACTATTTACATTTTTTGTTTTGCTTTCTTTTTCTTTCTCTTTCTCTTTTTTTCAGTTTTGCTGAGTGGATATTTGTATCAGCATAAATTCATGGAACATAGGATGTAAATGTTTTATATTATTAGCTTTCATGTTGACTGAAAATTATGACAGCTTTTAAATTCAGTGCAAAAACTTTCAGGTTTTCTTAATATATGACTAAATATATGGAAACATGGCAAGCTTGTGAACATTACCTGTCACATGCGTGGCTACTGTTCAAATAAAAAGTTAACCTCAACTACTTGGTATTGTGGTCCTTGGGATATAACAGTTCCCTCATGTGGCACATATTTTAGGCAAAATAATAGTGGTTGTGGAAGGATGCAGGTGAAGTTTTTTAATGCAGCCAATGCCATATTACTTGTTTTTTTCTAAGCCACAGTATTATATATAATATATTGTCCTATAATATGTATATATAAAAGTGTTAAAAATCCAGTACATTAAAATGTTTCAAAAATTATGTGATTTGTGTAAATCCACATGGCTCCCCTATCTCTTCCCCAAATCTTAAAACTTTTAGATTTCAGTTATCTAAATCCAGTTTTCTTTTTAAATTTTAGCATGAAAAGGTGTTTTTCACAGGTACCATTTTCTTGCATTGTTGTCTTTGCTTTGCTTTCCTCTAAGTAAAGGACTATGTTACTGAATGTTCCACAGAGTTTTACGGAGAATACAAATTGTCTATGATTTTAATATTTTTTAAAAGGGAAAGTTCATGTTTAAATAAGTGTTAAAATGCTAGGTTAAATTAAGCTATCTTGGTTTCTCTGTTTCAGGATTTCCTGGAGATCTTGGTGACTAGTGTGCATTATGAAACACAAAATGAATGGCATTTAGAAGTGCATTAACATTTTTTGAACTCAGAACATTCTTCTAGTCTCCTCATTTTTTTTCCAGAAGTATTTTTCAGTATTACTATATATTTTTCTAGTAGAAAACATTTTTCTTCTTTCAAAGTTTGCCTAACCATAGCCTTCTGAGCTTCCCAACTTGGAAGTGAAATTTGAAAATCCCGTTTTGAGTTACCTTATTTCAAAATCATTTTGTGTTTGCAAACATCAATGAAATGTATCTCTGCATAAAGCTTATAGTCAAAGCCATGTAAGGACATAGTAAAATGTAGGTAGTCACAGTAAGAAATTTACATCGTATTAATTCTAAAATGACCTTATTTAAGTTTCTTATATATAAGATGAATGTTAATATCTCTACTATATCCATATGAAAAACTAGTTGATTTGTCCCAAGTATAGCTAGTAAGCAGGAGAGCTGGTATATGAAGACATGAATTCAGATATTCTGTTTCCATTTTCAGTACTCTGTCCACAATATAAAATATACTTAAATGAATTGCATTCATCACATATGCCCACATACACTATGACTAATGAGCCACCTCCCTGATTATTTAAAATATTTAATACAATTGATATTGTGAAATAATGGTGCTTCCAGATGCACCTGACAAAAATACAAGTTGCTTAGTGATTTATCTTGTTTTCATGCCACAGATTTCTAGGATAGTACTTCATTCACTACTAAAATGAAACTCTCTGGTGTTAAATAGAACAACAGGTCAGCAATACATATAATATCATAACATGGTTGTTGATAGGGTGTGAGAAAAATAAACTTGCTGAAAGAAACTAGAAAAATTCTACAAATGCCAGTTAGAATTAAAACAACACTGGTAAAACAAAATGTCACATGTCTTGGGTCATAGCTGTACTATACATTTTTCATTTAACAAAATTGACATAGCCTTCTTAAAGTCAGGAAAATTCCGTAATTGGATAGCTTTAAAATTGTGAGGCAGGTTTATTTTATGAGGCCAGTATTTCCCCGATACCAAAAGCCAGAAAAAAAGGTATAGACAAATGTCTCTCATGAGCTTAAATTAAACAATTTTAACAAAATATTAGGAAACCAAATCCAGCAAAGTATAAACAGACTTTCACGTAAAGATCAAGAGATTTATTATAGTTATAGATGAATGGAGGCAATATTTAAAAATTAATCAATGTAGTCTGCCCATTTCAATAGGCTAAAGAAGAAAAATCATGTAGATACAGCAATTGATGCAAAGAAGCATTTGACAAAATTCAGTATCTATTCATGACAAAAATCGTAAGTGAAGTAGAAATAAAGAATTTCTTCCAATTCATTAAAAAAAAACTGCCTATGTAGAAAACTAAAGCTAATATCATACTTAATGTGGGAAAACTCTGTACTTTCAACTAAATATGGAAAAGAAGACAGGAATGTCTGCATTTCTTAGACTTACTTGAAATAGTACAAAAAATTCTAAATTCTAGCCAGTACAATAAGGAAAAAAAAAGATGAAAAAGAAAGAAGAAACAAAAGGCAGATTGAAAAGGTATAAATAAAATTGTGCCTATTTGCAGATGCCTTACTGTCAATACAGAAAACTCAAAGGAATCTACAAAACAATTCTTAGAACTAATATAAGAGTCCAGCAAGGTTGTAGCATAAAAAATTAACAGATAAAAATCAATTGTGTTTCTGCATACTACTTGTGAACACATAGAAACTGAAGTTAAAAAAAAGAAATTTAAAAAACCATTTATTCTGCTTTAAAGAAAGTGAAATACCTCTAACTAAACCTAACAAAATGTTTCAATTTTTATGTTGAAAATTAAATTCTGCTGAAAAAAAATCAAAGAAGACATAATACGTTCAACAAATAGAAAACTCAACATTAGTGAAGATGTCAATACTTCCCCAAATTAATTAATTTTAATTCCTATCAAAATATCAGCGAAGACTTTTGTAGAAATAGACAAACTTAGTCTAAAAATTATATAAAAAAGCAAAAAATCCTGGAATAGTCCAAGTAATTTTTAAAAGAATACAGTGAAAATAAATGTCTACTAGATTTTAAGGCTTTACTGTACTTTAAGGCTCTACTAGATTGTAATATAGCTGTACTATGAATACAGTTTACTATTAGCAGAGGGATAGAGATGTTAATGAATGTCACAGAATAGAGTACCCATAAATATATGCACACAAATATGTCCAACTGATTTTCAATTAAAATGCAAAAGCAATTCAAGGGAGAACAACATTTTAACACATGGTACTAGAGCAACTGGACATCCACAGGCAAGAACATGAAGAAAGAAAGAAGAAAAAAGGAAACCTTGATTTATACCTCTCACTTTGCAGTGAAATTAATTCAAAATGGATTACACAGACTTACATGTAAAATGTAAAACTACAAAAATTTTGGAAGGAAATACAGGAAAAAATCTTTGGGACTTAGGACTAAGCAAATAGCTTCTAAACTTGACACCGGTGGCAATGATACATAAAGGGAAAGCTTAATAAATTAGACCTCATAAAACCAAAAACTTTAGCTTTGTTAAGAGAATAAAAAGACAAGTTAAACAGTGGTGTGTCTATGTTAGGTGAAAATATTTGCAAATTACATATATGACAAAAGACTTGCATCTGAAATATAACAAACTCTCAACACTCAACAATTAGAGAAAGTTCAATTAGAAAATAAGCAAAAGACTGTAAGAATATTTTACTGAAGAATATATACTGATGGCAAATAAGCACAGGAAAAGATGGTCAACATAATTAGTCCTTGAGGAAATTCAAATTAAAATCAAAATAAGAGTTTGGGTGTAGTGGTAACCAAATGTAGTGATAACCTAGTGATAGTGATATCGGAATGGCTAAAAAAAAAAAAAAAAACACAACAATAGCATCAAATGCTGGAGAGGAGGCTGAGAAGTGATCATTCATACATTGCTGGTGAAAATATGAAATGGTATAGCCACACTGGAAAAATTAGGTATTTATCTCAAAGAAATGAAAACTTAAATCCACACAAAATGGGTACACAAGTGTTTGTAGCAGTTATATTTGTGATAATCCCAAACTGGAAACCTAAATATTCTTAACCAGCTGAATGAGTAAATGTGATACCCACATACTACAGAATACCACTACGCAATAAAAATGGACAGAAACTACTGATTCATGCAGCAATTTAGATAGCTCTGCAAGTAACTATGTTGAGTGAAACTCATCCAAAAAGTTACATACTTTATCATTGCATTTATATAACACTCTTGAAATGTTTGAATAAATGTGGAGGTGGAGAACAGAGGAGCCGTGTCAGGGAGTTGGGCATGTAGGAGGAAGTGGTGGGTGTGCCTATATAGTTGGTAGGGACAGGGGGCAGGGAAATTCTAGGCAGACAGGGAGAAGCCCCACCCTCAAGCCGGATAGCCTGAGATCGTTGCCCAAAGTGAGAAGTTATATCCCTGTTTTCCTACGCCACCCATGGCCTGCCCCGCTCCCCATATCCTGTGCCTATAAAGACCCCAGACTCAGCAGGCAGAGAGGAGAAGCAGCTGGATGTCAGGGACTACATCTGGACATCGGAGAGAAGCGGCTTGGCTTCAGTTGGACAGCTTGAGGGTGCAACTTCGGAGAGGAATCTGGCTGGAGATGGCTGGACTTCAGGGGAAGATTACCTTCCTGCCCTGTCTTCTCTTCTGTTCTTCCCCCTGAGAGCTGGGCACAGTGGCTAACGCCTGTAATCCTAGCACTTTGGGAGGCCGAGGTGTGAGGATCACGAGGTCAGGAGATCGAGACCATCCTGGCTAACACAGTGAAACCCCATCTCTACTAAAAATACAAAAAATTAGCCGGGCGTGTTGGTGGGCCCCTGTAGTCCCAGCTACTCGGGAGGCTGAGGCAAGAGAATGACGTGAACCCAGGAGGTGGAGCTTGCAGTGAGCCAAGATCGCGCCACTGCACTCCAGCCTGGGCTACAGAGCAAGACTCCGTCTGAAAAAAAAAAAAAAAAAGGTAAAGGGCCCACTGAGCTGTTAACATTTAAGCCATCACAGACAGCAGAGCTAAAAGAGCACTGTAACATGCCTTCTGGGCCTTTAGGAGTCACAGGTACCCCTCAGATGCTGCCATGGGGTCTGCACAGAGTTTGCTCCTGCCAAGGTTCATAAGCGCTCACCTGGCTCCTGCACCTGTTCACCTGTGCGCTCCCTGCCACGAGGGTGGAACGCAGCAGGTCCAAGTGAGTGGAGCTCACTCCTGCCGGTGCCAAAGCAGCCAGCTGGTTCCAGCGCTCATGCACTCCAGTTTCTACCTCGTTTGCTCACATGCTCCCTCCAGTGAAAAATTGAGAGTGGTGGGCTGAGTCAACAAGGCACCACTTTTGCAAGTCCTGCAAAGGAGTCAGGAAAATATCCTGTTTCTAAGTGACAGCACCAGGAAACCTTTGGGGGAAGATTGAACAGCTGTGGATTGTGGCAATGGCAACACAAATTTTTTAAAAAGTGAGGCCGAAACATCTTCTTTTAACTTTATTTTAGAAATAATTTCATCAAACTAGGGAAATAAGAAGGAAGCTAAGATAGCAAACTATGATAAAACATCAGCTCCTACCTATAGAAAAATAAAATGTAAATAATTTGGTAAAATAATCTTGGGGTTCACTCTAGAAATGACTACAGTAAAGATAACAATGGATTTCTAACAAATATAAAAATCATGTAATTATATGAATTTAGTATTTATAAGAAAATATTTGAACATTTTTATAATATTAGAGCAGAAAAGACTTTCATAAATATGATCTCAAACTGAGAAAGTATGAAGAAAAGAACTTGAAAAATTGTCTACCAAAATTTAGAACACCATTATATGATATTTAAAGGGCAAAAGTTAAGCTGCAGGAAATTTATTTTCAATACATATGAGGAGAAAAGGCAAATTTGTTGCATTTAAAAAATAAAAAAGTAATAAAGATGAAAAGCAATAGAAAAACAAAAACATTTTAAATTTAAAACAGAAAGTTTAAAGTTGTAAATAGTTAACTCAGAAAAAAAAAAAATCTGTGTCTGACACACACAGGACCTAGGCTAGACCTCAATGTCTGGTTCAATTTTAAAGAGTGGTTAGGATGACTCCATGCTTAAGTTACCTGTATTCCTATCTTACTGGTCCAGCAGAGAAGAAATTAAAGTGGATATGCATGAAATGAGAATACAATTGAGTAGACAAGTTCCCAAGCAACCCATATTCCTTAGGGAGATTGTCTCTTGGTTCATTTCTCAAGGGAGCCTGAGTAGAGAAAAAAGTTAACAAAGTCAGAGGATCTCAGAGCCCCATGTTTGTAGCTTTTACACCATTTTTGTTGGGAGAGACCTCCTGAAGCCTCAGGAGTTCGAGTTTCGCATAAGATTGCACACTTTATAGTTTTTATTTCTGAGTCACAGTACCTACAGCAGAACTGTCCATGCCATGCCATAAGTCACATAGAGGAAGCTTGATATAACTTAGGAAGAAAAGAAAGAGATCTATTTAATATTGATATTGGTTAGGGTGTATTTAATAGATACAATTACTGAGAAGAGAAAATCAATACAATCCTTGTTAGAGGGGATGGTGTTTAAGTTTACTTAAGCTTTGTGGTCCCAGAAAATATCAGTAGTTAAGAAACCACTCATCACCACTCTTTTGTGTTCTTTTAATGGCTTACTGCAAAGAACCATCCTTCCCCATGTGACTTAGATAAGACTCACGAATGACCCCGTTTACCCATAACAGAGTGAGACAGGACCTTCCAGATTTCTGGGTTTTGTCTCACAAATGACTGGCTGAACTGTTTGTCCCCATTGACCAAGCTGGGCAAAATGCCCCCTACCTTAACCTTACTAAACTTTAGTTGGACTTCCCTCTTTCCCCAGTCAGCTGAATTTTGATCCACCTATGAACATCGGACCATGTAGAACAACCCTCCTTGACGTCCTCTCCCAAGAATCAGCTGACTTCAGGGAAAAACATTTCTTGATCAACTGTCAGATTATGCCACTAGCTCAGCCCACTCCCCAACACCTGGTTTTTAACTACCTTGCTTTCTCCTCCCTATGAAAAAGTAGCTCTTCTTTGCCAGACCTTTGAGATGCTTGCAGATCCCAGCGTCCTTGAGTTCTCCCTCTATTGCAAATTCCCCTTTCTCAATTACAATAGTCGCCTCTCTCTACTGCAGTAGCCCCTCTCTATATTAAAATAGTCCCCCTCCTTCTACTGCAATAGTCCCTTCCTTCTATCACAATAGTTCCCTCCCTGTATTGCAGTGGTCACTCACCCTCTCTTAGCAATAGTGCCTCTCTCTATTACAGTAGTCCTCTTTCCTCTGCTGCAGTCACCCCCCTCTCTTCACTGCAATAACCTCTTCCCTCTATTGCAATAGTCCCCTTCCTATAGTATGATAGTCCACCTCCCTCTAAACAATAGTATTTTGAATAAAGCTCTCCTTATCTATATCTCAATTGTTCTTTTATTATATAGAGGGAAATTTAGCCATGCCTGTAACAACTTAAAATGAATATACCGTTTTGCTCAATAATTCCTTTCTTCAATTGTTTTTACAAAAATACTCATTCATGTATGACAAAAAATATATGTCAAGAATATTCACTCTAGCCTTACTTAAAATGGTAAAAACAAACATAAAGGAAAATATTGAAAACCTAGAAACAATCAAAATACTTATCATCAGGCACTTCTAAATAAACATGTTTTCCATATATTAGAATATAATTGTTATAAAAATAAAAATATTACATTTGATTTTGTTGATATAGGAAGATGACCATGAGGTCGTGTTAAAAGAAAAAGGTAACATACATAACAATAGAGTGTGATTTGTGTTGCCCAAATTTGGGCGTGCGTGCACACACATACACACACACACAAACATATAGATACACCTATATGGATTTATAGATCTAGGTCTATAGGTATGCATATTTATAAATGTAAATCTAGATCTACAGCTATGCATAATCTATACAGATATACATATATGTACATACAAATAAGTATACAGAGAGGAGACACACACACACACACACACACATATACACATACACACAGAAAGCAAGAGAGAGGCATTTCCAATTCGAAGTAGAATTTGGATTTCAAGGAAGGGAGGAAGAGACTCAGTATTTTTCTTTACACACTTTCTCCTGTCTAGATGTTCTGCAATGCACACACACACGCACAGGTGCACACACACATACACCCCTGTGTGTATAGGTATATGCAGTTTTTGTTTTTAAAATTATCATATGGCAAACTACATTATTTGTGTATACAATTTCATGAGTTTTGAGATGTCTAGATTTACGTAACCTTCATAATACTCAGGATACAGAATAATTTAATCATTCTAAAACCCCCTCATGCGATCCCTTTCCAGTCACACCCTCCCCCTCTGCATAGCCCCTGACAACCACGGGTCAGTTCACGGTTACCATTGTTCTGACACAATATTTTGAGGCTGGCTTTTTTCCACTCAACATTATACCCTTGAAATACAACCAAGATGTTGCCTGTGTTGATAGTTTGTTCCTTTTTTTTTTTTTTTTTTTTTTTTTTTTTTTGAGACGGAGTCTCGCTCTGTCGCCCAGGCTGGAGTGCAGTGGCGCGATCTCGGCTCACTGCAAGCTCCGCCTCCCGGGTTCACGCCATTCTCCTGCCTCAGCCTCCTGAGTAGCTGGGACTACAGGCATCCGCCACCACACCTGGCTAATTTTTTGTACTTTTAGTAGAGACGGGGTTTCACCGTTTTAGCCGGGATGGTCTCGATCTCCTGACCTCGTGATCCGCCCGCCTCGGCCTCCCAAAGTGCTGGGATTACAGGCGTGAGCCACCGCGCCCGGCCTAGTTTGTTCCTTTTTATTGCTAAATTGTTTTCATTGTTTGGATCTACCATAGTTTATCAATCCATCATTGAAAGACATTTGGGTTATATCCAGTTTTAAGAAATTATAAATAGAGCTTCTTTAAAGATTTGCATACAGGTTCTTTGTGGTCATTTTATTTTTCTAGGGCAAATCCCTAGGAGTGGAATTACTGGATCACATAGAAAGAACATGTTTATGAGAAATTGTTTAACCATTTTCCAGAGTGGCTGTGCACCACATGTACTTTTTACAATAAAAATTTTATTAAAATAGCATGGAATATGTGGCCATTAATATTTGGTTCTTAAGGATGTTCATGTCCTAGGGGACCCTGAATTCTTCAGGACATTTGAAACACTTCATTCTGGGTACAGAAGGGCTGCCAGAAAGGCAGACAGATAAAGTATTTATATGACATTACTTGAGGTGCTGACATTCTGTAGGTTCTGTATTAAAAACATTAAGTACAGATTTTATGTATGAAATTTAGTAACTTGGGATTGGTGGAGAGGACTGATTCGGAACTCCCCTCCCTAAAGTTAAGTTATAATAACAAGAACAGTAACTTGGAAGCAAAAACTGGGCTTGGTCAAGGAAGCTGGGTGGTCTAATATTCAAGTTTATTGCTAACTCAGGCAGGATTATAGCAAGATCTGGGGTGGAGATGAGGGAGAGTTTCAATCCAAGATTTGGAGAACTGTAATAAGAGCTTCCTATCAGCTCTCTTACTTGGAAGTCAGGCAGGGCATTAGAAAGCAATCCTTTTGCCTTATTTCCTTATTCTTAAACTAGTTAAGGATTTTTTTGTGTTTTTGTTTTAGTCCCCCCACCCCTCAATAGGTTTCCTCATTGTATTTCATTTACTTATTCAAGGTGTGGATGACCTCCCTTTTAGCCCACCAGATCTTCGGCCTCTTACTGGCTGAGAATCATTCACTCATTTATTCAAAATTATTTCCTAAGTTCCTACTACATTTCAGGCGTGCACTGGGGGGAAAAAAAAAACAGACAAAACCCCCACTCACAGTAAGAGAAGAGAGAAAAACACATTTTATACAGTGATAGATGCGAGGCAGAGAATTAAAATAGGGTGACGTGATAGAGTTACCAGGTGTCTCTTATCAATCGGGTCATCAGGGAATGTTGTTCTAAAAAGGATGGAGTGAGTTGAGATCTGAATAACTAGAAGGAGTGACTCTAGGAGGGCTGACATTAAAAACATCCAAGGCATGGAGAACAGGCTGTATATAGGCCCTCACACAGGGTGCTCGCCAGTAGAAGAAAGACCAGTGTAGGTAAAAGAATGGACAATTGGAGGAAAGGATGTAGGAGTAGGATCACTTTGCAAGCCAGGGGAAAAAGTCTTTATTGCCCTCGAAGTATATTGGGAATTTTCAAGGAGATTGTACGTAGGGGAATGACATGATTTGGATTTTTGTCTGTCAAACATCACTTTGGAGGCCTTGTAGGGGAAGGATAGGAAGCAAGGGTGCCAGAATGGAAGATATGCCAGTGGTCTGGGGAGGCTTAGTGGTGACGTGAACTGGGTAGTAGCAGTCAAGGAGGAAAAAATATGGGCACAACTGGGATGCAGCAAAGGCATTAGACATTGGAGGGTTATTTTTCCTTTTATGTTTATTTAGGACTGCATCTTAGGTGCTATAATTTCCTTCCTTCCTTCCTTCCTTCCTTCCTTCCTTCCTTCCTTCCTTCCTTCCTTCCTTCCTTCCCTCCTGTCTTTCATTTGTTTATTTAGTTGAGACAGGGTCTTGTTCTGTCACTCAGGCTGTTAGAAATTGTAGAGCTATTTTTCCTTTTATTTCTATTTTGAAATTCTGTATCTTAGATGCTCATCTTTCCTTCCTTCCTTCTTTCCACCTTTCTTTCTTTCTTTCTCTTTCTTTCTTTCTTTCTTTCTTTCTTTCTTTCTTTCTTTCTTTCTCTTTCTTTCCTTTCTTTCTTTTCTTTCTTTTCTTTCTTTCATTTGAGACAGGGTTTTGCTCTGTCACCCAGGCTAGACTGCATTGGTGCAATCATAGCTCACTGCAGCCTTGATCTCTGGGTTCGAGCAATGCTCCTGCCTCAATCTCCCAATAGCTGAAACTATAGTGCATACCACTGCATCCTGCAAAATTTCTAATTTAATTTTAATTTTTTTGTAGAGATGGGGTCTCGCTGTGTTGTACAGGCTGGTCTTAAACTCCTGGTCTCAAACGATCCTCCCACTTTGGCTTCCCCAAATACTGGGATTACAGGCATGAGCCACTGCCCCTGGCACGAACTTTATTTTAAAGTTTGGCTGCTGAAACTAGAGAGAACAGAGGTTTGGAGTAACTGTTGTGCTTAATGATAGACGTTGGAAAAAATAAGGTATATCTGGAAATCTTTCAATGTTAATTGAATTATAACATGTCAGGGCCTTGTACCAGAAGGACCCCTTTATGAATAAACATCAACAGTTCCACTCTTCTGCATCCTCTCTTAAAAGAAATCCTGCTTAGCAAGGGATGAGGGTTGTTATGGTAATAAACAGAGGAAGTGAAGTGAATAGTTATACCAAGAAAATAGTTGTAAAAGTTGTTTACATGTTGTGAAGTGAATAGTTATACCAAGAAAATAGTTGTAAAAGTTTTCATCTCTGACATGGGTGTTAGATGCCATATTGCTGCCCCCCATATGTTGGGTTAGCATCACTCAAATGCTAAAATTCACAGTGATCTTATGAGCTATTTTGGTCATTGTCTTACGTTCAATATTTTGAGACTTTCAGAAGAATGCATCTATTAAAGATGAGGAGAGAAGGTTTATAATAGTGGTGACGTGCTTAATGTTTCTCAGCTCTAATTTGTTCATCTAGAAAATGGGAAGAATAATACTTATCCATTATCAGTTATTGTAAGGAAAAAATATAATATGTAAAACAACATGTAACGCACATGGCATGTATCATATGCTTAATGAATTTAGGCTATAATATTAGGCTTTGAAACACCTTTTCAGATATGGGACCTCCAACCAGTAAGTCACAGAGAGAGGGGAGAATCTAATGCAGAAATGGAGAGTTGACAAGAGCTATGGAGGATACTCAGAATTAAGCTAGGGTAGAAAAGGAATGGAGGGCTAAACAGTATAACTGACACACCTGAGAAAAAATAATGAGGCTCAGATAAAAGATATAAAGAATTTTGAAGCAGATCCTTTTTCTAGACAATGGTTTATACCTGGTATATGGGATCAGCGTCAGATAGACTGTGAGGCATGAATGGCATTCCCTATGCAAAGCTCTTTGCTGAGATACCATATCCTGTATCTGGAAAGCATGATTCAGTGTTTTCTGTTTTGTTTTGTTTTAAAATTCCCATTCTTCCTTATTGGCAAATCATGAGGCTTGGGAGTGCTGGCTGTTGAAGGCTGCTTGTGAACTGGGCAGGGCTACAGCTGTGTGAAGTGAAGCATCAGAGTCACTGGTGGGGAGAAAGAATGAGACAGAAGAAACCAGTCGGGCGGTGGATGCTGACTCTGAGGCATGACGGGGCATCCTTTGTCTTGAACCTATCAATTTCAGAGTTTGAGGAGTCTCCCTGGAGAGAAAGTGGTAGCGAACAAATCTACACTCTGATCCCCTTGTTCGTCTACTTTTTCCTCAGTCCCAGGGAAAGGGGGGTTGCAATTTGTTAAAGTATTGGAAGCTCTCTGGAGCTTCTCTATTGTAAGCTGCAGTTTATCACTTTTCTTTGGAAGAATAACTAGAGATTCCCATAGCAGCTTGTTTGTATTTCTTTCCACTCCTAGATGGATCTTACAGGAAAAAGGATTCTACCTTCATTTATAGCCTAAGTTTGGGAGAGTCACTGCGTTTATTCTTCTTTTAGCTATCAGAAGCCTAAGTCGGGATAGAATGCTTCAAGGAAATAATCACAACTGCTGTGTCATCTTTCTCAAATTAATTTTAGCACTTTCCTTCATCTTCTCTACCTTTTTCAGCCTAACAAACAGACCAGATGTTACTAAATTGTGATCTTCTTTATAGTACAAGGCTGAGGTCTCCAGGGTTTTAGGCTCATATGCATAGCCTCTCCGTCGTCACATGCCCAGGGAATGTGGCTGTGTTTGGGGTTAGTAAATCTGAAGACATTAATTTTATTTAGCATCTCCTCAGCAATAGCTCTGCATTCACTAATGGCACCTTAGATCTCTTGAGATAGCCACACATTAAACCAGAAATACATAAATTGTCTGGATTGCAAAAGTGAGAGATTTTTAACTCCTGAGTAACCAACACATTTTCATGGAAGGAAATGATCAGAGGTAAAATTCAAAATTGTAATTCATAGAATTTGGAACCAAAGATAATTTTATTTTTTTTCAGAAACACACCAGGACTCTCAAACTTAAAAAAGAAAGGTTTAAATGCACCCCTTTTTTGTTTGGTAGAGATTCTTAGGTAAAAATAATAAGATAAATGTAAAATCACTTGGCACTTTGCTTATAATTAGTTTCTAAATAAATGCCAGTGGCTAACATATGTGGTAATCTCACCACTGGCCTTGGTGTACATTAGAATAGTATCAGGTAGAGAAAATGGAAAGATTCTTTAGAGTTAGAAAATACATTTGATAACGTTTAATTTTTATATTTTTATATAGAAAAACTTGAGTCCTAGAGAAGGCAAACGGTTAGGGTGCTCACAGATTTAGGACAGAAGCAGGAGAAATTAATGGATACTGGATCCAGAAGATACCAGTTTGAATCTTTTGTCTGATTTATATGATCTCTATGACTTTGGCCAAATTAGTGAGCTTCTTCCAGCTTTGGTGTCCTCATCTATAAAACAGAAATAATAACATATCTATATCACCGAATTGTTTTCTCGGAGTGAAATGAAATAAGTTGTATAGAGTTATTTTAAAAACTATAGAAAACTATAAAACATGTCTATTGTTCTTTTAAAAAAGCAAAGGTAACATTTATTGGGTTGATATAACATTCCAGGCACTTTTTCTGAGAGCTTTGCATATCCATATCTACACAATATTTTGCGAAGATTGTATTTTTTTTTTTATTCTTACAATTGGGAAAACTGAGGCTTAGAATAGTGTCTGGCCCAAGGTTTTTAAACTTGGTTTCAGCTCTTTCCTCCTCCTTTCATACTATCTTTTATACTATCTTTACCCAGATGGTTTTTTTTTTTTTTTTTTTTTTTTGAGACGGAGTCTTGCTCTGTCGCCCAGGTTGGAGTGCAATGGCGTGATCTTGGCTCACTGCAAGCTCTGCCTCCCGAGTTCATGCCATTCTCCTGCCTCAGCCTCCTGAGTAGCTGGGACTACAGGCATCCGCCACCACACCTGGCTAATTTTTTGTACTTTTAGTAGAGATGGGGTTTCACCGTGTTAGCCAGGATGGTCTCGATCTCCTGACCTTGTGATCTGCCCACCTCGGCCTCCCAAAGTGCTGGGATTACAGGCGCGAGCCACCGCGCCCGGCCCTACCCAGATGGTTCTTCTAATGCAAACACTCCATAGGTGTTTTGATCCACTTCACTGTATTATCCATTTCAAAGATATTTTTATAAAGCTAATAAAAATTGAATTTAGTGTTTAACTTGTTTTGTCATTTAGGAAATCTTTTTTTTTTTTTTTCTAGCGAGGCCACCTTGGTAGGAGAAAGTAAGAAGATATGACCAGTTATCTCCTCCATCAGACAAAGGCACTATTGATTGTTCAGGAAATTAAGTGGCCCCCTTTGCACCACAGTGCAAAAAATGTACTCTTCTTTGGTGAATCTTTATTATGTTGATTGTTAAAGTGATATCTGTACATATTAAATGTGTTATGGCCTTAAGTGTTACAATCCTTGCTCTGTGTATATTTACATTTATATGTGTATCAATATTCTCAAGCAGGAACACAGCACTGCCCTTCCAGCTCCCTCCCCCAGCTAGAGGACATCTGGCAATTTGACATTTTGGTTGTCACAATCTAGGGGACAGGGCTACTACTAGCATCTACAGGGTAGAGCCAGTGGTACTGCTAAATATCTTATAATCCATAGTACTGCTCCTGCAATGAAGAATTATCTGGCTTATGATGTCAATAAAAATAATAATTTTCATCAGAAAAGAGTTGTATCATTTTCAAAACACTTTCACATGCATTATTTTATTGATGCTCATAAAGTCATTGTGAGGTAATAAGCTTTCTAATTTATGGATGAGGAAATTGAGGTTTAAAAGGGAAAAGTGACTTTACCAATGTCATATTACTAGAAAAGTGAAGGTGTTAGAGCACGAAAATTAATCTTCAGCCCTCTCTTACTTTCCATACTTTTTCCTGGCAATGTCCTGTGGGCAAAGATAAATGTGCCAGTCTCCTTCACTTCAAGCCCAGCATGGTACTTTCCACTTGCTAGAGCTTCAAAAATGTGTTTGTTGATTGACTAATTATAAATGACATCAAGGACAGTCAACTGTATTATTCCCCCCTAGTTTTTAAATAAGAAATGTCAACTGATATGGTTTGACTCTGTCCCCACTCAGATCTCATCTTGAGTTGTAGCTCCCACAATTCCCACATGTGGCTGGTGATAGCTGGTGGGAGGTAATTGAATCATGGGGGCAGGCCTTTCCCATGCTGCTCTCGTGATAGCGAATAAGTCCATGAGCTCTGATGGTTTTATCAAGGGGAAACCCCTTTCACTTGGCTCCTACTCTCTCTTGTCTGCCACCACGTAAGACATGCCTTTGCTTCCCCTTTGCCTTCAGCCATGATTGTGAGGCCTGCCCAGCCATGTGAAACTGTGAGTCAATTTAACCTCTTCCATTTAGAAATTACGCAGTCTCAGGTAAGTCTTTAGTAGCAATGTGAGAACAGACTAATATAACAACTCAGATCCCTAGGAAAGATTTCTGTGTAATTCAACATACATTTCCTGTTTTACATGAATAGATGGCTGTAGCATGTCTGGTTGTTTTTTTTTTTGTTTGTTTGTTGTTTTGTTTTTTTTTTTTTTAATTTTGCTCTGGTGTAAATCTTAGAGTAGTTCAAAATGTAAAACCCCAAAACTTTTAGCTAGCAACAGGATGTAGCCATTCCGTGGCTTCCTTTTAACTGAATATGCACAGGCAGAGGAGCCAAGAGAAGGAACCAGCTTTTCTGAGTGACAGCATATTTCAAAGACAGGTAAAGGACAAACTGGAACAGAACTGGGGGTAATACATTGAAAACAAAACAAAACACAACAAGAAACAGTAACACGCATGGATCTCTGCCCAGATTCCCACCCAAAAACTAATTTATTAAGCTGATATAATAACACTGTGCAACAATAGCCAGGCTAGCTTAGCTTTATATTTAGCTCAAGAAGCAATTAAAGACAAAAAGAAAAAGAACACTCATACTGTACATGATGAACAAATCACAAGATGTTCAACACATTTGTTTAGCAGACAGTAGAAACAATCCACCTGCAATTTTTGAAATGTTCTCCAAACTTGGGTTAAAATTTTGTAAAACTGAAGCAAGCAGCTAACTTGGTCAATTCAGTTAAGGGGGGAAGAAAACCCATAGTTATTTGGCAATATGTCAAAATACGTTCTGACAGAGAAAAAAACTCCACATTCAAACTGATGATTTGGCTGAAATTTTCACTTTTTAATTGGCGCTTCTGTTCTGATCTGAGGCAGGCTATTTTTTTATTTTTAGCATTCTTTACCTTCTTCCATGCTTAGAGTCTCAGTTTTTTCTCATCTTCTGTTTCACAAAGGTTCTAGCTACTGGAACTGATCTTACTTTTATCAGTACATGTATCAATTTTTCTACCTCATGTATGAGTGCATATTGAATTTCTTTTTAAAACTGAGGACAAAATTAACTATGAATCTTTGCTGTGAGTGCTTGATATTTAACATTGAAATATTGAATGAAGAAGGAGACAGATTTATGGTCAACATGGGAGATCATGAGTTCAGTTTTTGTCTATTTCCAACTTTAGTTTTCTGTTTTCTCAATATTTACAAAGAATATAAAGGTGAGAATAAGATTGTTTGCAAACCTTCTCTATTAAAAACTTTATTATATAAATAAATATAAATATATGGTTATATTTTAGTGCTTCCCTGATGTAAGGTGAATGAAAATTTCCCCTCTCCCGCTTAGTCTTGTCTTATATTATCTGATGATTTTTAAAATATTAAATAGACTGGGTTTAAATAAATCGATGGCATTTGATGAAAAATATTTGATATGGTAAAGTAATGCTGTCAGAAAGTAAGTAAATAAGCCAGATTGTTTTCATTATTATGTTAAAGCTGATAATGTACCTGTTCGCATTAAGCATCCTAAATAAAAACCAGTTTTTCTCTGAACAGTGTTTCTTCCTCTTCTTCCCCTCTCTCACCACACACTCCAATTCAAACTCCTAGAAAACAAGAAGCTTACCTGTCTTGAAGATAGACCCCATCCTTGCACTCATGTGTTGACTCATACACATTTATTTCATAAGGGATATTTTGCATTTAAGTTATTTTATAAGGCAAAGAAAAATCTGAGATTATACTTTATTCTAATTCTACATACTCTGTTACATTTTAACCTGCATTAAATAAGAAGACATGAGAATATTTTTGAGAAAATAGAAGTGGGGGAAATATTTCCCCAAATACTTGACCTCAAAGGATTGGACTGATTACTCTCATCCTACCATGTTGAGGGTTTCGACAGTGTTGACAGGATGCTGTCTTAATATCCAGTGATAAGACAAACCATTTGCTTGTGTCTTGTAGTCTTTCCTTTTCACACGCCACCCTACTCCTGCCTGCCTCACAGCAGTTGATTGTGACATCCTCTCTTTTCTACATGGTTCAGGCCAGCAGATGTGTGCTGCTTCAGTGCTGATGAGCAGGATAGCAACACTTCCTGGGCAATGACCTTGTCATGTGACACGCAGTATGGCTATATGATGCTACGAAACAGCAGCAGCAGGCCAACCAAGCTTGCAGCCATCCAGAATGGCATGATTCATTTTGATCAAAGAATCAAGATGACTTGCAGACTAAGAGAAATAGCTCTAACCTGAAGGATGGTCTTTCTATAAACATCCCAAAAGGTGACATATTCTGGACTTGTTTATTCACATGCACATGAAAAAAATATAGTTGTCTTCTCACTGTTATATTTGAATATAAAAAAGACAACACATGAATATTTGTACTTCTTAATGCCTTTTATTTTCCCTGAGGCACTTTGTGGGATTTCATAACTTATGAACTACATATTCTCCCAAACCTTATGTATGCTTAGTGTGCAAGACAGAGCTACTCGTTCCTTTAGAGACTCAGGAAAAATTACAATGATTTCCTGGATTGCAAAATAGATAAATCTCATGCTTCAAATATATAACTTGATGCTGGGGAGGTTGCAGAGAAAAGGGAACACTTATAAACTGTTGCTGAGAGTGTAAATTAGTTTAACCATTGTGGAAAGCAGTACAGCAATTCCTCAAAGGGCTAAAAACAGAAATAGCATTTGACCCAGCAGTCTTATGACTCGGTATATATGCAGAGGAATATAAATTGTTCTACCATAAAGACGCATGCACGACATGCATGCAAATGTTCACTGCAGCACTATTCACAGTAGCAAAGACACAGAAACAAACTAAATGTCCATCAATGACAGATTGGATAAAGAAAATGTGTTACATTTGGAATATTACCAAATATTATGGAATATTACTCAGCCATAACAAAGAAAAAGATCATGTCTTTTGTGGGAACATGAATGGAGCTGGAGGCCATTATCTTTAGGAAATTCACACAGGAACAGAAAACCAAATACCACATGTTCTCACTTATAAATGGGAGATAAATGATGAGAACACATGGACACAAAGAAGAGAACAACAGACAGTGGGGTCTCTCAGGGGTTGGAGGGTGGGAGGAGAGAGAGAAGTAGAAAAAATAACTATAGCATACTAGGTTTAGAACCAGGGTGATGAAATTATCCATGTAACAAACTCCTGTGATGCGGGTTTACCTATATAACAAACCTGAACATGTACCCTTGAACCTAAAATAAACATTTAAAAAAAACCACACACACAAAAAACTTTCAAACTCCCACAAATTTAGAACTTGCTATACACCCTGAATGTTTGTGTTCCCCCAAAGTTCACGTTAAAGCCTTATCAAAAAGGTGATGATATTACTGGGTTAGGCCTAGTGGAAGATGATTAGGTCTTGGGGGCTCCCATGGATGGGGTTAGTGCCCTTATAAAAGAGGCCTCAGAGAGATGCCTTGCAAGCCCTTCTACCATGTGGGGATCAGAAGGTACGATGTATGAACCAGGAGGTAGAACCTCACCTGACACTGAATCTGCCAAGCACCTTGATCTTGGACTTCCCAGACTCTAAAACCATGAGAAATAAATTTCTGGTGTTTATAAATTACCAGTTTGTGGTCTTTTGTTATAGCAGCCTGAATAGGATAAGACACAATCATACTGCTTCATCAAGAACTTTCAAGAGATAAATAGGAGAAAAAAATGAGAGACAAATAATAGTTTCTTATTAATAAAAGACTAGATATAAGCTTAACAAAGTAAAAATCATAAAGAAAGTACTACACATCCACATTTGGCTTTATTTCCCATCTTTTCATTTACAACGGTATACCATTTTCTTTAGTTTTGTAGGATTTAGCTATTTCCCTTTTAAGACACCTTTGTAAGGATCTTCTTTCCTTCCTACTTTCCTTTCCTCTATCTTCCCTCCTTTCCAATATCCTTTTCCTTTTGTGAAAAACGGCCTTCTAAATTTATCTTGGGTTGGAAAATAAGGCAACTTCATTTTATATTACCTTTGAGATGTGAATGGAAAACACTACTTTTGTCTTGAGCTTAAAGACTTTCATTTCAATAACAGCTACAAAATCAAAACATAATAATTTTTTTAGCTATAAATTGTCTGTCCAGTTAAATAGTGAATTAATATCCTCATCTGAGTTTTCACCCACCAGGTTAGTTATTCTATTTTCTAACCATTTTACTAACTGATAATTGCTTACCTGCTTCATCTTCATCATCTTTGTTATGCAGAACACATTCTTTTAAAACAGCTAGAGCTTTTTCCTATCTTCTGAACACTGTCATTTGGGGAAAAAAAATGTATTATCTAAGTTTGCAATGGCTGTATTAATTTAAGATTCTTCCAGGTTTTATTTAAAGTGCTTACTTTTATGTGCTTTGATATTTAGTGTTTCTGGGATCCATAAAGTTAACTGAAAAGACAAATGGCACTAGGATGTAGTGCTGTGGGTGAAAGGCTATGCCTTAATTTGGCAAAGTGACTTTAAATTAGGCCCCAGTCTCAGTTGGTTCCCCATTATTTTGTTCCATTAACGTGGATTTGGAAAAAACTTTCAAACACCGACTCTTGTAAAATCTTCCACAGCCATCAGATTGTCTCCTTAACAGAAAATAAGAGAAGAAAAATGTCACGAAGAGCAAGGATTATCTTAACCTTGTACTACACTGATCAGAACCCTGCTCGAAGTCAATGATTGTACAACTTACCAGGATAACCCAGTGACTCAGGGTTGCAGAATGCTAATCTTCAGAATCAGGGTCAGAAACAGCACAAGGATTAAAGACATTGCCACTCATAATGAGTGCCAGAGTAAAGGCTGACCACATTTCACTGATATAAGCCACAGAAAACATGCAATTACTTTAGAAGTTACTTTAGTGTCAGAAATTATGAAGAAGTATTTAATTGTGACTCCTTCCTCCATTATTCCATCTGCCTCTAATTTTTAACTGTATCAACTTAATAAAGAGCATTGTTTACTAAAGATACATTGACCACTGTGTTTTCTTTACAGGAAATAGCTATTTTAGCAGCATGAACAATCGGTTTTCACAGATTCAGATTATTCCGCACATGTCTTTTCTTTTGCTGCATTCACTGAGCAGAAATTCTGTTGAGCAGGGGAGGGTCATTCCAGAAAAGCATCAACTGTCAATAAGTATGTGCTCACCTTACCATTTTTAGTGTGGATATCATTTAAAGAATTGGCTATTTCATCATCAGTTAACTGAATAGTTAATTTATTTGTTGGGAGGAGTTAGGACACAACATGATTAATTAGCTTAATGTATGTGTGCTAAATGCAAATACAGAGACAGCAGTGCCAAATTATGCATGCTTCATGTTCATTGGGGTTGAGTAGGAAAATGCAGTCTGGAAGCACACAGATTTCTACTGAGTCCTTCCTTTATTCTCTAGGGACTAATTCTCAGATCAGCCACACAGCATTTTATTTTTATCATTGAAACTGGGAAAGAAGCTGGCAAAATTTCCTGAATTGTAATTAAGCTGTCCAAAGACATTTCTTCACAGCCCACATTAAATGTATTAATATTAGAGCAATATTTATGTAAAATGGTATATTTAAACAGTATTTGGTGGTAATCTAATAGCCATTCTTCCCTTATATTGAAAAATTAAAAAAAATCAAAACCAGCAAGAACAATATATGTATTTAGGGGAAAAATGTACTTTCTGTAACTGAGGTGAATCAAAAGGAAAACATTGATAATATTCAAGGAAACAAGATTTCACATATTCTACGCTTTTAATAACATAATTAAAGTAATTGGAAAGAAGTGTCTGAGTTGGGAGCATAGCAGGAACGCAACCCAGTGTTTTTCAGGAGCTAAGGTGCATTTTGGGTTGAGGGTTGATATACTAACAAAAGTATAGCCTATTAATTCTAATTCTAATGTGTTTTAAGGCCTGACTCTACTCTGGTGTGTTACACTGCAATTCTGGATTTATTACTACTACATAATTGTAATTATAGTCATTTTGTACTATTACCTTTGCTTTCAGTCTCTCCTTTTCGCTCTTCCTCTCTCTTAAAACCTCCCTCAGAAGCATTAAAGCAAGGGAGCTAATAAAAAAAATGACTGGATGCTGTAACACAGATGCCACCTGACAGGTCTGAAAGCCTCAGTCACACATAGACCACTGGACTGTGTGACTTTTCTGATATGCGATGGCTATGACAATTTGTCCTGAGTTACCTAGAACCAGAAATTTTAAAATACATATTAGTTTATTGATGGATTGAAGGAATGAAAAACACCGTTCATTGTTCCATGAGTGTTATGTTTGTGGAACCCCATTTATAAGAAAGGAAATTCTTCCCTGATATCTGTGAACGTTGCCCACAAATAATTTATAAATATATATCAGTCAAGAGGTATAGAGTCAAATGGAAAAGCTTATCACGGCCTCTGCCAAAGATTCTTAATGCAAAGCATAGGAGTCTTCCTGTAATGTCATAATTATCAGCTGGAAGCTCTCCATACAAAATGTAAAAATAACCATGTGCCATCTGGTAATTGGTTTTCCCAGCAAATACATATGCAAAAGGGAATCAAGAGCGACAACAAAATTGAAAATCCAGTGCACAGGAATGCTGTGTGACGGCCGGAGTTTTAATAAGCCACGTGCTGTGAAATCAGTTTTACAATCCCATAGCATGATAATATAAAGTATCATAGGGTATATATATAAGCATGAAAGTGCCATTATATTTATGGATATGGGCAAAGTGATCGCACTTAACATTTGGGCTTCCCATATTGAGAGATATCATTCTTAAGCGATTTTACCTGTAGTTAAATAGCAGCTGATGAAAGTGAGCTAAAATCACCATGACATTTAGCCACAACTGAGGTTTATTTCCCCAGGTTTATTTCTCATGACTGAGTTTATGGCTATACAGTTTTCTCTCATCAAAAAGTGGCAGTCTCTTTTCAATATAGCACAGATTTTCATTATGCCATTAATGGTTTTAAAAAAAAAAAGTCTATCAGTGTGAAATTGTTCAATTCTATATTGAAATCATTGGGTCAATATAGAAACGTGTTATGCAATTACTTTGACAGAAAGGTTTGGCTCAGTCTTTTTGGAACCTTGTACTTGGCTGCTCTTGCCCTTCAATTCAGCCTCTAGGAAACTTTTCACGTCCTGCCATGGCAAGACAGAGGAAGCCCTAGCAAGAGAAAACATACGGGTAGCTTCAAATGCATCACTGGCCTCCTCCAGTGTAAAGCCTTCTAATATACAGTATTCTGAATAATGACAGTACTGATCTGTTGCTTAAAGTATCTTCCTTTACAGTATCTCCAGACACTTATTAATTGTTTAGTTCAATTCCATTCAAATCCTTCTGTGGAGGAAAGGGATTAAAGATGGCTTTCCAGTGGGTGCCTTACACAATGCAAAGTTTGTCTTCTCCTTCCTGGTTCCATCACCCTGAGAGTGAACCACTGATGTTTGTCCTCACTGTAGGAGCCAAGGCCTTTCATCCCAACTTCACATGTCCAGAGTTTGATACTAAAAGAATCAAAGGGAACTAGGCTGTTGGGACACACAGATGACTGCAAACAATTCTGGGGTGCTGAATGAACTCCAGCAGTGCTCAAAGATTTAAATTTTGTTCAGAAATAGATATGTAACAAAAATTCAATACTAAAATTGTTGAGTCTACCCTGCAATATTTTTAATTATTGATGTATATTCAAAACCAATGCAATTTTATTTTTGACCTCATGTAACTAGGACACGGTCAGAAATGGGCATCTTCTTAGTCTGGTATGTGTGAGGCCAGACATGTGGCTGTGATGGTCATGCAACACTTCAATTTAGTGTTAATTTGATTGCTTGGACAAAGGACAGGGGCTTTGATTTTACTTTTTGAGAAAACGAGGGAATAAAAGCTGAAATAACTTTCTGATTCCCACAAAGGTAATATATATTATACAGCTTAGTAGCTATGGATGAATGAAACTCTAGCCCCATAATGAAGAAAAAGGCGTGTGGATTTATATTGCAGTGTATTGTTTAAGAGCATATCCTCTGGGTGCAGTCTCAGCCTCACCACTATTCACTCTATGACCTTAGTCAATACCCTTGCTTTCTCTAAGCCTAGTTGTCTACATTTGTAAGTTGTTGATAATAATAACATAGAAGCACTGGAAGGGAAGTAGAGTAAAATAATAGTCAAGAGCATCATGTTAGGAGAAATATTATCTGAGTTTGCATTCCAGCTTCAAAATGTACTGCTGTGTCATCTTAGAAGAATTATTCAACACTCCTTTGCTTTAATTTCTTCATCTGTAAAATGCAAATATCAGAAGCGAAAACCTTAAAGAGTTGCTGGGTGCTGTGTGTAGACCTCTTAAGATAGCGTTTCACATTTCAGTTGAACTCAAGACAAACTACTGCTGTCATTATCAGAATCTTACAATGACGTGTGAAAGTACTAAGATGAGTAAATAAAATAAGAAGTAAATAGAGTAAAAATTGATTTTTAAAATGTTTTAAAGTGTCTGTGAAGTAGCGTGCATGTGCTTCTGCATATGCAATTCTGTAGAGGAGTAGGTATATATAAATGTACCCAGAAAGTTTGGTATATGAGAGGGCATATATGCAAGGTATGACTTTCCTATACTTTAAATTCTGTCAAAGAGAGAGGAAGAGAAAAAATAAAGACCAGATATTTTTCACCGAAGGTTGGTGTAAGGTAAATGCATGAGGGATGCTAATCTACTGTTTTTTTTTGTTTGTTTTGTTTTGTTTTGTTTTTACCAGAGTTAATTTAAGAATTAAATACAGTAATATATCAATTATTGGATTTATATATTATTGTATGTTGAAAGGGTGAAATGCTGATCATTATTCATAGTATCCCCAATATTATTTTTTATTTAATTAATAACTCTTCTTAGGTGGATTATCAAATTCAGATCCCACCACTTCAGGGAAACACTGTGTTGTCTTCCACTGTCTTCTGCAGATACCAGTTACTCTCCCCTTTCCGAAACAAGCGGGCAGTAGCCATTGGAAAGGACATAAAGTCAGGCTTAATGGAGACTTCTTTCCTCGTTATGAAATTACTATGCTTATGCAAATGAGAAAATGTTGATGGGCTATGGTGGGACAAGAAGAGACTTTTCCTGTTATCCATTCTTTTTATTTCAGTGTCTTGCCACAGTGACCTATTTCAGCTCTGATGGTAAGAGTCCCCAAAGTCACACTTTTGCAATGAATCAAAGGCAGGAAGTGTCAACTTTTATTTGCCTGTGGAAGTCAGTTCTATGGCATCAGTGGAAGGGCATCTGTGCATTTTGATACAGACAAGGAAAACGAGCCACCCAATCTTCTGGCTGGTTTATGCTCACACTAATGGGTAGAATCACTATATTCCTGTGATTATTTTTTTAAAGCACCAGAAACTTCACTATTTCTAAATTTTTGCTAAACTAGATGTAATTCCCCAAGTTCTATTTGGCTGGGCTTGGTGGCTCACACCTGTAATCCCAGCACTTTGGGAGGCCAAGGCAGGTGGATCACTTGAGGTCAGGAGTTCGAGATCAGGCTGGCCAACATTGTGAAACCCCATCTCTACCAAAAATACAAAAATTATCTGGGTGTTGTGGTGGGCACCTGTAATCCCAGCTACTTGAGAGGCTGAGGCAGGAGAATCACTTGAAACTGGGAGGTGGAGGTTGCAGTGAGCTGAGATAGAGCACTGCACATCAGCCTGGGCAACAAAATGAGACTCCATCTCAAAAAAAAAAAAAAAAAAAAAAAAAGAAAATAAATTCATGCTTTTCTATTTTCTAAATGCTCTTTTCACTACAAATTGTTTTCTTTTCAAATTCAATAGATAGTATTCCAAATTCAATATCTGCTTCTGTGCTCTTCTTGAGAAGAGCACAATAAGTGGTGATACACAAAGGATGATGATCTCCCAGGCAGTTCTATCCATTTCTCCCAAGTCTCAGAGGCAAGCTCATTCCTCAACAGTACTGCAGGCAGAAATATATGAACATGACCAAGAGGTTGATTTGTAGGTAAAATGAAGAGACCTTTTTATAAAGTGAGAATACCCCTCACATTGCTAGCCTGTTTGGTTCATCTGCTTAGCAATAGCAAAAAGCCCAACCACAGGAAGGAAAAAGAAATAAGATTGGGATTTTTCAGCTTTCTAAATCCATATGAAGCTCTGTAAATACAGGCTTTAACTTACTCATGGTTCTATCCTCCGAATAATGTCATTTAACTAAGATCTTTGAATAATAAAATAAATGCATACGATGTCAAATTTTATTCTAAACTTTCTAAATCTTGTTTTAGAAGTAGAGATGGCAAAAAAAGTAGTTTTCAGAATTCGAATATTCTCTCATTATTTTCTTTAAAAGACAAAAAGTGTTTACCATTTTGTGTCTCAATAATACAGTGATTCCAATATTATTCATTGAACTGCATTTACGTTATAAAATGAATGAGTTTACATATAGGGTCACCAAAAACTGTAATAGTTACATGAAAAAAAATCCACAAGACATTTGAGGACAAGGCAAGGGCTGTTGGTCAAGAGTTACTTTATTGAAGGAGAACTTCCCTTGAGGCCTTTCAACTCTATTCATTTGAAAGTACAGTGCAGGCTGCTGACAATATTTGGTATTTAGTGTATTTATTTTCTCAGAAGCAGTGGTTTTCTGTGATAGAATAGAAGAATTTGTCTTCTTAAAATTAATTAAATTTTGTTTTTCACAGAATATTTTAAAACTCTAATGTGCCATTTTCAGTATAAGGACAACACTCAGATATTACAATTATTTTCAATCAGAAAGTTATACTTCAAATTATCAATATTCTCTTGGTATCCTCACTTTTGATACACTAGTGATTATACAAACCATAATAATACAAATAAAAGAATAGCATTAATTTATTGAATGATAACAATATTCTTAGCAACATGACTAGCTTAATATAATCCTTTATTGTTGTTTAAAAAAATTTTAAGAGTTTTATTTAACTTCTCTGTAAATTGTCTTTCTGCCAAGGTATTATTTGCACTTGTCTAGACATTGTGTATATTCATTTTTGGAAGTAATTCATTTAAGTGAATATTGCATTCTAAAATAAAACGCAAAAATTCCATGAACCTTCACTCTATTTACCATTTATTATATACTTATAAATAAGTCATAATATTGGATTGAGTAAACTAAATACAAAGGCAAAATAGAAAGTTAAACATAATAATAAGGTTACGTTAAAAAATAATTGAAAGCAAGATGCATGAGGATGGTGGTTTCCTGGTTTGCTTAAGAACTGATATTTCCATTTTAACCAACTTAAATGAAGCTGTAGACTGGAGTGTTGTGTAGAATAATAAGCACTAGGGTTGATGTTTTAAATTTCTTAAAGCATAAAAAGCATATAAATAGTAGAAACTGACATATAAAAACAAAAGAATTTTGGAATATTTAAAAATACACTATAAATAAGACTGCATATAAATACAATCTTTTTTAAAAAGGCAATTTAGAGAGTATGATTGGTATACATAATCAAGTGAATTATGCTATTTTTAGGGGTGAAATGGAAAAGGACATCACTTCTTCATACTGCTTCTTATTTCTAATCCAACCAACCATCTGAAGATGTTTCCTTTACATTTATTGAAATATGCCACAGATTGATGTACCAATGACCACTTCTTTCTATTTAAACAACAGATGGAATGTTGGAATTGAAACCAGATTTGGGCATTCTGTTTTCATATAACAGTGCCTAGTATTTATCTATAAAATACGAAAATAAACCATTCTGGTAAGCTACTTGCAGGCACCATCAGTATTCAATGAAATAGCCATGAGGGACTGGTGGGGCAGAGAGAGAAGAGCAAGGTGTGATGTACAATATTTAAGTAATCAAAAACAAGATAAAAATATGTTGTTGCTCAATGTACCACCCCAGAAAAATAAACATAGCTGTATTTGAGTAAATACTGTTATTTACCTAGTTATAGTAACACATGATTAGGAAATAATCTCTAAAAAGATCTAGCAAAAAATGCATTCCTGTTGAGTGCTAATGCAGAATTTCAACTTGATTTTGGTTTTCATTAATGTAAAAAAGTAATCACACTGTCTGTGTTATAACTTTTTTTCTGTAATATTCTTTGAGGTATCTTTGAAGAGATAGTGATGAAGCCTATATTTCATCATTCACTAGATTCAATAATTTAGAAGCTCCAAATATAACCTCGACTTTCCACTTTGTTACAAAGTTCCTAATATTCATAATCCAACAATAATATGTTTTAACAGATTGTAACATAACCTTAGGTAGTTTATTTAAATAAGGGTTAGAAAATGACCGAGAGCATGCAAGTGTAATGTTCTTCAATCTCCCAGAAGATGTGAGCAGAAAAGAGGAAAGCTAATAAAGGTTGTGTCTTCAAGATATTCTGGGCAGTGGTTCGCATCTTCTCAGTCTATCTTCAGTTCATTTTGAAGACACAATTCTCTTTTTAAGCATTTTAATCCTAGTCTGTTGGATTGCATGTCTCTCAATTGCTGTGCATATGCAAATAAGTAACAAATTATCCTGGTTTCATAGCATAATGGACACTTTTCAAAAACCAGACAGCATCACAGGGCATAGGTACAAACATCTGGGTCATCTCTTTTTCATTTATTAAGCCTCTCAGAAAATAAGGTCACACAACAAGAAGAGCAGCAACAACAATAATACTAATATTTATTGAGCATTTACTATATTCTCAGGCACTATTAAACTTATTCTTTATGTTTTATTGTATTTATTCCCCACAACAATGTTATAAGGAGGAACTTTTAGCTAAGGCACAAAGAGTTTCTCAGGAACTTGCCCAAAATCGCAGAGCTAATCAGTGGTTGAGACATAGCTTGATTTCAGTCTGGCTCCAACTCCTTTGCTTTTATTTATACCTACAAACATGGAATTTCATTTATTTATAATGTCTTTTCTTACCTCTATACACAGGAACACTCATGAACATACACCCAAACCTTGCATAATTTACATAAATAAACAAGAGCAACAAACAAGAGCAATTTACATAAATAAACAAACAGACTACAACTTATGAATGGATTGTAAAGAGTTCACGGCTGGGTGTGGTTAACACTCCTATAGATCCAGCTACATGGGAGGCCACAGTAGGAGAAATTTTTGAGCCTAGGAGTTCAAGATCAGCCTGGGCATCATAGCAAGACCTCAACTCTATAAAAAATTAAATAATTTTTTTTTTAAAAAGAGTTCAGAAATAGATATGTGACAAAAATTCAATACTAAAATTGTTGAGTGTACCCTGCAATATTTTTAATTATTGATGTATATTCAAAACCAATCCAATTTTATTTTTGACCTCATGTAACCAGGACATGGTCAGATGTGGGCATCTTCTTGGTCTGGTATGTGTGAGGCCATACTTGTGGCTGTGATGGCCATGCAACACTTCAATTTAGTGTTAATTTGATTGCTTGGACAAAGGACAGGGGTCTTGATTTAACTTTTTGAGAAAATGAGGGAATAAAGCCAAAATAACTTTCTCATTTCCACAAAGGGGCGCCCCATTTATAAGGTCCACACTATTGACTTGTATTTAGTGTGGATCTTATCTTTGCATGTTAGCAGTTAAGGTAGATTCCTCACCTGATACCAAAAGCTCGTTTAACATGTGTTATACCTAAAAAAATTCACCATTAATACTGTACTAATGGTCTTATAGATCTTACCCAGCAGACATCCCCATATTACTCTGAGTAAGAGTTTAAGAAATTTAAATGTTCTTCATCAATTTTGATGAGATTGAGACTTTCTTTTCTATTTTACCACCTTTCTCTTTGCTCCACCTGATAGAAAACAGGAGTGGAGAATCCCCCAACTATAAATCATTGCTGATGGTTTGGGGCAGAGGATCCTGCAAAGTCTGGGATCTAATACAGGAGAAAAAAAAAAAGCACTAGGAAGTAGTTAAAAATCCAAACTTTTGAGACAGACAGACAAACATGGTTTTTCTGTTAAATGTGCTTTCAAATAAGGGTTCCTCCACTTTCTAACCTCTTTATCCTCTCTTAGTCTCATTTCATTTTATGTAAAATTACAATCATAACTTTTAACTTATAGACATGTTGTGAAGATTGAATTATACCTGTGTCTATAAAGAGCCTAACACAGTGTTTGAGAGAACATTTAGCAGTTACTTTTACTATGGAATAGAGTTGGAAGATAGAGCTTTTTTTCTGGAGTACATTTGTGGGGATGTTGTATTTCAGAATGGTGTACAACCTTTCCACTCTTTATTTTTTCCAAGCCGTGGAGGTTAGTTAAGAAACATAAATATAAGGGTGTATTACTCAAATCTTAAATTTAACTTTGAAATCTAACATTTAACATAGAACAACTCTAGTTGGGGAGGAGTGGTGGCAGAGGTTAAATGTATCTTGAGAACTACATAAGTTAACCTATAAATAGGCAAGTAACCAGCTAGTTGGGAGAGTCCCCTGAAAATGAAACAATAAGCTCTTTTATCATTGTTCTCATGGGAAAATTATTTTGACACACATATTTATAGGTTATAAAAAAATGAAGAACCCATTTCAACATGTTTAAAGTAGCCTTGAATAATATAACAGCGCTGAGAGGTTTTTCCACCCTGCTATTATCCTAAAATCATGGGTAGATGCAAAGTTAAAGTCAGGAAGGGCCAAAGTTTCCATCAATGAGTCATCAAGAAATTGGGCCAGCCAAGGTCCACTAATGCAGGCAGGTAGCACAGACTTTACCCCATGCTTGCTCAGTCAACAAAACATTCACAGATTAAGTCTCACTATGTTGCCCAGGCTGGCCTCAAACTTTCCTAGGGAATTGAGATATTACTGCCCATTAAAATGTACAGGGTTTTCCACCCCAAACCACTTCATTAGTTGATAGCAACAACCTCATTGGTTGCCATGTGACATACTACTTAATATCCTGCTGATGTGAGATAATGCTTTGTAAATTCCAATATTTCCTGAGTAATTTTTTTAAGTTTTGGATGTAAAGCTATAAAATCTCAACTAACATAAAAGAGAGGCACCCTGGTAAGAAAGAGTGAGAGACTATTACCGTTCCTGTCAAAATGGAAGTTATACCCAGGGTTGCCAGATAACATCTACAGTGCCTAGATACATTTGAAACATAACCAAGGAATAACTTTTTGTAAGTGTACTCCAAATAGTGCATGAGACATAATTACGCTGAAGACACGATCATAAAATATAAATACAAGTAAAATACAAATTTATCTGGGTATCCTGTGTTTTTATTTGCTTAATTTAGGGACTGTTGTTGACTTTGACATTGACAAAAAGATTACCAAAATTGCTCTATGCTTCACCTTCTATAAATCATAGAGCAACATACAGCAATGCCAGTAAGAGTTCCCAAAAAACTTCCAAGGTAAATGTTCTTACAATGTTAAAGATGGAGACAGAAGTAGTTAACGGTGACAATCTAATGTTTAGTTTAACTGAGTATTGTCAGTGACCTTCTGATTTACTTAATAAGCAAATATTTTTTCTTTTTTTTATAGGCCTCTCATTGCTTTTAAATATAATAAACAAAAAAGACAAAAACAACCATTTTTCTCAACTTACCAGAATGTAGGATGGCCTGGTTTTTCTCATTTTAAGTACTCTTTTAGGTTTTAATTTATTTGGAATTAGTAACTATTTTCCAAGACCTTACCTTCTTTTAAATTCAGAAGAAGTGCATTTCAATATTACCCACTAAAGGGAATAAGTAGAAGCTCTCTAAGATTTGCTCCTTTTGGGTCTCGCAGAAGACACTTTTTCTTCATGTATAATAGGAACATATGGTAAAACTTCTGGTTTATTTTTGCTGTCTCTTGGACAGCCTTTCACTATCATGTTCACATAGCAGATGACATGTAGAATTTGTCCATCTTGGGGCAGAATTGTGCCTTCTTCCCCAAACCACTCATCACGTCCAGACTCCTAAACTTAACTCCAACACTTCCAGAAATTAAGGCAATTTTGACAACTGGATCCTCTTAGGTTGAGCAATCTACGGCATGAAAATTTTAGTAAATCAGAAAATCTGAAACATTAATTTGCTAGGGCTATTGTTAAAAAGTACCAGAGACTTGGCAGTGTAAACAACAAAATTCACTTTCTTATAGTTCTGGATGCTGGAATCAGATCAAAGTGTCAGAAAGGTTTGTTCTTTTTTGATGGCTGTGAGGAAAGGGTCTGTTTCAGGCCTCTCTCTTTGACTTGTAGATGGCCCTCTTGTCCCTATATCTTCTCCCTATGTCTTCACAAGTCTTCCTTCTGTACATGTCTGTGTCTGGATTTTCTTTCTTATGAGAACACCAGTCATTTTGGATTAGTGCCCACTCCCTATGACACCTAATCTTTAAAGACACTATCTGCAAATCTAGTCACATTCTGAGGTCTGAGGGTTAGGACTTCAACATATGAATTTTTGTGGGGAAGCAATTCATCTCACACATCTGGTAACATCAAAACATTTACAAAATTACTTTAGGATAATGGAGCAAAGGAAAGACGGGGTCTAAAACCACAGGTTAAAGCATTAAATAGTGAAATACAAACAGGCAGAAAGCTCAGATAAGCAAGGGCACGAAGGAAAACTGCAATGTTTGATTCTTGGCAAAGAATGACGAATACATTAATACTGGATCACATCTTCCTCTCTTTTGAAGATTCTTCTCCGTATTAAAATATAATTTCCCAGAACATCTGTCCCTGGAACTGTAGCTCCTTTTTTTCTCCTGCTCATACCATACACCTGCTTCTGTTTCCTCCTAAAGTTTGGGAAACGTGCATTTATCAAGGGCACTGAAAACCTTCCAGACAATTCTGAGATAGTTCTACAACTCTTCTAAGAATGAGTAGGGCACTCAACATTCATCTCCACATTGATGATGGCAATGTGGATTCAATATTGGCATTTTGAACCAGTAAAAAAGAAACTCAGTTTCTCTATTGAAGAATTTATAGCATGTAGTATCACATTTAAAGATACATACAATCTAACTCTTCCTCCTACATTAATTAGTACATCTATCTTTATGTGAGTAATTTTTTTCTTTAACTTATATTTTAAGTTCTGAACTACTTGTACAGGATGTGTAGGTTTGTTGCATAGGTAAATGTGTGCCATGGTGGTTTGCTGCACAGATCAACCCACCACCTAGGTATTAAGCCCAGCATCCATTAGCTATTCTTCCTGATGCTCTCCCTACCCCCACCCGCCCCAACAGGCCCCAGGGTGTTTTGTTCCCCTTCATGTGTCTATGTGTTCTCATCATTCAACTCCCACTTACAAGTGAGAACATGTGGTGTTTGGTTTTCTGTTCCACCATTAGTTTGCTGAGGATAATGGCTTCCAGCTCCATTCACGTCCCTGCAAAGGACATGATCTCGTTCCTTTTTATAGCTGCATAGTATTCCATGGTATATATGTACCATATTTTGTTTATCTAGTATGTCATTGATGGGCATTTGGGTGATTTCATGTCTTTGCTATTGTGAACAGTGCTGCAGTGAACATACATGTGCATGTATCTTTGTAATAGAATGATCTATATTCCTTTGGGTATATACCCAGTAATGGGATTGCTGGGTCAAATGGTATATCTGTTTTTAGGCCTTTGAGGAATCACCACACAGTCTTCCACAATGGCTTAACTAATTTACACTCCCACCAACAGTGTAAAAGCATTCCTTTTTCTCTGCAACTTCACCAGCATCTGTTGTATCTTGACTTTTTAATAACTGACATTCTGACTGGCATGAGATGGTATCTCATTGTTGTTTTGATTTGCATTTATCTAATGATCAGTGATGTTGAGATTTTTTTTCAAATGTTTGTTGGCCACATGAATGTATTATCTTGAGAAGTGTCTGTTCATGTCCTTTGCCCACTTTTTAATGGGGCTGATTGTCTTTTTCTTGTAAATTTGTTTAAGTTATTTGTAGACTGTGGATATTAGAGCTTTGTCAGATGGATGGATTGTAAAAAATTTCTCCCATTTTGTAGGTTGTCTGTTCAATCAGATGATAATTTTTGCTGTGCAGAAATTCTTTAGTTTAATTAGATTCCATTCGTCAACCTCTACTTTTGTTGCAATTGCTTTTGATGTTTTCACCATGAAATCCTTGCCCATGCTTATGTCTGGAATGGTATTGTCTAGATTTTCTTCTAGGGTTTTTATGGTTTTGGGTTTTACATTTAAGTCTTTAATCCATCTTGAGTTAATTTTTTTATAGTGTAAAAGGAAGGGATCCACTTTCAATTTTCCACATATGGCTTGCCAGTTCTCCCAGCATCATTTATTAAATAACAGAATCTTTTCCCCATTGCTTGTTTTTGTTAGGTTTGTCAAAGAACAGATGGTTGTAGGTGTGCAGTCTTATTTCTGAGTTCTTTATTCTGTTCCATTGGTCTGTATGTCTGTTTTTGTACTACTATCGTGCTGTTTTGGTTACTGTGGCCTTGTAGTGTAGTTTGAAGTTGGATAGCCTCCAGCTTTGTTCTTTTTGCATAGGACTGTCTTGGCTATTCAGGCTCTTTTTTGGTTTTATAAAATTTTAAAATAGTTTTTTCTACTTTTGTGAAGAATGTTAATGCTAGTTTAATGGGAATAGCATTGAATCTATCAATTACTTTGGGCAATATGGCCATTTTCACAATATTGATTCTTCCTATCCATGATCATAGAATGTTTTTCCATTTGCTTGTGTCCTCTCTGATTTCCTTGAGCAGTGGTTTGTAGTTCTCCTTGAAGAGGTCCTACACTTCCCTTGTTAGCTGTATTCTTAAGTGTTTTATTCTTTTTGTAGCAATTGTAAATGGGAGTTGATTCATGATTTGGCTCTCTGCTTGCCTGTTGTTGGTGTACAGGAATGGTAGCAATTTTTTCACATTGGTTTTGTATTCTAAGACTTTGCTGAAGCTGCTTATCAGCTTACGAAGCTTTTAGGCTGAGATGACATGGTTTTCTAGATATAGGATCATATCATCTGCAAAAAAATGGTAATGTGACTTCTTTTCTTCCTATTTCATACCCTTCATTTCATTATTTTGCCTGATTGCCCTGACCAGAACTTCCAATACTATGTTGAATAGGAGTGATGAGAGAGGGCATTCTTGTCTTGTGCTGGTTTTCAATGAGACTGCTTCCAGCTTTGCCCATTCAGTATGATGTTAGCTGTGGGTTTGTCATATGTGGCTCTTATTATTTTGAGGTATGTTCCTTCAATACATAGTTTATTGACATTTTTTGACATGAAGGGACATTGAATTTTATTGAATGCCTTTTCTGTGTCTATTGCGATAATCATGTGGTTTTTGTCTTTAGTTCTGTTTATTAGGTCAATTATTTTTATTAATTTGTGTGTATTGAATCAACCTTGCATCCCAGGGATGAAGCCAACTTGATCATGGTGGATAAACTTTTTGATATGCTGCTGGATTTGGTTTGCCAGAATTTTATGAAGAATTTTTGCATCAGTGTTCATCATGAATATTGGCCTGAAGTCTACATTTTTTGTTGTATCTCTGCCAGGTTTGGTATCAAGATGATGCTGGCCACATAAAATGAGTTAGGAAGAAGCCCCTCCTTTTCAATTGTTTGGAATAGTTCTGGTAGAAATAGTACCAGTGCTTTTTTGTACCTCTGGTAGAATTCAGCTCTAAATCTGTACTGTCCTGGGATTTGTTGTTGTTGTTGTCGTTAGGCTATTTATTACTGTCTCAGTTTTAGAATTCCTTATTGTTGTATTCAGGGATTCAATTTCTTACTTGTTCAGTTTGGGGAGGGTGCATGCATCCAGGAATTTGTCCATTTCTTCTAGATTTTCTAGTTTATGTGCAAAGAGTTTTTTATAGTATTCTCTAATGGTTGTTTGTATTTATTTGGGTCAGGGGTGATATCCCCCTTATCATTTTTGATTGTATCTATTTGAGTCTTCTATCTTTTCTTCATTAGTCTAGCTAGCGGCTTATCTATTTTATTAATTGTTTCAAAAAACCAGCTCCTGGATTCATTGATTTTTTTTAAAGGTGTTTTGTGTTTCTATCTCCTTCAATTCCACTCTGATCTTGGTTATTTATTGTCTTCTGCTAGCTTTCGGGTTTGTTTGCTCTTGGTTCTCTACTTCTTTTAGCTGTGATGTTAGGTTGTTGATTTGAGATCTTTCTAGCTTTTTGATGTGGGCATTTAGTGCTGTAAATTTCCACCTTAATATTGTTTTAGCTGTGACCCAGAGGTTCTGGTATGTTGTCTCTTTGATCTCATTAGTTTCAAAGAACTTCCTGATTTCTGCCTTAATTTCATTATTTACACAGGAGTCAATCAGGAGAAAGTTGTTCAATTTCCATGTAGTTGTGTGGTTTTGAGTGAGTTTCTTAATCTTGAGTTCTATTTTGATTGCTCTGTGGTCTGAGAGACTATGATTTCAGTTCTTTTGCACTTGCTGAGCAGTGTTTTACTTCTGATTATGTTATCAATTTTAGAGTAAGTGTCATGTGGCAATTAGAAGAAGTGTATATTCTGTTGTTTTGGAGTAGAGAGTTCTGTAGATATCTATCAGGACCACTTGATCCAGAGCTGTGTTCAAGTCCTGAATATCTTTGTTAATTTTCTGTCTTCTGGTGGCATGGGCTTATGAGGGGATCTCCTGATCTGTGGGTTGCAAAGATACATGGGAAAAGCATGGTTTCCTGAGTGGGGCCGCACAATTACTCTATGTGAGTAATTTTCTTTAGGCTTTATTAAACACAATTTTCTCCATTAGAAAATTCATGAGGTATACCTTGATTAGCTCTGAAGAATACATATTTTGCTTTGGGAAAAACATCTGCAATTTATTCAAAGTAAAAAAGTATGGATTATATTTTTGGGAACTGGAGGATATTCCCTATTGTTTTTCTCTATAGCATTCTAAGGGAAAGTTGAAACTTTTGATTAGCTACTGATAAGCATAAAACACTCTATGAAGCAGAACTTTTCTGCGTTTTATAATATTTTTCTTGGTATACTACATATAGGTGCACTTAAGAGCACACATAGAGGTATGTTTAGAAAACCACTTCTGCCGAATTAAGAAATGCCATTTCGAAGCAACCTGTTATAAAAACAACAACAGCAACAAAAACATTCTGGCAAATTTGTGGCTTTTAAAGACAAAATGAAGGAAACTTACTGAATTTGTTTAATTTTCCTACATTTGTACCTATGGTTGAAAAAAACTGAAAATAAAGTCAGATTTTATATACTTAGACATGCCTGCCAGCTTCCATTATTCTTCTCAAGATAGGCCTTTTTCTTCTGGTAGTACACACATTTTTAAAAGGTAGCATTAGAACAACTAGATATATCAATATACAAATATTGACCACAGATTTTTGACCTTTTTTTTTTTTAAAATTAAGACTACTTTACTTTTTCCCTCCATGACAAAAGTAACACTTGATTTGTATAGAGAAATGTAGAAAGTCCATGAAAAGGAGCAACAACAAAAAATTAATCAGTTCCATTACTCAAAGATAAAAATTTCGACATATTTTATCACCAGTGAAAATTATATTTTTAGTGATAATATTGCCAAAATATTTTGTGCATCTGTTGCTGTTTGTAGTAAAGGAAAAAAAAATAAAAAGAGCTGGTGTATAAATAGGAAACAGCTATTAGCAAAGTAATGAATGTCTGGTATCCTGTTTGTTGTTTCAAGATGAAGAATAATTATTGGCTTAGCTAAGAATCTCAGTTTTGATGAGAAATTTGTTAAGTGAAATGTTGAGAGTGTTTCTACGTTGCTAGCCCATGGAATTTAAGTAGAGAATCATTACCAGTAGGTAGAAATAATTAGACAGGTCCAGAGAAAGCTGTGTTTTAATAAGTAACAATAATCCATGCAGAGGTACTCACTGCACTATTAATTTTCAGAGAAAAAGAGCTCAGTTCTTCGTGCTAAATTGAATCAGGGATATTAGGAGTCAGAAAACTGGTTATGCAAAATAAAACAGAACTTTGAAAAGAGGGAACACATAAAAACTGGAGTTAAGCTGGGCGCAGCGGCTCACACCTGTAATCCCAGCGCTTTGGGGGTCCAAGGTAGGAGGATCGCTTAAGACTAGGTGTTCAAGACCAGTCTTGGCAACATAGTGAGAACTCATCTCTAAAATAAACAAACAAATAAATAAATAAATAAATGAAAATAAAAACCAAGGTCAAATTACCAGGTGTTTGGAATAGGGGCAGATTCAACAAATGGGGAAGAAGGTTGAGAGCGCAGGTGATCTGAAACAGCTTCCTTATCTATGTCTGAAACCACAATAGACATTTAGGCCCCAGTGGGGAAAGGCTAGAGGGCCATAAAGACAGGTTACTTTTTGCCTTGTCTCCTATCTCACTGAACTCTCACTCTCAGGTTTCTTCCTAGGCTTCTTCCACCTACACCTTACAAGGATGTGTTGTTTCCTAACAACAGCCCCATACTTCTCAGGAGTAACTCTTCAACATAGGTCAGTGACTTACCTCAGTGGTAATCTCTCCACAGTGAATATCCCAGAGGATAACATTCTTGTTTACTTTTGTTTCATCTTTTCTACCTTTCTTCTTTTATTACTATACAGCAAAAGTAAATCTAAACTGTCCAGGCTGACATCAACCAACTAGCTTACCATATTATCATTCAATAGAGAAGATACATGTTTGTTTGAAAAGCATGTGAGATACAAGAAGCTGATAGAGGGTTCTACTTCAGATTCTAGTGATGACACAATCAAGCTTGATTTGGATTTGGAAAACAGAGAATATTCCAATATTAGAGAAGTTACAAGGTTGTTTAGACTATTTCATTTTGAGTTCTTTTCCTTGAGATTGTATTTCTTCTTAAAGGAATTCATTTCTCAGAGTCATTTTTTGGGAGACGGGAGAGTAGAACAGGTTATGTTTTTTCTTTCTTTGCTATCCAGTGGTGTATAGCAACTAAATAACAAAAATTACAAACTCAAATTTTTGTCACTGTGTTAGATAAACAATACTAGATCCTTACCCGGAGTACTGAGAACTGAGGAAGACTGCTATCCTCTGTCATATTCTTCTAAGACCAGGAGTTGGCAAACTACAGTCTGTTGCCTGGATGCCTTTTTGGAAATAAAATTTTATTTTAGGCTGGTCATGGTGGCTCAAGCCTGTAATCCCAGCACTTCGGGAGGCCAAGGCTGATAGGTTTTGCCATGTTTCCCAGGCTGATCTGGAACTCCTGACCCCTTGAGTTCAGGAATTCGAGACCATCCAGGGCAACATGACAAAACCCCACCTCTACAAAAAATACAAAAATTAACTGGATGTGGTGGTGCACCCCTGTAGTCCCAGCTACTTGGGAGGCTGAGGTGGGAGGATTGCTTGAGCCTGGGAGACTGAGGCTGCAGAGAGATGTGGTTGTGCCACTGCAGTCAGGCCTGGGGGACAGAGTGAGACCCTGTCTCAAACTAAACCAAAACAAATAGACAAAATCTATTTTAGCACAGCCACTCCTATTCATTTTTGTATTCTCTATGGTTGCTTTTGTATTACAAGAGCAAAGTGAAACAGAGACCAAAAGAACAACAAGCTATTATTCTGGTTCTTTACAGAAACACACACACACACACACTTACACGCACTTACACACAAACACAGCCTCTGTGCTTGATCCTGACTGTTCAATATAACTTTTCATGATGGTGGGAATACACTGTATCTGTGTTGTCCAATACAGTAGCCACTAGCCACATGTGGCTATTTAAATTCAATTTCAAATCAGTAAAAATTAAATTAAATCAACAAAGTATTCTTTGGTGCAAAAGTAATTGCAGTTTTTGCCATTACTTTTAATAGTTGCTCAGTCACTCATGGTTACGTGATTAAGAAACTATGAAAATTTAACATATTTTACTTTAGTATTTCTACTTTTGTTCAGTTTTAAATATTTGCAATATTTCATTATTCCCCATTGACTTTTGGTTTGTTTGAAAGTATGCTATATAAATTTCCAAAGAGATTGTATCTTCTAAGCTCTCTGTCTGCTTTTTATTGAATGAACTTAATTGCCCTCTGGTCAGAAGTTGGTTTGACCAATATAAATTTTCTGAAATTGAAGGATAGCTTTAAATCTTAGCACATGGCCAATTTTTGCAAATGTCTTTCCATATGTACTTGAAGATAATGTTTTCTGATAAGCCCAATGTTTATTATCCATATATTATTTTAGGCTTTACAATTTGACATTCAAATAATATCATTTTAGATTTTTGTTTTGCTTGATCCATGGTTTACTGAGAGAAACATGTTTAAAATTGCCATAAGAAATATTGCTTTGACCATTTATTTTTGTAGTTATGTTAAATTTGTCATTATATATTTTGAAACTATGTTATTAAATAATTGCAAGTTTATAATTACCAGATCATCCTAGTAAATTGCAACCTTTATGTTTATGAATTGCCTTTATATTTCCAATATTGGTTTTTGCCTCAAATTGTATTTTTTTCATGATATTAATATAACTACATAGCTTTCTTTTGGATAGATACTATTCCCTTTATGTTTTTCAGCCCTTTGATTTCAAAATTTCTTCTTATGTTTTAGTTATCAACAGCATAAACAGAATATGACAGAATTTTATTTTTTAAATTGCAGTTTGAATTAAAAAAAAATAGAGATATGGTCTTGCTATGTTGGCTAGGATAATCTCAAACTTCTGGCCTCAACGCTCCAGCCTCAGCCTCCCAAAGTGCTGGGATTACAGGTGTGAGCCACCATGCCTGGCCATTGAAAACCTGCTTTTTAATTGGAGAGTTTAGTCCACTTATATTTATCATGATTGATATGATTGATAATTGGATTCATTACTCCTATCTTATCACATGCTTTTAACTAAGCAAACTCATTTTCCTGTTTCTTTCACTAGCATGTTTCCTGACTTATTTTTCCCTTTTTCTCATTCTATTTTTTTACTTGTTTTGAAGTTAAGTGTTGTATGCCATTAATTTATGGTTTCTGGCTCTTTTTTACACTTATAATTAAATTAGCAAAATCTAAAATTAAACCGTTTTTATTTTCTTCTTGAAAATCAATGATCTTAGAATACTTTAAGACCCATTAGCGTCTCTCATATTAAATGCTGTCATATGCTATGATTTCAAGTATGTTTCAAGAAATGTTTTAGTCTGATTTTTGGCCCCTAGTATATGTTAAACATAATTATTATTTCTATTACATTCAAAGTTTGTTTAGATTTACCCCATATTAACCAAAGTTTTTGTTCAATATTCTTTTTTTATCAGTCATCATATTCCTCACCTGAACTATATTACCTGGTTTTTCTTTTGTCCTTATTACCAAAATCTAATTTTGCTATGTATAGAATTCTATATTCCCTGATATTTTATCTTAGCACATGGGAGCTATGATTCCATTGTCTTCTGTTTTTATTGTTACTGAGAAGTCTCTCCTCTTTCAGATTGCAATTCTTTTGTAGTTGATCTCTCATTTCTCTTTGGCTTGTTTGAAGAAATATTTTCTTTGGTGATCTCTCATGTGTCTTCCTGTGATTTCTTGGAAATCTCAGAGCTAAGAATTGTTTTCTTTGAATAACTATGAAAATACTTGTAGCCATTTTCTCTTTTAATAGGACCTTTTCCCCATTCTTTCTCCTTTCCTCCCTCTGAACTTCATTTAGGTATATGATATTTTCTTTTGTTTTTATCATCCCTGTATATCAACCCTTTCATATATATTCCATGTCTTTGTCTCTTCTGTGTTGCATGCAGGATAATTTCTTTAACCCTTTCTTCCAATGAACTAATTCTTCAGCTGAATCTAATCATCTGTTTAATCCAGGAGTCTTTTTATTAAAAGTACCAGAGTGTCAACTTGTCTGTCAGGCTTCTGGCTTCTGTGGTCTCTGTTGCCACCACGCTATTTTGCCACTGTAGCATGAAAGCAGCCATAGATGATAGATAAACAAATGGGCATGACTGTGTTTAATAAAACAGATTTACAAAAACAGGCAGTTAGCCCATGGGCCATAGTTTGCTGACACCTACTTTAATCTATCGATTGAGTTTTAAAAATTATTTTCCAATTTTAGAGTTATTATTTTTTCAATCTTTTATATTTATAATATTCTATATCTTATGCATATTTTTATCTCTTTTATATTTTAAACACATTAAATGTAATTATCTCATATCTTGTTTTCTAATAGTTTTAATATCTAAGTTCATTTATTTATATTTATTAATTTTTTTTGAGACAAGGTCTCTCTCTGTTGCCCAGGCTGGAGTACAGTGGCACCATCACAGCTCAGTTCAGCCTCAACCTTGACGACTCAAGTGATCCTCCCATCTCAGCCTCTCACGTAGCTGGGACTACAGGTTTGTGCCACCATACCTGGCTAACTAAAAAAAAAATTCTAGAGAAAGGGTCCTGCTATATTGGCCAGGCTGGTCTTGAACTCCTAGGCTCAAGTGATCCTCCCATCTCACCCTCCCAAAGTGTTGAGATTACAGATGTGAGACACTGCATACAACCTAAATTTATTCTTAAATATTATCTTCTACTGTGTGTTGTTTCTACAGGCTTACACTCATGGTTCCTTACTCATTTGTGTACCTTGTGATTTTGATTGTGTTACTTTTCTTTAAAATGAAATTTAATGAAGCCTGTTTTAAGTTATATTATTCCAGAGAAGATTTACATTTTCTTCTCTACTTGACTGAGAGTCTACCTACCAGTAAACATTTTAAGTTTACCCTTAGAAGTTGATTTTACAACACACAGATAGTATTAATTCATACTGCAAACTTGTATTATTTATGTTGCCAATCACAAGAAATATGTTTTCCACATACATAACAAGCCTCCTGTAGTGGACATGAAAATGTCCCACTCATATATATTCTGCTGCAGAGAATGTAATGGACTGATGGTCTCATATGTGATCCTTTTGAATTAACCACTGCATTTACACTGAAGACATGCTTCTACAGACAGCTCCCAGTCAGTTTCTGAGCCTAGTGAGAATACTAACGCTGGTCTATTTATATAGGATATGGGACCTCTTTAAATGGGAACTTGAGATCTAGGATTCTTTATTGGTTTAGACAAAACTTTCTTGGACTGTTCACTAGTCTAAAACTCTTCCTACCTAATCCTTGTGCCTTGCTTCTCTTGTACCCATGTTAGACCTGCATCATTCTGAAGTGTCTCCTTGCCTTCTCCAGCTTCCACTATTTTATCTTTAAGAGACATTTCTCCCATTAAAATTCATGTACATGAAAAGATTAGATGCAAGATTATTTTATGAGTGTGTATATATATATTTGCACTACTTGCAGCTAGTGTTTTGCCTAGGAGCAAAACATTTTTAAATCCTACTGTTTTCAAACAAAAGAATCTTAATCTACTTCAACTCAACCTGTTTGTAAAGTTTATGGCTTTGTATGTTACTGACAGTGTAGAATATCTGTATCTCAGATGCTTGTCAGGGAATAGAACTGATACTTAATGTCCATCAAATCCAGTTGATTGACCAATGCATCTAAAATCTACTTGTTCCTCTAAAAAGCATTACAATGTGGCTTACCTTAAACTACAATGTTAGTCATCTGCTACAGATGTGGACCTCATCATTTCTCTGCAACTCATCAAACACCACCATACTTCATCCCCTGACTTTTAATTTCTATTTTTCTGAATTTACTTTGACATAATCGGAGGAACTTTTTCAAAAACTCTCATGTAAAATGTGTACTTGTCTCTAAGAAATGTATGCTGTTGAGGATGTTCTTATATTGATAACATGATATCAAATGTGACCTATAAGACAATTTTTTTCTTTTATGTCATTTTTAGGATTTGTGTTTCACTTAAGACACTAATTAATTGTATCTGATTATTACATTGAGCTGTGGAATGGGTCATTATTATTATACTGACTGCTGAAAAATTGAGTTAGATTTGAGACTTATGTGTAATTTTGTTCATTAGTCTCTCTGTTGGATTTATTTTATTTTTTATTTCCTGTATGTGCGTGTATTAGTTTATTTTCACACTGCTATAAAGAACTGTCTGAGACTGGGTAATATATAAAGGAAAGAGGTTTAGTTGACTCACAGTTCCACATGGCTGAGGAGGCCTCAGGGAACTTACAGTCATGGCAGAAGGCAAGAGAGAAGGAAAGGCATGTCTTGCATGGCAGCAGGGAAGAGAGAGCAAATGAGCAAAGGGGGAAGAGCCCCTTATAAAACCATTAGATCTCATGAGAATTCACTCACTATCATGAAACAGCATGGGGGAAACTGCCCCCATGATCTAATCACCTCTCACCAGACCCCGCCCTCAACACATGGGGATTACAATTTGAGATGAGATTTGGGTAGGGACACAGAGTCAAACCATATCAATAGGCATGTATGTGTTTGTGTGTATTTTTATGTATTGCTGAGTAGCATTACAGTGTGTGCCTATAGCATAATTTGTCTATTCACCTGTTAATGAACATTTTTTACCCTAACAGTATATATATTTATTTATTTTACAATCTTTGTAGGTAAATATTCTGTTCTAAAATCTGTCCTTTTCTTTCCTTTGAGATTATACCATAAACATTTATCTGTGTGGTTATATAGTGTTCATAATAATTACCTTTATAATTGGATTATATTTCTTCAAATGAGCTCACCATAATTTACTTTGACTGTTTATATGAATGAGACAGAGTCAAAAATATCAAATACAAGCATCCAAAAGCTTTCCCTTTTTTTTTTTTTTTTTTTTTGGTTTCTTCGGGCCATTTTGTTTTGTTTGACTATTTCTGAACTCTTTCTGTGTGGTCCCAGTGCATGGTGACCAGGAAACTGGGACGGGTGAGAAAGTAGAGTTAGGAAAAGAAAGGGAAAGGAAAGCCAAACAGGAGAACTCACTAAAGTTGGCTAAAGTTTTATCAAGGAGAGAGAGACAAGAAATACTAGAGTTAGCTGCCTGTGATGTGGGACTTGCAAAGAGAAGTAGAACAAATACTGAAGATATTTGTTGTTTGTTGCGTAGGGTAAATTCTTTCTTTGTCCTCCCTTAAGAATGCATTCAGAAATAGTATATATGATTCAGCAAAGCCTTTGAAATCCAAACTGAGTTTCTTCAGGAAATAACAAAAATACCTAATAAAAACATAGCTATATTTGGTTTACATTTTTGTCTGTTTTTTTTTTCTATTATTTAGCTATTTTAAGTAAAGCTTTAACAAAAGTAATGGAAACATTTTTAAGACTCTTATTCGTGCCTTAGGTAATAAAATAGAAAACACTATCTTAAAGTTGAGTCTGAGGAAGTGGGGCAGAGTTGTTGTTTTATCTGAAACAGATATATTAACGATGTCATCAAGAAGAGCATAGAGATAAATTTAGTTAAGATAAATTCAGTACATTCAGAAGCCAAAACAACCAAAAGAATCAGTATGCAATTAGCAAAAAGATACACTTTAGTCACATGTGCTATGCAAAATATCTGACATGCAATTAAAAGGCAATATAATTTTCAAGATAATAGTAAATATCAGTGCAGAGCTAATTTATATATAACATTTTTGTAGTTTATATACTTAAAAATCATCTTAAAGTGAACAATGAGGAAGAAAACAAAAAATAATGATCATTTGAAACATCTCACTTCTAGAGAGCCAGAGAATTTTAAAGAATTTTGAGTGTCTATAGTTGTTGAGCAAAAAAAAAGTCAAACTCTGTAAAATATTTAAAGAGTTTTATTCTGAGCTAAATATGAGTGACCATGGCCCGGGGTACAACCTCAAGAGGTCCTGAGAATATGTGCCCAAAATAGTGAGGTTACAGTTTGATTTTATACATTTTAGGGTGACAGAAGTTACAGGCAAAGATATAAATCAATACATGTAAGGCACACATTGATTTGGCCTAGAACTGTGAGACATCTGGAAGTAGGAAAAGAGGTGTGGATGGTGGGTATTACAGGTGATAGGTGGATAAAAGATTCTCTGATTGACAACTGGTTATAAGAGTTAGCTCTTAAAAAAAAAAAAGATAAAGGGCATTGTGGTTGTGGAAGACAAGGTTCTTGTCACGTAGATGAAGTCTGTAAGTAGCAGGCTTCAGAGAGAATAGATGGGCAATGTAAATGTCCCTTTTTTTTTTTTTTTTGAGACAGAGTCTTGCTTGTTGCCCCGGCTGGAGTGCAATGGCACTATCTTGGCTCACTGCAACCTCCGCCTCCCGGGTTCAAGCGATTCTCCTGCCTCAGCCTCCCAAGTAGCTGCGATTACAGGTGCCTGCCACTGCACCCAGCTAATTTTTGTATTTTTAGTAGAGACGGGGTTTCATCATCTTGGCCAGGCTGGTTTCGAACTCCCAATGTCATGACCCACCCGCCTCGGCCTCCCAAAGTGTTAGGATTACAAGTGTGAGCAAACGCGCCCGGCCTATGAATGTCTCTTTTCGGAATTTAAAAGGTATCAGACTTGGAAAACACCTAGAAAAGGGAGGAGATTCTCCACAGAATGCAAATTTTACCCACAAGACAGCTTTACAGAGCCATTTCAAACTGTCGAAGAAATATATTTTGGGGTAAAATATTTTTATTGCCTTCAGGGCCTGCTATCTGTTGTGTGAGGCTATACAGGAAACAGGTTGGAATTTGGTATCTGTTTGCTACAAAGAGTCTGTTCTGTTAGTCTTAGGATCTCTATTTTAATGTTAATGTTGGTCAGTTGTTTCTAAACACCATAGAGAGAGGGTATAATGAGGCATGTCTGACCTCCCTTCCCATCATGGCCTGAACTAGTTTTTCAGGTTTCTTTGGGATCCATTTGGTCAAGAAGTGAGTCCATTCAGTTGGTTGGGAGGCTTATAATTTTATTTTTGGTTTACATAGTTATGCCTCTTTTTAACTGGTGAGGAATGTTTTTAGAGGTCACTAAATACAGGGGCAGATGTTGACAAAACATATACAAATATTAACAAGAGAAACTGGAGTTAAGAATGTCAGGCCTCTAAGCCCAAGCAAAGCCATCATATAAGGATGCCTTTTTGGTTATAGATATGATCAGGATGGGCATCAACCTGAAAGGAAGATCGTGGGCTCTTTCATGCGCGTCCGTGTGAAGAGACCACCAAACAGGCTTTGTGTGAGCAACATGGCTGTTTATTTCACCTGGGTGCAGGCGGGCTGAGTCCGAAAAGAGAGTCATGGGCTGAGACCGAAAAGAGAGTCAGCGAAGGGAGATAAGGGTGGGGCTGTTTTATAGGATTTGGGTAGGTAAAGGAAAATTACAGTCAAAGGGGGTTTGTTCTCTGGCGGGCAGGAGTGGGGGTCGCAAGGTGCTCTGTGGGGATGCTTTCTGAGTCAGGATGAGCCAGGAAAAGGACTTTCACAAGGTAATGTCATCAGTTAAGGCAAGGACCAGCCATTTACACTTCTTTTGTGGTGGAATGTCATAGGTTAAGGTGGGGCAGGGCATATTCACTTCTTTTGTGATTCTTCAGTTACTTCAGGCCATCTGGGCATATACATGCAAGTCACAGGGGATGTGATGGCTTGGCTTGGGCTCAGAGGCCTGACATTCCTGCCTTCTTATATTACTAAGAAAAATAAAACAAAATAGTGTTGAAGTGTTGGGGTGGCGAAAATTTTTGGGGGGTGGTATGGAGAGAGAATGGGTGATGTTTCTCAGGGCTGCTTCAAGCAGGATTAGGGGCAGTGTGGGAACCTAGAGTGGGAGAGATTAAGCTGAAGGGAGGTCTTGTGGTAAGGGGTGATATTGTGGGAATGTTAGAAGAAACACTTGTCGTATAGAATGATTGGTGATGGCCTGGATATGGTTTTGGATGAATTGAGAAACTAAATGGAATAACAGAAGGAGAAAAACAGGTATAAAAGGTCTAAGAATTGGGACGATTCAGGATATCTGATTAGAGAGTGCCTAAGGAGATTCAGCATAGTCCTGCCAACAAAGATTATTTATTTACTTCAAGAGTTAAGAGTGGCAGTTTGGGGATAGCATGAGGAGATATCAGCTGTGATGGCTTGGAAAAACAGTGTAAACCGGCAGTGTAAACAAGAGCAGGGCATGTATGAGTAGTTGAGAACGGTGAATAGCAGTATGACTAGACAGAAGATAGTAGGGATGACAAGTTTTTTTAGGGGCATAGTCTAAGTTGGTCTGGTGTCTGGAATGAGACTGGGGCCTAATAAAAAGGAGCGTCTATACAGGAGCTCAAATAGGCTGTGCCCTGTAGCATTCCGAGGACAGGCCTGAATTCTGATAAGGGAAAGTGTTAAAAGTATTGTCCAGTCCTTTTTAAGTTGGTGGCTGAGCTTGGTGAGGTGTGTTTTTAAAAGACCTTTAGTCCATTCTACTTTTCTTGAAGACGGAGGACCATAAGGGATATAAAGGTTTCACTGAATACAGAGAGCCTGAAAAACTGCTTGGCTGATTTGACTAATAAAGGCTCGTCTGTTATCAGACTGTATTGAGGTGGGAAGGCTCAACTGAGGAATTATGTCGGACAGAAGGGAAGAAATGACTGCGGTGGCCTTCTCAGACCCTGTAGGAAAGGCCTCTACCTATCCAGTGAAAGTATCTACCTAGACTAAGAGGTATTTTAGTTATCTGATTCAGGGCATGTTGAGTAAAGCTAATTTGCCAGTCCTGGGTGGGGCAAATCCTTGAGCTTGATGTGTAGGGAAGGGAGGGGGCCTGAATAATCCCTGAGGAGTAGTAGAATAGCAGATGGAACACTGAGAAGTTATGTCCTTCAGGATAGATTTCCACGATAGAAATGAAATGAGAGGTTCTAAGAGGTGGGCTAGTGGCTTGTACTATAGCATAACCTGCCTTTGCTGGTGTGTGGTGATTAGGCCTGGTGGAACCGCCATCAATAAATCAAGTGTGATCAGGGTGAGGAACAGGAAAGAAGGAAATTTGGGGAAATGGGGTGAATGTCAGGTGGATCAGAGAGATACAGTCATGGGGGTCAGGTGTGGTATCAGGAATAATGTGGGAGGCCGGATTGAAGTCTGGGCCAGGAACAATGGTAATTGTGGGAGACTCAACAAAGAGTGAGTATAGCTGAAGGAGCTGGGAAGAAGAAAGTATATGCGTCAGGTATGAGGAAGAAAATAGATTTTGGAAGTTATGAGAACTGTAGAGAGTGAGTTGAGCATAGTTTGTGATTTTGAGGGCCTCCAAAAGTATTAAAGCAGTGGCAGCTGCTGCACGCAGACATGAGGGCTAGGCTAAAACAGTAAGGTCAACTTGTTTGCACAGAAAGGCTACAGGGTGCAGTCCTGGCTCTTGTGTAAGAATTCTGACCACACTAACCATGCCTAGGAAGGAAAGGAGTTGTTGTTTTGTAAGGGATTGAGGTTTGGGAGATTAATCGGACACGATCAGCAGGGAAAGCATGTATGTTTTTACAAGAATTATGCCGAGATAGGTAACAGATGAGGATGAAATTTGGGCTTGACTGAAGTAATGGGGGCTGTCTATGAAGCCTTGCGGCAGTACAGCCTTGGTAATTTGCTGAGCCTAATGGGTGTCAGGGTCAGTCTAAGTGAAAGCAAAGAGAGGCTGGGACGAGGGGTGCAGGGGAATAGTGAAAAAAGCATCTTTAAGATCAAGCACGGAATAGTGAGTTGTGGAGGAAGGTATTGAGGACAAAAGAGTGTACGGGTTGGGCACCACAGGGTGGATAGGCAAAACAATTTGGTTGATAAGGCGCAGATCCTGAACTAACTTGTAAGGCTTGTCTGGTTTTAGGACAGGTAAAATGGGGGAATTGTAAGGAGAGTTTATAGGGTTTAAAAGGCCATGCTGTAGCAGGTGAGTGATAACAGGCTTTAATCTTTTTAAAGTGTGCTGTCGGATGGGATATTGGCGTTGAGTGGGGTAAGGGTGATTAGGTTTTAATGAGATGGTAAGGGGTGCATGATCGGTCGCCAAGGAGGGAGTAGAGGTATCTTATACTTGTGGGTTAAGGTGGGAGGATACGAGAGGAGAACGAAAGGAGGCTTTGGATTGGGAAGAAGGGCGGCAATGAGATATAGCTGTAGTCCAGGAATAGTCAGGGAAGCAGATAATTTAGTTAAAGTGTCTCAGCCTAATAAGGGAACTGGGCAGGTGGGGATAACTAAAAAGGAGTGCTTAAAAGAGCATTGTGTAAGTTGGCACCAGAGTTGGGGAGTTTTAAGAGGTTTAGAAGCCTGGCCGTCAATACCCACAACAGTTATGGAGGCAAGGGAAACAGGCCCTTGAAAAGAAGGTAATGTGGAGTGGGTAGCCTCCGTATTGATTAAGAAGGGGAGGGGCTTACCCTCCACTGTGAGAGTTACCTGAAGCTGGGTGTCCGTGATGGTCTAGGGGGCTTCCGAGGCCATTGGGCAGTGTCAGTCTTCAGCCGCTAAGCCGAGAAGATCTGGGAAGGAGTCAGAGAGCCTCGGGCCAGAGTTCCAGGGGCTCTGGGAGTGGCTACCAGGTGAGTTAAACAGTCCAGTTTTCAGTGGGGTCCCACACAGATGGGACGCGGCTTAGGAGGAATCCCAGGCTGTGGGCATTCCTTGGCCCAGTGGCCAGATTTCTGGCACGTGTAGCAAGCTCCTGGGGGAGGAGGTTCTGGAGGAATGCCTGGCTGCTGCGGTTCAGGCATTTGGAAGTTCTTGTGTGCTGGAGATGTGGCTGGGGTTTGTCTCACAGTGGAGGCAAGGAATTGCAACTTTTTTCTGTTATTGTACACCTTGAAGGTGAGGTTAATTAAGTCCTGGTGTGGGGTTTGAGGGCCTGACTCCAATTTTTGGAGTTTTATTTAATGTCGGGAGCAGATTGGGTAATAAAATGTATATTGAGAATAAGACGGCCTTTTGACCTTTTAGGGTCTAGGGCTGTAAAGTGTCTCAGGGTTGCTGCCAAACAAGTCATGAACTGGGCTGGATTTTTATATTTGATGAAAAAGAGCCTAAATGCTTCTGATTTGGGATAAAGAAAAAGGAGCATTAACCTTGACTATGCCTTTGGCTCCAGCCACCTTTTTAAGAGTAAATTGCTGGGCAGGTTGGGGAGGGCTAGTCACGGAACGAAACTGTAAGCTGGACCAGGTGTGAGGAGGGGAGGTGATAAAAAGATTATAGGGTGGAGGAGCAGAGGCTGAGGAAGAATTGGGACCTAGCTCGGCCTGGCGAGGAGCAGCCTGGGGAGTAAGGGAGAGGTCAGATGGGTCTGTAGAAAAGGAAGATTAGAAAGACTCAGTGACGCTTGGGGTTGGTACTGATGGGACAGGTGGGAGGGAAAGAAGGAAGATTTGGGACGAGTTGCACTGGGCACAGAGACTAGGAAGGGATTGATGTGTAAAATGCCTGGACGTCAGGAACCTCAGACCGTTTGCCTATTTTACGACAAGAATTATTTAGATTTTGCAGGATGGAAAAATTCAAAGTGCCATTTTCTGGCTATTTGGAACTACTGTCAAGTTTGTATTGGGGTCAAGCGGCATTGCAGAAGAAAATAAGGCATTTAGGTTTTAGGTCAGGTGTGAGTTGAAGAGGTTTTAAGTTTTTGAGAACACAGGCCAAGGGAGTAGAAGGAGGAATGGAGGGTGGAAGGTTGCCCATAGTGAAGGAAGCAAGCCTAGAGAAAAGAGAGAGTAGAGAAACGGAGGGAAGGGGTTCGGGGGTTCTTACCTTCCAGAAAACTGGGAAAAGGGGTTGGGGCGCAGAGATAAGAGGTCGGGGCATGGAAATAAGGGATGAGGCGCAGAAATAAGGGGTCGGGGCATGGAAATAAGGGGTCGGGGCACAGAAATAAGGGGTTGGGGCACGGAAATAAGGGATTGGGGGTTCTTGCCCCCTAGAAAAGCAGGACTTGCCGCTAAGGGTGAAAGAGAAGGGGTTGAGGGGTACTTGCCCCTCCCCCAGAAAAGCGGGACTTGCCACTAAGGGTGAAGGAGAAGGGGTTGAGGGGTACTTGCCCCTGCCCCAGAAAAGCAGAGAAGGGGTAGAGACAAGGAGAGAAGGGGTTGAGGGGTACTTGCCCCTTCCCCAGAAAAGCAGGACTTGCCACTAAGGGTGAAGGACCAAGGCAGGCGTCCCTGCATGGTCTAACACCCTTGAAACATGGGTGTATAATCAGAGAGGCATCCCTGCAGTGATTAAACACCAAGGGAAGGCTGCCTTCCCAGTCCGTGACCAGCGCCGAAGTTTTGGGTCCACGGATAAAACGTGTCTCCTTTGTCTCTCCCAGAAAATGAAAGGAATTGAAATTAAGAGAAGGGAGAGATTGAAGAGTGGAAAGGAGAAAGTGGTTGAGGGAAAGTGAGAGAGGTTGAAGAGAGTAAGAAGAGGCTGCTTACCTGATTTAAAATTGGTGAGATGTTCCTTGGGCTGGTCGGTCTGAGGACCTGAGGTCATAGGTGGATCTTTCTCACGGAGCAAAGAACAGGAGTACAGGGGATTGATCTCCCAAGGGAGGTCCCTCGATCTGAGTCACGGCACCAAATTTCATGCGCGTCCATGTGAAGAGACCACCAAACAGGCTTTGTGTGAGCAACATGGCTGTTTATTTCACCTGGGTGCAGGCGGGCTGAGTCCGAAAAGAGAGTCAGCGAAGGGAGATAAGGGTGGGGCCGTTTTATAGGATTGGATAGGTAAAGGAAAATTACAGTCAAAGGGGGTTTGTTCTCTGGCAGGCAGGAGTGGGGGTCGCAAGGTGCTCAGTGGGGGTGCTTTTTGAGTCAGGATGAGCCAGGAAAAGGACTTTCACAAGGTAATGTCATCAATTAAGGCAAGGACTGGCCATTTACACTTCTTTTGTGGTGGAATGTCATCAGTTAAGGTGGGGCAGGGCATATTCACTTCTTTTGTGATTCTTCAGTTACTTCAGGCCATCTGGGCATATATGTGCAAGTCACAGGGGATGTGATGGCTTGGCTTGGGCTCAGAGGCCTGACAGGCTCTGCATACCTGAGGATATTTTAAACGTAAGGAGCCATCAATTCCTTGGATGAGTAAAATGTAGCTTTCCTGGATAGAAAGGTCCATGTCAGATGATCTTTGGAGATCTGTGCTACCTTTAGAACTCTCCAAATCATTTCAGTGATCAAGCTAAAAATAAAATAATATTTATATGAATTCTGACTAAGCAGTCAATCAACAAGTTCATGACAAGTATTCTTGTGATTGGTGGAAATGGAGTCAGTCAATATACATTTTCACTATTCCAGTATTCTCAGGAACAGAATTGGGTACATATTTATATTGACCTTGACTTTGCTGCTGGATAAAATCATCTAGGAATATATAATGTATTTACCGATGTGGAAAATTTATAGCATTCTCATTCAAATTTCTAGCCACAATGTTTATAAACTCATCTAGTATCAGTATCTTTCACCAAATCTTGATTACCAGGAAGGTGGTTACTATGCCCTTTACAATATAATAGTGACTAGCAAATTTAGTAGACAGAGTTCAGAGGTGATAAAATTGTTCTCTTTACTATACATATTGAAGAATTGTTTATTTTTTAATAATAATTTGTTTAATAAAAATAAAATTAAATTATAAAAATAAAAGCAAAGGCAAGCATTCAATAATATTAAGTGACATCAAGTAAGTCTTTTGTATAGTTACCTGACTAGAAGGATGTAATTCTTTGATAGCACTGAATATTTCTTACTCTGCCAGGAAGGTGATGTTTCTGAACAGTTTTAGTGCAGTTATTTATACATTATAGATGTTTATTACATTTTTGATAAACAAAAATAAAATTAGTATCATTAAACCTGTTCTTACAAAATTAACATAAAACACACAAACACATCCAAAACAAAAGTTTGCTCCAGCAATTGATAGCAAGAAGTCAATTACATTGATTTTCATTTTCATGATTTCAGATCAATTTCCAATGTTCCTTTTTTTTGTTTTTCTTAATTTAATCTTAGTCACTAGGTAGATACAGCCTTAAATTATAATTCTTCCATTTAAAGGATTCATGACATTTTAGCAATTGAGATGCCTGAATTAGCAAAGTGTAATTGCAGATTTTAGGATTAATCCTAGAGTTTAAAAGCTAAACTTAAGCATGGATCAGTGTTTCCCACTAACTAGTGACACTCTTTTGCCATTCAGTTTTCCAACTGATAGAGAGTGACTATTGCAGATAATGTTTCTGCATTTAAACCCATAAGAATTATTGTGAAAGCAAGCGGAACTCAAGAGAGACCAGGGGGTTGGAGTGAAAGAACCCTTGCAGTGAAAGGAATCAAGGATTGTCTTTAGAACCCATGCTACCTGAGCAACCAGGTCAAAAAACTTCCTCTAATGAAGATCCATCCATTACCATGACATGCAAGCTCTGTCTGTAGATCACTTTCATGGTCTCCAAAGAAGCTGAGCAGTTATCAGTAACATTCAAAAATCCACTGGAAAGTCATTCATTTCACTTTATGGTCCTAATTAGCCATTTGTATAGTTCTATAATTAAATATGTTCCTTTCTCATCAAGTTTTTCACTTTAGTAATGATACAACTGTGCCACAAACAGGCCCCATGCTGCTGGGTTTGGGACTTATTCATAGCATTTAATTGGTCACCCAGTGGTTAGCCAATAACCCCTTCTATGGGAAGCAACACTCTGAATGCTGTTAATGGGATGGAGGCACAGTGATTGCCTCCTGGTACCCAGCAGTACTGGGAATAAAGCAATTTCCTCCACTGTGTTGTGTGCCCAATAGCTAATCCTTTCCACTCCTGAAATGCACACTATTTGGTTATAAGTATTTGTGCTGGCTTACTTACCGCTGGGTTGTTAATAGGCAGTGATTCTTCAATGCTCCTTCAGTGAAGTTACAGTCTGCTTGCTGACTGCTAATTAAAACAAGTTTGCTCTCTAAGACTGTGACTAAAAGGTAGCAAGGTCATCTTATTTAATGCAATAACCTTTTATTTAACAATGTTGATACACTAGTCATATGTGCACATTTTGCAAACTGGCACATCTATTATTGTTTGCTTCAAAAGGACAAAACTGAGCTACTGACTAGTCTGCTTTCCTTTGAAGTGGAATTGTTAAAAATCCCCAGTTCAAGCTTCTGTTATACAGTTGAAACACAAGGCTTGCTGCAGGATTCTATTTACGGTATTTGGGCTTCTGAAAACAAATAGAAAAAAGTCATCTGTACTAACCACAAATGCCTAAGCTATTAAAGTAATACTTGGATTCTATTCCCATGTGTTTTGTTTTAATTATAGTTTGATATATGAAAGGGCATTATAGACTCTACAAATTAGAAAGTAAAACAATCGGTAGATGGCACTTCCTAACCACCTGCTTGGTGTAAATATACATGATGAAGTCTCAGAAATGGTATTCTGTCCAAAAATGGGATTCTGGACAATAAAATAAAAATTGGAGTGACCTGTAACAGAGACAATCATATTTTGGCTTGTATAATGCCCAGATATTTTAATGTCACATCTCATAAAGATCTGGGGAAAAATCTAATTTGCTGATTTTTTGATGTGCATTTCTTCCTTAACATTCCTGAGATTTACCTCCAATGATGACAAAAAAAGCAATGTAATGTACTCTATAAGACAATATGGTACTTCTTCATAACTTAGGCACTTTTCAGAGAGCCAAGAATGTCAAAGTTAATTGTTCAGTGGTCTCAAAGTTTTCCTAACTCAAAGTTAAACATGATTATTTCAGAAAATATAGTTCTATCTTTCAACCATAAAAAATTAGAAACAATTTAAAAATTCTCCATTCACAACAGAAGGAGAAGAGATATTTTAAAGACAAAATGTTGTGGGTGTGCAAAAAGCAATGTTGTCTCTTGGGGCAAGGTGACGTCACAAGCAATTTGTCTCTAGTGTGTAAAGCAAATACATTTTAGAGGGTTTTAATTTAAATGCCATTTGGGAGCTAGTGTCCTACGTTATATGCCCTACAAAATATGTTCATATGTAGCTGCAATTATGTAGATACAGGTGCATACAGTCAACACTTTTTTGTAGTGATAAATCAGTACTATTTCCCTATTGCTCCTGAAAACTAAACAAATGGCTTGGATACATATTTAAGTCAGGTAATACTTCTAAATGGCCACTGATTTTTGCATGATGATTTTGTTTTGTGAAATTTTACTGAATTCATTTGCTAGTTTTAAAAACAGTTTTTGATGTATGTTGAGTCCATAGGGTTTTCTACATATAAGATTATGACCTTTGTGAACAGAGATAACTTTATTTCTTCCTTTCCATTAGGATGATTTCTATTTCTTTTTCTTGCCTAATTGCTCTGGCTAGGACATTCAGTACTCTATTGAATGGAAATGGTGAAAGTGGCCATACTTGCTTTCTTTCTGATCTTAGAGGAAGGGCTTTTAGTTTTTCACACTTGATATGATATTGGCTCTAAGCTTTTCATATATGGCCTTTACCATGTTGAGGTAATTTTCTTCTGTTCCTAGTTTGTGGAGTGTTTCTATCATGAAAAGATGTTGGATTTTGTCAAGTACTTTTTATGTATCTGTTGAGGTGGATCATACACTGTTATTCTTCATTCTGTTCATATAGTGTATCGTATTCATTGACTTGCTTATGTTGAACCATTCTTGAGTCCCAATGATGAATCTCACTTGGTTATAGTATATAATCCTTTTAATGTGCTTCTGAATTCAGTTTGCTAGTATTTGTAATGAATTTTTTCATCTATGTTCATCAGGGATATTGCCCTATAGTTTTTTTTGTTTTTTTTTTTTCTTTGTAGTGTTATAAGGATTTGGTATCAGGGCAATGCTGGACTCAGAAAATGAGTTTGGAAGTATTCACTCCTCTTCAAATTTTTGGAAGAGTTTGAAAAGACTGGTGTTAGTTCTTCTTTAAATGTTTGGCAGAATACACCAGTGAAGCCATCTGGTTCTGGACTTTTCTTTGTTGGGAGGTTTTGACTACTGATTCAGTCTCCTTACTATCATTGGTCTGTTCAGATTTTCTATTTCTTATAATTTTGTACACTAACAACAAACTGTCTGAAATAAATTAAGAAAACAATCTCATTTCAAATAGCATCAAAAAGAATAAAATATGTAGCATTAAACTTAACTAAAAAGGTAAAGCAGTTGTTCACTAAAAACTGCAAAATACTGATGAAATAAAATAAATTGAAAAAGAAAAAAATAAATACAAAGACATCCATGTTCATGGATTAGAAGACAATATTGTTAAAATGTATATACTACCCAAAGTGATCTAAAGATTCAGTGCAATTCCTATCAAATTTCCAATAAAATTTTTTACAAAAATAGAAAAAGATACCATAAAATTCATGTGAAACCACAAAGGACCCTGGAAAGTAAAAAATAATCTTAAGAAGGTGGCCAGGCCCGGTGATTCATGCTTGTAATCCCAGCACTTTGGGAGGCCGAGGTGGGTGGATCACCTAAAGTCAGGAGTTCGAGATGAGCCTGGCCAACATGGCGAAACCGTGTCTCTACTAAAAATACAAAAATTAGCTGGGCGTGGTGGCAGCACCTGTAATCCCAGCTACTCTGAGGCTGAGGCAGGAGAATCACTTGAACCTGGGAGGCAGAGGTTACAGTGAGTGGAGATCATGCCACTATACTCCAGCCTAGGTGACAGAGTGACGCTCTGTCTCAAATAAATAAATAAATAAATAAATAAATAAATAAATAAATAACAAATAATAAAAAGAATCTTAAGGAGGAACAAAAAAGTTGCAAGTGTCACACTTGCTGATTTCAAAGTACAAACATTTTATTGTGCTTCACTTTATTGCCCTTTTCAGATACTGCTTTTTTTTTTTTTTTTTACAAATTGAAGGTCTGTGGCAACTCTGCATTGAGCAAGTCTATTGGTGCCATTTTCCAAAGGCATGTGCTCACTTCATGCCTTCATTTTGGTAGTTTTAGCAACATTTCAAACTTTTTCATTATTATTATAATATGTTATGGTTATCTGTAATCAGTGATCTTTGATGTTACTATTGAAATTGCTTTGGGGTGCCATGAACTGTGTTTATTCAGAATAACTGTGTTATTCAGAAAACTAGCTAAGAAAATTGATGAAGATATACACAATAAACAATAGATTTTCAGTAGAGATGAAACAGCCTTATATTAAAAGAAGATGCCATCTAGGACTTTTGTAGCTAGAAAGGAGAAATCAATGCTTAGTTTCAAAGTTTCAATGGACAGTCTGCCTCTCTTGTTAAGGGATAATGCAGCTAGTGACTTTGAGTTGAAGCCAATGCTTATTCACCTTTCTAAAAGTCCTAGAATGCTTAAGAATTATGCTAAATCTACTCTGTCTGTGTTCTATACATGCCACAATGACAGCTAGATGAAAGCACACCTGTTTACAGCATCATTTACTAAATATTTTAAGCCCACTTTTGAGACTTACTGCTCAGAGAAAAAAGATTTCTTTCAAACTGTTACTGCTTACTGACAATGCACCTAATCATCCAGGAGTTCTGATGGAGATGTACAAGTGGATTAATGTTGTTTTCTGGGAAAGATATTCTTTCTCCTCTATTTATGAAGCTGAGTTCAGTGGGAAATAACATTTTTGGCTGGCATTCTTTTTAAGAAGGCTAAAAATAGGCCCCTAATATCTTCTGGCTTAAAAGATTTCTGCTGAGAAGCCTACTGTTAGTCTGATGGGATTCCCCTTATAGGTAATTTGCCCCTATTCTCTAGCTACTTTTAAGATTTTTTCCTTTTGGGTTGACCTTGGATAATTTGTTGATTACATGTCATGGGGATGGTTGTGTTGTATAGTTTATCGCAGGTGTTCTCTGAATTTCTTGTATTTGGATGTGGATCTCTATAGCAAGATTAGGGAATTTTTCCTGAATTATTCCCTCAAAAATGTTTTTCAAGTTGCTTACCTTTTATCTTTAGCTCTCAAGAATGCCAATAAATTTGGTTATTTTACACAATTCCATGTTTCTCAAAGGCTTTGTTAATTTCTTTAAATACTTTTTTCTTTATATTTGTCCGACTGGGTTAATTTGAAAGACTGGTCTTTGGGCTCTGAAATTCCTTCTTGTGCTTAATCTAGCCTATTGTGAATGCTTACAATTGTATTTTGAAATTCCTTTAGTAAATTTTTTAATTCTAGAAATTCTATTTTTTAAAAATATAGCTGTCTTATCTTTCATATTTCTGTATTATTTTTGGTTTTTTAATTGAATTTCCATTTTCTCTTGGATCTTGTTGAGTTTCCTCAAAATCAATATGCTGAGTTCTTTACTTGTCATTCCAGACACTTCAATGTATATAGGATCCACTCCTAGAAAGCTGATATGATCCTTTGAAAGTTTCACAACACTGGCTTTTCAAACTGCTGGAGTTCTTATGCTAATTCCTCCTCATCTGAGGTAGCTCTCACTTCTTATTTTTGAATTCACTATCATTTGGATGGGGTTTTAAATTTTTAAATTCTTTTTTCCTTGAGGTTATGTCTGTGGTATATGTTGTGTATGATTGTTTTGCTTCATTTTGGGATACTGTTCAGGGGGCCAAGGCTCTCTATGGGCTCCTTGGTTGTGGATAGCTTTTGAAATTCCTTTAGTGGTGAATATTTTAATGGTAATTCCTTTAGTGGTGAAATTCCTTTTGTGGTGAATTCAGTGTTGCTTGTTGGAGTGACATATTAGATGTATGAGTCAGCACACTATCTCCTGAAGAGCTGAGGGTGTGGAGGTCTCAGAAAGCTTAACTCATGGACTAGAACTAAGCCAATTCAGTAGCAGGTTTTTAATTTGGTGGTGCAGTTCAGGCTGCAGTCTATTAGATGATGCTTATGAGTAAGAGCTGACAGATAGGCTGCTGCTAAGTGGAAGCACCTTCCTGATGAGGATGGTGGGAAGAGATTGTGTTGGGGTGCACTGAGGTCTCGTGGAAAGGGTGGAGGGTTCACCAGCTCCTTATCCTGATTTAGGAAAAACATAATCTGCTTCCCTATCATGCCTCTGTCACAGGGCTCATGACCTTCAGTTTAAGGATTTTGTCCTTTGGTTCCCAACTGCAGTGTGCCACTGTGGGTTATGGATATGCCTTTCTGATGGCTACCATTAAAAGTGGGGCTTGGGGCATAGTCTCTTCTCGCTCTCTAGGGAAGGAATTTCCACAGTATCTTCTTCATTGCCAGGCACTGCCACTCTATGTAGGGAGGGGTAGCTTGGCCCCCGCCCCCACTGTGAAAGCCCCAGAAGTCAGGGTTTACTTGGGGGGTAGAGGGCAACAGACATGAAAAGTGTGAAAAATGCTTTCCCCCAGTGCACACTCTCATTGGCTCCCAGTGCAAAGAACTGCTGCTGCACCTGCGGCAGTGTACAGGGAGGTTGCTGGTGGATGGGAGGTGACCCCATCTTCATGTCTATTCCTGGGTCGATGCTGCAATTAGCCCAGTGCCTGCATCTCCTTTGTACTGAGTGGCTTTGGCGAGCTGTGCTTCCCCTTCCCTTAGGGGTGGTCCATACTGAGGGTTAGATCTCCAGGGGCCCTGCAGCTCTTCAGGGCACCACTGGTGGCCCTGTGTTTAACAAAGTCAAGGCAGGTTGTGGGAGTATGTTTGCAGGGATTGTGGTGGTATAGTGACACAAGGGCAAGTAATCCCAAGCAAGGTCATGTCCTACCATGGGCATAACCAGTGTGACACCAATAATCTCAGTTCAGTCAGAGAGAAATGCAGGAACATCTGTGTGAGTTGGCCACTCAGGTAGCTGTCCCCAGGAAGTTCCCAAATTGCCACTGATGGCATTACCTGGGTTGTGAGGACAGAGGAACTCCCCAAGAGTTTCACTATCAGCAGATTGTCAGAAGGCTGAGCGGAGCAGGGAAGCACTTTCACCTATCATTTCCATGGGGCTTCAAATTCCTTGGGGGTCAGTCTCTGCCAGACTCCTGCTGATTTTCCTTTTCTGTGCCCTGGCTTCTCTCTGTGGGCACTCTGACAAAGCATAGCTCTCTTTTTTCAGTTTTCTGTTCAGAACTTATCCATTTTTGAGTAATTTTGATCTTCTTTCTGAGGAGAACTGACCTCCAATGTCCCTAGCCAGCCATCTTGAAAACTCCTTATTGGCTTAATGTTTTTTTTATGTCTGCTAACACAGCATCCATTCTATAGCCCATGGATCAAGAGTAATTTCACTTTCAAGTCTTATTAATTAAGAAATAAAAATTTTAAGGATATACCTGCAAAGCCACAGGGGTGGAGCTGCCAAAGGCCGTGGGAGTCCACCTTTTGCATTGGCATGACCTGCGTGTGAGACATAGAGTCAAAGATCATTTTAGAACTTAAGGTTTAATGAATGCCCTACTGAATTTTGGACTGTCATGGGGGCTATTTCCTTTCATTTTGACTAATTTCTCCCATTTGGAATGGGTGTATTTACCCAATGCCTATAACTTTATTATGATTAGAAAGTAACTAACTTGCTTTTGATTATATGGACTCATAGGCAGAAGGAACTTGCGTTGTCTCAGATGAGACTTTGGACATGGACTTTTGGGTTAATGCTGGAATGAGTTAAGACTTTGGAGGGAACTGTTGGGAAGGCATGATTTCATTTCAAAATATAAGTACAGGGGCCAAGGGTGGAATAATATGGTTTGGCTGTGTCTCTAGCCAAATAACATCTTGAAATGTAGTTTCCATAATCCTCACATGTTGTGGGAGGGACCCAGTATGAGGTAATCGAATCATGGGAGAAGTTTTCCCCATGCTATTCTCATGATAGTGAGTGAGTTCTCGTGAGATCTGATGGTGTTATATGGGGCTTTTCCCTTTTTGCTCAACACTTCTCCTTTCTACTGCCCTGTGAAGAAGGTGCCTTTCTTCCCCTTCACCTTCTGTCATGATTGTAAGTTTCCTGAGGCCTTCCAAGCCATGTGAAACTATGAGTCAATTAAACCTCTTTTCTTTATAAATTACCCAGTCTTGGGTATTTCTTCATAGCAGCATGAGAAAAGACTAATACATTAGCAACTTTTTAGCAATAAAGTATTTTTAAATTAAGATCTGTTCATTGTTTCTTACACATAGTGAACATTAAGTACACCACAGTAGAATGTAAGCATCATTTTTATGTCTACTAGAAAACAAAAAAATTTTACGTGAGTCTCTATTGCAATGGTTGCTCTATTGAGGTAATCTGGAATTGAAACCACAATATCTCTGAGGTATGTCTGTATGTTACAAGGCTACAGTAATTAAAGCAGTATGGTACTTGCTATAGACTGAATATTTGTGTCTGTCCAAATTTCTGTGTTGAAACAGTAACCCCCAGAGTGATTATATTGGGAAATGGGGTCTTCAGGAAGTAATTAAATAACAAGGATGGAACCCTCATAAATGGCCTTAGTGGCCTTATTTTATTTAAAAAAAAAATAAAGTTCTCTAGTTCTTTTCTGCCATGTGAGGACACAGTGAGAAGATGACTGTCTGTGATCCATTAAGCAGATCCTCACCAACAACAAATCACCAGTGCATTGATCTTGGTCTTCCCAGTCTCCAGAACTGTAAGGAATGAATGTTGATTGTTTAAGCCACCAAGTCTATGGTATTTTTGTTATAAAAGCCTGAACAGACTAATAAAGAACTGGCATAAAGACAGGTATATAAACCAATGAAACAGAATAGAAAGCATGGGGAATAATCCCACGCATATACCATCAACTGATTTTTGACACAAGAGCCAATTATACACAATGGAGGAATGAAAGTTTCTTCAAAAAATGATGTTGAAAAAAATAAAGATTCATGTACAAAAGAATGAAATTGGACTCTTATTTTACATCATACACAAAAATTAACTCAAAATGGATATTGATGACTTAAATATAATACCTAAAACTGTAAACATCATAGAAGAGAACACAGGAGAAACACCTTATGACATTGATTTTTGGCAATGATTTCTTGGATATGACACCAAAAGCACATGCAACAAAAGCAAAAATAGACAAGTGGGACTATATCAAGCTAAAATGGCTCTGTTCTGCAAGCCAATCAACAGAATGAAAAGGCAACATATTGAATGGGCAAAAATATTTAAAAACCATATACCTGATAAGAGGTTAACATCCAAAATATATAAAGAAATCCTGCAACTTAATAGCAAAAAAAAAAAAATACTGAAAGATGGGCAAAATACTTGCAAGGACATTTCTCCAAAGATGACATATAAGTGGCCAATATATGTATGAAAAGATACTCATCATCACCAGGGGAATGCAAATTGAAGGAACAATGGGATATCATCTCAAACTTGTTAGGATGGCCACTATTAAATAAAAAAGAAAATAAGATGTTGGTGAAGATGTGGGGAAATTAGAATCCTTGTACACTGCTGGAAATGCAAAATGGTGCAGCCTTTATGGCAAACAGTATGAAGATGTTCCTCTAAAAATTAAAAGTAAAATGACCATATGATCCAGCAATGACAATTCTGGGCATATATCGAAAAGAACTGAAATTAGGATCTTGAAGAGATGTCTGCAGTTCCTTGTTTATTTCAGTATTATTCACAATAACCAACAAATGAAAACAGCCTAAATGTTCAATGACAGATGAGTGGGCCTGCTGTGCCACCACCACCACTGGGATGAGTGTGTGCACTGATGCTGGCACCCCCATCGCTGCCCCACCTATGTGCAGGCAACCCGCCACACTGCTGCAGCTGTTGGTGAAACTGCCATTGCAAAATTATAATTGAGATAGTGAAAGAGTTCTAACCTAACCCAACTCCACCTTGCTTCTAATCTCCAAGTTGTCCTTGTTCATTCCTAGGCATAGGATGAACTAACTTTGGGAGGAACTTAGTTTATAGTTTAGCTTTGAAACAAAGATGATAACAGCCCTTTCCTCAAACAAACCCCTTTTCTGCCTGGGGGCTAGACTGCCTTTGCAGGACTAACAAATTAGCCACAAGATCAGAAATTAGGAGTCATGCAGCTGGAGGCCACAAGATTCTAAACATCTCCAAATTGCTCCTGGGGATAATATTACAAATGCAAAATCCAAATCAGTGCTCGAGATATTTTGCGGACCCTGTTCTTGATGGATCAGTTGGTACCACCCAGATGGATAAACTGGCTCATCTGGTCTTGTGGCTCCCACCCAGGAAGTAACTCAGCATAAGAGGATAGCTTTGTCTGCTTATGATTTCATCTCCAACTCAACTAATCAGCACACCTGAATCACTGTCCCCCTGTCCACCAAGTTATCCTTAAAAGGCGCCCCTACCATCTGGGATATGAGGAGCACCTCTGCCCAGCCACCGCTCCATCTGGCAAGTGAGGAGCGCCTCTGCCTGGTCCCCCCACCTTCTGAGAAGTGAGGGGCACCTCTGCCTGCCCGCTTCACCATCTGGGAAGTGAGGAGCACCTCTGCCCAGCTGCCCACTGTCTCGGAAGTGAGGAGCACCTCTGTGCAGCTGCAGCCCTGTCTGGGAAGTAAGGAGCACCTCTGCCCAGCCCCCCGCATCATCTAGGAAGTGAGGAGCACCGCTGCCTGGCCACTGTGCAACCCTCCAAGTGTGAAGTGATAGCCTTGTGTGTGATCTTTCTGCCCTCCTCAAGTTTGCATTTTTGACATTAAAGTTTGCTTTTTAATTAAAAACAAAAACAACAACAAGAAAAAAACTCCGATCCCTGAATTGTCAGGGAGACTGATTAGAGTAATAATAATACAATTCTGTTCTCTTGCACAGCCAGCTCTGCATGAATTAATCTTTCTCTATTGTAATTCCCCTGCCTTGATAAATTGGCTCTGTCTAGGAAGCAGGCAAGGTGAACCCACTGGGCAGTTACACTGGCAAACATGAGTGAGCATGGATATTGCTGCTACCACCTGAACAAAGTGTTTTGGCTGGGTGTTGGAGCTAGTGGACCAGGAACACTTCAGGTCATCTAGTACAGCAGGTTCCTAATCTCAAGGGGCGGAATCAAAGCCAGTTGACCAAACCCACCTTAATTCACAATCAAACCACCAAAGGGCATCAAAGGATACAAAAGCGAAAAACCCCATCCACGAACGGTAACTTCAGAGATTAAAGGAACATCAGCCCACACGGTTAAGAAAGAACCAGTGCAAGAACTCTGGCAACTGAAAAAGTCAGAGTGTCTTCTCAGCTCCAAACAACTGCACTAGTTTCTTAGCAATGGTTATTAACCAGACTGAAATAGCTGAAATGACAGATGTGAAATTCAGAATATGGATAAGAATGAAGATCATTGAGATTCAGGAGAAAGTTGAAGCCCAATTCAAGAAATCTAAGGAATACATGAAACAGTATAGGAGCTGAAAGATGAAATGACTTTAAGAAAGAACCAAAGTGATCTAATGGAGCTGAAAAGGACACTACGAGAACTTCATAATACAATGGCAAGCTTTAAAAGCACAATAGCCCAAGCTGAGGAAAGAATTTCACAGCTTGAAGACTAGTTCTCCAAATTAATTTACTCAGACAAAAATGAAGAAAAAAAAGTAAACAAAACCTCAGAGAAATATGGTATTATGTAAAGAAACAAATCTACAACTCAATGGCATCCTTGAAAAAGAGGGAGAGAAAGTAAGCAACTTGGAAAATATGTTAGAGAATATCATCCACAAAAATTTCCCTAACATCACTAGAGAAGCCAATATTCAAATTCAGGAAATTAAGTGAATCCCTGCAAGATATTATACATGATGACCATCCCTAAGACACACAGTCATCAGATTCTCCAAGGTAAAAATGAAATTAAAAATATTAAAGGCTGCTAGAAAGAAGAGGCAGGTTACCTACAAAGGGAACCCCAGTAAGCTAACAGTGGACCTTTTAGTAGAAACCCTACAAGCCAAAAGAGATAGGGCCTATATTCAGCATTCTTAAAAGAAAGAAACTCCAACCAAAAATTTCATATCCACCTAAACCAAGCTTTGTAAACAAAGGAGAAATAAGATCTTTTTCAGACAAGCAAATGCTAAAGAGATTGATTAGCACCAGACCTGCCTTATAAGAAGTCATTAAGGGAGTGCTAAATATATAAATGAAAGGTTATAGCCAGCCATACCACAAACACACTTAACTACATAAACCATTGACACTATAAAGCAACTACACAATCAAATCTACATAATAACCAGCTAACAACATAACTACAGGTTCAAATCTGCACATATCAATATATACCTTGAATATAAACAGACTAAATGTCCCAATGATAAGGCACAGAGTGGCAAGTTGGATGACGGTGCAAGACCCAACTGTATGCTGTCTTCAAGAGACCCATCTCACATGCAATGACACCAATAAGCTCAAAGTAAAGGGATGGAGAAAAATCTACCAAGCAAATGGAATGCTATTTTAATTTCAGACAAAAAAGACATTAAACCAACAATGATCAAAAAAGACAGCAGGGCATTCCATAATCATAAAGAGTTCAATTCGACAAGAAGATTACCCATTCTAAATATATATGCACCCAACACAGGAGCACCCAAATTTTATAAAATAAGTTCTTAGAGGCCTATGAAGAAACTAACCCCACAATAATAGTGAGAGACTTCAACACCCACTGACACTATGAGACAGGTCATCAAGGCAGAAAACTAACAAAGATATTCAGGACTGGAACTCAACCCTTGACCATTTGGACCTAGCAGACATCTACAGAACTCTCCACCCCCAAGCAACAGAATATACATTCTTCTCATCTGCACATGACACATAATGTAAAATTGACCACATAATCAGCCATAAAACAATTCTCAGAAAACATTAAAAACATGAAATCATACCACCACACTCTCAAACTATGATGCAATAAAAATAGTAATCAATACTAAGATCAATCAAAATCATACAACTATATGGAAGTTAAATAACCTGCTCCTGAATTACTTCTGGGAAATAATGAAATTAAAGCAGAAATAAAGAAATTCTTTGAAACTAATGAGAACAAAGATACAATATACTAGATTTTCTGGGACATAGCAGCATTAAGAGGAAAGTTAATAGTGCTAAATGCCCATATCAAAAAGTTAGAAAGATCTCAAATTAACAATCTAACATCAGACCTTGAAGAACTAGAAACACAAGAGGGAATCAACCCCAAAGCTAGCAGAAGACAAAAAATAACCAAAATAAGGGCTCAATTACATGAAATTGAGACTTAAAAAACCATAGAAAAGATCAACACATTCAGAAATTGGTTTTTTGAAAGAATAAATAAGACCACTATTAGACTAGACTAATAAAGAAAAAAAGAGAGAAGATCTAAACAAGCATTATCATAAATGACCAAGGGGACATTACTACTGACCTCACAGAAATACAAGAAACTCTGAGACTATTATGAAGACTTCTACATTACTATTATGAAAACCCCAACATCATTAAGCGTAAGAGAAATGCAGATTAAAACCATGATGAGATACCATCTCCCACTAGTCAGAATGGCTATTACTAAAAAGTAAAAAAATAACAGATGTTGGTAAGGTTTAGAGAAAAGGAAATGCCTGTACACTGCTGGTGGGAATGTAAATTAGTTCAGCCACTGTGGAAAGCAGTTTGACTAGTTCTCAAAGAACTTAAAATGGAACTACCATGCCCCCAGCAATCTCATTATAGGGTATATACTCAAAGGAATATAAATCATTCTACCATAAACATACATGCACACGTATGCTCTTCTCACCACTATTCAGAAGAGCAAAGACATGGATTCAACCTAAATGCCCATCAACAGTAGACTGGATAAAGAAAATGTGGTACACGTATACCATAGAATATTACACAGACATAAAAAAGAATGAGATCATGTCCTCTGCAGCAACATGGATGGAGCTGGAGGCCATTATCTAAAGTGAACTAACACAGGAACAGAAAACCAAGTTCCACATCTTCTCACTTATAAGTAAGAGCCAAACATTGAGTGCTTATGGACACAAAGATGGGAACAACAGACACCAGGACCCACTTGAGAGAGGAGGGTGGGAGGATGGGAAGGATTAAAAACCTACCTATTGAGTACTATGCTTATTACCTTGGTGATGAAATAATCTGTACACCAGACCCCTACAACATGCAATTTACCTATATAACAAATCTGCACATGTACCCCTCAAACTAAAGTAAAAGTTTTTAAAAATAATGATTTCTACATTTGAAAAATACACACCTTAAAAATGAAAATGAACTGAAACTTGGGTTTGCCTCTTTCTCTCTCCCCACCTCTCCACTGTCTCCATTCTATAGTACAAGTGGCCTCCCATACCTGGCTGTGGACATTTCTGCTTGCACATACAAGCTTGAACATATTGCTAACACACAGTGTCCCCATGGCCACCTCTCTGGCCAAGGTGCACATCCTGACAGCAGGGTCTTCCATCAAAGAGATAGACAATTAAATACACATAGGCCTTTTTAATGTGAGGCCACTTTTGCCTGTATCTAAAAGAGATACTGAATCTAGTCTTTTTCACTTCTTAATATAAATGTATTCTGAATTTTAAAATGTAGTTAAAATAATAAATAAAAGTAAAGCCTGTATGACTTTAAAATATGAACTAATCCTTTAAGTTTCCTTTAAATATAAATGCACATAAAAAGAGAAACATAAAGAAAGAAGACAGATAATGGATAAAGAAAATGTGGTGTATACGTACAGTGGAATATTATCCAACCGTAAAAAAGTTGGAAATCATCCCATATGCAACAACATGAGTGAACCTTGAAAACATTATGCCAGGTGAAATAAGTACACCACAAAATGACAAATATTACATGTATCTAAAATGGTTAAACTCAGAAACAGAAAGTAAAATGGTGGTTCCTAAGGGCTCTGGGGAGAGGGAAATGGGGATTTGCTGTTTGAGTATAAACTTCAATAACACAAGATGAATAAGTTCTAGAGATCTGCTGTACAATTTTGTTTTGTAGTTGATGATACCTTACTGTACACTTAAAAATTTGTTAAAACAATCCTTCATATATTAAAGGTAGGTTCTCTTCTTAAATTTATGCTCAAAGGAAAGGACTTGAAATTCTTCGCTGGTTGCTTTTTCTTTCTATACATCTTTAGCTTAAAACTGCTATTTCAGTATGCACTTACAGTTTAGACAAAAATGTTGATTCAAGTCTAGAAAAATAATGCAGGATTTGAATGATGTAGCTTGAAATTTTCTTCAACTTTTTTGCAACTGTGAAATGTATACAATATATTATTTAAAAATGTTGCATTGTATTCTAATATACTAAAGCCTATTAACATTTAATGTGTATTATTAAATCAATGATAGTTTTTACTTTAAACTCAACATTGCTTTTAATTATAAATTCATCTGCTAAAGCAATAAATAACTTCAAAACTTTTTTGGGGAAAGAAAGTTTGTGTAAAATAAAAAATCCCAATAATAAAAGAAAGTATGTTCCTAAAAAGATAAAGAAAAAAGTTGAAATTATTTAAACTAAAGTGTAATAAATTATGTCTTAATATAGCTAATATATCATCTTTCTTTGTCCTTTTTTATAATACTTCTTCAGAACATTCATTGAGTTAATATAAAAGCAAATTATAATTCATTCAAATTCAATGAATGTACACATTTGCACATCTATACGTACCCACCCACAAATTTTTATTGATAATGACTCATTGATAGTGAGAAAATAACAGCAAAATACTTCTAAGTTGAAAATCTATTTCTACTATTAACAAATTACCCAACCTTGGGAATGTTATTTTCTCTCCTTGTTCTTTGTTTCTTCTTCCAGAAAATATTAGTACATCCATATTATAAATAATTTGAAAATAAAAATAAATATTCACTACCTTTGAAATAGTTTTGAAATATTGTTTATCTATACTCATATCCATATGCCATATGTGTATGCATATAACATATATACATACATATACTGTATACAAACTTTAACTTTTCTAACTTATTTGTGATTAGGATAATTCTAAAAGTATAATTTATTTAACATTGAAAACAGTTGAATGTAGAGATGAAGAGCAGAAGCTGTAGCCAGGCTTGCTGGTTCTGTCTCTCACTGTCTGTGTCACACTGGACAGTTTCCTTATCTTTCCAACAGATGAAACCATAATATCTACTTCATAGACTTACTGAGAGGACTAAGTGAGGTAATGTACAAAGTGCTTATAATAGTGTCTGGGACATTACAAAACCCAATAAACACTGGCTATTATTATCATCATTATATGAAAAATCTTATTTGGTTCTTGCCACAATATTTGATATATACTGGCAAAAAGATTAATAAACATAATTTCTGTCCACATGGGTTTAAAAATCTTCTGAGGTTATTAAATTATAGTAAATGAACAAGCAAATAAATAAATTATTATAGTTGGGATCAATGTTATATGGGAAATAAATTATATGCTCTAATTTAGAATAATAGGATAATCTCCCTATCTGCTGTATTCAGGAACAGTCTTTCTAAGATCTAAATGGTGAGGAGCCAGCCATAGGCAAAGAGCAGAGAGAATATTGGAGGAAAAAAAAAGTCTTGTGTTTGAGTAAGTGAAATGGAAAACAAGAGTGGTTGTCAGAGAATGAGATACTTGGAACGAAAGTTTGGAGGGCTTATAGAGTCAATAATGGATATTATTTAAAGCGAAAGCATAGGAGTACATTGCAGTGGTGGAGTGAAGAAAAATATATTTGGAGATAAGGATTATAAGATCAGAGGGGAAAGAGTGTCAGATGATTTAGAGACACAAATGAAGTCACAGCATGAGCGATGTACAGGCATAGGGAAAGCCTGATAAAGGAAAAGGATTCAGATGATTGGAGAAGGTCAGAATACAATAGGAACTAGAAGCTGTATAGGTAGACACCGTGAGTCTTAGAGAAACAAGGTTTTTTTCAGGAGGAATGGGTGAGAAAAGGCCTGGGGCTGGCACTAGGGAGCAGAGAGGAGCCCTGTCTTCTTCCACAGGCTCTAAGCCAAATGGGGTATTAGAAGTGGTACCTTTTACTTGAGATGGCTCCAGAACAAAATATGTTCTCTAATTTTGAGTTAACATAACAAAGTGATGTGAATCTTTTCAATACATGGAGATTGAGGATATAAAAGAGTTTGGTGATGACACAGAAGATGCTAGAGGCAAAGTAATAGAATGCCTTGCAAGGCAAGCATGGCAGATTGTCATATGGTGAGCCACAGTGAATCATGTCCTTATATAATCCCCTCTTCCTAAGTGCAAGTGGAAACTGTTATTTGCTTCTAACAATAAAATATGGTTAAGGTGATGGGATGTCACTCCCATGCCTATGTTACATTGTTACATATACTGTAATTTAGAATAATAGGAGGATCTCCCTATCTGCTGTATTCAGGAACAGTTTTTCTAAGTAAGATCTAAATGGTGAGGAGTCAGCCAGTCTATAAGAAGACTCTGCCTCGGCAAACTGCAATGAGAGATTCAGTGGCTGGTCTTGAAGGAGCAGACAGCCATGTTGTAAACTGCCTACAGAAAGGATCACACGACAGGGAATTGTGGGTGACTTCTAGGACCTGAGGGCAGCCTCCAGCAACCAGCCAGAAAGAATCCAAAGCCCTAAGGCATACATCTAACGACAAGGAAATTAATGTTGTCAATGTCCCAAATGAACTTGGATTTTTCCCTAGGCGAGTCTCTAGATAAGAACTCAACCTGGCTGACATCCCGATTGCAGCCTGGTGAGAACCAGAGCAGAGAATCCAAAAAAACTGCCCCGACCTTTGTCCCACAGAGACTGTGGGATAATAAGTGTTTTTGTTTTAAGTCACTAGATTTGTGATTGTTTATACAGCAACAGAAAATTAATAAAACAAGAAAGAGAAGAGGAATTGGATCAGACCAGAGAAGGTACGTACCCTATTGGAATGAAACAGAGTAAGCATAAACTCTTGACCAAATCTGAGTTTTGGTTGAATTCATTCCAACAGTTTCTTAGAGGAGAGTGGACACTTGTTTGTAGGATTGTGATCATGTATATTGAGCTCAAAGGAATGGTGACTTTAGTGAGGTTGTTCTTGGGTTGAGTTAGCTATCCCTTCATGCTAGAAAAGATGCTATGGTTGCTTTAATTCTTCAAAGGCTGATTTTATCTGAGATCTGAGATAGCCTTGTAGGAGAAGGTGAACAGACCACAGAGCAGATCTAAGATCTCATAGTAGAATCGTTATTGTAATTTTAAACATAGTAAAACAGATCTTATCAAAGCTTACGTTACTAATAAGATGCAGACCTTGGATTTGAACCTCAGCCCTGTGACAAGAGATCTTATGTACTTAACTGCTCTGTGATAAGCATCAGCAATGAGTGGTGGATACTGGACTGGATCAAATGGGTGTTAGGTGTAGAGCACTATAAAGTAGAATCAGCTTCACCAAGATATGGGCTTATTTCTAGCATAAAGATAAAGAAGAGAGGGAAGAGCAATGCACAATGTGTGAAAGAAACAAATTTATAAGTCCAACCAGAGGAAGAACATTTCAGATATACTGAGCTTGGATTCAGCTATAGGAGCCATTTGAAGTTCAAGGTATCTACAGCAAATGGGAACTAGGATAAGGATAAGTAGAAGGAAAAGAAGCTGAAGAGAAATAAAAGAAACAAGGGCTAGAAAAGGAAAAGGAAGAAGAGTAGTACATTTATAATTTGGAATGGATAAAAGAAGGGAGGAAGAAACCCAGTGGAAAAATAGTTAAGAAAAAATGTTTTAAAAAATATTTGGCTATTCCGTAACAACCTTAAGAAGACAAAAGAAGAGCTAATAATTAAGAACAATAGAATTTGAAATTTCTTACATGAGGGCAAGCTGTTTCCCAATAAGACATTATGTTGTAGGACTCCTGATTGAGGTGGAAAAATAAATCAAAAGGATATATTTGGGTTTATTCAAATATCAGGAGTCAGGGATCTCAAGTTGGCTTTCAGGTCAGCAGAAAGACTGGCATCATTTGGTGACTGCATACGAAGGCAAAAAAAAAAAAAAAAAAACTGCTTGAAAAACTTGGAGATACTTCTGCTTCACAGGCTAAATGGTCTGTAAATTTTATCCAGGAATGGCCTGGTTCTGAAAGATGCTGTTGTGAGTTCATAGTACCAGGAATAGACTTATTGGGTTTTAAAAGATAGTAATAAACCAGAGAGACACCCAAGGGAAAACAGAATCTAAAACTACTCACAGAAGTTTTTCATTTATGGTCAGATAAAGTTATGATTGAAATCTGAGACACTCAAAAGGATCTGGGGTATTCCATTAGAAAATTTAAGAAATAACATATATATATATATATATATATATGTCATCGGGAGTAGTGTTATGGATTTGAAGGGATAAGATAAAAAAAATTTAACTTGACAAGATATCTCACTTTTAGGAATCTATTCTACATAAAGAAAATAATGTATTTACTTATTGAGCGCTTTACACACTTAAAAGCATTCAACAGATTTTTTAAAAATTTATTCGTGTATTTATTCATTTATTCACAATTTAAAATTTATTGCTTTTAATGCTTCCTGGTGGATTCAGTTGCCCAAGGCATGAATAGATTTAATATTTTGCTGAGGTATACAGTTTAACCACATGCACTGCCAGGCTGCTGTGTGGAGACTTATAGGCTAGGCAGCAAATACTCCTATTTGGCTGCTCATAAGTGTACACTTTAAAATGACTTAGCTGTTGGTTATTATTCTTGCCACTATAACACTTCAATTTTTGAGATAAAATTCCATTTCCTTGTATATATTGGCTTTAGAAAAACAGAAAGTCAACTTCTAGTGTAAAGGGAGGATTCATAGACTTCTGCAATTCAATGGGTATTTTGACATAGGCCTTGAGAAAATGATGAGTTTACTGAAAAAAGGCACTGCAGTGTTTCTAAGATAAGTAGCTACTCAATTATCTGAGCATAGGGAAATGCTCCATTCAACATGTTCAGAGAAGTCAGAGAGAGCTCCACTTTGGAGCTAACACGTTGAGCTGACATGTGATGGTTGAGTAGATTAGAGAGCTGTCTCCTTTTCCTGGAATGCCTTCTTGCCCTGTCTCTCTTCATGTGTGATAGGCTAGGCTGGCACAGACATAGTGGTGATTGAAACTTATGGGAAATCATGAGACATTTCAGCTCAGGTGCACTGGCTCATCCCTTTAATCCCAGCACTTTGGGAGGCAGAGTCGGGAGCATCGTTTGAGCCTGGGAGTTCAAGACCAGCCTGCGCACACAGTGAGATACCGTCTCTACAATAAATAAATAAATAAATAAATAAATAAATAAATAAATAAATAGCTAGGTGTGGTGGTGTGCACTTGTAGTGCCAACTGCTTGAGAGGCTGTGGCCAGAGGATTCTTTGAGCCCAGGAGTTTGAGACTGTAATGAGCCATGATTGTGTCACTGCACTCCAGCCCAGGAAGCAGAACAAGACCCTGTCTTTTAAGGAATAAAAAGGTATCTCAGAGGTGAAAATGAAAGGTTTTGATGATTGGGGCAGTTGAAAATGAAAAAGTCTAGGATAACACTGCAGTTTTAAGGTTGAACAATTAGTTCAATAGGGATATAGGAGGCAAAGGCATGGGGAACACAGGAGGGAAGCCAATTGGATGGAAGCCCAATACATTTAAAATGAAGATCATGCTAATACTTACCTCATAGATCTGTTATGAGCATTAAATGAGTTAATAAATATGAAGCGTATAGAACAATGCCTGTACGTTGTCATCATTTAATAAACATTAACAGATACTATTAAGAGGAATAGTAAGTAAACTTTTATATAACAAATTGATAGACTGTCATAATAAAAAGTTATTCACAATAAAAAAATGTATAAAATGACAAAAAAAGCATACTACTTAACTGAGTAGTCACATATTATATAAAATATTGAGTTGAAAATGATTAGGCTGGTGGAACTAAGAGAAATTTGTTTTTATGTTAAAATGTTTGTCTAGACATAATAGAAGTTGACTGTTTTTATAACTTTTGAGGTGAAAATGGGGCATTATATGCAAATTGCTCATAACCATGTTATTATAAAAGGGATGCTAAATTAGAGAAAAAAGAAGGCAAAAATTGAGTTTGTAATCTCAGTTCAATGAAATTTCCTGTGACTTTAGGAGTAGAATACAGGAAGATATGGTTTTACAGAGATGGTGATAGGGATAGGATGAAAGAAAGGAGAAAAGAGAGAAAGAAAAGAAAAAGCAAACAAGGCTTTGGCTTGAGAAAGTAAAAGAGAAAGGAAACTTTAAAACTAATAGGAAAAATTGGATAAAGATCTCTAAACACCACATGAAGAAGGAAAAGTGGAAATGGGATCAATACAGAATCTTTTATGAAAGGAACAAGAGAAGGAACTAGGTTATGATAATGTCAGTGAAATCATTGAAATCACACAAATATCTGGGCAACATATTGTGAAATCAAAACTTCTAAGAATACATCAGGAAGAAAGGTTTTTACCTATGGTACACTCTGAAAAATGAAGTTAGATATATTTTAGCACATCAAATTTAGTTTCAGATATTAGGGAAATATTTATTGCAAGATGTAGGACTAAGATTGGGGATGTCATATCAGTCAACAATTGACAAGAGCCACGTGAGGATAATATTTATATTAATATATATGTAAGACATCTGAAACACTTGAGTGTATTGGAATGGACAAGATTATAGATAAGTATTTGGAAAGGGTGAAAAATGAAATTTATAAGAATCTTAAAAAATGCAAAAAAGGAATGTAAAAAATACAACCATTTAAATTGATGGTGACATTTTGCATATAACATGAAGGATAATATTAGAATTTCAGCATTCACAGAAAACATGTAAGAAATAAATATTGTAACTAAAACTTATCTTTGAAACCAAATATTTAAATTGGCATATAGAAATGGAGATACGAAACCACTTATTTAAATGTATATATTAACAGTTTTAAGTATTTAACGAAAAGGGATAGACATACCTCAGCTAATTAAATAAAAGTGAACAGGCAACTTACAGAATGGAAGAAATTTTTTGCAATCTACCCATCTGACAAGGGGCTAATATCCAGTATCTACAAAGAACTCAAAGAAATTTACAAGAATAAAACAAACAACCCCATCAAAAAGTGGGTAAAGGATATGAACAGACACTTCTCAAAAGAAGACATTTATACAGCCAACAGACACATGAAAAAATGCTCATCATCACTGGTCATCAGAGAAATGCAAATCAAAACCACAATGAGATACCATCTCATGCCAATTAAAATGGCGATCATTAAAAAGTCAGGAAACAACAAATGCTGGAGAGGATGTGGAGAAATAGGAATGCTTTTACACTGTTGGTGGGAGTGTAAATTAGTTCCACCATTGTGGAAGACAGTGTGGCGATTCCTCAAAGATCTAGAACTAGAAATACCATTCAACCCAGCAATCCCATTACTGAGTATATATCCAAAGGATTATAAGTCAAGCTACTATAAAAACACATGCACATGTATGTTTATCGCGGTACTATTCACAATAGCAAAGACTTGGAACCAACCCAAATGTCCATCAGTGATAGACTGGATTAAGAAAATGTGGCACATATATACCATGGAATACTATGCAGCTATAAAAAAGGACGAGTTCATGTCACTTGCAGGAACATGGATGAAGCAGGAAGCCATCATTCTCAGCAAACTATCACAAAGACAGAAAACCAAACACTGCATGTTCTCACGCATAGGTGGGAATTGAACAATGAGAACACTTGGACACAGGGCAGAGAACATCACACACTGGGGCCTGTCAGAAGGTGGGGGAATGGGGGAGGGACAGCATTAGGAGAAATACCTAACGTAAATGACGATCTGATGGATGCAGCAAACCAACATGGCACATGTACACCTATGTATCAAACCTGCACACTGTGAACATGTACCCTAGAACTTAAAGTATAATTTTAAAAAAGTGCAAATAAAGACCACTTTTACGGCTCCTTTGGATGATTTTATGATGTTAGATGAAAAGAATCACTCCCAAAGTGGGCAATTTGGTAGCTGTAAAAGGAGTATGGGTAAATCCCAGTGAGAATAGAAATAAATAGCATATATAGTGGAGATGGTCGAGGATATGGGAGCCTGCACCTTTCCAAGAGAAGGGTGAGGATTCATTAACAATGAACAATGGAAGCCTCTCGTAGAAAATTTGAAAGATTTAAAGATCAAATTAAAAATGCCCAGCTGCAAAAGTGTTTATAGGGTGCTTAGATAAAAGTAAAATAAGATAAGCAATGGATAATAGTAAAACATAGAAAATTTAATCCTTTTTTGTTTTATAAAGAGAAGGGATGATTATTAGGTATTAGGGGTAGGGGCAGAAATATCAAGAACAAATCCAAGTATTGCCAAATTAACACATAGAGGATTTACGAGTAACAAGTAATGGATGTAGACAAGATAAACAAAGAGATTTAAGATGGATTAGAAGTAGATAATGCAGATAACAAGTTGTTTGCAGAACTATCTTAACAGCAAGATATATCTATATATATAATATGTGTGTATTTATATATATATGTGAGTATGTGTGTATGTGTATTTTTGTGTGTATATGAATGATAGGATTCCAAGAAATTTAATAGCGAGTGATTTAAGGGCAGGCACCAAAGTTCAATAAATGATTTATGGTCTCCTTGGTCTAGTCCCTGCAGAAGGCCAGTGCTTTGTGGCTGAAAGCTCTACTGCTGCACTTTTCAAGACTTCTGGGGTCCAACCTAGCGTCCTTTGACTGTTGATTTCAAAAGCATGGGAGAGAAAGCAAAACAATCACCACCATGAGACAGAGAAGATTAACAATTATATGTTTAAAAAGTAAATAGAATAAATATTAGAAACTAAATATTAGAAACTGGAGGCCACTGATGTCATTAACACCAGCTGCAAAATTTTTAAAGAAATTTTCTACAAGGACTGGTGAAAAACAGCTTATGGCACAGTACTCCAGCCAGAGCACAAGACTACCAAAACATAGAATTTAGCCGCCTTAATTTTGGCAAACAAGACAAATCACATAATATGTTTAGGGAAGAGAGGAACCATTCTTTGTGCACTAAAGAAAAGGCTTCTATTCAGACAAATCATGATTTTCTCTTTTCAAGTTGTTGGTTTCCAGAAAAGGTCTAGAAATAAATGAGAATAAAATGACTGCATATTCATTCTGACTCAAGTAGTGACAAGGAAATTAAACTTTAGAAGGTCACATAGCCTGTTACTAGATAAAAAGAAAATAGTTACCACATTTGACTGAAGTAGAGATGCAAAAACCTAAAAGCAGTAATCCATAAGTTGACTTTAGTCACTTATTAACATTGTCTATCTGTAAATAATAAATTAAATGAAATATATGTCAGATAAATTAACAATATCCACTCAAATGAAACATAAAGTCATAATAAAGGCTATTAGAGGTAGAGATATGTAGCAGAAAAAGAAGTGTGTATACCAGTGAACTTTTTTTGGAGAAGAATCTACAAAATGAAATAAAAGTGAAGAAACAAATAAAAATGAACATGTCTGGAGATGTGTAATTTTAGAAATACTGCACATGACTTTTCAAGTAACTTTTTGGTGATTTTTTCCCCATCTTTTAGTTATGTAGGATTCACATCAACAATATGCACTGCCCTGAAGATGATAAATTCACTGACCTTAATGAAGTCTCTAAGCTTAGAGCTCATATGTTACACATTATCACATAATATTTTTGTGATTTATTGTACTTTATATTATTTTTATGATTTTACCTTAAAAAGCAGATGAATGTAATAAAAAAGAGGTCAAACTTAAAAATGTCATATGTTAACTGAATGCTTAGATAAGAGTCATTCACTGAATAGATATTTATTCAATACCTGCTGAAGGCTAGTTACTGTGCCAGATAATGGGACAAACTGTTGTCGTGGTAAGGATTTGTATATGATTTGTTCACCACCATCTTCCCATTAAAACAAGACCTAGTGCATAGCAGATGCTTAATAAATATTCATTGAATAAGTGAATGGCACTAATAGGTTAGTTTTCAAAGTGTGCAATTTAAGAAGCATGGCAATAAGTAGTATGATATGGGATATATAGCATGTTCTGAAACACCTAGAAGGGTGCCTAACTTGTTAGAAAACTAATGAAGATTTTCAAGGATCAAATAAATTTAAAGAGAGACAAATAACAGTTGAAGTTACATGTATCTGTATGTGTGAGTGTGGGTGGGGTTGGGCAAGAAGGGTGAGGAGGACTACTTAGATGAAGCCTACCAAAAGACCTCGAGGAAACACCAAAACATCTTAGGACCTGAAAGGAGCTCCATATAGCTGAAAACTGAGTGTGAAGGAGACCATAGCAAAGGGTTAGACTTGAAAGGTAGGATTTCCTTTTATGTCATATGAAGGAGATGGAATTTTATGATAATAGAAATATAAAGTCATTGAAGATTTTAAGTAGGAGTGTGACACACCCATTTGTGTTTCAGAAAACACCACCTTGACATCTTGTTCTGGCAGGATGGTGAAATAAATATTGTAACATCTTTCTCACTACAAATATGTTAAAATTTTGAGTAGAAACTAACAAAAATTATTTGTAATATGCAATAACATTCTTTTTTGCCAGAAAGAGAGAAAACATCAGGAGAAACAGGGACTATGCTTTAGAGACAGAAACTCGTGAACTGATAGTACAGACATCTAGAGAAGGTCAGGGAGATATTTTGTTTCCCCTGATATCACAAGAATTCTATTTAATTTTGCACTTGGTTGGAGAGTGAGGTTCTGGGCCTATAAGAGGTGAAGACATAGAAGTGGAAAGTAAATATAAAACCAGAAATTTTAAAAAGCCATACTCACAAATACTGGTTGAACAAGAAAAATTCCACATTCTGGTACAGGGAGATGACAATGAGGCTTGTCTCTATCTGATGTGAGGTAGAAAAAAATTTAAAATTAAAAATTTAAGTCCCCAATTCTGTTATTTCTCTTGATGTGAGGTCCAAACTTACACTACTTGTATGATTCAGGCAATACCAAAACAAAAAATTAACATGAAACTTAGTTTCAAGGTTGTAATTCACTTAGGTTCTGTCAGAGCAAACACAAAATTCATCTAAGAAGATATGCCTACAACCCATGACTCACATGATATATTTGAACTCATAATGTTAAGGAATCTTTGGGGTGTTGCTTTTCTGGCTGGAAACCTCTGTGGCTGGTGGTGCCTTTGCCTGAGTTCTTGTCCTGTGTCCAAGAAGAATGAGGTACACAGACAAGTGGAGAGTGAGCAAATGAAGAGGAGATTTATTGAGTGTTAGAACAACTCAGAGTAGACCCAGAGTGGGTAGCTCCTCTCTGTAGGGAGGTCGAGTGTTCAGCTCTTAACAGAGAGGAGGCCCTGGAGTGGGTGGCTCCTCTCTGCAGGCAGGTTGCCCTGGCAAGCTCTTAGCAGAAAGGGTAGCTCCTCTCTGCAGCTGATTGTCTTGTGAATAATACCTAAATTAAAAAATACTCAAAAGTATAGTCCATCATAAGCAACATTCAGGAAGGAAAAAAGAAGAGATTTCAAACTGGAGAACTTAATAGGACGATGTGAAATAGACTACAAAACAAATATGTTTAAAATGATACTTGAACTCCAATGGGAAAATATTTTATTACAAAAGAATTGGCATGTATAGGTAATTCACATATAACCTTTAGAATTTAAAAATATAGTAATTTAAATTAACAATACAATGTGCCACATGGAAATTTAGATGCAGATCAAGAGAGCATGAATAAACAGAAATATGAGACATGGGGAAATTATTAAGAATGCAGTACAGGTACAAGGACATGGAAATTACAAAATAGCGGTTATAAGAAAGAATACTGGCTGGGCATGATGGCTCACGCCTGTAATCTCAGCACTTTGGGAGGCTGAGGCAGGTGGATTGCTGGAGCTCAGGAGTTTGAGACCAGCCTGGGCAACATGGTGAAACCCTGTCTTTACTAAAACAGAAAAAAATTAGCTGGGCATGGTGGTGTGCCTGTAGTCCCAGCTACTTGGGAGGCTGAGGTAGGAGAATCACTTGAACCTGCAAGATGGAGGTTGCAGTGAGCCAAGATTGTGCCACTGCACTCCAGCCTGGGTGACAGAGCAAGACCCAGTCTCAAAAAAAAAAAAAAAAAAAAAAAAAGAAAGAAAGAAAGAGAGAGAGAAAGGTCCAACATGCATATAATAGGATCAGTAATAAATAGATAAAATGCATGTAGTGATAATGGCTGAAATTTTATCATAGCATATGAAGGGCTCAAAAATTTTATTTTTAGAAAATACAAGTAGTTGAGGGAAAAAAGCAAAATGATTTTACAGCTAGGTACATCATAATAAAATTGCAGACCTCTAAAGATAGAAATAAATTATTAAAAGCTTCTAACAAGCAAAGACAGATTACCTAGAATGAAAGAATGCCTGAAAATAACCTTCTCAAAAGCAAAAATGGGGATTATATGACAATGGATTATCTTCATAGCATTGAGAGAAATACTATCAAACAAAAATTGTATGCTTATCTAAAAATAATACTCCTCAAGTGAAGACAAAATAAATATGTTTCCATACAAGACTGATAAAATTTTCCACTTAAAAATCTTAATGGGAAAAAAAAGTTTGTTTTTCAGGAAAAAGTAAGCTAAACTCAAACAGATTAATATGCAAGAATAAATGCTAAATATGTAGACAAATCACACAAATTAATTATGATATAAAATAATTCTGGTAAGATACCATTATTAATAATAATAAGTATTATAAGTTGGAAATAAAGATGTAATTTAAGACAACTTAACTATGTACATTGAGGGTGACTGAGTTTTATTTAAGAGGAATATAAAGAAAATAAATATTTAAGATTTTCTTTTGTGAAATCTTTTGCTAAGATTTTAAGGGAAATATCTCAACATACAGAAATGTTATAGATAACCTTAAACATAGTACATAAAGGAAAGAGAAAAAGAAGAAAAACTTTATAAAACCAGTAGAAGGCAAGAAAGAAAAAAAATACCAAAGAAAATGCATCATAATGAGCAGGCCCAAAATAAGAAGACAAGAATAAAATCAAATGTTAGTAATCACAATATTTTAAAGAATAAATTTGTCAATGAATGAAGAGATTATTCTAATGTTTAAAAAATAAAGCACTAGCACCTGGCTAGATGGTTTCACTATGCACACATGTAAAAGACCACAAGATAGGTGGAAAAATAGTAGAAAAAGACAAAGCAACTGAGGTTTTGAGGGTTTACTTTATCCGTGATTCTTTCACTTTCCATGTCCCCCTGAATTTCCAGATGGTCTCTTCCCCCTCATGCCAATAAGACTTCCATTCTCTGCTAACTAAGCTGTACATAGTTTGGGGAGACAATTACAAGCATAACAAACTTGCAAATCTTACCCAAAGACGTTCCTTTTTCAGGGGTACTTTCTCCCAACCCCAATATCCCTCATTTTTTATTCTTTTTTTGTAGGCTCCCAGAAATTTATGATGTTTATACATCAGCCAGTAGTTTTGGGGAAAAATACATTCAGGATTGGTATCACAGCCCTTTTATGACTGTCTCACTTTCTGATTTTCCTCTTTATATTTCTAACTCCTCTGTTGCTCTGCATTCTGATATCTGCCACCTAAAGCCATTACAGTTCTCCAGTTCCACAACTACTGGGCAAAGGGTATTCGCCCAAGAAAGAAAACCAAAATCTTTCAGTGGTTACCCATGTAGTAGAGTCTTTAAAGAGTAAACTCTACTTCAGTTTTTGCCTTCATTTAGTGTTTTTTTTATTACTTTCAAATAATTTTTATAATATTTTGGATCTGTATTATAATTGTTTTTTATAGAAGGAATCAACCAAACTCTTCACACAAGCATTTTCAGAACTTCCACCCATTTTGTTTTTGTGTAGTTCTAGATTCTTTAAAATAAATATATATTTTAAAAATAAATATATATCAAGTGTCAGTCTTCAAATCCCAAATTTAGGAATTGGTTTTTGTTGTGAGATATTTTCAAAGGTTCATTCACAGAATAGTGTCTAGTCATACAGTACAATAACAACTTTATTATCAACATAAATATTTTTTGATGTCTAAATCTACATTATTTGAAACAGAAGTGTCTGGTTAGAAATTACATGCAGTATTCTTAGTGGGATAATATGCTGTTGAAATGAGAATGCATATAAAAATATAAAGGTTAAAATTATCAGTTTAACCTTATTGGATTTATACTGCTAACTGTTTTCAAAATACAAGAGTCCTATTTGGGTAAATGGTGGTGGGTGAGTAGATAGATGGAGAAATTCTTAACAAATTTTGTTTTGGCAGTGGTAAACTAATTGTATTTTCTTTTTGAATTTTAAAATGCTGACCACATTGCTGTAAGCTGTCATAATACATTGATTATTGGGTACTAATGGATAAAACTACGTATTTCATTGATGAAAGTAGGTCATTTATTTTTCAGATCGTCAATATGTTTCAATATATAGGAGTTGAAAGTAACTCTTTTTGAATTTCTACCAAAAGATGTTTCCATTTGAAACCACAAATAATTTAAATAGAGAGTACATGTATGTGTAGTGGAGTCACACTTTTTCTAGAATTCAGACTTATAATAATAACAACTAATGAGTTATAGCAGCAACATGGATGCAAAATTTTATGGTTAATCTTGTTAATTATGCTTTTTATAATGCTAGGTCTAATACATATAAATTAAATGTTAAGATTTATTATAAGAAAACACGGCTTTATGTCCTGCCTGGAACATAAAGTTTTGAAGTTTCTAGTTTCATTTTTCCCTAATTATAGTAAATGATAAAACAAATATTTACATGTATAAATTGTGCAAACATTATGTTTCAAATTTAGGGCCCAATGAGTAAAGGTTGATAAGGCCATATTAAACCCATGCATGCTAATAATTTATGTTATTTTGCCTGCCAAATATAATTGCTATCTCAAAATAGCACAATTGACTTGATACTATGGAGTAATACATTTAGCAGTACCATATGAATGCAACGAGATTGGACTGACAATTTCAACTTTTTAATTTTTATATTCATTCTCATTTCAACAGCATATTAACCCACTAAGAATTTCACATGTATATTTCTAACCAGATACTTTCTTTTCAAATAATGTAGACTTCAGCATAAAAGAATTTATGTTGATAATAAAGCTGTTACTGTACTGTATGACTAGAAATTATTTTATTATTTTATACCTATTTTATTCCTTCAAATGAATTATAGCAGAACAAAAAGTAATATGTGCTCACTTGCTTACTTTCATATTACTAGTGAAAAAAAATCATGATATTCATCTCTACTCAAAATATATTGAAATGTACATTTTTATTTTGATATATTTTTGCATCCAATGAATATTGAAATAAATGATCCTTAAAATCTTGAAAATAGTATGTAGACATGATGAATTTTAGTGTGCCTGGTACACTTTTTGAATGGATGCCCCCTAATTATATACTATTTATAAACTGTACTGTATTTAGGGAACTAAGGGGCATTGAAGACCTATTTATTTCCCTTAAAATTCATCACTGGTTTTTATCATAAACATATAAGATTTTCATGTGATCTGATGAATTTTTTTTTTTTGGGGGGGACGGAGTTTCGCTCTTGTTGCCCAGGCTGGAGTGCAATGGCGTAATCTCAGCTCACCACAACCTCTGCCTCCTGGATTCAAGCGATTCTCCTGCCTCAGCCTCCCGAGTAGCTGGGATTACAGGCATGTGCCACCACACCCAGCTAATTTTGTATTTTTAGTAGAAATGGGTTTCTCCATGTTGGTCAAGCTGGCCTCAAACTCCTGACATTGAAAACAAAATACTTCCTTGATCTTTATTTAATAGAAATGTAAACATGCACCAATAAGAAATAGTAAAAGAAAATGTCTTTTATTCGATTTCCAGTGTCTAGAGGCCCAGTTTTTCTGGCAATATATGTGAAGTACTACATGTCTTACCTTGTAAAATTAACTAATATACCTCAAAACTTAATGGCAAACAATATATAAAAATTTGTCCCCTTAAATATTCAGGATTACAGCATAGGTTAAGAATAACGTCTTGTGTTATCAATATATTATCCCAGAAATACTTTGACTTTCTGCAAAATTATGTTCACAGGTACCTCTCAAGTAACATGAAATGCAGATTTATTATTTAATTCAGTCCGTCTTTATATTTCAGGGAGTTAGCATTTACTCCCCATGGTCGGGGGGACCTTTAAAAAGAATTCTTCTTTAATTTAAGTCCTTGCATCAACACGTACTGGTAGTGTCACCAATTTTTAAAAAGTTCTCAAATTTAAATAATTCAGGATTAAAATACAATTTTGATTAATCTGGGTAAAATCCCCATGAAGTAGAAAGAGACAGAGTAGATGCTAAGCTTGGTATAGAATTCAGAACGAGCCAGGAAATGATGTAATTTAATTGGTATTACTCATTATAAAATTGACATCCCCCAATATAAAATAATTCTAATATCTTACAATCCTATAATAATAATGTCCATAGCTACTGGGGGAGACTGGTTCCAGAATCCCTGTGGTAACCAAAATCTGGGTGTATCCAAGTCCCAAGGTCTGCAGTGCAGAACTGTGGATATGAAAAGTCAGCCCTGGTATTTGCGGGGTTTCACATCCTGCCAATACAGTATTTTCTATCCGTATTTGGTTGTAGATGCAGAACCTGCCCTCAGGGAGGGCTAACTATAATATCTTATTTTTAAAAAAATCCTAGTATGAGTGGTGTTGGCAGTTCAAAACCTTGTTGTTCAAGAGTCAACTGTACTTACCAATTCTTGACCCAGAAAAATAATTGGCCCAGAGATACTATAAATGAAGCATGCTGGAGCCTTCCATCTATCTCCTGGGATGGTCACCTGCAGACTAGCATCAGCATGCATCACTGCAAAGCTCCATCTCAAGAATAGGATTTCACTTGCCTCTGCTCTGCTTATTATCTTTCCTATATGAAATCCCATCAGACATGTGTGTTCATTCTCTGTTTCCCTCAGCATCCTACCTCAGGGGATGGGAGGTGTATGAGCATGCTCCTAGCTCCTCACTGCAAATTCAGACTTTGACTTCCTTCCGTTTCCTTTGGTACGCACTCATGGAGCTGGAAAAGCCCAATAGCAGCAGAACCACTGAGAGTGGTACTGGGAGGGAAGAGTGGCTGAGGCTGTTAAATATTTCATTAGCAGAACCACATTTCTTCAAATCACTAAAGTTAGTGACAGTCATGGCCTTCTGTAATATAAACGTGTACACTTCATTTTGTTTTGTACAGACTATTTTTGGAAATAAAACAATCCCGATTCTGTTTAGAAGAAGAAACCAGAAGAAGAAAACAAACATGATGGCTCAGAACTATTTTCATTCTCTTCTCTTTTTAGTGACACCTGCTTTGACCCTGTCAACATTGTAACTAAAATGACGTGTTAGATGCCAAGAAACTAGTTAACATAATGTATTTCGAAAAGTAGTATCGATCAATACCAATGACAGAAATATACTTGCTGAAGTCAGGCATTAGAAACCTGGAATGAAGTGGAATACCAGTGAGATGAGAGGCTGTAGAAAAAGAAACACAGCAATTACTGGACACTCTCACTATGTTCAGCATCTCCTCTGGAGCATGGGGATCTTAGAATCTTAACTGCTTCCAAGGAAAATGGGAAGACAGTGACCCAGTTTCATTGGTTTCAAACTAATTTTTTTCAATTCACTTTGGGTTCCATTGCTTGCAAAACTTTCAGACAGATTTGACTTCCTCAGACATAAAATATTAACTCTGTAAAAGCAGACAAATTACTTAATGCACTTTCATTTTTAAGCAGCTTGGAAGAACATCCTAGGAAAACACCACCCCCTCCCACTCCATCCACACAACATCAGCAGGAGGTTTGCTCACTTGGGATAAAGTCCATTTGCACAAACTCTTTTGTTTCTTAAGGTATTAGGAATGAGTGTTTTACTTCTAAGAGCTTTACCTAAACAGTTTTAGAATGAATGTATGTGGTTATCAACATAATATTCATTACGGAAGGATCACGGGCTGGTCATGCTGGCAAAGCCAGGGGCTGTGCTTTACACAGAAAAACTGTAAAGACTATCTCGATATAAATTTTTTTGTTGTGAATTGTATCAACAGATATATCATTGGCTTAAAAGATTCTTCCTACGGGGTGGTGATGATGGTGGCAAAATCAATGTTTAATCATGAAAATAGTCTTTCATGCATATGAATGAGATACGCACTTTCAAAATACCATAAAAGCATGATCCCATTGTTAGAAGAAGTTGAGATGTGATGTTTAAGAGCTAAACCACAGTTAATATCAGAAAAAAGAAGCACCAAAAATTAAATGCTTCATTTTTTTTCTCAAGGAATAAATATAGAACACATATATACATAAACATACATACACACAGATACATACAAATTACAGACAGATCTGTATCTTTCTACAACTCATCACACACACATATAAAGCCTTGAGTCATTTTGATTGAAAAAGAAAGATTGTTATTGAAAAAAATTGTAATAATTCTTTTATTCTATCAGGTGACTTAGCTGGGGATGCTCTAAATTTTGGCATTGTTCTTGATATTTGGCTAAAGTCTTTTTTTGGGTCTTGTTTTTGGCCTTAGCCATTTGAAGTCTCTATAGTCTACTGCCTTTTTCAACATTACTTCTGATCTCTATGGACTAGTGAGTATTGAATAATAATAAAATTAGATAAGTTATCATCATACTTAATCATGTAACTCCTTCAGTAATAAAAACACGAAGGTCATTAGATTTAGTGCTAATACTAGAATATCCACTTTCAAATATAGATAAGCATTCTACATGCCACTTGGAGTGAAACTATCTTCATAAAATTAATAGGTTGAAATAGTGTACATAACTGGAATTTTAAATATATGTGTAACACTGCAATAATAAAATACTTCAATAGTTACTGTTGATTGTGAAGTCTTTCAAATATTTTTTAAAAACAGAACAGTCATTGACCGAACAATGATTGATAGTCATTGTGTAAATAATTTTTATCCTTAACATGGAGATGCTTGGATTTTATAAGTTTCAAAAAAATGTGGAATATTAAGAAACGAGAATATTGTACGTTTTGTTCAACTATATTGTGGTATAATTGTTAAAAATTACATATATCAAATGTATAATTTGATGATTTGCCATACATATACATTATGAATTGAATAGCAGAATCAAATTAATTAATACATCCATCACCACACATTGTGTGTTTGTGTGTGTGGGTATATGTGTGTGTGTATATATGCGTATATGTTTCATCTTTTGTATTGATTCATCCATTGATAAACACTGTGAAATGATTACCACAATCAAATTAGTTAACAAATCCATCACCACACATTGTGTGTTTGTGTGTATATGTATATATGTGTGTTTATACATATGTATATATGTGTATATATTACATTTTCTATATTGATTTATCCATTAATAGACACTAATATTGTTTCCATATTTTAACTAGTATAGATTATGCTGCAATAAACATAGGGTGCAGATATCTGTTTGAGATACTGACTACATGTTCTTTGGAATATATACCCAGAAGTGGGATTTCTGGATCATATGGTATTTCCACTTTTAATTTTTTGAAAAGCCTCCATTTTTTTTCTGTAACAGCTGTACCTAGTTACATTTACCCTAACAGTGTACAAGGATTCTCTTTCCCACCCCCTTGCCAATAGTTGTTATATATTTTGTCAGTTTTAGAATAGTCATCTTAACAGGTTTGAGGTGATATCACATTGTAGATTTGGGCAGAAATAAAGGAAATATAGACTAGAAAGGGAATAGAGACTGGGTGCAGTGGCTCAGGCCTGTAATCCCAGCACTTTGGGAGGTTGAGGGGGGTGGATCACGAGGTCAGGAGTTCAAGACCAGTCCAGCCAAGGTGGTGAAACCCCATCTCTACTAAAAATACAAAAAATTTAGCCAGGCGTGGTGGCAGGTGCCTGTAATCTCAGCTACCTGGGAGCCTGAGGTAGAGAATTGCTTGAACCCGGGAGGCAGAGGTTGCCGTGAGCCAAGATCGCACCACTGCACTCCAGCCTGGGTGACAGAGAGAGACTCCGTCAAAAAAAAAAAAAGAAAAAGAAAAGAGATAACACAAATAAGTAAAATTATAAATGAAAGAAGAAACATGACAACTGACATCACAGATAGAAAGGGTCACAAAAACTACTACAAAAATTATATGTCAATAAATTGTATAACCTAGAAGAAGTGGATAAATTTTTGGACATGTGGTATACCAAGACTGACTCATTAAGAAATAGATAATCTAAGGCCGGGCGTGGTGGCTCATGCCTGTAATCCCAGAACTTTGGGAGGCCGAGGCAGGCGAATCACCTGAGATCGGGAGTTTGAGACCAGCCTAGCCAAAATGGTGAAACCCTGTCTCTACTAAAAATTCAAAAATTAGCCAGGTGTGGTGGTGTGTGCCTGTAATCACAGCTACTTGGGAGGCTGAGGCAGGAGGATTGCTTGAACCCAGGAGGCAGAGGTTGTAGTGAGCCAAGATCGCACCATTGCACAACAGCCTGGGTGACAAGAGCAAAACTCTGTCTCAAAAAAAAAAAAAAAAAGAAAAAGAAAGAAATAGATAATCTGAACAGACCAATAATGAGTAAGGAGACTGAAGAAGTAATCAAAAATTTCCCAACCAAACACAAAAAATGCTGAGTACCAGACGGCTTCACCAGTAAATTCTGCCAAGCATTTAAAGAGGAATTAATGCCAATCCTTTTCAAACTCTTTCAAAAAATTGAAGAGGAGGGAACATTTTCAAATATATTATACGAGGTAAGCATTTCTCTCATACCAAAGCAAGGTAAAGACATTCTAGAAAAAAAATTACAGGACAATAACCTTGGTAAACATAGATGCAAAAATTCTTATCGTAATACTAGAAAACAAAATTCAACAGCACATTAAAAGGGTCATACATCATAAACAAGTGGAATTTATCCCTGGTTCAACATTTTTAAATTAATACATCTGTTAATACACCACATCAACAAAGTGAAAAATAAAAATATATGATCCTGTCAATAGATGCAGATAAAGTATTTGACAAAATTCAACATTCTTTCATAATATAATCTCAATAAGTTTACAAGGAATGTACCTCAACATAATAAAAGCCATGTGAAACAAGCCTACAGCTAACATTATACTCAATGCTGAAAAGCTGAAAGCCTTCAAGATCAAGAACAAGGCAAGCGTACTGACTATTGCCATTTTTTTTTCAACATAGCACTAGAGGTCCAAAACAGAGCAATCAGACAGAAAAAAAAGAAAGGGCTTCCAAATCAGAATGGAAAAAGTTATATTATCTCTGTTTACAGATGACCTAATCTTATGTAAGAAAACCCTACAGACTTCACCAAAAAACTGTTAGAACCAGTAATTCAGTGAAGTTGCATTTCTGTACACTAACAAAGAACTAAAAAAGAAATTGAGAAAACAATCCCATTTAAAATAGCATCAAAAGAATAAACTACTAGAAATAAACTTAACCAAGGAGATGAAAAGATTGTACACAGAAAACGACAAAACACTGATGAAAAAAATACAAATAAACGGTAAAACATTCTGTTTTATGAATTGGAAGATATAATATTGTTTAAATGTCCATACTACCCAAAGTGACCTACAGATTCAACACAATTCCTATAAAAATTCCAGTTGTATTATTCACTGAAATATAAAAAAAATCCTAAAATTTGCATAAGGCTACAAAAGACCCCAAAGAGCCAAAGCAATATGGAGAAACAAATACATAAAAAAAACTGGGAGCATCACACGATCTGATTTCAAGTTATATTACAAAGCTGTAGTAACCAAAACAGTGCAGTATGGGCATAAAAACAGACACATAGATGAATGGAACAGAATAGAGATCTCAGAAATCAACCCCTGCATTTACAGTCAACTAGTCTTTGATAAGGACACCAAGAATACACAATGAGGAAAAGATAGTCACTTAAGAAATGGTATTGGGAAAACTGGTTATTTCCATGCAAAAGAATGAAATTGGACTGTTACCTTACACTATACACAAAGCTCAACTCAAAGTGGTTTCAGAGACTTAAATGTAAAATCTGAAACTGTAAAGATAAGCTTCTAGAAGAAAAAATTGGGGAAAAACTTTATGACATTGGCCTGGGCAATGATCTTTTGACTATGACCCCAAAAGCACAGGCAACAAAGCAAAAATAAACACATCAAATTATATCAAACTAAAAAGCTTCCGCAAAGGCAATAGAAACAATCGCAATTAACAAAGTGAAATGAAAGCCTACAGAATGGGAGAAAATACTTGTAAACTACCCATCTGATGAGGGTTTAACATCCAAAATATATAAGGAGCTTAAACAAAGCAATAGCAAAAAAAAAAAAAAAAAAAAAAAAGTAAAGAAAGAAAGAGAAGAAAGAAAAGAAAGAAAGAAGAAAGAAAGAAAAGTTTAAAATGAGCAAAGGACTTGAAAAGACATTTACTATGAATTCACAAAATGTAACAAGATCATGTCCTTTGGAGCTGGAAGCCATTATCCTCAGTAAACTAAGGCAGGAATAGAAAACCAAACACCACAAGTTTTCACTTAGAAGTAGAAGCTGAACAATGAGAACACATGGACACAGGGAGCAGGGAACAACACACACTGGGACCTGTCGGCGGGCAGGGGTGGTGTATGGGGAGGGAGAACATCCAGAAGAATAGCTGATGTATGCTGGGCTTAATACCTAGGTAATGGGTTGATAGGCGCGGCAAACCACCATGATACACATTTGCCTATGTAACCTGCACATCCTGCACATGTATCCCAGAACTTAAAATAAAATAATTCAAATTAAAATAAAGAAATAAAACATACAAATGGCCATATAACAATGTGCTCAATATCATTGTATGTTTTTTGAGCTAAGAAGTTTTCGAATTCTTCACAGAGGTATTATTTTTCCTGCACTTTTAAAAACATGACTTATAAAGCTATTTTAACAAATGAAATGGTAAGAATTAATTTTGCCGTACTGTAGATTCATTTTTTCATCCCCAAATTTCATTTTGTGATGGTATTTGGTTTTGGTCTTGGATTTAGCGGAGTATGTATTTTACTGCATGGCTAATCAGCTTTACCTAACTAGTATAAATTTATGCAGATGGAGATTAATTTCATGTATTTGTGGCAAATATATCTATAATACATTTTCAGGTTAACCTAGAACCTGTCAACTTCTTAGCAATGGCATCATCTATATATACATATATATATACGTATATACATGTATATATGTATATACGTATATATGTACGTATATGCATATATGTATATTGTATATATGTCTACACATATACGTGTATATACATATATGACAGATACGTGTATATACATATATGACATATACGTGTATATACATATATGACACATATACGTGTACATACATATATGACACATATACGTGTACATACATATATGACACATATACGTGTACATACATATATGACACATATACGTGTACATACATATATGACACATATATGTGTATATACATATATGACACATATATGTGTATATACATATATGTATATGTGTGTGTGTATATGTGTGTGTGTGTGTGTGTATATATATTTTTTTTAACCAATTTTAGGAATTCTAGAGGTTGATAATCCCTATCAAATTTCCAATGGTATTTTTCACATAAATAGAAAAAATATCTCCAAATTTGTATAAAGATACAAAATACCCCATTGGCCAAAGCAATATTGAGAAACTCTAAGTCCTAACCTTACTGCAACAATTCTCTGAGAAGGAGCAAGGCTGAAACATTTTAAGAGTCAGAATATATGTGAGTGTTGGCATTCACAGGGTTGAGGTTAGAGAATTAAATTAAATTGTATTTGCCTGTCAGTTCACAAAGAGTAACTAAACAAATAAAATATGGTAAGCCCTCACTCAACATCCTCCATAAGTTCTTGGAAACCGTGACTTTAAGTGAAACAACATATAATGAAACCAATTTTACCATACACTAATTGATATAAACAAGATGTAAGTTCCTATAGCGTATTTCTGGTCACAAAACATCACCAAACTTCTAAACAAAGGCCCCCAAATCTACCAATTTTAAATATTTAAATAAGTGTGAGCTATACACACATTTATGAAAGATCAATACAAACAAGTAAGGTAATTATTTACCCAGTTATTTCAGTTCAGGATAACGAATGGCCAGAGCATATCCTGGCAGCTCAGGGCCAAGGCTGGAACCAACCCAGACAGGACACCATCCCATCGGGCACACTCACACATACAATACACACACTCAGGCTCGAACCATGTAGACATGCAGATTCACCTACCTCCATGTCTTTGGGATGTGGGAGGAAATTGGAGTACTTGGAGAAAACAGACATGGGGAGAATGTGAAAACTCCACATGAACAGTGGTCCTGGCTGGGAATTGATTTTTTTTTTTTGTTTTGAAAGTAAAGTATCTCGGGACCCCCAAATCACTAAGCTAAAGAGAAAACTCAAGCTGGGAACTGCTTAGGGCAAACCTGCCTCCCATTTATTCAAAGTTACCCCTCTGCTCACTGAGATAAATGCATATCTGATTACCTCCTTTGGAGAGGCTAATCAGAAACTCAAAAGAATGCAACCATTTGTCTCTTATCTGCATATGACCTGGAAGACCCCTCCCTGCTTCCACATTGCCCCACCTTTCCAAATGGAACCAATGTTCATCTTACATTTGTTGATTGATGTCTCATGTCTCCCAAAAATGTATAAAACCAAACTGTGCCCTGACCACCTTGGACACGTGTCATCAGGATCTTCTGAGTCTGTGTCATGGGCCCATCTTCAACCTCGGCAAAATAAACTTACTAAATAAACTGAGACCTGTCTCAGGTTTTTGGGGTTCACATCCTCATCAGTGTTATAATACAAAAGGCTTTCAATGAAAGGATGTTACTGGAGGATCAGCTGTATCAATCTAAGAGAAACAGGTCATATATGCCAGGATTCTTGCAGTATTCAGAACTTTGTTCTAAAGCACACTCTTATAGCCCCAGTTTGGGGTAGACTGCAGCCATCATAGATGATACGTGTTCTTGACTTACAAAATGACCTCACAGTTATTCTTCATGAACCAAATATGTGTGTCTTTTAGAGCCTGGTAAATACTACTCTTAAAAAGATAAAAGAAATAAGATATTATTGTCATATCAAAATGTTGATGTCAGTGACCAGTGTTCAGACCTGCTCATCTTTTTTCTAACATCATAATGTCATAGTGTCCCTGACATCCATGGTTAAAGTGTGCTTACCCCAATATTCTACTTATCTTCATATCCATAAAATAAAGTTGGGTGAGACAAAATAGCAAACAACTAGAATGCTTGCATTTAAGAAACAGAGGTATAAGGAGCAAGAAGTCAAATGTTCTGTAGAAAGCAGCCTTCTTGGTCCCTCATTTCAGAGAAACCCACTGCTAGCAACTCCTCCTCATGAATGTGGTACATTTGAACACAAATGGAAAATCTAATGACATTATAAAGCACCTTGAAAGAAAATTGTTTTGCCTAAAGAAGTGTACAAGTAGGGGAAGCATTCATTAGTAAGAAGGCATGGCAATGTAACAGACAGCCTCAAGAGAGACCTTCTCACCCCATGAGCCAAGCAAGGAACATGTCACCTCACTGCTTTTATTTCAGGAAAACATGACTAAATTTCCATTGCTGGAAGGGTAGTCATGCTAAAGGGTTTATGGTTGAATTGCTATGCATGAAGTGCTTTTGAATTGAATTCTTAAATTCCAGAAAATGAGGTTACAGAATACATATACAAACATACCTACATAAACATTCACATAAGCACTAGGTAGATAGATAGATAGATAGATAGATAGATAGATAGATAGATAGAGTCAACTTAACAAATAGAGGGACATTCTCTAAAAGAAAAGACGTTTATTTGGGAATAGAACATTGCAATGAGAATATTCATGCCATTGTAAACTATGCGTGTTTTTAGGGATGAAAAGGAGGACAAAAGTTTTTAAAGAAAACAATGAGGAGGTTTACATAATTGTTTTGAAATAATTATACTTCGCTACAAAGATCAATAACAAGGGTACCACCAGTCCGAGATTAGATGGGCATATGTCCTTGCAGAAGTATTTTTTTAAATAAACTTGTGATGGCCTTTACACAAAGTTGTGGTTTTTGCAGTCTTTTGTGATAATTTTTGTTATCAGGTATAGAAGCATGAGAACTCTCCCTTCATGGCCGTCCCTGGCTCTATCTGCCAAGGTTTTCATAACATCAGTGACTTCATTTTGATTCTGAATCTTTCACAGTAAACAGACAGTTCTATATAAAATCAATCTTGTAGAGAACCAGTATTTTTGAGGCTATTTTAACAACATATTTAATTTTTATTTTTCTCATATGCTGAATATGAGTTGTTGAGATATATCTCCTTGATTTTGATCATCCTTCATACTGCACCCAGACGGCCTCTATTATCCGCAGAATAAAATAAAATTTCTTGGCCGGGCATGGTGGCTCACGCCTGGAATCCCAGCACTTTGGGAGGCCAAGGTCGGGAGGTTGAGACCAGCCAGACCAACATGGTGAAACCCCGTCTCTACTAAAAATACAAAATTAGTCGGTCGTGGTGGCTCATGCGCCTATAATCCCAGCTACCTGGGAAGTTGAGGCAGGAGAATGGCTTGAACCCGGGAGGCGGAGGTTGCCGCGAGCCGAAATTGTGCCACTGCACTCCAGCCTGGGCAACAAGAGCGAAACTCTGTCTCAAAAAAAATAAAAATAAAAAAATAAAATTTCTTAACAGGACTTTTAATGTCCATGATAGTTTTATCCCCACCTTATGCAAATTCTTTCTAGGTATAACTTGATGCTTTTGTTATCTCTCCCTTAGACTTAACTATCTACATCATCCTTTCCATCCATGGACTATTTTTATTTCAAGATTCAGGACAAAGTTCGCTTCCTGCAAGGTACATTCCAAAATATCTCCAATCATAAATGAGTACTCTTTCTTTCCCCAAATCAATAATAGTTCATCTTTTTTTCTGCCTTATGCTATAGTGGGGCAGAATATCTGTATTTCAAGGTCAAAGAATATTGCTGCAATTTCCCCAGTTAAGAGTAGTATCATCTGTTAATGAGATTACTTTGTAATTGTTCCTAACTGACTTTCCTGAATGAAATCTTGCCCCTTCCAATGATCCATTTGCTATCCCAGTGACTCTCAACTGTTATGCTATAGCATAGGGTATAATTCAAACTGTCCATAAGAATGTCACCAGATTCTAATGAAGATGTGAATTTTAACCAGAGCTTTATAAATACACTGTTAAATAGTTTGACAGGATACTGAGCAGGATAGGTCACAAAAAACTGCAGGGTACAACTTGTTCCAAGTCATAATATAATGTAGAATTTACACCAGAGAGCAATCTAGTGTGTACTAAAATATGTAAACAATTTGCCTTTGTGGAGTAGGAGAGCAAAGTCTACTCAACAGTGACACAAAGATGAAGGGCAGCCAATATTCAATTTACTCTGTGGATGCTTTACTCCACACCATAAATCATTGTTATACCACTGCAATGCTACCACCATTAATTGTTACCAAATTGTTTGCTTTGGTTTTCACACTAATACTGCCTTCATGGGTGCCTCTGATATTTCTCATATACACCCACAGCCCCTCATTTGCAATTCTGAAATCAAAATATTCTGACAACCAAACATTTCATCTTAATTCATTTACTTAAAAATCTGATCTGAACTGATAAGTCCTGTTTAAGGTGAAAATTTATACAATCTGTTGAAGATAATTTCATGTATTTGGTTGTGGGTTATTGCTACTGACCCCTCTGGTGGTGTTATACAATATTCAGTGCACTTACCTTAATAGTTTTCTAGAAGTCCAACATATTCTGAATTCTAAATTATATCTAGTTCCAAGGGTTTTGAGTAAGAAATTATAGACATGTATTTAAAATATGTCTTTCAAAACAAATGTGGAGAATGGTTGATATTCAGTGAAGTTTTCCAAAAGACAAATCTAACTCTACTTTTCTGCTCCGTAAAACTCCTAGTGTCTCTTCATTGCCCTCAGATCCAAGCTCCTCAATCTAGCACACATGGTCCATGTAATTTCACTTCTGCGAATATTTTCATCCTTCATGCCTTCCCCAGATTTACTGATGAGCTCAGGACTTGTCCAAGCTCTTTTGTAACCTACTGGCTTTTCACATAATTCTTTCTCAGCTTAAAATATTTTTTCCCTTCTAGAAAATTTCATAACTCCTATTAATTTTTGTGTATCAGCTTTTTAAACTTACCTCTTAGTGCTTGGTTTGTTGTTGCTCTCAAGGGCTACTTTATAGCATTCCTCTAAATGTAGCATTTTTTTTTTTTTTTTTTTTTTTTGATATGGAGTCTCGCTCTGTCACCCAGGCTGGAGTGCAGTGACGCGATCTCCGCTCACTGCAAGTTCCGCCTCCCAGATTCACGCCATTCTCCTGCCTCAGCCTCCCAAGTAGCTGGGACTACAGGCGCCCACAACCACGCCCGGCTAATTTTTTGTATTTTTAGTACAGACAGGATTTCACCGTGTTAGCCAGGATGGTCTCGATCTCCTGACCTCGTGATCTGCCCGCCTCGGCCTCCCAAAGTGCTGGGATTATAGGCGTGAGCCACTGTGCCGGGCTGTAGCATTCATTTTATGTCATATATTCTAATTTCCTATTCACTTTATTGTACTTACATCCATTTTGTTATATTTTTAAGGGCTGAAACTCTCTTGTTGACCTCATTGTATTCTCAGTTCTTAGAAGAGTGTATACACAATCATACTTGCTTAATGAATGCACTCAAGGGTGAATAAAACATAGTACAATTGGTCCTTGAACAACACAAGGGTTAGGGAGATGACTCCCCCACAGTTGAAAATCTGTGTATAACTTTTGACTACTGTTGACTGGAAGCCTTTCTAATAAATAAACAGTTGATTAATACATGTTTTTCAAGTTACGTATACTGTATTCTCGTGTTTTGTTTTGTTTTGTTTGAGATGGAGTCTTGCTCTGTTGCCAGGCTGGAGTGCAGTGGCGCGATCTTGGCTCACTGCAACCTCTGCCTCCAGGGTTCAAGTGATTCTCCTGCCTCAGCCTCCCGAGTAGCTGGGACTACAGGCACTTGCCACCATTTCCAGCTAATTTTTGTATTTTTAGTAGAGTAGGGGTTTCACCATGTTGGCCAGAATGGTCGCAATCTCTTGACCTCGTAATCCACCCACCTCAGCCTCCCAAAGTGCTGAGATTACAGGCGTGAACCACCACACCTGGCCCTGTATTCATATAAGATAAGCTAGAGAAAATAAAATTTTATTATGAAACTTATAAGAAAGAAAAAACATATTTATAGTACTGTATTGTGATTTAAAAATCAGGAATGTGGTTGATGTTGATAATTGATTAGAAAAAAACAATGTCAAACTTACCTTTTCTATAGTCATAATTTAATCATTTCATGTTTTAATCAAATGGAATTAAAAACAATTTATTAGTTATTAGTTGACTAGCTAATCTCCAAGATTTTAGGGGAATATGGTAAAAAAAAAATGGAATGGAGAAATTAGGGAACATTTGGGTAGATTAAGATGCTATCTGAGCATCATCCAGAAGTATTTAACAGGAAGACAGCATTGATTAGAAGCCTCTTTTCTATTCACTTGAAGGGCATTGTGTGAGGAAATAGTCACACTTTAGAAATGCAGATAATTTGGAAAGATACCTTTTAATTTGATATAATTTCAAACTTACAAATCATAAGAGTAGTAAAATAGTAAAAGGAACAACAGGATGCTTTTTACCCTGATTTACCAAATGTTATACATATACATATGCACACATACAGTTTTTGTTTTTTCCCTGAACCGTTTCAGGGACCTGAACTTTGAGTAAGCTAGAAACACCATGCTCCTTTAAGCATAAATAATTCTATGTGAAGTCCCTAAGAACAAGGGCATTCTCTTACAAAACCACACAGTTCAGTTAACACAATCAGGAAATTTGGTATTGATTCAGTGCTTTGCTAATCCATAGTTTATATTTAAATGTTAAAAATTATCCTAATAATGCTTTATAGCTATGTTTAGCAGGTCTGGGATCAAACTGAGGAAAATGCACTGTATTTAGTTGTCATATCTATTTTAGTCTCCTTTAATCTGGATCAGTTACTCAGCTTTTATTTCTTTTTGGGCCTTGGCATTTTGAAATGAAAAGCCATTTATTTTATAGCCTGTCCCTAATTTGGATTTGCCTGATGTTTTCTTGTAATTGGAGTTATGTTATGCTATTTTGGCAGGGATATTATAGAAGCAATGTTGTGTCCTTCTCATCGCATAACAACCAGAGAAACATGGCATGGGTTTGTTCCAATATTGATAAGGCTTTACTTATTAATTAAGTAACTATTCTATCCAGGAAATATTTTTTATGCTTATTAAATTCCAAGAACTACTCAAACTCCTATCTAAAATATATTAATCATTTGCTCTTATGTAATTTTAGTAGTGATTACAAATAATTGGAAACAAGGCAAGACACAGACCTTTCCCTTAAGGAGTTTCACATACAAATACAATGAGACAAAGATATAAAAGCAAATAATTTAAATACAGTGTAATAACTATTTTAAGACTATGTTTTTAAGATTTCCTAATGAATTTTCTAAGATACTTTTTTCATTTTCTGCCCATGTCCAATAGCATAATGCCAAAGGGATGCTGAATGATTTGATATCTGAAATTCTGGGTTTTACTCTCTATAATCTAACGTGTTAGCAATGAAAACTGAAACAAAATACATACACTCTTTATCTACTAAGTAAGTGAGAATAATAATAGGGTCCTTACTAGGTAAGTACTTACTGGCAGATTAAATTTTAAAAATGTGAAATATATATAATATATAATATATAAACATACATATTATATATATTTTTATGAATATATATAAACATATATGTTCAATATATAAACATTATTTTAATATATAATTAAACATATATTTTTAATATATAATTAAACACATGTTTTATTAAGATGTTTATGTAAACATATATTTATATGTTTTAATATATAAACATGTTTATATTTTCATATTTCACATATATATTTCTTCATTTAATCTACTAGCAACTTGTATATTACCATTGGTAATCTACCGTATATATGGTAATCTGTAGATTCACTCAGAGATCAGGTGGTATCTATATTGATATATATATTAACATATATAATGATATAGATATATTATGTCAATATGTTATGTTGATATATAAAATAGAACAGAAAAACCACAGGATTTACAGTCAGTAGGCAAACAAAATATAGATAATACTACACTATTGAAGGACAATAGTAAGAATCAAATATAATATTTGTGAAAATATGTAAACTGATGCAGACACTCACACACACAAACCTGCTTATAATTTTGTTGTCATTATAAAAGCTTCAATTAGTTATGTTATTTTTGTACATCTCTACCTCCTTTGCTTTTGAGGAGAAACTGTGTCATTTTTCTTTTTACATCCTTCAGTGACCTCTTCAGTGTATTTTACTGAATAACTTTGATGTTGTCTGTTGAATGTTTGAAATATTATGAACTATGGTTGGTATCTTTATTGCATGCACTAAATCTCATATTAACAAAAGACTTCTGTAATGTTTTTAGAACTCAACTTCTGGTATACTTCAATATTCTCATTAATTTATTGGACACAAGATGGCTATGGAGATAGGGTGTCAGTAGTGGAGGGCCTGGATTTTCACCAGCTGTGGCCTCGGGGAAGTCATTTGCCTTCTCTAGACCTAAGCCTTTTTTTCTTTACATTATATTATAAGTTTTCTTAAAATAATGCTCAAATGTTTCCCTTTTCTAATTTTTTGCCTCTGCCTTAGTGAAACCAAGAAAAAGAAATCTTCAAAATATTTTTACAATATGTAATGTTCACCTAGAAACTTAGAAATATACAAATGAAAGTAGGTAAACTAGCACATGACTGCTTTAGTAATTTTACAAATTCATAAGCAATAATAAAAACAAAAAAGTTAAATTTTTCTAGCCTGTTTGGATTACTCATGTTTTCCCACTTACTACTTTTTGGTGTCTCCAATAATAGTTCGCCATGTGTCACTGCAAAGATCTGAAATGTTCATAAATGATTGTAAATGCCTCCGCTAACTGTGACCACATCCAGTTTAGCCTTGAGTAAGAACATCTTAACCTTGGCACACACTAAACACCATTTCTTATTAGCTTCAAAGAGCACACTTAAACTCAATTCCTTCAGATAGTTTCTTCAGCTTTCTTGGCTTCTGAAGAGAATACAATTTATTGATGTTTTTGTTCATGACTAGACATCCAGTGCCTGTGTTCTCAGACAACATTTTAGCTGCCTGGGTTTTTGGTAATCACACGATAATTTTGTTTGAGTAATTTCTCAATGGCACTAAAGCACAGTCTATCTGATCTATAGCCCTTATTATGACTAATTTCTCAAGGCCAGTAGTGCATGGTGAGTTTTATTGAACCGCCATTAATATGAACACGAGACAATTTAGCAAAGTGGTCAATAGGATGAGAAGCCAAATAATCTTATGTCCAGGGAACAGTGAAAGGAAGGGATATGGTAGAAAAGCAGTTTATTCTAGGGTCATCTCTTATCCAGGGCTAATGGATGAATGGCTTGAGATGAATTTGCCTTATTGAGTAGAAATCTATATTTAACACTAGATAATACACTAGCAAATTAAACACACACAAACACACACATGTGCATACAAATAGACACACAAAACAACATAAAACCAAAAATTATTGGCCTAATCAATCAGAAATATTAAACTGTGCAAACTAGGGTATGTGTAAGAATATAGACACAACTCTAATTCTATGATATAGTAAGTGGCAATGTGTATTTAGAGGAAAAACATTTGACTTTTCAGTATGAAAGAATTGTAATATAAACTATGGCTTTGCTAAGATTTTTTTTTTATTTAACTTTTTTGAACCTCAATAATCTCACTTGTGAAACTGGCAAATAATACTCATTCTGCAAAATTATTGTAACAGTTAAATTAAAAGAGACATGAAAGTTCCAAGTGCAATGCTTAAAACATGAGCCTTCAGAAACAATAGCTATTTGTTATGGAGAATGATCTGAGAAAAGAAAAAGAAACAACAGTTATGATTCATTTGCCAAAGCCCATTCATAGGAAGAGTCACTGCATGGCTTAAGTAATTGCTGACAGAATGATTACTTTAGTAAAATAAAGACCTTTTTTATTCCTCTTATGTCTGTCCCTTTTTAAATTTCACAAATAGCAGAGTCACGTATGGGAAGCCAAAAAAAAAATCAGACAAAACACACACAATCCACTTTACATCGTGTTAATAGCCCTGGCAAGTAATTAATTGCTCAGCAGTTTCAAACCAAAGAACAGAATGAGATCTAAAAATTGTGCTCTTTATTTCACTCTTTCGGGAGTTATAGATAATTTTTAGCTAGTAAGAATTTTATTTGTTTTTCTTTTTTCCACAAATAGTGGCTGCCAGGTGAAGAGGTTTACAGATAGTTGACAGTTAGTTAATAACTAATAAGTTAGAAATCTTAAGTAAGTAAACAAAAAAAGATGACTCTTCAAAGTTTCTATAGAAAGTAAATTATATATGTATAAATGAATTTCAAAATAAAATAAGTAAATTAACAAATAACATAACTAAAAAAAAAGCCTAGTTATAATTTGAGAAGTCATCTTCCCTAATTCCAATCTAACTGCCATTTTCCTTCAGAGTGTAACAGAGATTTTGTAGGCAGAGGAACACACTAGTACTAAACTGACACGTTTCAATACTTCCAGAAAAAAAAAGTAGCCGCTATTAATTCTCCACACAAAGCCACATTTCATTTGGCTATGTGCTACTGGCCATTTGATATGGCTCTAAGGAAAGATCAGGGAGAAATGTACCTCTTTGAAAATTTCAGCAAGATGAAAAGAAATCCAATAGGATTTCTCTCTGCTCACATTCCCTCTTCTGGAAAGAAATAAAAAGTGGCCAAACACTTTCTGCCTTTGCATGATCTCTCGTTAAGATGAGCTAGCAAATCTAGCTATAAATGTATTTCTGTTAGTGTGCCACCAACACCCCTTTCCAAATGACAGATGAAGCAACTCCAGTCCTGGGAGTCACTGTCTTAGACTAAGAAAGATCCCCGTCTTGGGACAAAGGGCTGGAAGCAGCATAGTTAATATCATTTTATGTTTTCAGGTTGCCCAATTAATAAAAAAAGAGCTTGTGGTATCTTGGACAAATTTCTCACTTGGCATACCTTGAAATTTAGCCATAATTGTGATTAATAAAAAAAACAAAAACTGAGGGCCATTTATCCCAGAGAAAAAAGCTATCACCAAATTTGGCAGATCCTGAGATGAGAAATCAGCCTAATAATTTATTATTAATTCAACAATTAAAATTAAAATAATAATACAATATCTACATTGTGAAATTATTTCCCAGTTAAGAAGACAATGAAGGAAACTATTGAGATGAACACAGAGTTTAATACTAAAGAGAAAAGGTTGTTCTGCAACTTGTTATCCCTGTGACCAGGTACTTAAATGTCTTTATGCATGTCATCCTCATCTAGAATATGAGGATAGGGATGGCAATACCTACCTCATATTCTTTCTGTAATGATTAAGTGAAGTCCATGTAAAATCATTTGATAAAGTCTGGAACACAGAGAAATCACAAATAATAAATATTAGCTCTCACTATTATTATTGCACAGATGTTGAAATAAAGTAACCTGGAATAAAACGTTAAAAATGTTAATGTTGCACAAGAGTATTGGATGATATAGAAAATAGTTATACTATAATGTCAATATAGGAGAAACATGATGAGAAAATGTGTATTCAGTATAACTTTCATTTTAGCACTGAATATAAATGCAATAAAATATTATCAATGATTATTTCTGGGTATTGAAAATATTGGCAAATTTGGCCTTCTTTACGCTTTATTAGATATTCCAAATTTTCTTCAGCTGTTTATAATTCTTTCTCAATTAGAAAACAAAGTAGACAGCAGGTGTTTATATTTAAAAGCACTCATTCATTATCAAAGCAAACGAGATTATAGTACAACTATAATTTCCATTTCCTCAAGATTTCTCAGGTAAAGAAAGGAAAAGGGAATGCAGAGAAAGATGGAAAGAAAATGCTCATTCTTGTATTTCTACTAAGGTGAAGACATTCCAGAGCCCAGTGAAGAAAGAATAATCAGAATATTATTTGAAAGGTTTTTGTTCTTCTCTTAAAAATAAGGAATGCAAGCTTATTGGATAATAATGTAAATATAATATATTACTTACATATTATTATATATTATTTATGTATTATATAAATATAATATCAAAAATAATATAAAATAAGTCATTCCCAAGAATGAGTATTTATTGTGGGCCTTTGGGTACTGAGTATTGTGAATTATTGGCTATTTTTCAAGGGTCATACAGCTAAATCTATATAATAATTGTTTTTATATATTTGTATGTTTTTTATTAATTCCTTGAATCATTCCTTTAGAATACATTTGTTGATAGTCCACTGAATTTGAGGCATTTTTCTAAAAGCTAAAGGTACATAAAGAATTAAAACGTGATCCCTATTCTCAAAATGCTCAGGCAAGCTATAAGGTTAATGACCGCTCCAGGCATTCAGTGGAAAGGACACAGGAGTGCCACTAGGGGAAAACACCATGGGAAAGGGAATATTTCAGGTATCTGTTTAATTATAATTTACCAAGGGAGGAAAGGTATCACCTTACTTAGTACTATCCAATCCAAGATGTTTAAAGAAACTTTAAAAAATGACAGTGGTTTAAAGATATTAAAGGTGTTATATGTGCCATATGGAAGCATGGATTGTAACACTTGTATCCAATTCTTCTTCTACATAAGGGTGTGTTTGTAGGCCAGTCACTTTACGAGTAATACTCTCTTTTTGTCTAGACTATGAACTTTAAAGCATAAGACCCACAAGGGCAAGTTTATCCCCGAAGTGTGTTTGTATTAATTATGGTGCATTTAGCTCTAAATAACAAACAATCTAAATCAAACTAAAACATCAAAGCAAATTTGGGGTTCACAGAATTGAAAAATGCAAGACCTCAGGCAGGGTTTGATCAGGGTTATCGTTCAATTTTTCAAGGGTTTTCTAATCTTTATTTTTTTATGGATGTTGGTTTCAACACACATTTCTCATAGCAGTGGCAGGCTATCAACAGCAACTACTACTTCTAATTGTTTCCTTGTTTCCATACATGTCCAGAAAGAGAGAGGACAAAGAGAAAGAGAGAAAGAGTGACAGACAGAGAGAGAGATAGAGAGATAAAGAATGAAGAGAAGGTATGTTCTTTCCTGCAGTCATCATGCAAAATAACTGGACTTTTTACTAATTGAGTCATTTCTGAACCAATTCCTGTAGATAGGTTAATGCCATGTGATGATTGACCTAGGCTTTGATTAGCTGAACCTATCACTATGTCAACATAGAATTCCTGTGATTGGATTAAGTCCCTAGACCCGAGAGTGGGAATGCTATGGAAGGAGAAGGCAGGAGAGTGAGTCAGAGTGATGCTATGACAAAGGTGTTAAGGGACAAAGATAGCATCTCCTTTGCTCTGTTTTCGTATCACTTCATTGAAAGTTACCAAATAATTTGAATTTGTACATATTTTCTTTCATTCAAAATAGCTTTCAGAAAACAACACATAAATTTCATCATAAGCACAGGAACTTCTGATGTTATCTCCATTTTTGATGAAATTGACACCGAAGTCAGAGGCAAAAAGTTGTGTTTAGAGCCTGGTACTACTTGAATTTCACAATGGCATGGGCCTTCTTGAAACATCAGGGGGCACTTTGAGGGATTGATAAGATTTTCAAAATGGTACGTGAATTCCACCAAAATGAGAAGCGGGAAAAACAGTCTAAGAGCTGACATTACTATTGACTTTTATTTTAAGTAACATAGAGTAGAATTACTTCACATAATACTTTGAAATATTCTGTGGATAAAATGTTTCACCAGTTTCTTTTAACTTAAAGATATAATTAAAGGCAGTAGGAAAAAAAATGACTTGGTGCTGACACTGTATGGTGTTTCCCCAACTTTTTCTGTATTTTAAGTGCATTTCCTCCTTATGTTATTGTTTTTAATACAGGCCATAGACTATTTCATGTCTTACAGAAGAACAACATAGGTTCAGGACTGAGACAGCATTTTCTGAGTGTGACAGATTTGCTTACTGTCATAGGGAGTGCAGTAACCTTATCAATCACAAATTTATTTTGTGATTCTTTAGACTGAGTCTTGGTTTACCCTACTTAATGAGTTATAAAAATTGAATGAGATAATGTCCATGAATACACTTATCAGTTCCTGACTCCGACCCTCCCTCCCTCTCTTCTTCCCTCCTTGCTTCCTCGCCTCCTTCCCTTCCCATTCTCACCTCTCCCTTTGTTATTCTCTTCTCTTAAATTAATATTTAAATCATTAAGCTGTAATGCAACTGCAGAAACATATAAACTGCTTGTAATAGAACTAAACTATTGATGACCCAATATTAACTATTGTTCAAGTATGTTTTGGAATAATTTTGCCCCCTCACTGTGATCTTTGTCCACTGGCGTTGCTGCACTGATTATGCTACATTAAATGGCAAAGAAGGCTTTCAAGATGGTATTACACTTGCTCTTCAACTGACTTTAAAATAAGGAGATTATCCTGGTTGTTAGAGTGGGCCCCTTGTAATCACAGGAGTCCTTGTAAGTGGAAAAGGAAAGCAGGGAAGCCTGTTAGAGGGGTGTGGCTTGAGAAGAACTTGACCAGCTGGTTACTGGCTTTAAAGATTTAAAAGAGGGCCAAAAACTAGGAATGTAAGTGGCCTTTAGGAACTGAAAATGATCCTCATCTGACAGATATTTTAGTCCTACAATCACAAGGAACTAAATTCTGCCAATACCTGAATAAGCAAGAAAAACAATTCTCCCCTAGAGCTTCCAGAAGGGAATGTAGCCCTGCTGAGACCTTGGTTTTAGCCTGGTGAGACACATGTCTGTCTTCTCACCTACAGAAAATAATGCACGTTGTGTTGTGCCATGAAGTTTATATGATGGCAGCAAAAGAAAATGAATCCACTAACCTACTCACCTACTTCAAAATGATTGGATACTTAACACCAGACTCAAAAAATAGAGGTGAGAGGTGGGGTAGAAGAGAAGATACTTGTTTATTAAATGTGTTGGATGGAAAAAGAAGTCTTGACCCATAGCTTCATTTTCTCCTGGACCACAGCAGTGTTAGTCCATTTGCGTTGCTATTCAGGAATACCTGAGACTGGGTAATTTGTAAAGCAAAATGGTTTATTTGGCTCATGGTTCTGCAGGATGTACATGAAGCATAGTGCCAGCACCTGCTTCTGATGAAGGCCTCAGGAAGCTTACAGTCATAGTGGAAGTTGAAAGGGAGCCAGCATCACATGGCAAGAGAGGGAGCAAGAGAGATGCCAGACTCTTTTAAACAACAAGCTCTCTATAACTCACAGAATAAGAGCTCACTCATTACCATGGGGAAGTCAAGCCAAACCATTCACGAGGGCTTCACTCCCATGAGCCAAACACCTCCCACCAGGCTCCACCTCCAACATTGGAGGTCGCGTTTCAACATGAGATATGAAGGAAACAAAACATCCAAACCATATCAACAGCTAATCTGTATCAGGGTACTGTCCTGTTTAAGGGTACAGATTCTGTTGAAAGCTATGGGGAATATTTGGGTCTCAAAGTATAAACTGAGTAATCAACGTACACACTGCTCAGCCTGCAGGAAGGCTCTCTCCTCTAGTAACGTTCTCTCCTCGTCCCCCACTCTCCTAGACAGAACCAGAAGTTGTTTGGAAAGGCTCTGTCTAGGCCAAACTTATGAGAAGCAGCAGCTGATTGCTCACTGGTGTGTTTTTTTCTTAAGACCTATGAGCACTACTCCAATTATTATTGACTATACAAACTTAGTTTGCTTAAAAGAAAATATTAATTATTGCTACAAATTTAAAGGGAAAAAAAGCTTATGGTGAAGAGAGCAGTGACCAGCATAACATGCTCACTTTTGCTTTTCATAAGCAAAGGCCATTCATAAATAGGCTGACATTTGCTAACTTTTCTTCATCTTCTAAAGTCTTATAGTCAAAGAACTAAAAAATAAAATAAAATGAACAACTCCTGTCTTTCCAGAGAAATCTGTCAACTCAGATCAATCCAACAAATGTTTATTGGATATCTAGTATTAAAATGGTTTTAAAAATATTATAATAATAACCATCACTTATTGACTACCATGTACTGTTTTAATAGGTTTATATTTAAAATTTCATAATGATCTCATATAACAGACATAATTATTAGTTCTATTTGATAGGCTGGGAAGGCAAGACATTGCAACAATGTGTTAAATATGCTGAGAGATCCAGAATGAGTAAGACTCTCCTTCTACCCTCAGAAAAACTATAATCCCAGAGACACAATCAGCCAATAATATAGTACTCTCATAATATATACTGAAGCCAGAATTGGGGTTATTTAGTTTTTATAAATGGATAGAGGTGATGCCTGCATAGCAGGGCACGAACGGCTTTATGGATTGAGTGGCATCTGCAAAGTTTCTGGAAGAATATTGTTATTGGCTCTATTTACTGAGCAATTAACAAGCACGAGGCTCTGCATATATCTTGTCTGTAATCATTATAATTGTACTCATAAGAAGGGTATTATTATTCCTATTTTATAGATGAAGAAATCTATTCAGATAATTCATACTTGAGCATGCCTCAGAATTATATCAAATGCTTACTAAAACAGATTTCTGGTATCTAGTTCCAGAGATTTTTATTTAGTAGGTCTGAAGTGGGGCTGGAGATTTTGCATTTCCACTGTGTTCTCTGGTAATGCTGATGTTACTAGTCTCAGATCACACCTTTGGAAGAGCTGGTTTAGGTTATTTGACCCAAGTTTTACATGGTTAGTTAGCAGTAGGATTAGGACTTGAGATTTGAATGCAGGTCTTGCAGGGCTGTCTGTCTGAGTCAAAAGCCTGCATGTATTCTTGCCGTTGAAGTTCTACATCCTGTAAGTTTATTTGGTGAATAAAAGCATTACGTCAGTTCACTTGTCTAGTACTCATCTTCTCCCACTCTTTCTCCCCCACATTAATGCAACCTGTTTTTCTTTTCTGTAGCTTAGGACAATCATTTGCTTGCTTTGCAGTTATGCATTTTCTAGAACAGGTCAGGAGAGACACTCAGAATAACTCAGTATATCAGAAAGTGACATCTACAAAAACGACCTCAAATGAAAATTAAAGATTACCATTTAAAGTATAAATTCATCTTTGATAGCATCTATATTTCAATAACAAGCACCCATTTTTATCCTGCTGTGTACTGTACATTTGTACATTGATTTATTAAGGTTTACAAACCCCCACACATTTGCACTAATTTCCTTGGTCCTCACTGTAACTCTGTGCACATTTTCAGTACAATTTTTGCATCACTTTTCACACAGGAAGCACAACATCAAAAAGTTAAGTGGCTTCCTCAAGGTCCATTGGCTGATAATTTCAAGACTTGTTGGTCTTATTTTTTTATTATTTTTCTTTTTTGAGACAGTGTCTTGCTTTGTCACCCAGGCTGGAGTGCAGTGGCATGGTTTCAGCTCACTACAACCCCCACCTCCCAGGTTCAAGCAATTCTCCTGCCTCAGCTCCTGAGTAGCTGGGATTACAGGCACCTGCCACCTCACCTGACTGATTTTTGTATTTTTTCTAGAGGTGGGATTTCACCATGTTGGCCAGGCTGGTATTGAACTCCTGACCTCAGGTGATCCATCCGCCTTGGCCTCCCAAAGTGTTGGGATTACAGATGTGAGCCACTGTGCCCGACCCACTTGTTGGTCTTCTGAATTTCCTTGTAGTACCTATTCTCGCTGGTGAACAAGGCATTCAAATGCATCTTTAAGAATGATTTAAAGCAATAAGGCTTTCTGATAAGAGACAGTTTTTTATTTAAAATATGATTATCCTTCATTGCTGAAATAATTCTCTAATAAGGAATTAAAAATGAGATTTTATTAGAGGAAGCAGAGGAAGTCAAATTTTCAGTTTTAATCTGATTGCTGACATTAATACAGAGGACTATATATAGGAAAGGCAAATGAAAATTCAGCACTAAATTCATTTTTTCAGTATACATATACCTCTAATAATTTCATGCATATGACTAGAGATTTAATGGATCTTCTGCCCGGAATGATGATTATCCTTTTATGAAATAATCTAGAACACAAGTATCCTGAAAGACTATCGTTTTCACTTGCATTGAGTAGGGAGACTCAATTCTACCTCTTGCAAGGCTTTAGCACTAAGAGGAGCAAAGTTGGTAAAGTGATACTCCTTCCTTTATATGGTAATTGAAGAAATTTCTGTTATTGAGCCTTCCTAGACTTAACTGCATTACCCTAGGGCACTTAAAGAAAGAAGTCCCTAATGCAGCAGGAGATCCTAAAAGTAGAACAAAAATTTCATAGTCTTTTATATCAAGAGAGACCTCTGTTTTGTGCCTGAGGTCCATTCAAATCTAAATCCACTCAGCCCCCTATTTTACACTTATAAAAACCAAGCTTTTGAACATATTTTACTTCTCCTATTTGCCTCTGAGGAACTATCACAAAATGAACCACATGTTTAACATGGCAAATTATGTTACTTATATAATAGGATTCTTGAAAACCTGAAGCACTGGGTATTGAAAGAAACCACAGAGGGGGAAGATTGTGGTGGAACTTATTACCTAAGGTTTTTTTAGCTTGAGCTTTGGGGAAGAAACAACAGTGATGTATCTAGTCCTCCGTGCTTTGCAGCAAAGGTAAGTTAACTCAGTGTAGGAAAAGGGGTCAAGCTTTTTCTGTAGCAAACAGACAAAGTTGAAAGCAACAAAGGCTTGCAAGTGGTGGTCCCAAGCACTACCCAAAGAGCAAGCCCCTTGTGTACACTGTGGAGAGGTCTGAGGTCACACGTTGGTTCTTTTAGCAACCTCTTGCATGGAGGAAAGAGCATGGTCACAGACTTCATCTTCAAATGCAGGGCTGATGACGCACATTGCCAAGGTCCTGCTCCTCACACCTGAACAGATGACAGGATTTACATTTCTCTGTTCACCAAGTTGTTGATCTCCTATGAGTAGCACAGTCAGAGGCATCTTTTTTGTTCTATATTGGGAAAAATACATCACTATAGCTGAGCTTAGAGAATCCTAAAGATAAAAGTGCATCCCAAAGCTAAATTTCAAAACTTATTTTGTATCTGGAATCAAGGTGTTTAAGTAACAGGAATACATGCTTGTACAAAAATTCATTTTACTAATGTTCATCGAGACTCTAATGACAACAGTTTCACATCTTAATAGCTGCAGTTGCACAGCACAGAAGCTTAGTAGTTCATTTTTTCTCAATTAGCCTTCCCCAAAGATGCTGAATATTCAGCATAATTATTTTAGGGCCCCCAAAAATTGTCTTCAGTTTTAACAGTAATGGCACCCTATGGTTAATTACTTAGGGAGATAAGACCTGAAAGAGTTTGGTGGGTTTTTTTTTTTCCCATTTACTGTACACTTTTGAAACCAAAGTTAATAAAGCAAATTGTGTGTAATATAGTTAAAGGAAAGTGTCAGAAGTTTAGAATACAAGTTTGCATAGCTTTTGCTTAAAAATGTGATTATCCAAATGAAGTAATGGTTTATTTTTGCTTTATTCTTTCTTTAAACGTAAATTGCATATCACCTAAAGTGGGTCCTGTCAAAGAGACAAAACTGTAAACCCTGACATAAAGCAGTTGCCCATCTAGTTGGAAATACTAGCAACAAACTTTGAGGTACAGAGACTCTGCCCAGAAAAATGCCTGGCAAATTGTAAGATCTTAATAAGCAGGTGTTTAGTGAATGAATATTTAATAAAAATAATTTAGATAAATAATAAATAAATAAAACATTGGCAAATGGTTGCACCAATAAATATTACACAATTGTGTCATAGGTGTTAGAGAGAGAAACATGAATTCAAAAAGTTTGAGAAGGCCTATTTGAGCCTGTTTGCTTATCTGTAAAATATCTATTTATATCAGCTTGATGAGAGCATAAAATGAATTGAGATCATCTGTGATATTACTTTGTAAACCACAAATTTATCCCCAATAATAGAACATTGTATTTCGTAAGGAAAAAGTGGAACTCAGCCTCAAATAGCGAGCATGATTCAGCTGGCCAAGAATGCAGTAAACACACATTTCTATGGTTGAAGAAAAGAGCAAGGCATGTCTAGGAGACCACAGATGACCAGTATATTTGGCTAAGTTTATATGTTGAGTTCAGAATTGAAATTTCAAAGGCAAACTGTTGTTAGAAGGATAGAAAGTTAGCATTTAATCTTACAGTGACTCAGTGAAGATTTTCACATTGGCAAACAGCTTGATAAACCTGATGTTTTAACAGTAAAATCTGAATAGGCAGAATTGCAACAGGGTGGTAAATAGGAAGAACTGCAAATAAAGAGAGGTTAAAGTCTGGAAATCCACCAGCAGACTGTTATCTCGGTTGAAATGATATTTACTTGAACTCAGTAAGACAAGACATGAACCTTGAGTAGGTAAGCACTTATGGTGATCAATACATCCGTTGCATAATATATAAAAGGCAGAAGGCATAATAAGTTCATTGCAATTGGTGTTTCTTCATATTTAAGGAATTAGGAATTAGCCTTTTTCGTGGGGTATGTAACCACATAATTATCAAGACTCTATTCCATTTATTTTCAGATAGAAACTCCTTCCGGTTTTTACTCTCTTCCCATTAAAGCTGGCCTAAATGATCATATTTCACCATTTTTAAAAAGTCTGATTGTTATCAATTACTTAAAATGGATGTTTAATATTGATTGGTGATATATCTCAGGTCAACTGGTGATTGATCAGGCATAATTTCAAAGACAAATAGCAAGCAAAAGTCCTCACTGGGTTGTCTCTGAAAATATGTTACAGAGATATTCTACAAAAGTTGTCAGTAACATGTAAGATATAGAAAGTAAAATAAATATACACTGTTTCTTAGCATGCACATTTTGCTAGGTGATAGATTAAATGTCTGTAATTAACAATAGGAAATAATTTGTTCTAACATCCTAAAACTTTTCATTCTATTTTTTATTCAGGAAGATAAATCACATGCAAATTCTGTTATTAACACTTTCTGTGTAAGAAAAAAATCTTTGAAAATGTGATTTTTATCAGATCTTTGTCATATTTTTCTTCTGAGGACCTATAGGAATAATATAGAAATACACACACACACACACACACACACACACACACACACAGAAACATTTTATCAGTGCCTGACTAAATTTGATTACTGAAAAGTACATAATTTTAAATATTTTTTGGCATATTTGAGAATTATACGTTATAGGCCTTCCAGAAAGGTAGAGAAGGTGCAGGTGCATTTCTTAAAAGAAAGTAACCTCCAAAAGTGAATCCATGAACCAGAGAAGGAAAACACAATTGAAAACAAATGCATGAGAATAATAGACTCGAGAAGCTGCTGGATAATACTGTGAATTTATGCTATAGATCATCTCTAATATGGATATGGATGACTTTTCTCAATACTGATTATACTATGGGAAAGGTATAAATACATAAAAGCTATGAGGAGTGGAGGAGCAGTAGGCTTCAAACTTAGGCATCTGCTGGAAGTCTCATTTTGCTGAAAGTAGAGAATAGATAGTATTCATCAACTGCCTTCTGACATTTTTTTTTCAAAAGTTTTAGGCAGCAAATGAGGAGAAATTATATTTAATTCTTTCAAAAGGATAGACTTTGTTGATGATTAAAACTGTTTGAAAGGATAAAAGTAATTGGTCACAACTTTTTAGAATTTGATGACCCAGAGAAGGAACATACTGTGTGGGTGTAATCAGCTGCTTACAAGTAGAAGAAAGTGCTATTTAGTATACAATGAAATCTCTACTTGATTAGTGAACACTCTTTGAGAGATTGTATTTTATCTGGAAAATGGAAATAATGAGTTATTACTTTATAATCTCTGCACCTCGTTGAGCTGAGCCCCCTATACATTGAAGTGCCTTTAATGAAATGTTCTAGACTTCCTTTAGTGCCTAGGACCAACCAACAGTGCCACCCTTGAAGAGTGCCCTGAGCCCAGAACCAATATCCTGTGCATCTTGGTCACTGGAAGTGCTATTGACAAAATTTTCTAAATTACCTTCTGGCACCTGGGATCAGACAGAGATGGCAATGGTGGGCTGTTCTGAACTCGTTATAGCCCCACCCCTTTCCTCTCTTCTGTCACACCACCCACCACAGACGCAGTTTATCACATGCCCCTCAAAGCTCCAAGACACGTGCCTACGGTCATCTTTGGGCCCTGTACTTTAGTTCCCAGAAGGCAGCCTTGCAAACAAATCACTTCCACTGGCCAGCACAGTATTTCTTTCATGGCATCATTTAAAAGTGGGCTGTCAAAATGCAGCATGCACATTGATTTGGGTTACACAAATTGTGTATGTATATATATATATGCAAGGTTCCACACAAAATACCCACAGCCCTGCAAATCCCATTGGCATTATTATTACTATTCAGAAATACAATTTTAAAGTCATACAATTTTAAAATCATCTAGAATCATGGTTTTATAATCTTTTTGTTTTAACAGTCATCTATAAAATTTAAAACTCCAGTGACTGACATCAGACAGCAAGCTATACTTCCTTAAGAAAAGATATTTGGAAATTGATAATTTGCTGCTATAAAAGTAATAAGTATGATTTCTCAGAAAAGTTACATTCCTTTAAATTAAATATATTTTTGCTTCATGGAAAACTCAATATTTGGCCTTTTTTCCTCCACAATTCACCCTGAACTCACAAAATCTCTCACAGCCTGGCATACCTGCTCTTAAGAAAACCTAAGAAAAATGTCCAGAACTATACAGAAAATACAGTAATACTTCAGTCTCCATAGGGGATCATTGCAGGACCTCTCACAAATACCAAAATCTGTGACTATTCAAGCCTTTGATATAAAATAGTGTCATATCCACATATAACCTATACACATCTTGCCTTATACTTTAAATCATCTGTAGATTACTAAAAATAACTTATACCACGTAAATGCTGTGTACATAGTTGTTATACTCTATTATTTAGGGAATAATGGCAAGAAAAAAGTCTGTATGTGTTCAATTCAGATGCATTTTTTTAAACAAATATTTCTGATTTGCAGTTGTTTGAATCCACAGATGATGAACCCACAGATAGAGAGGGCTAACTGTCCATACTCAGAGAAGAGGGAAGCACAGAGCTGGTGTCTATATGCACTACCCACATATCTTAGTCCTTGAAAATGCCAGAAATTCCACCTTTTCCTTTTTGTACCAAGCAACCACCAAGTATAGTCCACCCTTGTTTTATTTCTTTTCTCTTCACTATCCTCTTCCAACCACAAGCACAACCACAGTTTTAGAGGTCACAACAATAGAAAATGGCCCTGTATAAATGTGAGAATCTGAGAGCTCCAGGTGTACACCATTTTGGGGCTATTGTACATTGGGACTGGAGTCAAAGGATAAGGCATGATTTCAGTAAAGAAGATATTTTTCTCTACTGAATACTCTATTGAGAAATTGATTATATTTTGAAAAGGAAAGAATGACTACAAATGAACATACTAGATAATGATTGTAATTAATTTAGTAATAATAAAACAGGAAGAAGACTTTGTTCATGGAAGTTTCTGAAAGCCATATATAAATCAAAACTACATTATTACTAAATCTGAGATCTCTCAATACTTTATCTTATTAATATGATGATTGTTATAGTTTACTTAAAAACAAGTTTCATTTTTCTGTTTCTTCATTAGAGTTCTAGTTTCCCAAAATATTTGATGTGAGTTGAAAGAAAAATCTAATTAGTGCCTGATATACAAAACAGGCAGATAGAAGTTGGCAGATGTTGATCAATTGGTTTATCTGATATTATCAATGAAAGGAAAATTGCATACAAGAGGAACAAAACTAAGACTACCTATCAATGGAAAGTTTAGAGGAAAGAGATGAAGAGGTCTGTGTCTTATTTTATTTTTATTTTTACTTTAATTTTTATGGGTGCAAAATAGTTGTATATATTTCTGGATTATGTGATATATTTTTATACAGGCATGCAATGCATAATAATGACATCAGGGTAAGCAGAGTACGTATCATCTCAAGCATGTGTCCTTTGTCTTATAAATAATCAAATTATACTCTTTTAGTTATTTCAAATTGTACAATTACATTTTTTTTAATTGTGGTCACACTGTCGTGCTAGCAAATACTAGGTCTTACTCATTCTTTCTAATTATTTTTTTGTACTCATTAACTATCCACACTTTCCCCTCACCACCCCACCTCCCACCCCTGCCAGTACCCTTCTCAGCCTCTGGTAACCATTCTTCTACTCTCTATCTCCATGAGTTTAATTGTTTTAATTTTTGGCTCCCACAAATAAGTGAGAACAAGCAAAGTTTGTCTTTCTGTGCCTGACCTATTTCACTTAACACAATGACCTCAAGTTCTATCCATGTTGTTGCAAATGATCAGATCTCATTCTTTTTTATGGCTGAGAAATACTCCATTGTGTAGATGTGCCATATTTTCTTTATCCATTCATATGTTGATTGACAATTAGGTTACTTACAAGTCTTGGCTATGGTGAATGGTGCTGCAATAAACATAGGAGTACAGATATCTCTTTGATATACTGACTTCCATTCTTTTGGGTATATGCCTAGTAGTGGGATTGCTGGATCATATGGCAGCCCTACTTTTAGTTTTAAGGAACCTCCAAACTATTCTCCATAAAGAACAGTGGGGTTGTGCTAATTTACATTACAACCAATAGTGTATGAGGGGTCCCTTTTCTCTACATCCTCACTAGCATTTGTTATTGCCTGACTTTTGGATAAAAGCCATTTTAACTAGCGTGAGATATCTCACGGTAGTTTTCATTTGCATTTCTCTGATGATCAGTGATGTTGAGTACCTTTTCATATATCTGTTTGCCATTTGTATGTCTTCTTTTGAGAACTGTCCAATCAGGTCTTTTGCCTATTTTTTAATAGGGTTATTAGATTTTTTTCTTATTGAGTTGTTTGAACTCCTTATATATTTTGGTTATTAAATCATTGTCAGGTAGTTTGCAAATATTTTCTCCCATTCTGTGCATTGTGTCTTTGCTTTGTTGATCATTTCCTTTGCTGTGCAAAATATTTTTAACTTGAAGTCATTCCATTTGTCCATTTTTGCTTTTGTTGTCTATGCTTGAGTAGGGTATTACTTGAGAACATTTTCCCAGTCAATGTCCTGGAGAGTTTCCCTAGGGTTTTCTTGTAGTTGTTTCATAATTTGAGTCTTAGATTTAAGTCTTTAATCTGTTGAGATTTGATTTTTGTATAATACAAGAGATAGGAGTTTAGTTTCATTCTTTTGCATGTGGATTTTTAGTTTTCCCAGCACCATTTATTGAAGACACTGTCCTTTCTCCAGTGTACGCTCTTGGTGCCATTGTCAAAAATGAGTTCACTGTGGGTGTGTGGATTTTTTTCAGGGTTCTTTATTAATTGGTGTATGTGTCTGTTTTTATGCTAGTTACATAAATGCTGTTTCGATTACAACAACTTTGTAGTATAATTTGATCTCAGGTAATGTGATTCCTCCATTTTTTTTCTTTTTGTGTAGAATAGTTTTGGCTCTTTGTTTTTTTTGTGGTTTCATATAAATTTTAGAATTGTTTTCTCTATTTCTGTGAAGAATGTCATTGGTATTTTGATAGGGATTGCATTAAATCCATAAATTGCTTTGGGTAGTATGGACATTTTGACAATATGGACTCTTCCAATCCATAAACATAAAGTATTTTTAAAATTTTTTATGTGTCCTTCAATTTCTTGAAGTTTTATAGTTTTCACTGTACAAATGTTTCACTTCTTTGGTTAAGTTAATTCATAAGTACTTAATTTTATTTGTAGCTATTGTAAATGGGATTACTCTAAATGCTACTGATTTTTGTATGTTGATTTTATATCCTGCAACATTACAGAATTTTGTTTACCAGTCCTAATAATTTTTTGATGGAATCTTTAGGTTTTTCCAAATATAAGATCATATCATGGCAAACAAGGATAATTTCACTTATTCTTTTCCAATTTTGATGCCTTTTATATTTTTCTCTTGTATGATTGCTCTAGCTTGGACTTTCAGAACTCTGTTGAATAACTGCGGTGACAGTGACCATCTTTGTCATGTTCCAGATCTTAAAGAAAAAGCTTTCAGTTTTTCCCTATTCAGTATGATACCAGCCGTGAGTCTGTCTTATGTTGCTTTCATTATGTTGGGATATGTTCCTTCTATACTCAGTTTTCTGAGAGTTTTTATCATAAAGGGATGTTGAATTTTAACAAATGCTTTTACAGAATCCATTAAAATGATCTTAAAGTTTTTGTCCTTCATTCTGTTGATATGATGTATCATAGTAATTGATTTGCACATGTTGAACCATCCTTGCATCCCTGGAATAAATCCCACTTGGTCATAATGAAGAATCCTTTTCATGTGTTGATAAATTCAGTGTACTAATATTATATTGAGGATTTTTTGCCTCACTCTTCATTAGTGATATTGGCCTCTAGTTTTCTTTTTGTGATGTGTCATTGCCTGATTTTGGTATCAGGGTAATACTGGCCTTGTCAAATGAGTTTGGAAAGTATTCCCTTCTCCTCTTTTTTATTTTTTTTGGAATAGTCTAAAATGATAGGTATTAGTTCTTCATTAAATGTTTGATAGATTTCAGTAGCGAAGCCATTATGTCTTAAGCTTTTCTTTGCTGGGAAACTTTTTATTACAACTTCAATGTTCTTAATTGTTATTGGTCTGTTTAGGTTTTGGATTTCTTCATAGTTCAATCTTGGTAGGTTGTATGTGTCTAGAAATTTATCCATTTCTTCTAGATTTTCTAATTTGTTGGCATGTAGCTGCTCATAGTAGCCACAGATAATCCTTTCAATTTCTCTGGTATCAGTTGTAATGTCTTCTTTTTCATCTCTGATTTTATTTATTTGGATATTCTCTCTTTTTCTTCTTCAGTAGTCTATCTAAAGGTTTGTGAATTTTGTTTATCTTTTCAAAAAAACAACTTTTTATTTCATTGATCTCTTGTATTATTTTCTCCTTTTCAAATTCATTTGTTTCTGATCTAATCCTTATTATTTATTTTCTTCTACTAATTTTGAGTTTGGTTTACTTTTGCTTTTTCAGTTCTTTAAGATGCATTGTTATGTTATTTATTTGAAGGTTTTCTCTTTTTTTGATGTAGGGACTTATAGCTACAAACTTCCCTCTTAGTAATGCTTTCACTGGATTCCATAAATTTTGTTGTGTTTTCTTTCCATTATCATTTGTTTTAAGATAGTCTTCAACTTTCTTTTGATTTCTTCATTAACCCACTGGTCATTCAGGGGCATATTGTTAAATTTCCAAGTGTTTGTATAGTTTCCAAAATTCCTCTTGTAATTGCTTTCTAGTTTTATTCCATAGTGGTCAGAGAAGATGTTTGATAATATTTCAAATTTTTCTTAATGTTTTAAGAGTTATTTTGTGACCTAATGTATTGTCTACCCTTGAGAATGATTCATTTTTCTCATGTGATGAGGAAAAGAATATGTATTCTGCAGCCATTGGGTAAAATATTCTGTAAATATTTATTAAGTTCACTTGTTCTGTAGTACAGTTTAAGTCTGATGTTTCTTTGTTGATTTTCTATCTGAAAGATCTGTTCAGTGCTGAACATGGGCGGTTGAAGTCTCCAGCTATTTTTGTATTGTTATCTATCTGTCTCTTTAGCTTTAATAAGATTTCTTTTTTATACCTGCATGCTCCAGTGTTGGGTGCATATATAGTTGCAGTTGTTTTATTCTCTTGTTGAATTGATTCCTTTATCATTATATAGTGACCTCCTTTTTTCTTCTTATAGTTTTTGTCTTGAAATCCATTTGGTCTGATATAAATATAGTGACTTCTTAGTTTTTATTTTTTTGTTTTCCGTTGGCATGGAATACCCTTTGCATCTTTTTATTTTCTGTCTATGTATGTTTTCACAGATGAAGTATGTTTCTTGTAGGCAACAGATTGGTGGTTCTTGTTTTTTTGTCCATTCAGTCACTCTATGTCTTTTGACTGGAGAGTCCATTTACATTCAATGTTATTGTTGATAACTAAGAATGTCCTCCTGACTACTGCCATTTTGGTATTTGTGTACCGGTTGTTTTGTGTTCTTCTCTTCCTTCTTTCCTTCTTTCTTGTCTTCCTTTTAGTAAAGGTGATTTTCTCTGGTGGTATGATTTCATTTCTGACTTTCTTTTTTTGTATGTATCTGTTGTATGTCTTTTGATTTGAGGTTACCATGAGGCTTGCAAATACTATCTAGTAGCCCATTATTTTGAGCTGATAACAACTTAACACTGCATAAACAAGCCAAAAGAAAACCAATAAAAACTTCACACTTAACTTTGTCCCTGTATTTTTTTAAACTTTTTGTTGTTTCTATTTATATTGTATTGTACTATGTCTTGAAAAGTTGTTGTAGTTATTATTGTTGATTGATTTATCAATTAGTCTTTCTACTTAAGAGTAGTTTACACACCACAGTTACAGAGTTATAATAGTCTGTGTTTTTCTATTTACTTATGATTACTACTGAGTTTTGTACCTTCAGATGATATCTTATTACTCATTATCTTCCTTTTCTTTCTGTTTGAAGTACTCCCTTTAGCATTTCTTATAGGATGGGTCTGGTATTGATGAAATCTCTCAATTTTTGTTTGTCTAGGAAGGTCTATCTCCTTGATGTTTGAAGGATATTTTCACCAGATATACTATTCTATAGTTTTTTTTTCCTACAGCAATTTAAATATGTCATGCCACTCTCTCCTGGCTTGCAAGATTTCCACTGAAAAGTCAGCTGCCAGACATATTGGAGCTCCATTGTATTTTTTTTCTCTTGCTGCTTTTAGGGTCCTTTGTTTAACCTTGACCTTTGGAGTTTGACTATAAAATGCCTTGAGGTAGTCTTCTTCAGGTTAAATTGGCTTGGTGCTTTATAACCTTCTTGTACTTAAATATTGATTTCTTTTTCTAGGCTTAAGACATTCTCCTTTTACCCCTTTGAATAAACTTTCTATTCCTATTTATTTCTCTACTTCTTCTTTAAGGCTAATAACTCTTAGATTTGCCCTTTTGAGGCTATTTTCTAGATCCTGTAAGTATGCTTCATTGTTTTTTATTCTTTTTTCTTTTGTTTCTTCTGACTGTGTATTTTCAAATAGTCTGTCTTCAAGCTCACTGAGTCTTTCTTCTGCTTGAACTGAGTCTTTCTTTCTGCTATTAAAAGATTCTGCTGTGTTCTTCAGTATGCCAATTGCATTTTTCACTTCTAGCATTTCTGCTTGATCATTTTAAATTATTTAAATTTTGTTAAATATTTCTGATAAAATTCTGAATACCCTCTCTGTGTTATTTTGAATTTCTTTGAGTTTCCTCAATTTTTTTTAAATTTTTTGTCTGAAAGGTAACATATCTTTGTTTCTCCAGGAGCTGTCCCTAGATAAGTTCCTGGTGCCTTATCTAGTTCATTTAATGAGGCCTTATTTTCCTGGATTATCTTGATACTTGTAGATGTTCATCTGTGTCTGGGCATTGAAGGGTTAAATATTTATTGTAGTCTTCACAGTCTGGGCTTGTTTGTAACCATCCTTATTTGGAAGGCCTTCCAGGTATTCAGAAAGACTTGGGTGTTGTGATCAAAGCCATGTCTGTATTAGGGGCACCACAAGCCCAGTCATGCTGTGGTTCTTGCAGACTTGTAGGGATACTGCCTTCATGGTCATGGATACAGTCTGGGAGAATTACCTGGATTACCAGACAGAGAGTTATTTTTGTTCTCTTTCTTTACTTTCTCCCAAACAAATGGAGTCTCACTTTCTGCTGTGAGCCACCTGAAGCTGGGGATGAAGTGATACATGCTCCCCTGTGGCCATCACCACTGAAAATACACTTGGTCAGACCTGAAGCCAGCACAGCACTGAGTCTCATCCAAGGCCCATTGTAACCATTACCTGACTACCACCGGTGTCTGCTCAAGGCCCTGGGGCTCTAAAATCAGCAAGTAATGAAGCCAGCAGGCTTTTGTCCTTCCCTTCAGGGCAGCAAGTTCCCCATGGTTGCCTGGGGTGGGTCCAGAGGTGCTGTCCAAGAGCCAGGGACTAGAGTCAAAAACCTTAGAAGTTTACTTGCTGTTCTATTATATTGCAGCTGAGCTGGCACTCCAACTACACAACAGAGCCCTTATCACTCTTCCCTTCCCTTTCCACAAGCAAAGGAGCCTCACCCTATAGCCCCCATCACCATAAACCCATGGGAAGTACTGCCAGGCTACTGCAGACATTTCCTTGTGGTCCAAAGGCTTTTTATTCAGCTTGTGGTGAATTCTGCCTTGCCTGGAACTCACTCTTCAGGGCAGTGGGCTCCTCTCTGGCCCAGGGAAGTTTCAGTAATATGATCTAAGAGCAATGACCTGGAATTGGGAACCCGAAGAGCCCACTTGGTGCTCTACAAATATGTGGTTTAGCTGGTAGCTATGGTGCAAGACAAAGTCCCTTTTACTCACTTTTCTCAAGCAGAAGGAGTGTCCTCATAGACACCCCATCTGGGAAAGTACTGAGTCTCACCTGAAGCCGGCTAGTTTCAGAATTTTATGTAAGGCCCATGGAATACTAACTGCTTATAGCTGCTGGTTATTCAGGGCCCAAAAGCTCTTTAATCAGCAAGTGATGGGTTCTGCTGGGGCTTGATCCTTCCCATCAAGGTACTGAGTTCCTTTCTTGCCCAGACTGTGTCATCTTGGAGCTAGGGCCTAGAAAGGGGGCTTATGACTCCAACAGGTACCCTGCCCTGCTATGGTTGAGCTGGTATCTAAGACGCAAGACAAAATCCACTTTACTCTTCTGTCTCCCCTCTTTAACCAGAATGAAGGAGTCTCTTTTAGAGCTGCAAGCTGTGCAGCCTGGAGCTGAGGGAGAGATGGCACAAGCACTCCCTTAGCCACCCCAGCTGGTGTCTCAATAGGTTGTGTGCCCACCAAGTCCTCTGTCTCTGAGCCCAGCTCAGCACTAGGACTGACCTAGAATTTACAGTACTTGTGGCCTAGACTGCCTTTCAAGTTTATTTAGAACCCCAGAACACTTTAGTATGTAGTGATGAAGCTTGCCAGGACTTAAGTTCCAACCTCAAGGTTGAGCTCCTCTGGCTAGGGCTGGTTTAAATACTCTCTCCATGGGCATGTGTCAGCTGAGCTCAGCTCAATTTTGCTTTCTGTTATGACAGGGCAGCACTGAATTAAATGCAATGTCTCAGGATTGCTGGGTTCTTCCTCTCCCAAGTACATAGATTCTCTCTCCACACCTTGCGGCCACTGCCATGGGATGGGGGAGAGGTGGCATCATTGAGTCAAGACTGCCTTTTCTACCCTCTTCCATTGACTTTTATGGATATGACGTTAAAAACAGGTTCTGTGAGTGCTCACATGATTTTTGGTTCTATGAAGATTCCTTTTTATTGTGTAGATATTGTTAAATTAGTATGCTTATGAGAAGATGATCAGTGAAGCCTTTAATTTGGCCATCTTGCTCCATTCCTTTAGAGGTCTATATTTTAAACAGTGCCAGTCTAGAGCTCTGGACAGCACAAAAAGTGACCAGAAATGTGATATTGAATAATTTGTGTATTAATCTCAAAATTTATAGAATAAAAAAACTAAAGTAAATTATCTTTAGGATCTTTTACAGCTGTAATATTTAATACTTTAAGGTCATAATTTATGTCATTCTATCAGGTAAGATCTGATAGTACAATACTAATATTAAGGAGGGAAATAATAAATTTGGGTAGATAAATTGTAGTATTATATTACTGTGCCCAGTTAGCAATACTTTTTTATTGTATATAAACCAAATTTATAATTAATAAGAGTACATTTCTTCAAAAGGAATATATAAAACCACTTTAATACATAAAGGTTTCTTTCTGCAATGTTTTGCTTAATTTCCCACTAGATCTTATTAAAATGTATATAATTATACACACACACATATTGACCAACAACCTCATGCAATTGGTTAACATTTGTTAAAACTTGGAATAATTTGTCTACTGCTGCTTTAAAATTGAAAAAATGTGAACTCAGAGGAAAAACTCGTCAGATCAAAAAGTATGCATTACTTTGAAAGGAACAGATATACCTAGCATTATTGATTAAGCCATGGAAAGAAAAATGTTATGGGGGAGTAAATATAAAATTGAGTGAAAAATCACTGAAATATAATACTTGACTCCAATGATACTATATCAAAAGGAGCTAAATTAGAGATAATGTAATTTCAAATTTTACAGAGTTTATTGGAGTCTTTCCAAATTGCACAGGTGTAATCTTTTGGATTCAAGAGAGATACTCTGTTGGCAATGCAGGGAAACAGGTGGAAAAAATAAACCATCTTATGATAATGTGTGAAGAGTAGCAAATATTGATGGCACATTGACATGATTAATAGGATGTCGGATTATTAGAAGGAAAACAAAATTGGCAGCATTAGTACTTGAAAGAGGAACAGCTGAAAGAACTATTGAAGGAGCAGTTGGTGAGAAGAGAGAATAGATACTGTCTCAAAAACTGAATTGGAAAGATCTGTTAGAAAATTAGGAAATCTACTATTTCAGTGGCTTCTAAGAATAAACATTTACATTACTTTTGTTAATAAGTTACACTTTCCAAAACATTTTAATTAATTATGTCTAATTTAAGAAGCGCAGTGGCTCATGCCTGTAATCCCAGCACTTTGGGAGGCCGAGGTGGGCGGATCATGAGGTCAGCATATCGAGACCATCCTGGCTAACACGATGAAACCCCGTCTCTACTAAAAATACAAAAAATTAGCAGGGCGTGGTGGCGGGCGCCTGTAGTCCCAGCTACTCGGGAGGCTGAGGCAGGAGAACGGTGTGAACTCGGGAGGCGGAGCTTGCAGTGAGCCGAGATAGTGCCACTGTACTCCAGCCTGGGTGACAGAGCAAGACTCCGTCTCAAAAAAAAACAATAAAAATAAAAAAAAGAAGTGCTAATGGTATCTTCATTTTTAGGGTGAGAAAGCAAGTATATAGACTATTTAAGGGGCTTTCTAAATTAGTATAGGCTGTTGTAAAATTGATATGAGAAAACAGGTAATCTTGTTTCCAGGAGGCTCATTGTACCATTGGATTTACTAGACATATGTTGGACATTTTTGTAAGCACAGAGATATAAGATGGATTTGGAAAGTCAAAGAGAAAGTTATTACTTATTAGGTTTAGTTACAACATTTATATACATAGGTAAACATATTTTAGGAAGCTAGAAAGAGACATCATTAGAAACAGTAAGAAAGAGAAGAAAACTAGTAAAAAATACTTAAGGGTAGAAGAAACCTGTATGTGAAAAACATTGGACTGGATGTAGAAAAACATGACTAGAAAAGATTCAAAAGGCATCTAAAACATAAGAGGAAATTTATATGGAGGCAGCCTTTGTGTTTAAATCTTTGTGAGCTCGCTCCCCTTTATTCTATACCTTTTCTCCTACTTCTCTTCATGAACTCAAACTTGGTTCTAAACTCAATGTTGCACCTTCTTCTAGATCCCTAATATTTGGTAAAACCTGGCTCATCAACCCCAGAGGCTTATCACAGACAAATCCCGTTCATCTATTCTAATGTCATTTTTTTTTTGCATACAATTTCTTAGAAGTAATTTCTTTGTTCTCAGATCTTCTATAACATGTTTAGAAATATTCTTTGATAAGCTAGATTTTTAATATACTAAAATTTACTTTGTGGTTAATTCTGTTTATTTTCTACACAGTAAGCAAGAGACTTCAAAAATTGTTTTTTAGCAACGGGGTCTCACTATATTGTAAGGGTTGGACTGAGACTTCTGGGCTAAAGCAATCCTCCTGCCTCAGCCTCCCAAGTATCTGGGACTACAGGTATACACTGCCATGCCTCACTAAGAGTTAATTTTTTAATGTTATGTTTTTAGTATCTGTACCTAGCATTGTAGCATTGTGTTGTGATTAGTCTTGAATATGTATTATGGAGTGAGTGAATGAATGATTAATTAATTAGTCTTTTAATGAACTACACTATTCCATGTGCTGTAACATACTTGGCAGTAAAGCATCTATTTTGTGAAATATTTAAAACAAATATTGTAAGTAAAAACATTAGCTTAAATTATTCTTTTAAAAAAGAATGAGAATAACTGCCAAATTCCCAAACAGAAAGGCAGTGAGAAAGTGGTGGGAGAGTAAAAAACAAAAATATAGCTATAATATATTTACAAGAAGGATATTTAAATAAATTGACCAAAAAATGTTCAAAATAAAGGATAGAAAACCTATGTTTGTCATATTCAGAATAAGAAGCAAAGTGGCAATATTAAAATTGAAATGTGACTCAATAACAGCATAGGTAAGGAAAATAAAAAATGATGTTATATTTAATTAAAAACTTAAAAATGTGAAGAGATACATTTATGCACCCAATGTATGTAGAGAGCAGACAAATTCATGAAGAAAAGGAAAGTTTTGAAGTTACATGGAATAACTGATGATTAAAAATTATGTTGAATAATTTTACTATCCATGTTTTCAAGTTTGTCAGGCCAAAGATGATGCATAAGGAGGGAGGTGAAGCATTTGATTGATACAATAAAGATCGGGAATTAACACATTCAAAAATATTTCTTGAGCATGAACAATATGCAGATACCTTTCCAGTCAATGGAAATGTAGCAATGCACAAAAAATAAAATAAAAATTTATAAAGTTAAAAGAGAAACTGTGCATTCTTTTCATGGCATATGAAGTTTTCAAAATATTGATCATGTATGAAGGAAAGAAAAAAGTAAAGTAGAAATAGCATTGCCTAATGATTAGTCTTGAATTCTATTGTTGAATAAATGAATGACTAACTCAGTGACTTATTGGCTCTTGATGATAAAAATAATAAACACTAAGAGCTCGGAAAAAATATATTCTAAATAATCTCTGGATCAAAGATGAGGTTACAAAATAAACCTAAAAATTATTTAGAAATAATGAAGAACAATTACGGAGTGACACTAAAGTTGTACCTAGAGGACAATGCATGTTCTTCAGAACTCTTATAATTACAAAAATATATTGTTTAAGATTGCAATTAACTTAAAACCTGGAGGATTAAAGGATAGGTAAACACAATGAAACAAGGCAGGAGGAAGAGTTCTGTAAAGTTGAAATTATGAAACAAAAAGTAATAAGCTGAAAGATGGTTGTTTGAACAGGTTGATAAAATTGAGAAATTTTTGATGAGCCTGATTAAAGAAAGAAGAGATAAAGTTAAAAAATTAAAATACTTAAGGATGATAAAAGACATAACAACTGTAAATATAGGAAGGATTAAAATTTTATGTGCAATTTTTCAGCACTAGTTTAATATTGAGAGTAAATAGTAGTTTTATGGCAATATATAAACTAATGAAATGGACCTAAAGAGTGCAGCAATCATAGAGGAGTTGGAAAGAAAAAGACATGATTTTTAAAACTCCCATGTTCAAATGGTTTGAACACAAAATTTATCTAACTTTTAAAGAACAGATACTTTCTTTCTAAATACTATCCCAGTTCATATGAATTTCAAAAAATATCAATTTTGTTTATGTAAGAGATTACCTTTATATAAAATTTGAAATAATAATAGAAAAAAAGAAAATTATAGATTAAGTAATCATAAATATAATGCTAGAATTATAAATTAGATAATGATAAATTGAATACAGTAGTACATTAAAAGATTAATATACCAACACTAAGTAGGCTATTTCCACTAAATTTGAATATAAATTTTCTGTCAATATTTTCATTTAACACCATTTTGGAAGAGCTAACTAATGAAACAAGACAAGAAGACAAAGTTATACATATAAATACTGAAAATGTACTTACATTTTAAAGAGTATATTTTTGTCTGCCTTAGAAGCATGAGAGACTTGAGGAAAACAAGGTAGAATTAAATAGTTGACTAAGTGTAAGGTAAAAATTTAGCTACAATCTGTTCAAAATACAACTGAAACTAAAATACTGGTATAATACTGAAAACATTGAAAAATGAAAAAGAATAATTTAGAGAGAAAAGTTCAGATCTAAGATTTTGCTGAAGTACAAAAACTACATGTAAATAGACATCACATCACAAAATGTTATGTTGGATTTCAAAGGTAAACTTCATATATTAACAATTTTAATGACAACCAAAATGGAAAAAAAAATAACAAAAATCTTACAAATTAATTTTTTAGTATTCAGTGGGAAGAAAAAAATTCAGAGGAAAATATGAGAATGGCAAAAAGTTTAAGAGAAATTGCTTTATTATTCTATATGAATTTTAAAAATATATCAGTTACTAAAAATAAATTGATGTGATATATATGTAATTTGAAAAAAAGAATTATTTATTTAATAAGTACTACCATGAGTTGGCTACTTATAAGAGAATACCTATGGATTTCTAGTTTCCATAGCAAATACATGTATATTTTACACAGATAAATATCCACAAGAAGAATACAATAAAAATGTAAAACTAAAAGACAAATATTTGGGAGAATATTTGCAATACACATGAGAGACTGATCATTGTACACTTTTCAGTTATATGAAAAGCCTTATAAATGTTAAATGGAAAAGAAACCTCCTTTATCCAGTTTCCCATAGATAAATGATCACATAAAAGTATAATACACATAAAAAGAAATCAAAATGGCAATTATCAAGTACTCTGGCTGCATGATAAAAAAAAAACTAAAATAACAATGCAACCAAAATAATGTTGCCATTTTCACCTGTTCATTAGGTTGACAAATATTTAAACAAAGGGTTCTGATCAAAAAGAAAAGAGAAAAAGATATTGGTACTCCATTACATTATTTGTTAAAGGCTAACTAGCTAAAATATTATATGAAAGTAAAAGTGGCAATTTCATTTAAATGAAAATCTCACATACTCTTTGACCCAGAAATCCCACTTTGAAGAAATTAGTCTCTAGTTAATAGCACCAGAATGTAAAATGATTTTATATAAGAACACATACAAAAATCATATCACAGCATTGTGCGTTATGGCTAGATGTAGAAATTATGACTGTCCTTCAATAATAGAGATCAAATAATTAAGGTAATATAGAATATCATAAAACAAGAAAAAAGTGAGTTTCATTTAAATATATAGTGACCTGAAAGGCTGTTGTCATTAATGTCCTATTAATACCTTGCATTTGTCTAAAACCTATTATATAACTACTCCTGCTTTGATATTTTTATCTTTTTGTTACAATTCTCAAATAATGCTATAAATTTCAATATTTATTTATGTATGAGTACCTTTCAGATATAATAATCTTGTGTTTAATTTGTATGAATAAAAGAATGTGACTTTCCTACTGAACTCAGAGCCCTCAAAAGCAGCAGAATGAAAGAATTGACTCATTTTGATTACAAAATTAAGACTAGAAAAGTAGGCTGCTTTCATTGAAATAGGTATTTGGTTCTGTATGTAGTTTGTACAGGGAACATCACAGAAGATAAACTGCTCACCCTGTCCCTTCAGTGATGGCTGTGATCTGAAACCAAAATGAACTATTTCGTTGCACATACAAATTTACTTGTAAACACAATATTATTTCCTACTGTCTCTGGCAATATTGTACAATTCCCCATCTTTAGCCATTACATTCTGATCTGATAAACTCAGACCTGTATCACCAGTCTTGGCCTTAATCTGAAGCTCTGGACTTATATTCAACTGTATACAGCATATACCCACTTTAACGTCTCACAAAACTTTCAGTTTCAACAGGTTCAATGTCGAACTGATAGGAGGTGGGGTGTATACTGTGAAGGTCTTAAGACTGGGCTTGAAATTTATATCTAATATTTGGTAGCTATGCGAGGTTGGACAATGTATTGTCTTTGTTAGCTTTCTGACTTGCAGAATGTAGGTGTCAATAGCTACTTCATAGAAGATTACATTATATTTGTGTGTAAGGAAATCTCTGGATAAATCTATCTTTTTTTTTTTTTTTTTTTTTGGCAGAGTCTTGCTATCTCCCAGGCTGGAGTGCAGTGGCGCGATCTCAGCTCACTGCAAGCTCCGCCTCCGGGTTCACGCCATTCTCCTGCCTCAGCCTCCCAAGTAGCTGCGACTACAGGCGCCCGCCATCACGCCTGGCTAATTTTTTGTATTTTTAGTAGAGACGGGGTTTCACCGTGTTAGCCAGGATGGTCTCGATCTCTTGACCTCGTGATCTGCCCGCCTCGGCCCTATCTTAAGAGGAGAAGAAATTCTAGGTCCTTAACCACATGACAATTGTCCTAGATCTGTGACGAGGTGGACTTGTGACTTTCATTGGGAGAATATTGTTCTACAAAACATATGTGTTAGATTCCTATGAGACTATATATATATATATATATCTATATATATATATATATAGATATCTCATTAAAAAGTGCAGAGAAGAAAGTTGGCCAGATCTCATATAGTCTTTATAGAGTCCACTGTGTTAGGAAAATTTTTACGTTCTTGAGGCCTTTTGTTACATCTATAATAGGAGAGAGAAAGACCTAATTTTAAAGAGCAATGACTGAATAAAGGAAAGTTGTAATTGGATATTAATAACAGTGTCTTCTCAGGCTTTATCAAAGAAGGCGAGCTCACCACCAGGGAGCAGTAATTGACTATGGGAGGATGTATTTCCAAGCACTCTTTATAATAACCCTGTGGGTGGTGGAGTTGAGGGGACTGTGGGCATGGGGGATCTTTCATTCTGTCTGTGCCTTTGCAACAATTCAAAAATTCACCATTATTTAATATTATCTTTGTTTAAAAGTAAAGAAACTCTGTTGAAAGGCATTTCTGATATTCTTTTTCTTGAGTTTTGAACTTTCTGCTATTTGCCTTTTAAAAAGAATGAATAGGAATGCTTGTGATTTTTGCACATTGATTTTGTATCCTGAGACTTTGCTGAAGTTGCTTATCAGCTTAAGGAGATTTTGGGCTGAGACGATGGGGTTTTCTAAATATACAATCATGTCATCTGCAAACAGGGACAATTTGACTTCCTCTTTTCCTAATTGAATATCCTTTATTTCTTTCTCTTGTCTGATTGCCCTGGCCAGAACTTCCAACACTATGTTGAATAGGAGTGGTGAGAGAAGGCATCCCTGTCTTGTGCCAGTTTTCAAAGGGAATGCTTCCAGTTTTTGCCCATTAAGTATGATATTGGCTGTGGGTTTGTCATAAATAGCTCTTATTATTTTGAGATACGTCCCATCAATACCTAGTTTATTGAGAGTTTTTAGCATGAAGGGCTGTTGAATTTTGTCGAAGGCCTTTTCTGCATCTATTGAGATAATCATGTGGTTTTTGTCTTTGGTTCTGTTTATATGATGGATTACATTTATTGATTTGCATATGTTGAACCAGCCTTGCATCCTGGGGATGAAGCCAACTTGATCGTGGTGGATAAACTTTTTGATGTGCTGCTGGATTCGGTTTGCCAGTATTTTATTGAGGATTTTTGCATCAATGTTCATCAGGGATATTGGTCTAAAATTGTCTTTTTCTGTTGTATCTCTGCCAGGCTTTGGTATCAGGATGATGTTGATTCCTATACACCAATAACAGACAAACAGAGAGCCAAATCATGAGTGAACTCCCATTCACAATTGCTTCAAAGAGAATAAAATACCTAGGAATCCAACTTACAAGGGATATGAAGGACCTCTTCAAGGAGAACTACAAACCACTGCTCAATGAAGTAAAAGAGGACATAAACAAATGGAAGAACATTCCATGCTCATGGATAGGAAGAATCAATATTGTGAAAATGGCCATACTGCCCAAGGTAATTTATAGATTCAATGCCATCCCCATCAAGCTACCAATGACTTTCTTCACAGAATTGGAAAAAACTACTTTAAAGTTCACATGGAACGAAAAAAAGAGCCCACATTGCCAAGACAATCCTAAGCCAAAAGAACAAAGCTGGAGGCATCACACTACCTGATTTCAAACTATACTATAAGGCTACAGTAACCAAAACAGCATAGTATTGGTAACAAAATAGAGATATAGACCAATGGAACGGAATAGAGCCCTTGGAAATAATACCACACATCTACAACCATCTGATCTTTGACAAACCTGACAAAAACAAGAAATAGGGAACAGATTCCCTATTTAATGAATGGTGCTGGGAAAACTGGCTAGCCATAGGTAGAAAGCTGAAACTGGATCCCTTCCTTACACCTTATACAAAAACTAATTCAAGATGGATTAAAGACTTAAATGTTAGACCTAAAACCATAAAAAACCTAGAAGAAAACCTAGGAAATACCATTCAGGCCATAGGCATGGGCAAGTACTGCATGACTAAAACACATCATTCTAAGCAAACTATCGCAAAAGCAATGGCAACAAAATCCAAAATTGACATGGGATCTAATTAAACTAAAGAGCTTCTGCACGGCAAAAGAAACTACCATCAGAGTGAACAGGCAACCTACAGAATGGGAGAAAATTTTTACCATCTACCCATCTGACAAAGGGCTAATATCCACAGTCTACAAAGAACTTAAACAAATTTACAAGAAAAAAACAAACAACCCCATCAAAAAGTGGGTAAAGGATATGAATAGACACTTCTCAAAGAAGACATTTATGCAGCCAACAGACACATGAAAAAATGCTCATCATCACTGGCCATCAGAGAAATGCAAATCAAAATCACAAAGAGATACCATCTCACGCCAGTTAGAATGGCAATCATTAAAAAGTCAGGAAACAACAGATGCTGGAGAGGATGTGGAGAAATAGGAACACTTTTACACTGTTGGTGGGAGTGTAAACTAGTTCTACCAGTGTGGAAGACAGTGTGGCCATTCCCAGGGATCTAGAACTAGAAATACCATTTGACCCAGCCATCCTATTAATGGGAATATACCCAAAGGATTATAAATCATGCTGCTATAAAGACACATTCACATGTATGTTTAATGCAGCACTATTCACAATAGCAAAGACTTGGAACCAACCCAAATGTCCATCAATGATAGACTGGATTAAGAAAATGTGGTGCATATACCCCATGGAATGCTATGCAGTCATAAAAAAGGATGAGTTCATGTCCTGTTTAGGGACATGGATGAAGCTAGAAATCATCATTCCGAGCAAACTATCGCAAGGACAGAAAGCCAAACACCGCATGTTCTCACTCATAGGTGGGAATTGAACAATGACAACATTTGGACACAGGGTGGGTAACATCACACACTGGGGCCTGTCGTGGGGAGGGGGGAGGGGGGAGGGATAGCATTAGGAGATATGCCTAATGTAAATGATGAGTTAACGGGTGCAGCACACCAACATGGCACATGTATACATATGTAACAAACCTGCGCGTTGTGCACATGTACCCTAGAACTTAAAGTATAATTTTAAAAAATCATAATAAAATAAAATAAAAAGAATGAATAATTTTGTAGGGCCTGCTAAGGAAGAGGGACACCTTACCTCCATGGGTGCTTATATTTTGCCTAAAACATTTTTGTATGTAGCATGCTACCAGGTACCAAATAAGTGCTCATTAAATTATAGCTATTATTGTGTTCAGGAATTATTCTGCCTTTCAAGATACATGTAACCCTATTGATTGCTCTTACGATAGTGAAAAATATTACTAAGTATTATTTCCCAAATCAGAAGCCTGAAAATCATCTTACCTTATTATCCTCTCTTTACTGCTCTCACTGCCCCACTAGTTCCTGGTGTTTTTACCTCCTAGTTGATACTTATTTTGAGTCTCCTCCTCTACCTTTTCACCACAGCTGGCTTACATGGAGCCTTTCCTACTTTTCTCCTGGATATTGCAATAACCTCCTTCCCACCAGTTTTGCCCCATTCTGTTCCCTATACTGCTAATAAAATGAACTTTAAAAATCATCCAAATCTGGTAAAATGCCAGTCCTCCAATCTTCCTGTCCAGATTAAAGTTCTTCATTAGATCTCAAAAGCTTTCAAAATGTATTATCATTTCCCCAGTTTAATCTTCATCATTTATCATGCTTAGAATTTCTTTTACCTCCCCAGTTATTCTATTACCACTCATCAAAAAGCAACCATTGGTCCAGCAATTTTGACTACTTATAATTCCCTAAATATATTATTTCATGGCCCTGTGCTTTCTCATATATGGTTCATACTACCTGAAACAACAACAAAAATTATCCTATTTTCCTGCCTAGATTTAGCTAGCATGAATTCATTCATAGTTAATGGAGCATCTTTTGCCTGAAAGGGGGCAATGTGTGATGTGTTTTTATTCTCACAAAATTTACACTTCACTCAGACTGGTAGGGTAGGAAAGACTTGAATTATTATTTTAGCTTTAACCTAGTGATTTAAATATCTGTTTTTCGTTTTAGGGTCTTCTGGTGTATCACGGTTTATAAAGTACCAAAACATGAGCATTGTAGTGGGGATAGAAGCTTTATGAAAGATACTCTTCAGCAGCTTATACATCTGCAGCATCATCCCTGCATCTCTGACAGCTTCAGCCCTCCCAGGCTCCCTTTACTTCCTGGTTTTTGGAGCTCATTATCCTATCTCCTGTCAGTTTTCTGTTCATGTAGCCTGACCCCCACCCACCATGATATAGGCAGAAAGGACTTTCTGATATCTGCTTTTGTCTCTACAGGGAGGTGATTCATTTCACTGTGGGCAGGACCATTCTTCCTGGACTGGTGAGCAGAAAAATCAAAATTGCGATTCCCATAGGTGGTGGTGTTGGAAGCTTCATTTAAGGTCCCTGAACAGAACAGAAAGTTACCGAAAAAACAAGACTAGCTCTATCAGAGACCATGGCATCAGAATGACCTGGTTGCAGAAACGACCAAAGTCATAGTAAGCACCAGGACCAGAGAACAGAAAAGGATTTATCTTATCATTGTAAAGAATCTTTAATATTTGTATATCCTTACAACATAAGGATAGATGTTATCCTTTATGCTAATATACATAAATAAATTTATGCATTTAAATACAAATTATGTTTTTCTTGATGTTTTGACATATATTTATATATTTTATATAAAATATTTCAAGTATTTAATATCACTACTTAGAAATGTGTCCTAACTAATTAAAAAGAAATCCTAGTATTATTACCTTAAATAAATCCTGGAAGAAGAGTACTGTAATTTCACACTGAAATTGCAATCATTAATTTGATCTGCAAGGTAATCGTGTACCAGGCATTAATGTCAGCAGATAACAGAGCATCATGGCCTAACCAGGTCAACAATGGAAATGAATGTATCAGTAGTACTCAGAAGAATTATGTGTCAAGTCAAAAAGGAGATGCAGTTTTCTCATTCAGAACGACATTGTTGAAGATTCAAGCAAGAGATTTAGCAGTGGGAAAAGAGAATAAGCCTTTTTACGTTGGAGGGAATGATTGGACTAGGGAAGCAAACAGATCAGAACTTGGCCTTGAATTCTGGTTTAGGAACAGTGAAGATCTCAATATTGCCTTTGATAAAAAATAATGTTCTAAGAGCTTTACGAGATTTCTTGGAAGATATAGATTTCTGTATTTGCCCTGCTGAATTTGTTGTGCATTTAGAATCTACGAACCGAAATACTTAAGCTAGTGAGAGGTTTTTTAAGATTTAGACATAAAAGTTAACATGAAACAAGACCTGAAATTTTTCTGTGCTAGGTGATGAGAGGAAATATGAGAGAGCCAAAGTAGCAATCAGTCTTGTTTTACTGTAAGTACGTAAGTATTATATCTAATTTTTTTGGTGGAGTGGGGAGACCAATCACATATAGCCTATATGTGTAAGGAAGACACCCAGAGGTATTTATCTGAAATGTGAGATTTTTGCTGCTAAATGTCAATTTACCCAAAGTAGAACCTTATAGGCCCTGAAGGGTTAAACACTCCTCCCAAAGCATCTTTCAACCAGAGAGCCTGGTACAAGGGGGAATAGAGCTCAATTTCTAATATGATTCAGTCTAAAAATAATTAAAAGGCTTAGTTCAGTCCCTAAAACCCTTCATGTGAGAATTCAGGTGAGTTTCTGGGAGCACTAATGGACTTTGCCTCATCACAAATTCCAGCTTGAACGTGCTTAGTCTAAGTTACTTCTGTATTCACCAAAGAGAAGTTAGTGTGAAATTTTACTGCTTGTTTTTCTTCTGTCTCAGGAACACCAAGTGACTAATCAACTAATCAGTGATTCCTCCCCCAGTTAGTCAAACTGGCAGGGTCAGTCTTCATAGAGTGCACTGAAGAGCCACAAATTGATGGAGCTGGAGGCCATTATCCTTGGGAAACTAACACAGAAACAGGAAACCAAATACTACATGTTCTCATTTATAAGAGAGAGTTAAATGATGAGAACACACGGACACAAAAAAGAGACCAACAGGCACCAGGGCTTGCTTGAAGGCAGAGGCAGGGAGGAGGGAGAGAAGTAGAAAAAATAACTATTAGGTACTAGGCTTAGTACCTGGGTAACAAAATCATCTGTGCAACAAACCCACATGACACTAGTTCATCTATATAATGAACCTGAACATGTACCCTTGAACCTAAAATAAAAGTTAAAAAAAAGATTGAAAATAAGGCGAGCAAAAGAATAAAAAGAAATTCACTGTTATTGACGGTTTAATTACTTTTTCATAGAAAGCTGAGGGAAAAATAACTGAGTCAAAATCTTATCATTTTTTAAATTTTGTAAAATTTGGCATGAGAAAATTTAACTTTGACACCCCCCTCTACTCCTATAAGGAGAGATTCTGAGAAGTTAAGTCCAATGCCAAATTGTAGACAGAGCCCAAGTTATAAACTAGATTTCTTAACTCTTGTTTGTCAGATGAATTTGTTAAACAATACTAACAGGTAGCACAATATTCAAGTCCATTTGGCCCTTTACATTTAACTAGATGCAAATATACATTGTACTTGTGGGAACCACTTTTCCTTGAAGAGCCTCATTTTTCTCATAACTAAAATGGGCATAAGTATATAGCCTGCTTTACTTATGGACCAGGATTCTTATGACGTTGAAACAAGATAAGGTGAATGAAAATACCTATAGTTGCTCTGCGTTTGTTGTTATTGCTATACTCCTCGAATGGTTACAAAATAATTTTTAAAATTTAGAGGACATATTATTTTTAAAAACTATAATTTAATTTTCTCTCTCAAGGATTAACCTCCTCATTGTGCTATGTTGTCACTAGGGAGAACAACTAATTTATGTGCTTTTTTGTTGAAAATTTGGGATGATCTCAGAACTACAATGAATTTGGGCAGAGACTCTCAAAGTATGGATTCCCCAGGCATTTTCAGAAATTCATGAGATAAAAACAATTTTCATAATAGTGGTAAGCCATTATTTGTTCTAGAATCTTATTCTCTCATGAGCATATAGCATAATTTTCCAGAGGCTATATGACATATGATATAACAAGAGATTGAATGCAGAAGAGGTTTGAGAATCCTGCTGTCTTCTATTAATTCAGTCGTCAAAATGCTTTTTACAAATATAAAGCAATTCCACATTTTTCAAATTGTTATGAGACATTGGAAAATAACTATTCTTCAAAAAAATATATTGTTTATACTAACATGCAATGAACTCAGTTTTAAATGAAGCTAAAAATATGATTATAAAATTTTTTACTTGAAATATAGTAAATGTATATATATAAATATAAAAAAGACAAGTACTTATATGTGGGGCACATAATTATATATATAATACATAATATATATTATATTATATATAATACATACTATAATATATAATATATAATATAATATATATTATATAATACATAATATTATATATAATATATAATATATAACATAATATATATTATATATAATACATAATACAATATATATTATATATAATATATAATACAATATATATTATATATTACATATCATATAATATATAATACAATATATATTATATATTACATATCATATAATATATATTATATAACCAATATACACATAGTATAATGTGTATATATACATATTATACAACTTAATATTATATATAATATAAAAAAATATATATTATATAATATATCTATATAATAATAATATATATATATAATCAACATACACAGACGCTCTTAGGGGTCCTCACTAATTCTCAGCGTATACAAGAGTAATGAGGTCAAAAAAGTTTGAGAGCCAGTGACTTAGAGGTTGATAGGCCCCAGATGGATGACTGGATTGTGAAGGTGCATGGATAAGGAGTAATAATATTAATACAAAAAATATTGATAAGATTTGAGACTTTACAAAGTGCTTTTCACCTCATTTAATGAATGATTTGATTCCACGATTCTTGCATTACTAGATAGTGGTCCTTCCTATCACTTCTCCAGTCCCCACATCTTCTCAACTGTGTGCAATGTTGAAGACTTGGCAAAGGCCATTTCTCTTGCCAAGTTTTTAATATCAGAAGAATGGAGTAGTAAAGTCCAATTCTAAAAAATGAGAATCAACAAAAATGTGGAGAATTGGTCTTTACTAAATTCAGGCTCAATTACCTTTTGTGAGCTATAGTAGCCTCCTTCAAGGTGAGATTTAGAGATTTCCACTGTTCAAATCAGTATTCCTCCATAGGTACTGTTCCTCCATGGGTACTGCTGGCTCTACGTCTCCCTTCTTGAGGCTACTCACAGAGTTCTTCTGACAGACGCTTCATGGCCCTCAGTTCCCTGAGGTGTCCATTATCTTTTCTTTATTCCATTATTTCTAGACCCTTTAAATCCCTTTGTTGTGAGCAACACCCCCGCTTCCTGTCTGTCTTATTCTTCTAGGTTGTCAATATTTCTGCCCCATCCCCTACCCTAAGCTTTATTTTATTTTGTTTTTGCTGGTTGGAGATGTGAGGAGTGTAATATTTATGTGAAAAAGGCATAGGGTAAGAAGGGAGAAAATAAACCTTGTTCTGCCTTGTGAAGGAATATATTCAGACTCCAAAGGAGAGAAATGAGCATGTGCCATGTGGAAAGGGTAGGATAAAAAGTGCCACTCATGAGAAATAAATTTAGATGTGGAAGACTAGGTGGAAGCCTATTTATGCTTCTTCTCCTGACTACCACCCTAACTTAAACTCTAAACTCATATGAAAACTTATAATGTTTGAAATGACACTTTTTAGAAGCTAGAAAGTCTATGGAAACCATTTTGTGAGAGGTTTGAGCCAAACTTTCAGGAAGGGCTTATTGCCTACAAAATTCTTAACTCTAGGACATTTAGACTAATGGCAAATGGAGAAGAGAGCAACCTGAAAAGATTAAGAAAGAAAGAGGAAAAAATGAAAAGCAAAAGAAAAGGAAACAACAACAAAAGCATACATTTGTGAGTGCCATTGCAGGCAGCTAAAATCTTAGAGACAGAAAAAAAGACAAGTACTTATATGTGGGGCACAGGCTAGAAAGGAATATGGAAAAAATAATTTTTCTAGTAAGCTGGTGGGATAATAGTTTACTTTGTGTCCTTTCTTTCAACATATATATTGATTTTTAGTTGTTACATTGTTTTTTGAATAGGCTTTTAAAACTTGGTCCTTGGGAACCAATGAATAATGACATAATTAATTAGCCAGGTTCTAAACAGGATTTAAAAAGTACTAACAACCTTGAGGAAGAAAATAGCTAGAAGTTAAATAAACAATTAGGTTGCAAATTGAAGTGTCAACACAGGCACTAATTAGTCTGTGGAGGTCACTTTTCATAGACTTTTGAAAATAGTTGTCATTCAGTATGTTCATTTACATCTTAAAGAAGAAAGGTGTCATTTCTTGTTCTCCAGTTCAGAAACATTTTTCCTGAGAACTGGCCAGTCAAGCCAAACATTACCCCTCCTTATTTGCCTGGAAATGCCTGCAATTACTTTTATACTTGTGGTTAAATACAACAAAACAAAAACAGGATGAACAATTTATCTAAACAGATTATTTGAAAAGTTCTCAGTTCTGACAGAGATCGATGGTTTCCAGTTTTCTTTTCTGTGTACAGAAAACTTGGTTTCATTAACTTATAATAACTTATAATTTTGAGAAAGAACAAGAAAGTCGAAACACAAGAATATAATGGACTTCGTTAAGAAAATGCATAGTTTTCAACTGGGAATGTTCATTATAGCATTAATTCTGATAGAGAAAAGTTGGAATAAACTTAAATGTCTCAATATGAGAATGGGAAAATGCGGTAATTAAAAAACTTTAACAAAATGAGGAAAGACTGTCTATATTAACATCCCAAGACAACAGAGAAAAAGATGAAGTTATAGAAATAATTATTTACAGCATACAGATCACATAAAATATATAACATTATAGTAAATATTTATGGAACTTTTATATATGAATTCATAGAAAATGTCAAAATGAACACACATAAAATTGATAATAGCAGGAAATTCTGAGAAGAGAGCAGAAGGATATACTTGGCACTGGGAATGAGAAGGCCAAAAGGAAATATGTCTTGCTTGCAACATTTTATTTATTACAAAGAAAATGCATTTCTCTTATATGTGTGTAATTATTAATTATTTTAAAAGTAAATGAAGAGGGGTCTTGCATTTTCTGCTTTGACATGTAAAGAGCTGTTAAGTCATCACTCCTATTCTTACAAGAAAAACACGAAAAAATGAAAGCAACTCTTCTCTGATACATCAGAGAAATGAGATCATGAGGAAAACTGTTAACTCCCCAAACTGGAGAGACAGGTATGTATGGAGGATTACAGCTGACCTGGAGAAGAGCCACTGGAGACAGTATCTGTTAGACACATTTAAATTGAAATTAACAAATTGCTGAAGGCTGACTATACACTGGCTTGATTATTAAATTCTTGAGGGTGCCATCAGGGCATTCACTCTTTCATGAGAGGAATTAAGACAAAAGACCCAGAATAGCAAACACAATATTGGAAAGAGAACAAGCAGAACAAATTCAGAGGACTATCACTAACTCATTTTAAGACTTACTATAAATGTACACTAAAAAAGTGTACAGGCAAATAAATCAGTGAAACAAAATAGAGAACACAGAAATAGATACACATAATGTAGTCAACTAAACTTTGACAAAGAAACAAATACAATTCAGTGCAGAAAGGTAGTCTTTTCAACAAGTGGTGCTGGAATAACAGGACATCCCACATGCAAAAAAAAAAAAAAAAATTCTAGGTACAGAGCTTACATCTTTCACAAAAACTAACTCAAAATAGATCACAGACGTAAATGTAAAACACAAAACTATAAAAGTTCTAGAAGAGAACACAGAAGAAAATCTAGGTGAACTTCAGTTTTCAGATACGACACCAAAGCCTGTTGCATTAAAAAAAAAAAAAAAAAAAGGATAAATTGGCCTACATTAAGATGAAAGACCTGTGCTCAAAGAGAATGAAAAGAAGCCACAAACTGGGAGAAAACCTTTTCAAAGCACCTATCTGATAAAGGACTTATGTTCAAAATATACAAAAAACCCTCAGACTCAACAGTAAGAGAACAAACAACTCAATTAATGGGCAAAAGATCTGAAAGACACCTTGCCAAAAAGATACGTAGATGACAAATAAGCTTATAGAAAGATGCCCCATATTATATGTCATTATGAAATTGCAAATTAAAACAAAAACAAAATATCATTGCATGGCTATTAGAATGACTAAAATCAAAACCACTGACATCACCAAATGCTAATGAAGACATGAAGCAACAGTAGCCCTCATTCATTGTTGGTAGGAACTGGTACAGCTACTTTGGAAGAATGTTCGGTAGTTTCTTACAAAGTTAAACACAGTCTTACCATATGATTCAGAAACTGTCCTCTACAGATTTACTCAAATGAATTTAAACTTATATCCACACAAAAACTGCACATGAATAGCAGCTTTATTCATAATTACCAAAGACTGCAAATAATAAAGTTGTCTGTCAGTAGTCCAGTGAATAATATCTGTGGTGTATCTATACAATGGAATATGACCTGTGTTAAAAAGCAATGAGCTGTCAAGCTATGAAAACACATGAAGAAACTTTGGTGCACATTGCTAAGTAGAAAAAGCCAATCTGAAGAGGCTACACATTGTATGATTTCTACCATATGTCATTCTGGAAAAGGCAAAACTGTAGAGACTACAAAAAAATTAATGGTTGCCAAGGGTGAGTAGAGTGGGATAAATAGGTAAGACCTAGGGATTTTTAAGATGGTGAAACTATTCTAAAATATGATACATTCTAAGGAATCCATGGAATTTTATATTTCTCAATACCCATGGAACTGTACAACACAGAGCAAACTATAATGTAACCTATGGACTATAAGTATGTTTTTTTAAAAAGTTAGAGCCAGGGATAGTGTTAGAGAATTGACTGGGAGAGGATATTAAAAAATATTTTTGGAGTACTGGTAATATTCCATATCTTGATTCTGGTGGTATACATTTGCCAAAACTCATTTAATTACATATAGAATAAGTGCATGTTATTACATGTGATTTATACCTCAATAAAGTTAATTTTTAAAATAGTAGTTGATGCTAAAAGACTGTTTTCCTTCTCTTAATTTCTTTAAAAGATAACTCATTGTTTAGTGCAAAAAAATGGTATAAAGTTTATAAAATATATGACTGTGACATCACAAAATATGGTGTATAAACAGAACTGTACAATTCCTTACATTTTATGTGATATAATTTAAAGTTTACTCCAAGTAGAATGTGATAAATTGAATATACATATTGTAATCCTTAGAGCAACACCCTTAGAACAGCTAGCAAGCCATTAAGGAATTAAAATAAAATGCCAAAAAAATGTGATTATTAGTATTCCCATCTATATTCCCTCACCTCCCCCCACCCTCCAAAAAAAAGGCAGGGAAGGAGGAACAGAGAAACATATCGGACAATAGCAAATACACAATGGTTGTGTAACCACAGAAATAATCGCATTAAGTATGAATAAACATAATACTGCAAATAAAAATCAAGATTGGCAGATTGCTTAATGAAAAGCATGTCTGTATTATATTTGCCTTTGAGAGATATATTGAAGTTATGAAAACTCACATCAAAAGTAAAAAGACAGAAAATAAATACTACACACAGTTAACCATAAGAAAGCTGATTTGGCTACATAAATATCACACAACATGGAGTTTAAGTCAAGGAGTACTATCAAGATAAAAACAACATTTCTTAATGATAAAAGGATCCATTTACCAGAAAGACATAATCATATACATGCATGTGCATAGTAATACAGACTCAAAATTTATGAACCCAAATCTGATACAGTCAAGGCAAAAAAAAAAAAACCCGTAGAGTTGATAAATTTACCATAGTCTCTTAAAAATTATTGGAATCACTAGACAAAAGCCAGGAAGGATGTAGAAAATCTGAACATCATCATCAACTGCCTTGATATAATTGATACTTATAGAACAACACATCCACCAACTGCAAAATACACATTCTTTGCCAGTAATGAGGGGACACTCTCCAAGAAAGATTATACTCTGAGCTATAAGAAGTCTCAGTGAATTTCAAAGATTTGCATCTTTGAAAAGACAAAGTATGTTCTCTAACAACATGGAATTATGTTAGAAATCACTAAGAGTAATAAATATAGAAAATTTCTAAAAATATATGAATTAAACAAAATAGTTTCTAAATAATAGATTGAAGAAGGAATGATTAATATAAGAAAATATATTAAAAATAAAATTATAAAAATATTGGTTAATCCCAGAACTTTGGGAAGCCAAGGCGGGTGGATCATGAGGTCAGGAGATCGAGACCATCCTGGCTAACACGGTGAAACCTCGTCTTTACTAAAAATAAAAAAAATTAGCTGGGCGTGGTGGTGGGCGCCTGTAGTCCCAACTACTCGGGAGGCTGAGGCAGGAGAATGGCGTGAACCTGGGAAGCAGAGCTTGCAGTGAGTCGAGATCGCGCCACTGCACTCCAGGCTGGGTGACAGAGCCAGACTCCGTCTCAAAAAAAAAAAAAAAAAAAAAAAAATTGGTAATGTGCAACTAAAACAGTGCTTAGAAGGATATTTATAGCTTTAAAGTCACATTAAGAAAATATTAAGGAGTAAAAACTTTATCTTAAGCAGGTGGAAAACAATGAGCAAATTAAATCCAAATTAAGTAGAAGAGTGGGAATAATTAAAAAGTTAATGAAATAGAAAATACAAACAACTTAAAAAATCAAAAGTTGTTTTTTTTAGAGGTTTAGTAGAATTGATAACACCATAAGTGAGACCAAATACATTCACAATAGATAAAGCACAATTTGTCAGTATCAGAAATGACATATGGTAAGTCATTGTGTCTTTCTCAGAAATTAACAGGATAAAACAAAAATATCATAAACAAGCTTATGGCAAACTTTGGCAATTAAGATAAGAGAAAAATTTATTTTTTTGTGAAAGAATTAAATATAATTGTCTTTATTTAGAAAAGTTTTGAACATAGGAAATATTTTAGAATTTAAGAAAAGCATCTATAACAAAAAAGTGAATCTAGCTAGATGATAGGATACAAAGTCAATAAACAAAATTCAACTATATTTCTTTTAAAAAATTATTTTAGGTTTGGGTTTCCATATGGAGGTTTGTTACATAGGTAAACTCGTGTCGTGGGGGTTTGTTGTACAGATTATTTCATCACCCAGGTATTAAGCCTAGTACGTGATAATTATTTTTTCTGCTCCTCTTCCTCTTCCCTCCTCCTCCCTCAAGAAGACCTTAGTGTCTGTTGTTTCCCTCTTTGTGTTCATAAGTTCTCATCATTTAGCTTCCACTTATGAGTCGGAACATGCAGTATTTGATTTTCTGTTCCTGCGTTAGTTTGCTAAGGGTAATAGCCTACAGCTCCATCTATGTCCCTGCAAAGACATAATCTTGTTCTTTTTGTGGCTGCATAGTATTTCATGGTGTATATGCACCACTTTTTCTTTATCCAATCTGTCACTGATGGACATTTAGGTTGATTCTATGTCTTTGCTATTGTGAACAGTGCTGCAATGAACATTTACGTACATGTGACTTTATGATAGAATGATTTATATTTGTCTGGGTATATACCCAGTAATGAGATTACTAGGTTGAATGGTAGTTCTGCTTTTAGCTCTTTAAGGAATCACCATACTGCTTTCCACAATGGTTGAACAAATTTACACTCCCACCAACAGTGTATCAGTGTTCCTTTTTTCCACAACCTCATCAGCACCTGCTATTTTTGGACTTTTTATCATAGCCATTCTGAATGGTGTGAGATGGTATCTCATTGTGATTCTAATTTACATTTATCTCTCTAATGATCAAAGATATTTTTAAATATGCTTGGTGACCTCAAGTATGTCTTCTATTGAAAAGTGTCTGTTCATGCCTTTTGCCTACTTTTTAATGGGATTGGTTGTTTTCCTCTCATAAATTTGTTTAAGTTCCTTATAGATGCTGGATACTAGACCTTTGTCAGATGCATAGTTTGCAAATATTTTTTACCATTCTGTAGGTTGTCTATTTACTCTGTTGATAGTTTCTTTTGCTGTGCAATAGCTCTTACATTTAATTAAATCTCATTTGTCAATTGTTGCTTTTGTTGCAATTGGTTTTGGTGTCTTTGTCATGAAATCTTTGTTCATTCTGGTGTCCAGGATGGTATTGCCTAGGCTTTCTTCCCGGGTTTTTATAGTTTTAGGTTTCACATTAAGGTCTTTAATCATCTTGAGTTGATTTTTGTATGTGAGGTAAGGAAAGGTTCCATCTTCAATCTTTTACATATGGCTAGCCAGTTATCCCAGCATCATTCATTGAATAGGGAATCTTTTCCCTATTGCTTGTTTTTGTCAGCTTTGTCCAAGAGCAGATGGTTGTAAGTGTGTGGTGTTATTTCAGGGTCCTCTATTCTGTTCCATTGGTCTTGGTGCCTGTTTTTGTACCAGTATCATACTTTGGTTACTCCACCCCTGTAGTATAGTTTGAAGTCAGGTAACATGATGCCTCCAGCTTTGTTATTTTGCTTAGAATTGTCTTGGCTATTCACGATTTTTTCATTCCATATGAATTTCAAAATAGTTATTTCTAGTTCTGTGAAGAATGCCAATGGTAGTTTAATAAAAATAGCATTGAAGCTGTAAATTACTTTGGGCAGCATGGTCATTTTAATGATATTGATTTTTTTCTGTCCATGAGCATGTGATATTTTTCTACTTGTTTGTGTTTTCTGTGATTTCTTCGCACAGTGTTTTGTAGTTCTTAATGTCCACAGCTTTCATCTCACTGGTTAGCTGTATTCACAAGTATTTTACTGTTTTTGTGGCAATTATGAATGGAATTGCATACTTGATTTCAGCTTGGCTGCTTTTGATGTATAGAAATGGTAGTGACTTTTTCACATTGATTCTGTATCAACCTTGCTGAAGTTGTGGGTCAGCTGAAGGAGCTTTTGGGTCTAGACTATGGGGTTTTCTAGATATAGAATCATGTCATCTGCAAACAGATATTTTGACTTCCCCTCTTTCTATTTGGGTGCTCTTTACTTCTTTCTCTTGCCTGATTTCTCTTGCTAGGACTTCCAGTACTATGTTAAATAGCAGGGGTGAGAGTGGGCATCTGAATTGGTTAGGCTTTGTGTCCCTATCCAAATCTCATCTTGAATTATAATCCCTATAATCCCCACATGTTAACGAGGAGACTAGGTGGAGATAATTTAATCATGGAGGTGGTTTCTCCCATACCGTTCTTATGAAAGTGAGGTCTTATGAGATCTGATTGTTTTATAAGTGTATGATAGTTCCTCCTGCATTCATTCTCCTTCCTGCTGCCTTGTGAAGAAGGTGCCTTGCTTGCCCTTCACCTTCTGCCATCATTGTAAGTTTTCTGAAGCCTCCCCAGCCATGTGGAACTATGACTCAATTAAACCTCTTTCCTTTATAAATAACCCAGTCTTGGGCAATTCTTTATAGCAGTATAAAAATGGACTAATACAGTAAGTTGGTACCAGTAGGGTGGGGTACTGCTATAAAGATACCTGAAAATGTGGAATTGACTTTGGAACTGGGTAATAGGCAGAGGTTGGAAAAATTTGGAGAGCTCAGAAGATAGGAAAATGTAGGAAAGTTTGTTACATCCTAGAAACTTGTTGAATGGCTTTGACCAAAATGCTGACAGAGATATGGACAATGAAGTCCAGGCTGAGGTGGTCTCGGATGGAGATGAGGAAGTTTTTGGGAACTGGAATAATGGCAATTCTTGCTATGCTTTAACAAAGAGACTGGTGGAATTTTGCTCCTGCCCTAGAGATCTACAGAGCTTTGATCTTAAGAGAGATGATTTAGAGTATCTGGCAGAAGAAATTTCTAAGGAGCAAAGCATTCAAGATGTGAAAAGTTTGGAAAATTTGCAGCCTAATGGTGCAAAGGAAAAGAAAAACCCATTTTCTGGGGAGAAATTCAAGCAGGCTGCAAAAATTTGCAGAATTAATGAGGAGACAAATGTAATAACCAAGACAATGGGGAAAATACATCTAAACGGCATGACAGAGGTCTTTGCAGAAGCCCCTCCCATTATAGGCCCAGAGGCCTAGGGGGGAAAATGGTTTTGTGGTCTGGGCCCAGGGCCTCGCTGCTTTGTGTAGTCGCAGAACTTGGTGCCCTATATTCCAGCCATGGCTAAAAGGGGCCAATGTATGCCTCAGGCTGTTGCTTCAGAGGATACAAGCCCCAAGCCTTGGCAGCTTACATGTGGTGTTAAATCTGTGGGTGCACAGAAGTCAATAATTGAGGTTTGGGAATCTTCAGCTGGCTTTCAGAGGATGTATGGAAATGCCTGGGTGTCCAGGCAGAGGTTTGCTGCCAGGGTGGAGCCCTCATGGAGAACCTCTGCTAGGGAAGTGTGGAAGGGAAATGTAGGGTTGAAACCCCAAAACAGAGTCCCCACTGGGGCACTGCCTAGTGGAGCTGTGGGAAGAGGGCCATCACCCTCCAGATCCCAGAATGTTAGCTCCCTTTACAGTTTGTACTCTGTGTCTGGAAAAGCCACAGACACTCATTGTCAGCCTGTGAAAGCACTCAGGAGGGGAGATGTACCCTCCAAAGCCACAGGGATGTTGATGCTCAAGGCCATGGGAGCCTACGTCTTGCATTAGTGTGACCTGGATGTGAGACATGGAGTCAAAGGAGATCATTTTGGACCTTTAAGGTTTGATGATTATCCACCTGGATTTTGGACTTGCATGGGGCATGTAGCCCCTTTGTTTTGGCTAATTCCTCCCATTTATAATGGGAACATTTACCCAATGCCTGTATTCTCTTTGTATCTTGGAAGTAACTAACTTGCTTTTGATTTTACAGACTCATAGATGGAAGAAACTTGCCTTGTCTCTGATGAGACTTTAGACTTAGACTTTTGGGTTAATGCTGGAATGAGTTAAGACTTTGGGACTGTTTGGAAGGCATAATTGGTTTTGAAATGTGAAAGGAACATGAGATTTTGGAGGGGCTGGGGCAGAATGATTTGTATCTTAGAACTAACTAACCTGCTTTTGATTTTACAGACTCCTAGGAATTTAGGCTTTGTGTTCCCACCCAAATCTCATCTGGAATTATAATCCCCACATGTCAAGGGAGAGGCCAGGTGGAGGTAATTGACTCATGGGAGTGGTTTCCTCCATGCAGTTGTTGTGATAGTGAGTGAGTTCTCACAAGATCTGATGGTTTTATAAGTTTTTGGTAGCTCCTACTGTGTTCATTCTCCTTCCTGTTGCCTTGTGAACAAGGTGCTTTGCTTCACCTTCACCTTCCACCATAATCATAAGTGTCCTGAAGCCTCCCCTGCCATGCAGAACTGTGAGTCAATTAAACTTCTTTCCTTTATAAATTACCCAGTCTTGTGCAATTCTTTATAGCAGTATGAAAATGGACTAATACAGCATCCTTGTCTTGTGCCAGTTTTCAAGGGGAATAATTCTAGCTCATGCCTGTCCAGTGTAATGTTGGCTGTTTGTCATAGATGACACTCATTATTTTGAGCTATGTTCCTTCAATACCTAGTTTACTGAGCATTTTTAACATGAAGGGGTGTTAAATTTTATTGAAAATCTTTTCTGTGCCTGTTAATAGTGTGGTTTTTGTTTTTAGTTTTGTTTATATTATGAATATCATTTATTGATTTGTGCATGTTGAACCAACCTTGCATCCTGGGAATGAAACCTCCTTGATCATGGTGGATTAGTTTTTTGATGTGCTGCTGGATTTGGTTTACGGCTATTTTGTTGAGGATTTTTGAATCAATGTTTGTCAGTGATACTGGTCTTACATTTTATTTTTTTGTCGTGTCTCTGCCAGATTTTGGTATTGCGATGTTGCTGGCATTATACAATGGGTTAGAGAGGAGTCCTTCCTCCTCATTTTTTGGGAACGATTTCTGTAGGAGTGATATCAGCTCTTCTTTGTACATCTGATAGAATTCAGTGGTTAATCCATCAGGTCCTGGACTATTTTTGGTTGGTAGGCTATTCGTTACTGATTCAATTTTAGAGTTTGTTACTGTCCTGTTCAGGTAATTGCTTTTTTTCCTGGTCCAGTCTTGGGAAACTGTATGTGTCCAAGAATTTAATAATCTCTTCTAGGTTTTTTAGTTTATGTGCATAGAGGCATTTGTAGTTTCTGATAGTTATTTTTATGTCTGTGTGATCAGTGGTAACATTACCTTCATCATTTCTAATTGTGTTTATTTGGATCTTTTCCTTTTTCTTCTTTGTTATTCTAGCTGGTGGCCTATCTTATAAATGTTTTCAAAAAACCAACCCTTGAATTTGTTGATTTTTTGAATAGTTTTCCTGTGTTGATTTTCTTCAGTTCAGCTCTGATTTTTGTTATTTCCATTAGCTTTGGAGTTGATTTGCTCTTGTTTCTCTAATTCTTCCAGTTGTGATGTTAAGTTGTTAATCTGAAATCTTTCTAACTTTTTGTGTGGGCATTTAGTTCTATGAATTTTCCTCTTAACACTGCCTTACCTGTGTCTCAGAGATTCTGGTATGTTGTACATTTGTTCTCATTAGTTTCAAATAACTTCTTCATTTCTGCCATAATTTCATTATTTAACCAAAAGCCATTCAGGAGCATGTTGTTTAATTTACATGTAATCTCACGGTTTTTAGTAATTTTCATAATCTTCACTTCTATTTTTATTGTGCTGTGGTCTGACAGTGTGTTTGGTATGATTTTGGTTCTTCAATATTTGCTGAGGATTGTTTTACATTCAATTATGTGGTTGATTTTAGAGTATATGTCATGTGGTGATGAGAATGTATTATCAGTTGACTTTAGGTGAAAAGTTCTGTAAAGGTCTATCAGATCCATTTGGTCCAATGTTGAATTCAGGTCCTGAATATCTTTGTAAATTTTCTGTTTGAAGATCTGTTGAATACTGTCTGTGGAGTGTTGATGTCTCCCACTATTATTGTGTGAGAGTTTTTGTCTCTTTCGTGGTGTCTAAGAACTTGCTACTTGCTTTATGAAAATAGGTACTCCTGTGTTGGGTAAATATATATTTAAGATAGGTCTTCTTGCTGAATTGAACTCATTGGCATTATGTAATGCCCTTCTTTGTCTTTTTTGATCTTTGTTGGTTTGAAGTTTGTTTTGTCTGAAATTAAAATTGCAACTGTTGCTATTTTCCATTTGCCTTGTAGACTTTCCTCTATCTTTTTATTTTAAGCCTATGGGTGTCATTATGTGTGAGATGAGTCTCTTGAAGATAGCATATCATTGCGTCTTGGATTTTTTTTTTTTTTTAAATCCAGCTTGCCACTCTGTGCCTTTTAAGTGGGGGCATTTAACTTGTTTATATTCAAGGTTAGTAATGATATGTGTGGATTTTATTTTGTCATTGTCTTGTTAGCTCCTTATTATGTTGGCTTCTTTGCTTTATAGTGACACTGGTCTGTGTGTTTAATTGTGTTTTTGTATTAGCCGGTAGCAGGCTTTTCCTTTCTATATTTAGTGATCCTTTCAAGATCTCTTGTATGGCAAGTCCGGTAGTAAAGAACACCCTCAACATTTGCTGATATAAAATGATCTTATTTCTTTTTTGCTTAGGAAGCTTAGTTTGGCTGGATATAAAATTATTGGTTGAACTTTTTTTTTTAGAATAGTGAATACAGGCCCCCAATCTCTTCTGGCTTGAAGCATTTCAGCTGAGAGGTCCACTGTTAGCCTGAAGGCTTTCCGTGTGTAGGTGACACGCCCTTTCCAGCTGCTTTTAGCATTCTTTCTTTCATTTTGACCTTGGAAAATGTGACAGTTATTTTTGGGGGATGATATTCTTGTGTAGAATCTTGCAGGAGTTCTCTGTATTTCCTGAATTTCACTATTGGGCTCTCTAGCAGGGTTGGGAAAGTTTTTATTTAAAAAAATCCAGAAATATGTTTTCCAAGTTATTTGCTTTCTTCGTCTGCCTTTGGGGGATGCCAGTGATTCACAGATTTGACCTCTTTATAGAATCCCATACTTCTCTGAGGTTTTGTTCATCCCTCTGTTCCTTTTTTCTTTATTTTTGTCTGACTGTCTTATTTCAGAGAACCAGCCTTCAAGTTCCACAATTCTTTCCTCACCTTGGTTTATTTTGCTGTTAATACTGATGATTGCATTGTGAAAATCCTGTGTTTTGTTATTTAGCTCTGCCAGACCTGTTAGGTACCTTTTTATACTGACTATTTTGTCTTTCAGCTCCCACATCACTTCATTTTGATTCCTAGTTTCCTTGGATTGGGTTTTGCCATCCTCCTGAATCTTGATGATCTTAATTCCCATCTATATTCTGAATTCTATTTCTGTTATTCCAGTCGATTAAGCCTGGTTAGGAGCTCTTGTTGGAGAACTGGTGCAGTCGTTTGGAGGACATATGACACTCTGGCCATTTGAGTTACTGGAGTTCCTGCACTGATTCTTTCTCATCTCTGTATAAGTGTGTTCCTTGAACTGCAGTGTAGATGGAGTACAGTCAATAGATTTATTTTATGGATGTTTTCACTAGGCTGAGGCTTTGTGCAGGGTCTTTATTTGAAGATGACTTCTTGTCTTTGGTTTCAGAGGGTGGTATGTTACTGAGGTATTTTTGGTGTTACAGCTTTGGCGTGTGATCCGCTAGGTGGCACTTAGGATATCGGTGAGTTGATAGACTCTTGCTCAGTTGTGTGGCTCTCTTATGTTTCCTCACAGTTGCAACCATGCTCTCTCTCAATGCTCTGAAAGTGTGAGTTCCTCTCCCCCTTGAGTGCTGGCTGTAGATCATGGCCTGGCACTCCTGGGCTGCCCACTGCAGCTCTGGGGCAATCTCAGTTTTTATGTTCCTTCCCCAATGTAGAGGGAGCTGAGGATGAGACCTTAGTAGTAGTTGTGGCCAATGGTCTTTTGCTTGTTTCCTGGGGACTCCACCCCAGAGAGATGCATGTCAGCAATTACTCAGTGTAATCAGCCCAGTGTGGAGGGTCTGTGCTGTGAGCCCAAGCCAGGGATTCCCAGTCTGGTGACAAACAGTGGGGGATGTGTGGGACACACAGGAGACAGACTGGTGTCCTCTCCTTGGGTCGACTGCACCCTACTGGAGGTGTAGATAAGGCACTTAGGGTCTTGCTCCTTTGTTAGTCTGAAGGTAGCAAGGACAGTTCCACTGAAGAGGCAGTGGTGGAGAGGCTTTCAGTTGCTCTTGGAGGCTCTGCCAGGGAGTTGCTGAGTTGCTACATGCTCAATAGCTCTTGTTTGGGTGTGAGAAGAGGCCTAGGCCTGGAGGGCCTGCCTGGTGCAGAGATAAAAAAGTGGCCAGACCGTTACACGGAAACACGTACCCATGTAACAGTCTGGCCACCTTTCTGTAGGGCTGCTGTGTGCCTGTTCCAGAACCTAGTCACTTCAGATTTTACAGTACCTTGAGGTATCATGAGTGAAGCCTGCAAAACGGCAAAGATGGCAGCCTGCTCCTCCTTCTGAGAGCTCTGTCCCAGGGAGGTATGGGCCTGCTGCTGACCTGAACACACCTGTAGGAGGTGACTTGAGACCTCAGTGGGGAAGTCCTGTCCAGTGAAGAGAAATGGTATTGGGGACCCATTTAAAAAAGTAGTCTGACCATGTTTTCATAGAGCAGGTGTACTCTGCTAGGGGTCTACTTCTGCTCCTGGTCAGTCACCTCAGACACTCCAAAGCCCAAAGGCTGGAATGACTAATTCACCCAAACAGCAAAGATGATGGTCCACCCCTTCCTCTGGGAGCTCTGTCTCAAGGAGTTTTGAAACCTCCATCATCCAGAGAACACCAGTGGGGGTAGCTGGAGACCCTGGTTTTGAGGCCTGACCTGGTGATGAGGAACAGGATTGAGGTCCTTCTTAAAAGAGTAATCTGGCCACATTTTCACCCCTGTGCTTCCACCCCTGGTCAGCTTGGACTCTCCAAAGCCCACAGGCTGGAATGGCTACATTGCCCAAACAGCAAAGGTGGCATCCCAGCCCTCTCTCTGAAAGCTCCATCTCAGAGAAGTTTCAAATCTCTGTTGGCCAGAGAACACTGGTGGGGGTAGTTGAAGGCTCTTGCTGGGAGGTCTCAGCCCAAGAGAAGCAACGGGATCAGAGACCCACTTAAAAAAGTTCTCTGGCTACATTTGCATAGAGCAGCTGTCTTGGGCTGGGGGATCCCTTCCACCTCTGGTTGGCTTGGACTCTCCAAAGCCTAAAAGCTGGAGTAGCTAAGTCACCCAAACAACAAAGATGATGGCCTGCCCCTCCTGCTGGGAGCTCTGTCTAGTGGGGTAGAAGGGTAGGTGAGGCAGTAAGTAACACTGCTGCTAGTGCCTGGCTGGAATTCCAAGCCAGTGGGTCTTATCCTGAAAGGTACCATGAAAGTGGGGCCTGCAGACTGTTGCAGCTCAGCTCCCTGGATTCATACTTTTTCCTAGGGGTATATAGGGTGTCTACCCTCCCAATTTGCCAGAGTTGCAGCTACTTTTTGTGGGAAGCCTGGGAAACCCGAGTATCTCAGTCTCCGAGGTCACCATACGTGCCTAAGTGGCTGCTCTGCCAAGACTCCACGAAGCTCTGTGTGTCAGGGTGAAGGCCCTGCTGGAGTGGGTTTATGAGGTGATCTCCTGACTAGAGGGTTTCAAAGATCTGCAGGAGAAGCATGTGTTCCTGGGATTGCATATTGACTTACTGCTTCCCTGAGTCGGGGAGGTTCCCTTGGCTAATAAAGTTTTTTGAAAGACACCAACTGTCTAAAATAAAATAGAAAAAGAAAGTATAAAGTTTCTTATATTAATAAAAAAATATTTCTAATCAATCTTCTCACAGAGAAAGTGTCCTACAAATATGGCTTGACTAGTATGTTCTATCAATTATTTTAAAAATAAATAACGTCCGTTTTACACAAGGTCTTTCTGAAAATAGAGAAGAAACTCTTACCAATTCATTTTATGTAACTAGGTTGACTATGATATCAAAACTAACATTATGAGAAATTAAATTATGTTTACATTTATATAGACACAAAATCCTCCACAAACTTAGGGAAAGGTAATTCAGAAATAATTAATTTTTATAATACATTCAATCAATCAATGCAAATGTAAAAATAAAAAGGAGAAAACCATATACTTATAATCAATATGCACAAAAGCTAGCAAAAAAATTCAACATTTATTCTTGATAAGAAAGCTTTCAAGAAACTAGGAATAAAATAATACTTCCTAAATCAGTAATAGACATCTACAAAAGAAAAAATCTACTGGTAACATCATACTTAAATTGCACAATTTTAAATACTTTCATTTTGAGACAGAGAATAAGGCAAAAAAAGAAAGGGAATAAATACTTGAAATGAAGAAATACAATTGTCTTTTATTTTGCAGAATGGCATGTATGGAGAAAATTATAAAGAACCTACAAAACAATAGAACTGCTAACCTAATTTAGCAATGTATTAGATATAAAGTCAATATTAAAACTGTATTATATTCTTATATACAAAAGCAGCAACTGAAAAACAATATTTAAAATTTGTATTTTAACAGCATTTAAAACCACTGAACACTTCTTAATATCGCAAAGATGTATAGTACTTGTACAATAAACATTTTAAAATTTTTGAGATAAAGATCTATATAAACAAAGAGATATTCCATATTTATGGAAAAGAAGACCTAATATTGATAAAGAGTTTGTTCTTCCTAAGCTTATTGATAGATTCAATGCAATTCCAATCACATTAACACTGGGCTTTGCTTTCATGTAAATACTAAAAATGATCCTAGATTTTAAAATCTAAAAGGAAATTTAAAGTTCCTAGAATAGCCAAAACACTGTTGAAAAGGATGAACAAGTTTGAAGGACTTATACTACTTGATTTCAAGTCTTTTGCTAAAGCAATAGTAACTAAAGAGGTTTGTAGTAATATAAGGATCAATATATTAATCTCTTGAACAGAATAGAGGGTCCAGAAATAAACTCACATGTATGAAGACAACTGATTCGCAATGAATGCGCCAAGGTAATTAAATGACAAAATTATAGTCTGTATGGCAACTGGTAACTGTGGAGAAAAACATTGCCCTCATTTCCTACCATACCACATTAAAAATTTAACTCAAAATTTGATTATAGACAAAAGCAAATCCTAAAATTTCTAGATGAAAATATTGGAGAACATCTTATGAACTTAGAAAAGCAAATATTGCTTAAACAAGACACAAAACCCCTAAAGCCTGTAAGAAAAAAAGGTAAAAATTAGATTTCAAAATTAAAAATTTCTGCACATTAAAAATTCCATTGAGAAAATGAAGAGCTAAGCCATGAATTGAGAAAACATTCAGAATATCAAAGAAAAAAGAAAATTTTATATTACAGGTACTTCTCGTTAAAAACCTTGCAAATGAGTAGATAGTGAAATATTTAAAGTGTTGAAAAGAGGAAAAGGCCAGACGCAGTGGCTCACACAATCCCAGCACTTTGGAAGGCTGAGGCGGGTGAATTGTTTGAGCCTAAGAGTTCAAGACGAGACTGAGCAACATGGCAAAAACCCATCTCCACAAAAAAAGTAGCTGGACAGAATGCAAATTTTGAATAAAAAGATTTATGAGCAAATGAGTGCTCAAAATTGTGCAATCCCTTACATTACTCATTTATTTATGATAATAGCATTTATGTTTATTAATTGAGATGAGAAATATAATTCTCTATTTTTTGAAATATACGTCAGTTATTGTTATGTTCTAATTAAGTCTCTGTGTGGGAGCATCAGCAGGATATAAACCACTCCTGTGAAAACTCAACTCTAATCTCTGAAAAAATACAACTAAAGTCTACAATTTTGAAAGTAAAATATGCAAAAAAAAAAACTGTGATGAAAATTTTGAAAAACAAAGAAAAACATTTTTTCTATTTTCAGAGGAAAAATTAGCTTGGGTAAACACACATAGAGATTCAAGTGTTAAGAATGCTATGAACACATAATTGCATAAACAAGAGTACAAAAACATACTTTGAAATGACCTGATGTTACAATGTTCATTTTGAAACTTAAGAGTAAGAAAATAAATACCTCACTTGATATTCTTTTTACTGTGTTATCTCAGTTTTCTGCTTACACCAAATGTCTTATTTTCTTTCTTTGCACACCATTTATTATTTCATTTATTTATTTAGTTTTCACCTTTTCATTTCTGATCATTTTATATGTTATTTGTTTTATTTTGTATCACTTATAAATAGTGTGTCATTGAACTTTATTTTTTGTTTTATACCAGATTGGGAATCTAGACACATTTTTAACCATTTCATTTAGTCCATTTATATTTATTGTAATTATATTTTTTTCTACCATTTTATTTTCTGTTTTCATTTCCTATCCTCTCTTTCCTTTTCCTTTTATGTCTTGGATTGGTAAAGTTTTCACTAGATATTTTTCCTTTCATTGTATTTTCACTTTGCTTTTATTTTATGAGATTAGAATTTATACCTTCTTTTCTTTTGATCATTATGTTTTGAAAAACACTTTTTCATTGTTTTTCTTATTCCTGGTATATTGTTTTTCTTTGTAACTGAGTTATAAAGCTCAGATTTATTTAATTGATTTTTTGGATAAATTGTCTGTTTATTTTTCTAATTGCTTTTTAAGATTTCTTTCTTCAGTCCAGAATGTGTCACAGCCAAATACTGCAATGCATCTCCATTGTATTAGTTTTATTTATCCATTTCAGGAATTATGTTTCTTTACTATGAATATTCAGGCTTTTATCAATTCTGGTTGTCATTTTCCTTTTATTATCTGACACCTCGGAATTTCGTAATATGCTCAATTAGGCATGCAAAAGGGAATTTTGTTGTATTTTGCTGTCATTTCTAGGTGTTTGCCATATTCAGGGGGTTGTTATTAATTATCACATTATTTTAGGTTATCAAGTGAAATAAACAGGGAGGCTCTGTAACTAAGCTCTTGCTTTATTTTGTTTGTATGTGAATAAACCCACTCTGCACTCACGCAGTCACCACAGAAAGGCATAGAATTTCCGTATGACATGGTGATCTGCTTTATGCAGCTGCCCTTGTTACAAGAAGTGTTTGTTCTATATAATTGGTAATCTCTAGCAGATCTCAGAATTCAATATATTTGCCTTCAATGTCTGACTTTATCAGAACTGCACTGTGCTCAGTGCCCCAATTTCATTTGTTGTTAACTCCCACCCTTTGTTGTCTTACTCATTCTGCTCACCAGGTTTTTCTTAATCTTTAAATCGACCTCTGGGTTCTGTCTGTTTTTGTGATACATGTTATAACATGGATGAAACTCAAACCATTATGCTAAGTGAAATAAGTGAAAAGCAGTAGACTATATATTGCATAATTCCATATATTTGAAGTGTCCAGAAAAGGCAAATCTGTAGATACAGAAAGTATCATATTAGTGATTATCTGGGGCTGAGGTTGGTGATGGAATTGATTGAAAAAGAGCATTAGGGAGCTTTCTGGAGTTAAGAAATGTTCTAAAATAATTGTGGTGATGATTGCTCAATATTTCTGGCAAATTCACCAGAAATACTGAATTGTACAACTAAAATGGGTGAATTTTATGGCATGTAAATTACACCTAAAAGAGGATGATTAAGAAAAACAAAAGACTTCCTGAACTCTATTTTCTCTGAGCTGAAACGCAGATGAGAAACCTGGAAGTGCAGGATCTTTAGTGCAACCATGTTAGGAAAAGCTATGTGCTAAGTGTAGTGAGCACGCCAAATACAGTGAGAGGAAAAAAAATAAAAGAAATCTGACCTGTTAGTAGCATGGTGGGCCACAGCACTGTGCTGTGCTGTGAGCCTGGTCTGTCTCCATCTAAGTTTCTTTAATGAGAAAACAAATAAAATATTCAAAAAAGAAATTTTTTTTTTTTTTTTTTGAGACAGAGTCTCGCTCTGTCGCCCAGGCTGGAGTGCAGTGGCGCGATCTCGGCTCACTGCAAGCTCCGCCTCCCGCGTTCACGTCGTTCTCCACCTCAGCCTCCCGAGTAGCTGGGACTACATGCGCCCGCCATCACACCAGGCTAATTTTTTGTATTTTTAGTAGAGACGGGGTTTCACCGTGTTAGCCAGGATGGTCTCGATCTCCTGACCTCGTGATCCACCCGCCTCAGCCTCCCAAAGTGCTGGGATTACAGGCGTGAGCTACTGCGCCCGGCCTAAAATATATATTATGTGTATATACATAGATTTTTAATTTAATAATATTCCATTGCTTAGATGTACCACAGTTCATTCATCAGTTGAAAGGCCTTTGAGATGCTCCCTCTTTGGGCAATTATGAATAATGTCACAATCAACATTTGCATGCAGATTTTGTGTGAACATAAGAGTAATTTCTCTTGGACTGGCATGCCTGCTTTGTATGGTAAGTGTGTGTTTAATTTTGTAAGAAACTATGAGGTGCCAAGCTGTTTTCCAAAGCAGCTGTTTCATATTACAGCAATCTATGAGAGTTCTAGTTGTTCTGTATCTCTTCAGAACTTGGAAGTTTTCTTTCTCTTTCTTTCTTTCATTCTTTCTTCTTTCTTTTCTTTTCTTCTTTCTTTTTCTTTCTCTATTCTGTTAGATGTGTAGTGGCATTTCAATGGGGTTTTATTTTCCATTTTTCTAATAATAAATAATGAAATAATGTCATTTCCATTCTCTAGCTTCTATATACAATACTCAGCAATAAGTAATATCAGGGATAATACTCAAAATATTTAACAACTGCCAGTATGGCATGGGTAGAAACCAATGAGGACAGACAGAGAACAGACCAATCAAGCAGATGTCAGCTGTAAATGAAAGTTTGGCTGTAACTAAATCTACTATTCAATATCAGCCCAGCATATATCATCTCAGAGGAATGCAAACATAATTATGAGATAATTTATAGATGTAGAATCTAAGCAGAAAATGATAACTGCATTTATAATATGGGTGCTTTTTGTTAAATTTCCTTAGGGTTGATATTCCAATTAACCCAGTTATCACATAGAAGGAGATTATCTGATTCTTTAAGTATTTGCTGCCACAGATCAAACTTTTTGTTCTTTGACAATCAGGTGAAAACTGGCCAGAGTTTTAATTTGTGTCTATCTTATTTTGAGTGAGACTCTCTTTTCAATGTTTAGATCATTTCATTATGTTTTCCATTAAGCAAATTGTTTATTATTAGAAAAATTATTATTTTTCTAATGTTTCATTGTATTTTTCTGATAAGCTTTAAAAAGTGTTTTGTTTATATTTATAAATTAGCTAATTGTGATGTGATTTGTAAGTAATTATTTCTAGTGTTCTATTTGTCTTTTGGCTTTGTTTATAAAGATTTTTTTAATTCAAACTAAAAAAATTGTAGTAAAATTAGTCAATTTTTTTTTAAACTTCGGGATTTATGCCATAGTAAGAAAGGCTTTCTACATGCCAAGATTAATTTTTAAATTCCTGTAGATATTCTTTTAGTACCATTATGGTTTCTTTTATTTTCCTTTGTGACATTCAAATATTTAACATGTAGAATTCTTCTTGATGTAAGTATGAACTATGAATTAAATTTCCTTACCCATAGAGCTATTTATTTTTCCAAGTATCAGTAATTGAAAATCTTTTACCCCGCTGCATTGACATTACCTTCATCATAAGCATAACTATGACAGTATTTAAGGCAATTAAACTTTAGACATTTTAACTATTGGAGCTTTAAAATATATTTTGATAAATAGGTGAAATTCTCTCATTTCTCCCTCCCTCCCTTCCTCCCTTCCTCCCGTTCTTCTGGCTATTCTTGCATTATCTGAATAATTATCTTTTGCAGTTTTAAAACAATTGTCATAGATTATTTTATTAGGATCACGTTGAATGTATTGATTTAATTATGGAGAATTGACATCTTTATGATTTTTTGGTTTTATGTTTAGGAACATGATATGACTTTCAATTTGTTCAAGGTTTCTTTTATCTCTTAGAATTTTTTCCTTCCTTCTTTCCTTCCTTCCTTCCTTCCTTCCTTCCTTCCTTCCTCTTTCTACTTATGTAGTTTTCTTAAAGTTTATTCTTAAGAATTTTATTTATAATTGTTTTTCTCTTATAAATGAGGTCACTACTAATGTTATTATTACTATCACCAATTGTGTATATAGGAAGTTTATTATTTTCTGTGCAATAATTTTGTATCCAGCCAACTCTGTTGAGTTACCTTTTTGTTTATGATAATTTTTAAGCTAGCTTTCTTGAGTTTCCTAGGTAGCAGAAAGGTTATTTGTAAGCAACTAATTTTTCTCTTTCTTTGCAACTGAGTTTACTTATTATTTTTTTTGCCTTATCTAATTGCATTGGTTAGAACATTTGGAGCAACATTAAACAGTAGTGATTTCAGTGGAAATTTTTGCATTATTCTTATATTTAATAGATATAATTTGGGTCAGGCATAGTGGCTCATGCCTATAATCCCAGCCCTTTGGGAGGCCCAGGCAGGCAGATCACATGAGGCCAGGAGTTCAAGACCTTCCTGGCAAATGTGGTGAAACCCCATCTCTACTAAGAATACAAAAATTAGCCAAGCATGGTGGTGCATGGCTGTAATCCCAGCGGCTTGGGAGGCTAAGGCAAGAGAATTGCTTGAACCTGGGAGGCGGAGGTTGCAGTGAGCTGAGATCATGCCACTGCTCTCCAGTCTGGGTGACAGAGCAAGACTCTGTCTAAAAAAAACGAAAACAAAAACAAAAACAAAAAAACAAAAATGCCAAAATGGATATAATTCTAGTATTTTCCCATTTCATTTAAAGAATGTTCCTGGCCTTAGAAGTTTAGCAGACTAAAAAGAACTATCCACCCATTTCTGTTTTTTTAAGAACCTATTGTTTAATAAAAAAGATGTGGAAAATCTTTTCATCAAATAATTATTTAACAACAATGGATATATTTTGTAAGTTAGATCTATTCACACTTTAATTTATATTAACTGTAATTCAATGAATTACAGTTAATATAATTATTATTTTAATGTGCTCTGAAATCTCTTTGTCAATATTTTATTTTGTTTAAATTTTTATTGATTTCCATGAGTGATATTAGTTAGCATATCTGATTTTTATAATTTTTTCTGACCTTCAGTAATATATTGCATTTAATACATAAGAATGTTTTAGGAGAAAGTCTTCTGTTTCTATTATCTGAAACAGTTTAAAACATTGCGATTACCTTTTATTTGATGATTTAGTAAAATTATGTGGTGAAACTATCTGGAGCTGTTGATTTGTGATTTGTTATTTAAAAACTATTTCCTCTTTTTACCACTGCCGCTTCTTAGGTTAATTGGTTTGTTTAGATCTTTCACTATTTCTTGAGTCTGTTTGGTGCATTTTGAATTGCAAGAAAGAAAGTAGTTTTATATAGATTTTCAAATTTATATGTATAGAGTTAATAATTTCCTTCTACACTCTTTTAATTTTCTCGGTTTCTATAGTTATTTCCTGTTTTAGTATTTCTTATTATCTCTTTCTCCCTCTCACCACCCCTCACTCTCTGATTGGTTACTTGATAAGGTCAAGTATAGTTGAAAAACAATTTTTAAAGAATCACCTTTTAGATTGTTACTTCAACTTTTTTTTGCCACTTCAGTAGTTTTTTATTATTAAATTGTATCTCTGCATTTTTTTCTTTTTAAGTTAAATGTTTATACAACTTACTCTTATTTTTAATAATTAATAGCAAATGTTTAACACTGAATTTTAACTGAGCACTGCCTTATGTCCAGTCCATGAGTTTTAATCATAGCTATTTTTTTTTTTTTTTTGAGACAGTCTTGCTCTGTCGCCCAGGCTGGAGTGCAGTGGTGCAATCTCGGCTCACTGCAAGCTCCGCCTCGCAGGTTAACGCCATTCTCCTGCCTCAGCCTCCCGAGTAGCTGGGACCACAGGCGCCCGCCACCACGCCCAGCTAATTTTTTGTATTTTTAGTAGAGATGGGGTTTCACCGTGTTAGCCAGGATGGTCTCGATCTCCTGACCTTGTGATCCGCCCGCCTCGGCCACCCAAAGTGCTGGGATTACAGGCGTGATCCACCACGCCTGGCCAATCATAGCTATTTTTTACATAAGTAGTTTAAATTAAAAAATAAAATTTCTGGAAGTAGTGCCTTAAAACATTTTCTAGTCTTTGAAATTTTCTAATATCTCGATTGTGATCACATAATGTCATTAGTAACTTTTTTTTTTTTTTTTTTTTTGAGACGGAGTCTCGCTCTGTCGCCCAGGCCGGACTGCGGACTGCAGTGGCGCGATCTCGGCTCACTGCAAGCTCCGCTTCCCGGGTTCACGCCATTCTCCTGCCTCAGCCTCCCGAGTAGCTGGGACTACAGGCGCCCGCCACCGCGCCCGGCTAATTTTTTGTATTTTTAGTAGAGACGGGGTTTCACCTTGTTAGCCAGGATGGTCTCGATCTCCTGACCTCATGATCCACCCGCCTCGGCCTCCCAAAGTGCTGGGATTACAGGCGTGAGCCACCCACCGCGCCCGGCCATTAGTAATTTTTAATACTTATTTTATGGCCCAATCAAGATCAATCAATTTATATGTACAGCGTATCTGTATCTATTACTCAAAACATCTTACTAATTATATTCTAATTTTTATTTTTGTTTACAAAATAGTTCTGGCTTGCCCCACCTCTGGACCTAGGGTAGAATTACATATTTCTCTCCTGGCTTTGTGATTGAGTGGGTGCAGTGTAATGAATTGTAAGCCAAAATGATATGTGTTATTTAATTGCTAATATGAGTTTCTCCAGGGTGCTTTTTTTCCTATTAGTTACAGTGACTGGCAATGTTAGAGACCATGGCTGATCTGCCATTCTGGGTCCCTGAGTGATTACGCTGAGTAGAGGCCCCTTCCAACTCTTGACGAACATGTGTTGAACACAAGAATAAATAGCTACTGTTTTAAGTCAATGGGATTGAGAAAACTGGTATTGTAGTGAAACCAAGGCAATATTGATTGAATTATTCTTCATAATCATACTGATTTTTGCTCACTTGATTTGTCATGTGCTGGCTGGCTTGAGTCTTTGTCTATGGATGTGTATTTCTGACGGTTTCTATTTGAATCTCATATAGTTTTTATTTTGCAAAGGTTGATGCTAAACTACCTGGCATCTAAGTCTTAATAACTGCTGTATCTTCATAATTAATTGTACCATTCAGTATTTTAAATCTGTTTTTTTTTTTGTTTTACTCAATGGTTACTTGCATAATTTTAAACTCAATTAGGATTCTAACAAATCATTTTTTTTTGTTTTTGCTTTTATATCCTAGTATTCTTTGGCCGTCTTTCATTTCTAGGCCCTGTGATTTACATATTTTTCTTCCATAAAGCATAGAGTTTAGGGAGTTTAGAGCATATTTAAAAAATGCCCTACAGAGTTAAAAGACTTGTTTTTGTAAATAAATTTTTAGATATTGTTCAATGTGTGGTCACTATGTTTTACTTTGTTTTTTCCTGATACTTAGAAAGTTTTTATTTTCTTCTAATGGTTAGCTTTATATTATATCCTTAAGAATATATACACACACACCATACATATGTATAAATATTATATAAATATTTCATGTACAACATATATATGCATATATATGTATAATTTTGTGCTTTCATTTTTCCACTAGAAACAATGTAAAATTCATGTATTTCTTCCTTCTTACCTTCTTTTTCTCCCCCACCATTCATTTCTTGTTAAGTAGTTTCTTTCACAGTGTTGTAATGTTTAACTTCACATTCTTATATAAAATTATACTTTTATTAATTAATTCTTAGGTTTGTGGATTCTATTTTGACTTTTGCCAGCATATTGTCACTACTTCTATGTTTTTTTCTTCCTTTAGCTCCCAAATTTTCTTAATTTTAATATTCCTTACCATAATTTATCTTTTTGTTAGTCCTACGTGTAAACAGATGTTCACTAAAATTTACTCCATGTTTTGAGTTATTTCGTCGTTGGCTCTATTCTCTCTCTTAAGAATAGTTCATGGGAATATCGTTTCCTCAGTTCCTGCAAGTTCTCTCTTCTCTCAAGTGTGTTTGTTGCTTTTGTATTTTAATGAGGATTTGGCCAAGCAGAAATGAGTTTTTTGTTCTTTAAAATTGCATATATTGCTTCACTGACTTCTTGATTTTAATGTCGCTATGGAAAAGTAAGAGGTCAGGCTATTTTTCTCTTATAACTGCTTTGGTATTATTATATTTAGAATCTTTAAAATAAAAGATTATTTTGAAGTACAGCAAATTTATTATGCTGTACATTCATGTGATCATTCTGGATTGATCCCAGGGTCATGGTGATTAATCTTTCAATATATAATCAATTCTTCTTTTAAAGACAGTTTTCTTGAATTACATTTTAAATATTTGTTCTTTTCTGTGGTTTCCATTTTTTCAGCATGGATTCTAATTATACATTTGGAAATCTCCTTTGGCATCTTCCATACCTACTCATGTTCTTTCATTTCTAAACTCTATTTTCATTTCATTTCTAAAATCCAATTTTTAAATTGTTTTCTGGGTCATTCATTGGGTTATTAGCACTATTTTTTGCTTTCCCTAATTTAACCTACAAATATGAAATTTCAATATTAAAAATCGTTTCCCAAGATCTCCATCTCCTAAAGTTTAAATCATTACACAGTCTTCAGTCTCTTTCCTAAGTTATTTTGACTGTTACATATGTTCTGCTTTCTGCTCTTGCTCCCTAGAGGTTATTATTATTATTTTAATTTGTAGTAAGTTTCCTCTACTTCATGACAATATTCGCCTGGGAGAGTTCTTTACTAGGAATTTACTTTTAATATCTCTTCCTCCTTCTCCTCTTTTCCTTTATTCTTCCTTTAATTCTTTCTGAAAATAAATGAATTTTCCTAAACCAGCCATTGGAAAGGATATTTGTGTAGTAAGGAAGAGCCTGGGGACAAATTCAATGCTAACTGGCATTATTTTTTTAGCACCTGGATTTCTGTGTTAGTTCCTTTAGTCTTTCATTCTTACCAAACAATGGAGATAGGTGGCTGGGAAAATTTTGCAAACAGCATTTTTTTAAATTCATAAATTTTATTTTTCAGAACTGTTTTAGGTTCACATCAAAATTGAGTAGAAGGTACAGGCAGCTCTCATATATTTTCTGTCCCCTGTATTACTAAGGCTTTCCAAAGAAAGAGAAGCAATACAACACACACACACACGCACACACTTGCATACATCCATGCAGACAGTCCTCAACTTATGATGGTTCAATTTACAATTTTTTGGCATTACAATGGATTTATTGGGGGTATTAAATGCATTTTAGACCAACATATTTTTTATCTTATGATGAGTTTATCAAAACATCACCCCATTATAAGTCAAGGAGCATTTGTGTGTGTGTGTATGTACATGTACACTATCTATATATATACACATATACATATATATGTGTATACACACACACATGTGTGTGTGTGTGTGTGTGTATATATATATATATATATATATATATATATATGTATAGTGAGGGATTGGCTTATGTGACTGTGGAGGCTGAGAAGATTCACAATTGCTGTCTGCAAGCTGAAAGCCCAGGTAAACCAGTGGTGTAGTTCCAAACCAAACCTGAAGGCCCAAGAACCAGGAAGCTAATGAACGGAGTTCCAATCTGAGTCTTAAGGCACAAAACAAGAAATACCGATTTCCAGAGGCAGGAGAAAATGAATGTTGCAGCTTTAGAAAAGATTAAATTTATTTTTCCTCTTTCTTTTCATTCTACTCAGGGCCTCAACAAATCGGATGATTGTATTAGTCCATTCTCACACAGCTATAAAGATCTACCTTAGGCAGGGTGTGGTGGCTCACACTTGTAATCCCAGAACTTTGGGAGGACAAGGAGGGTGGATCAACCAAGGTCAGGCATTCGCGACCAGCCTGGCCAACATGGTGAAACCCCATCTCTACTAAAAATACAAAAATTAGTGGGGCATGATGGTGCATGCCTGTAATCCTGGCTACTCAGGAGGCTGAGGCAGGAGAATTGCTTGAACCTGGGAGGTGGAGGTTACAATGAGCCGAGATTGTGCCATTGCACTCTAGCCTGGGAGACAGAGCAAGACTCCATCTCAAAAAAAAAAAAAAAAAAAAGTGAGCTACCTTAGACTAGAAGATTTATGAAAAAAACAGGTTTCACTGACTCACAGTTCTGCAAGCTTAATAGGAAGTATGACTGGGAGGCCTCAGGAAACTTAAAATCATGGATAAGTGCCACACACTTTTAAACCATCATATCTCATGAGAACTCATTCACTATTATGAGAATAGCAAGGGGGAAAACTGCACCCATAATCCAATAACTTCTCATCAGGCACCTCCTTCAATTTGAAATAAGATTTGAGCAGGGACACAAATCCAAATGGTATCATTCTGTCCCTGGCTCCTCCCAAATCCTTTGTCCTTCTCACATTGCAAAATACAATTAACTTTTCTCAACAGTTCCCCAGTTTTAACTGATTTCAGCATTAACTTAAAAGTCCACATTCCGAAGTCATATCTGAGACAAGGTAAGTGCCTTCCACCCATAAACCTGTGAAATCAAAAACAAGTTAGTTAATTCCAAGGTGCAATGGAAGCACAGGGGTTAGGTAAATGCTCCCATTCCAAAAGGGAGAAATTGGCCTAAACAAAGGGCCTACAGGTCCCATGCAAGTCAAAAATCCAGCAGGGCAGACATTGCAGCCTAAAGCTCCAAAAAAATCTCCTTTGACTCTATTTCTCAAATCTAGGGCATGCTGATGCAACAGGTGGGCTACCAAGGCCTTGGACAGCTCCATCCCCTGTGGCTCTGCAGGGCACAGCTCCCACGGCTGCTTTCACAAGCTGGCATTGAGTGCCTGTGGCTTACCCAGCTACACCATGGCAAGCTGTCAATGAATCTACCATTCTGGGGTCTGGAGGATGGTGGCCCACTTCTCACAGTTCCACTAGGCAGTGCCCCAGTTGGAATTCTGTGTGGGAGCTCCAACACCACATTTTCCCTTTGCACTGCCCTAGTAGAGTTTCTCCATGAGGGCTCCTCCCCTGTAGCAGACTTTTGCCTGGACACCAAGACATTTCCACGCATCCTCTGAAATTTAGGCAGAGGCTTCAAAACCTCAGTCCTTGCCTTCTGCACACTGGCAGGCCCATAAACACATGGAAACTGCTAAAGCTTGGGGCTTAAACCCTCTGAAGCCATGGCCCAAGTTGTACCTTGGCCCCTTCTAGCCACAGCTGGAGCTGGAGCAGCTGGGATGCAAGCTGCCATGTCCCATGACTGAATAGAGCAGGGGGCCCTGGATCTGGCCCACAGAATCATTTTTTTCTCCTAGGCCTCTGGGCCTGTGGTTTGAGGAGCTGCCAGGAAGTTCTCTGAAATGCTCTGGAGACATTTTTCCCGTTGTCTTGCGTATTAACATTCCACTTTTATTTTTTACTTATGCAGATTTCTGCAGTAGGCTTGAGTTTCTCCCAGAAAATGGGTTTTTCTTTTCTACTGCATGGCTGGAATGCAAATTTTCCTAACTTTTATGCTCTGCTTCCCTTATAAATATGTTTCATTTTCAGATAATCTCTTTGTTCATGCAAATGAATGTATGCTCTGAGAAACAGCCAAGTCAAATCTTGAATGCTTTGCTGCTTAGAAATTTGTTCAGCCAGATACCCTAAATCATCTCTCTCAAGCTTAAAGTTTCAGAGATCTCTGCGCTAGGGGCAAAAAGCTGCCAGTCACTTTGCTAAAGTATAGCAAGTGTGACCTTTACTCTGTTCCCAGTAAGTTTCTCATCCCCATCTGAGATCACCTCAGTCTGGACTTCATTTTACGTATCTCTCTCAGCATTTTGGTCAAAACTATTCCACAAGCCTCTAAGAAGTTCAAAACTCCCACATCTTCCTGTCTTCTTCTGAGCGCTCCAAACTGTTCTAACCTCTGCAAGTTATCCAGCTGCAAAGTCACTTCCACATTTTCAGATATCTTTATAGCAGTACCCCACTCTTGGTGCCAATTTTCTGTATTAGTCCATTCTCATACAGCTACAAAAAACACCTGAGATTGAGTAATTTATGAAGAAAAGAGGTTTAATTGACTCACAGTTCCACAGGCTTAACAGGAAGCATGACTTGGAGGCCTCAGAAAACTTACAATTGTGGTAGAAAATGAAGAGGAAGCAGGCACCTTCTTCACATGATGGTAGGAGAGAGGGAGAGAGTGAAGGGGGAAGTGTCACACACTTTTAAGCTATGAGATATCATGAGAACTCATTCACTATCATGAGACTAGCAAGGAGGAAAACTGTCCTCATGATCCAGTTATCTTCCACCAGATGCCTCCTCGAATTCAACATGAGATTTGGGTGGGGACACAAATCCAAACCATATCAATAATGATACCACCTGCATTGGTGAGAACAACCTTCTTACTCAGTCTGCCAATCAAATGTGAGTCTCTTCTGGAAGCATACCATTACAGAAACAATGTTGAATGGCTATCTGGGCATTCCTTAGCCCAATCAAGTTGACACATACAACTATCCATTCCAATTCCACAACTTGTCAACTTGTCAACCAACTTGTCAACTAGGCACCCAGACATATATCTCCTTAAACCATACTTGATCCTCAGTAAAGACAATAACAAGGTCACAAGTTGTATCACCTAACATGATACAACTGTATTCCACATGCAGCTAAAATTGAACTAGTCCCTTTCTAAGAAGAAATGGTAAAGTCCTTGAGTGCTGTTTACTCTTCTCATATTTTTTAAATACTTTTATGTTAAATCAATAATACTTAGATAATGACATAAAGTCAATATATGTTATGTACATAACATAAGAGAAAAAAGAGGAAAGAGAGCAAAGATATTTGTTTAATATGTATGTATACACACACATGTATTCACAACAAAATAAAAAGGAACTACTCATAATTACAAACCATGTCTCTGTAACTGGTAACATAGTCATAGTTGATATTATTTTATTACGCATTATGTATTCCCTTTGCCTTTAGCAATAACCTCATCTAGTATTTCTTTTCCTGGTAGAGTGATCCAAACTCCTATTCCTAAAGGATCTGGGTCATTCATGCTACTGTGTGGATTGGGTTGTGGTTTTTCATTGACCTTAATCACTGGACCTTAATCAGGGCTAATGCTAAGAGACACTAAAGAATTACATGTGTTTCAGATGTATTTGTCCTTACCTCCATTGTGGAGTAATAGATTGTTTTCCCTTGGTATTAAAGACCAATTATCCCAGCCAACACTATAGCTCCCTTCTTTGCTGCATGATTCAGAGGCATAAAGGGTCCAAAGTGGATGAATGCCAGTCTTCACTTCCATTTCAATAACATCATTGTATCTCCTGGTGGAAACATTCCTCCTTATAAAACTAGACCTGTAAGCCAGCAGAGGGGAAGGTCTTGGGAACAAGAAACAAAAATTTTGCTAGTGGGTCACTAGGGGTAATATTTAGCGGCACCACTTTCATTTCCCAGCCCTTGATTTATAGATCTGTAAATCTTAGCTCTGGAGGAAACAACACCATATGTTCAATGCTGCTTCAATCCATATACAGCCTTCTGGAAAACCTTGCCTCTGTCTTGCAAAGTATTGTCACCTAGCTGGTGCTATAGATGAGACTTCAAAAGGCTATTTCCCTATTCTATCAAGCCAGTTGCTTCAGAATAGTGAGAAACATGGCAAGATCAATGAATTCCATAAATATGGGCCCATTATTGTACTTCTTTTGCTGTGAAATGAATTCCTTAATCAGAAGCAATGGTATGTAGACAACCGTAATGATGGATAAGGCATTCTGTAAGTCTATGCAGGGTAGTTTTGGTAGAAACATTGTATGCAATTCTGTATCCAGAGTAAGTGTTTATTCTAGTAAAGAAAAACTCTGCCCCCTTAATGATAGAAGTGATACAATGTAATCAAACTGCCACTAGATTAGCTGGCTGATCACCCTAGATAATAGTGCCAAATGGGGAGCTCAGTACTGGTCTCTGCGAAGTCAGTAATGACTATATCCACGTCAGTCTTGATGGGTGGAAATTCATGTTGCTGAGCCCATGCATAACCTCTGCCTGGTCACCATGGCCATTTTGCTCATGATCCTATTGGGCAATGACAGGGGTTGCTGGAGAAAGAGACTGTCTGGTATTCAGAGAACAAATCATTCTCTCTGCTTGATTATTAAAATCTTCCTCTGCTACAGTCACTCTTTGGTAAACATTCACATAGGACACAAATATCTTTATGGCTTTTTGAGTATTCAGAGAGGTCTATCTACATGCCTCTTCCCCAAATTTCTTTGTCACTAATTTGCCAATCATGATTTGTTTCTTCCAAAACACTGATCATCCAGCCACACCATTGACTGCAGTCTCTGCAAACTAGGCCTGTGTCTTTTCTTCCTGTGTCAACTGATTATAAGGAACTCCCCATGAAGCCATAGGTACAGTCTGGGAGAGAGAAGACACTGCAACAGCAATAGGACTAATTCCTTTTCTTAAAGAAGTGGGCATTTGGGTCTACTTGTTTGTGTAACTTACTTGGGTGTTCAAGACCAGCTCAGGCATGATCTTGTATATACCACTTACAATTGCTGATGGACTGTTGTTGTGTGTTCCCAAATTTAGAGCTTTAGAGCCAGATACCCCTCAGTGTATGATGGGAAGCTCAGGTTGCACAGTAGCTTGGTGGTTCATGGTCAAGAACTCAGTGTCTACTAAATCCCATTATCAAGCCATGAGCTCTTTCTCAAAAAGGGAGTAGTTATCTGCAGATGAGGGCAGAGCCATTCTTCAAAATCCAAATGGGCTATGCTTCACCTATAGGTGCCTACCAAAGACTCCGAATAGCATCCTTATCTGCTACTGACACTTTAAGCACCATCGGGTCTGCTGGATCATATGGCCCAAGGGACAAAGCAGCTTGAACAAAAGCCTAAACCTGCTACAGAGTCTTCTCTTGTTCTGAGCCCCACTCAAAACTAGCAGGTTTTAAGCCACTTGGTAAATGTGCTGAAGTAACACACCCTACTGAAGAATATGTTGCCTCTAAAATCCAAAGAGGCCTACTAGGCATTGGGCCTCTTTCTTGCAGGAGGGGCAGCTGTAACAACTTATTCTTCACTTTAGAAAGGATATCTTGACATATCCCCCACTTGAACCCTAGAAATGTACTTTCTAGACCTGTGAGTTTTAGTCAAATTTATTTTCCACCCTCTGATATGCACGTGTATTACCAGTAATTCTGGAGTAGTTTCTACATCTTATTCACAAGGTCCAGTCAGCACAATGCCATCAATATAATGGACCAGTGTGATGTCTTGTGGAAAGGAAAGGCAATCAAGATGCTTGAATACTAAATTATGACATAAGGCTGGAAAGTTGATATACCCCTGAGGTATGACAGTGAATGTATATTACTAGCCTTGCCAGCTTAAAACAAACTACTTCTGGTAGGTCTTAGGTGCGGAGATGGAGAACAAAGCATTTGCCAGATTAATAGCTGTAAACCAGGCACCAGGGGATGTTTTAATTTGCCCAAGCAATGAAATCCCATCTGGTACAGCAGTTGGAATTGGAGTCACCACCTGGTTAAGGCTATGATAATCCACTGTCATTTTCCAGGATCCATAAATTTTCTGCAGTATGCCTTTTTTAAAAGGAAAATATATTGGGGATGTAGTAGGAATAACTACCTGTGCATCTTTCAAGTCTTTGCTGATGGCCCTATCTCTGCAGTCTCTCCAGGAATGTGGTATTGCTTTTGATTTACTATTTTCCTAAGTCATGGAAGTTCTGACGGCTTCCACTTGGCCTTTCCCACCACAACGGCCTTCACTCCAGAGATCAGGGCTCCAATGTGGAGACTCTGCCAGCTGCTATGTTTATTCTATTTTTGCATCTGGTACTGGGGAAATAACCACAGGATCAGTTCAGAGACCCACAGGACCCACTGGGAAATGGACTCGAAGTAAAACTCCATTGATCACATGATCTCTGTACGTCCCTTCTCTGACTGGCTATGGTGATGTTTTGGGTCTACTGAAATTAGTGTCAGTTCAGAGATAGTGTCAAGTAGTCCCTGAAAGGTCTGATGATTTCCTCTCCTCAGTGTACAGTCACTATGGTAAAAAGATGTCTTTGGTGTAAGGCCAGAAGAAAGATTAACAGTATAAATTTGTGGCAGTGTACCAAGGTGTTTCCTCAAGAGAACCCAGCCTCTTTTCGATTTGAGGGGTTCTGGTTTGCAAACTGGTTCAGATCTGGGGATTGACGGAGGGGCCATTAATGGCTGGTTTTATAATCTGAGGTAGGCTTTTGTTAACTGGACCCAGAACTTACCTGCTTATACATATCAAATAAGAATTCAATAGGCTTCCTATCTGTTTCACTTTTAGGAACATTAGGGTTAACCAGCCAGCACCATAGGTCTGTGTGAGTCATGCAGTCCTGATGTCAGCTTTGACTTTGCTGTCCACAAAGGCAGCCGTGCCTGTCTTGCCATTGGTGGATGAATGCTGCCCCGTGGTCCTTGGCACCCTAGAATCCAATTTCTCCCATTGCATTTAGATTTCCCAATTCAGTGACTGCTGTTTTCTGTATGGGGTCTGGCCTACAGAGAAGAGCAATCACAGAGCTCTTCAAGAATGCTGGAGATCCCTTCACAAATTTATGTTTCACAGTATTAGTGAAAGGTATGTGCTTTCTTCACTACTGGAAACAGCCATTAGCATCTTTAAATCTAATGAGATTACAGAGCCAATTCCAGAAACCTCAGAATCAACAGAAATTTCATACTTAAAATTGTGCTTCTCTACAACCACTTTCAGTACCAAAACCTATACTAGTGAAGTTTCTCCAGAGCCAGTAGTGTGTATGTGTGTGTGTGTGTATAAATATATACATATAAAGAGATTTAATATAAAGGATTGACTCGTGATTATGGAGGCTGAGAAGTCCCACAATTTCCATTTGCAAGCTGGAGGCCCAGGAAAGCCAGTAGTGTAGTTCCAGTCCAGACCTGAAGGCCTGAGAACCCGGGGAGCTGGTGGTGTAAGTCCCAGTCTGATTCTAGAGGTCCAAGAATCAGGTACACCAATGACCAAGGGCAGGAGAAAATGAATTCCTTAGTTCAAGAAAAGAGCAAATTTGCTCTTCCTCTGCCTTTTTGTTCTATTTAGGCCCTAAATGGATTGGACGATGCCCAACCGAATGGGTGAGAGCACTCTTCTTTACTCAGTCTACCTATCAAGTGTTAATTTCTTCTGGAAACCCAGCCTCAGAGACACACTCAGAAATAATGTTTACCAGCTATATGGGCATTATTTAGTCCAGTCAAATTGACACACAAAATTAGCCATTGCCCACCCCACCTCACACATACATGTCCTCCCCCAAGATCAACACCACATATCAGAGTGGTACATTTGTTATAATCTGTGAACCCACATTGACACATCATCATCACCCAAATACCATAGTTTACATTAGGGTTCACTCCTGTAAACTCTTGTAAATTAGAGTATTGCACATTCTGTGGTTTTGGCAACTACATAATGACATACATCTACCATTGTAGTATCACACAGAAGAGTTTCACTTTTCTAAAGATTTTCTATGTTCTGCCTGTTCATCTCTCCCTCCCCTTTGGCCCCTGGCAACCACTGATCCTTTTACTGTCTCCATAGTTTTGCTTTCCAGAAAGTCATATACTGTAGCTGAATTATACAGCGTGTAGCCTTTCAGATTGGTTTCTTTCACCTTGTAACATGTCTGTACATTTCTTTTACGTCGTTTCATAGCTTGATACCTCATTTCCTTTTAGCGCTGAAAAATATTCTATTTTCTTTATGTACTACACTTATTTATCCAGTCACCCACTAAAGGACACTTTGGCTGCTTCCCAGTTTTGGCAATTATGAATAAAGTTTCTATAAACATTTATTTGTAAGTTTTTGTGTGAACATAAATGTTCATGTCCATTGAGTAAATACAAAGAAGCACGATTGTTGGGTCATGTGGAAAAATTATGTTTAGTTTTGTAAGAAACGGCCAAAATGATGTGATGGTTAATTTTATGTGTCAACTTGACTGGCCATGAGGTGCCCAGATTAAACATTATCTCTGAGTGTCTGTGAGGGTGTGTCTTGATGAGATAAACGTTTAAGTTAGTCTACATAGTAAAGTAGATTGTCCTCCCTAATATGGTGGGGAGAGGAGTGTCTTTCAATCGATTGAGAGCCTGGATATAACAAAAGGCAGAAGAAAGAATAATTTGCCCTTTTTGATTCTTTCCTGCCTGCTTGAGCTGGGACATCTCTTCTCATGATGGGAGTTACACCATCAGCTCCTCTGGTTCTCAGACTTTCAGACATGAACTCAGTTACACCACTGGCTTTCCTGGGTCTCCAGATGGCAGATGGCAGATCACGGGACTTCTCAGATTTTATAATTGCATGAGCCAATTCCTCATAATCTCTCTCTCCTCTCTCTCTGTCCCCTCTGTCTCACTCTTTCTCTCTCTCTGTGTGTGAACATACACAAAATGTATATATATATACACATATAAAATGTGTGTAGATATATATATACGCACACACACACACAAAATGTATATATGTATACACATTATGTATATATATAATACATAGGATATAATCATCAATCTATAACATTTTATACTATAGATTGATAATGATATCCTAAATTCAAATTTTCCCTTTCTACTGAGAATTTTGCAATAATAGGAAGCCCTCTTATTGCAAGAATTTTCCTGGCTCTTGTTGGGCTCCTATAAACATTAAAGCTATTGCTAACCACATAATCAAGCAGATTAGCATATTTGTAAGAGGTGCTGTGCAAAACATTACAAAATGTTTACACACACACACAGAAAGACAGAGAGAGATTATTAGGAATTGGTTCAAGCAATTATAAAAACTGAGAGGTCCCATGATAACTACTATATATATATATATATATATATAAAATATTATATGTATATATAAAATAGTTCTGCTGCTTCTCTGGAGAACATTGACTAATATTTGGTGGTAATATTTTGCATATGCACAAGCAAAAAATAAAAGTTACTGTTGTTCTGCATCCTTGCCAGCATTTGGTGTTGTCAATGTACATTTTTTCACACAGCATCTCTTACAAATATGCTAATCTGCTTGATTATGTGGTTAGCAATAGCTTTAATGTTTCTAGGAGCCCAACAGGTGCCAGGAGAATTCTTTTAATAAAAGGGCTTCCTATTGTAAAATTTTCAGTAGAAAGGGAAAACTTGAAATTAGGATATCATCGTCAATCTGTAAGCTTTAAAACGTTATGATTTTAAGTTACATAGAATTTTATTATGAATACGCTAATGATTTATTTTATTAAATAAATTTAATTTGTTTTCTTTTGTATGAACAAATATTAAATTAGATAAATAAATGTCAAGTCCATCACTATTACATTTTTAAATGATGCTGTTTGTTTTTTGTATTTGGACAATATTCCTTCACATTTATTCTTGAAGAAGTAATCCTTTGAAGAGTGACACTCAATCGTGTGCTTTGAGAGTAGAACACAGATATTTTCAAGTATATTATAGCCACAGAGGGAACATATAAAATTGTACAACCACCATAATCTCTCTGAAAAATTATAAATTCAATTAAGAATAATAAAGACTATTAAAAAGTTTTCATAGAGTATTTGTTATTCAAATACTAATATACTTGTTTATATTTAGTCCTGTTTTCTTCAAACACACGGAAAGATACATTTTTGAGCTTGCATGCTCAGTCTGTGGGAAGAATTAATGTGAAAACTGAAGGACACAGAGACACAAACACTGAGCTCCACTTTTAGGGTAAATTTATTCATAGAGATGTACCATTAAATAACATCAGTATTAATTAATCTTTTTATATTTGACAAGTATTTCATTATTTTTTATAAATTATTTCTCATTTAAGTCATATGGACTACCCAACAAATAACTGAAAACAAAGAAACACCCTCTTCTTATTTTAGGTTATATCTGTGTCAGTTCTGGAAATAATTTTGTGAAGTTAACAAGGCTTCTGTAATTCTATTAGGCATATAATATTTGTATTAAACCTCTCCACATTTAAAAACTTTGAAATTCCAATAAAATGCATAATTGTTACATATTCTTAAGGTACCAGGCCAGTGGAAAATATACAGACTTACATCTTTAAGAACCAATATTCTTAAACACATTTTTAAGTATGCCATGTATTCCTTTTACTTACAAATGTATTTTCTTCTTCGAACGATGGTGTAAGTAAAGGATTGTACCCCTGTTTTGCAAGTAAAAAAATGGAAGTACAGAGAGTGGTCTGACTCCAATGGGTAGTCTTGCCTATTTTAGTATACTATATCCCAATAGCAGTAAGACACACTCCAAATTCCTCCCGGAACTAGAAACACCACACAAAATAATCTTGAAATGTTTGCCAGAAGCATTTTGTGTTTACTGATGAGCAATATCATGGAGCAATAGATGAAACATAGTCTTTGCACCAAGATGAACATTGGTTGGGAGACTGGCTTTGCCTTTTGGAAGTTGTATGACCTCAGGAAAATTATGTAATTCAGGTAGTAATAACTACATTGCAGTGTTTTTATAATTTTTAACAATCCACTTTAAGCATGTAGCACTGTTCCTGCAATACTATGGTTTCAGTAAATGCTATCTTTTAATATGTTAGAAAAAAATTATACCTGTTTCAATTACACATATTGTTGTTCCTATACTATTAATCTAATTGCTCTAGCTGCTAAAACACAAAGGGTTTATGAAAATATACACACAGTTAAATTTTATCAATTCTATATATATGTAGAAAGTAATTCAAGGGATCTATTCTCTAAAAATAATAATCTTTTTTTTTCCTGTTTCTTTTTTCCCCTACCTGTTTGTCAGAAGGAGGGATACCAGTGAACTAATGGTGCTCTGTGTCCTCGTATTAGGTTTCTTAATATTTCTTTCAGATGTTTTGTTTAATGAAATTTCATATGTGATTTTTAAAAAGAGAAGTTGTTCTTTAAAAAAGGGAGAGAAACATACTTTCTGCCTAATCTTCTTACTTTATAGATACGTACAATAAGGCTCAGAGAAAATGGCCCAAGAAGAAGAAAAATATGGCCCCAAAGCATAGAGAATCAGGACTAGGAAGTCTTGATGTCCAGGAAATTTCAGTTGTGTTTGAGTGCAAATTTATAATATAGAGTCAAGTAAGGTACTAGACAATTAGTCTTGAAGGGAAAATGAGTTGTACCTCCTGCCTAACCCCAACAAACTTTTGCTGAAATAGCTGAAATTCTTGAAATTTGAGATTTAGCTATATTAACAACTCCTCTTTGAAGATTCAAACCCTCTGCAAGTATAACCTAGGTGGAAATCATAATCATGAAATTAATATCAGACTGTTTTTTTCCTATGACAACTTTGTAGAAAGTGGCCCTTCAATGGCCTAAGGTCAGAAGTGGTAAAGGTTAAATGGGACTGTATAGAACTAGAGTAGAAAACAAACTTAGGTTGGGCCTTACGTTGAGAGATAGCAGAATATCAGAGAGCAGCAAATGTCACTGAGGAAAGATTGTGAAGAGTAGAGGAAAGGTCAGAGATGAGATTCTTTTACAGGCAATTCTTCCTTAATTATACATGGCTGTAGTGAATTAGAGAAGTATTTCCCTAGAAAGGTTTTTAAACAGTTTCCTAGGCCTCCCCTCCAGAGAGTTTGATTCTGTAGATCTGGAATGGGCCATGGGATTTGCATTTTTAACAATATCCTAAGAGGTACAGATGCTGAGAGCAACCACACTTTGAGTACCAGTGAATTAGAACATGGGAAGAAGCCTTTAGAATTGTGGTTCTTAAACCTGGATGCACATTAGAATCACCTGGGAAACATAAGACCCATCCCCAGGCTGCTTCCTCAGAGTATATGATTTAATTGGTCATGATGTATAAAGGGAATCAACACTTTTTAACCTCACATGTTTATCACGTGCACCAAGTTTAAAAGCTACTCAAAAGGACAACACAAGAAGGTCTAACCCAGGGAATATAAGTGACAGAACTGGCTCTGTAAGAGTGAAGCTAACTGTAGAGTACTCCTGGGGGTAAGGAACCATTCTTTGTTCTGGCTGATTATTTCTATGGGGGTTGGCAGACCTTGTAGTGATCTTCACATTATTTTGAAAGAAGACAGAAATCCAATAAGTTGAGAAATGTCTAAATCTTAAAGTATCAACAAATGTTTCAAATAAATTTTAAAATAATGTGTTAATGAAAGATAAAATGTTTAGGACTAAATATAGCCCACAGGACATAGTTTGTAAACTTTTGCTTCAGAGAATTTTCAAGCAAATGGCCTATTAGTTCTAATTAGTGTCCAAAGATGGTATGGGTTTTTCATGCAGAATGGCATAGAGTACTAAAAAACAAATCTGAGATATAACTAGGTTGAGAGAATGACCTTTTCTTTAATGCTGATAGAAGGCAGTAACCCAGATGTAAGTGGCTTGAAAACTTTAAATAGCTACACAAATAAAATAAATTATTATTATTTTGAAACAATAAGCTTTACAATTTGGAAAGAAAGTTCCTTTAAAATAAAATGTATTGTCACAATGACTGGGGTTCTAACAATTTTGTGTCACTGATATAGATACAGCTTTATAAAATTAGATCATTCAACATCTAATTTGCCTTTATATTTATCTGATATTTTAGATTGTGCTCCAACTGCAGGAATTTTTTTGTCCCCCAGCTAATCAATTCATGGATAACTGTGCCCTAAAATCTTATACATTTTATAACTATAAAAATTTCATGCTGTGTGTGTTTAAAACTAAATTTGCAGTGCTATAAACTATGATAACTCAACTAAAATATTATTAAAATTAAATATGTAAAGTTAAACAGAACTCTAAACAAAACATTTTGTTTATACTGTTAGAGCATCTGTTAGTCTAACAGACCCTTCTGTGTAATTATTGATGAGGTCTATATAACAGCTCTCTTACCACTAAATTAACTGAATTAAAAAATACAGCAAATCTGTAATTGAAATATGTTTCAGAACTTTCACACACATGTGATGCAAAATGGATGCATCACTCAAATGTAAAGCATAAAAATGCAGATGATTCAGAAGTCTCATTCCATACCGTAATAAATACATTTAAAAATATCTTCTTTCTATTTACCTCTTATCATATTATGACTCCAATACTGTAGGTAAAAATGAAGATTCAAGTTTTTCCAAGGTGGAAGGGCTATGATACGACTTTACATAATATTAACTTAAATTTATGCTAAGTGCCTTCCCAGAGATCCCTTGGACTTAATAGGAATACACTAACAGGGACTCATTTGTGTTTTCAATCAGTAGTCACACGACCCTGATTGCTTGTTATTCATACGTATTTCCACATGAGAATACTTATTTCTTCTTATTTCTACATAAGAAATACTTATTTCTACATGCATTTTGATAGAAATGCAACTCAAATAAAAACAAAAACTACAACTTCCAAAAATGATGTACAGAAGGGGTCAAAAAGTCAATTGGCCACAAGGGACAAGCAGGTGACATATGTGAGGTAAGCAAGCTAGAATTATATACCCATTCTATAGGAAGAGAAGCTCTTCAGATACAGCTGATGGCTCTCATGCACGATTGTAGGTCCTGTGTTGAATATCAGATTATTCAACAGAAGTCAGTAATCTGGATTTTCAGTTAAATTTTCTGACTTTTAAATGTCTCCCATCTATCAAAAAGCTTTTATGACATTGTGTAACCCCCCTAAAAAATCTGTATGCAACGTCAATGTCTTGTATAATGAGGCAGAGATGACAATTAAGGAAAGGGAGATACAATTTTTGCAATGACTGTCTTACAGAAAACAAGTGTTAGAGAAGTACCATTGTCCCTTGATCAGCATGAGTCTGACTTTGATCAACATGAGTCCCTTTATATGTGGACTTTTCTTCAACCAAATGTAGATGGAAAACATGGTATCCTTGGTATATGAAACTCACATATACAGAGGGTCAACTTTTCATATCCACAGGCTCTTCAGGGCTAACTGTGGGACTTGACTATGTGCAGATTTTGGTATGTGCAGGGAGTCCTGGACACCTGTATTATACAAATGCTTCTATGCACAGAAATAAGCTCTCCTCACTAAAAATGTGTCAGCAAAAATTTGATAATGAAAAACGTTCCATTCATTCACTCATTCATTTAGCAAATATTTCTTAAGACATTTTTCGGGTGCTAGGAATAAGTGTGTCAAAGAAAAGTCTTTTTTCATGAAGCTTACACACCAGTGAGGAGAACGCCAAACAAGCAAACACATGGTAGACATTAAAACCAAACCATGATGCAGTAAGCATCAAAAATATTCTTTTACATAAATTACAGGACTATCATATTACAAAGTGTAGGAAAAATACTTTTATTTTGTTCTTACTCAAGTTATTGTGTAAAAAATTAAAGAATATGACGTCTATGATTTCTCTCAGCAGTGTTTTGTAGTTCTTCTTGGAGAGATCTTTCACCTCCTTGGTTAGTTGTATTCCTTAAGTATTTTATTGTTTTTGTGGCTATTGGAAATGGGATTGTATTCTTGATTTGGATCTAAGCTTGAACATTACTGTTGTACAGAAATGCTATTGATTTTTGTACATTGATTTTGTATACTGAAGTTTACCAAGGTCGTTTATCAGTTCCAGGAACTTTTTGTGAGTGTATTTAGGGTTTTCTAGGTATAGAATCTTATTTTCAGCAAAGGGAGAAAGATTGGCTTCTTTCCTGTTTAGATGCCTTTTATTTATTTCTCCTGCTTAATTGCTCTGGGTAGGACTTCCAGTACTGTGTTGAATAGGAGTGGTAACAGTGGGCATCCTTGTCTTGTTCCAGTTCTCAAGGGGAATGCTTCCAGCTTTTGCCTGTTCAGTATGATGTTGGCTGTGAGTTTGTCGTAGATGGTTCTTACTATTCTGATGCATGTTCCTTTGATGCCTCATTTGTTGAGGGTTTTTATCATGAAGGATATTGGATTTTCTTGAAGGCTATTTTTTTTTTTTGCATCTTTAAAGATGTTCATCTAGTTTTTGCCTTTAATTCTGTTTATGTGGTGGATCACATATATTGATTTGCATATGTAGAAATAACCTTGCATCTTAGGAATGAAGCCCACTTGATTGTGGTAAATTAACTTTTTGATGTGCTGCTGGAATCAGTTTGCTCGTATTTTGTTGAGAATTTCTGTGTCTATGTTCATCAGGGATATTGCCCTGCAGTTTTCTTTTTTTTGTTGTGTCTTTGTCAGGTTTTGGTATCAGGGTGATGCTGGCTTTATAGAACGATTTAAGGAGGAGTCCCTCGCCCTCAATTTTTTGGAATACTTTCAGTAGAATTGGTAGAAGCTTTTCTTTGTATGTCTGGTAGGATTTGGTGTGAATCCATCGGGTCTTGGGTTTTTCTCAGTTGGTAGGTCTTTTATTACTAATTCAATTTCATAACTCAACATTGATCTGTTCAGGATTTCAATTTCTTCCTCATTCAGTCTTGGGAGGTTGTCTGATTCCAGGAACATATCCATTTCCTCTAGACATTCTAGTTTGTATGCATAAAGTTGTTCATAATAGTCTTTGAGGATCTTTTGTATTTCTGTGGGATAAGATATAATGTCAGCTTTGTCATTTCTGATTGTGCTTATTTGACTTTTCTCTGTTTTTTTGTTTCTTAATTTACCTATTGGTCTATCGCTCTTGTTTATCCTTTCAACCAACCAACTTTTTGTTGTGTTGATTCCTTTTATGAGTTTTGGGGTTTCAATTCTGTTCAGTTCTGCTCTGATTTTAGTAATCTCTTTTCTTCCGCTAGCTTTGGGGTTAGTTTGTTCTTGTTTTTCTAGTTCCTCTAGGTGTGATGTGAGATTGTTAAATTTAAGATCTTTTTAACTTTTTGAGGTCAGTTTTAGCACTAAAAGCCTTCCTCTTAATACTGCTTTTGGTGCATCCCAGAGATTTTGGTATGTTATGTCTCTGTTTTATTTATTTCAAAGAATATTTTGATTTTTGCCTCAATTTTTCTCTTTACCGAAAAGTCACTCAGGAGCAAGTTTTTAAATTTTCATGTAATTGTGTGGTTTTGAGAGATCTTTTTGGTGTTGATTTCTGTTTTCATTCCATTGTGGTCCAAGAGCATGATTCTTATGATTTCTATTCTGTTGAATTTATTGGGACTTGCTATATTGCCAAGCATGTGGTAAATCTTAGAGCATGTTCTGCTGCAGATGATAAGAATGTATATCCCATGGGTGATGGGCAGAGTATTCTGTAGATATCTACTATAATAGGTTCAGTTGGTCAGGTGTTGAATTTAAGTCCAGAATTTCTTTCTTAATTTTCTGCTTCAATGATCTGTCTCATGTTGTTAGTGGGATGTTGGTGTCCACCACTATTATCGTGTGCCTATCTAAGTCTTTTCCTAGGTCTAGAAGTACTTGTTTTATGAATTTGGGTGCTCCAATGTTGGGTGTGTGATATGGTTTGGCTGTGTTTCTGCCCAAATCTCATCTTAAATTGTAGTTCTCATAATCCCCACATGTGGTGGGAGGGACTAAGTGGGAGGTACTCAGTGGGAGGTAGCTGAATCATGGAAGCAGTTTCTCACATGCTGTTCTCGTGATAGTAAGTTCTCATGAGATTAGATGGTTTTATAAGGGGCTTTTCCCTTTAATCGGCTCTCTCATTCCCTCTCTTGCTGTCCTGGAAAGAGGTGCCTTCCATCGTGATTCTAAGTTCCCTGAGGTCTCTCCAGCCATGCTGGACTGTCAGTCAATTAAAACTCTTTCCTTTATAAATTACCCAGTCTCAGGCAGTTCTTTATAGCAGCATGAGAATGGGCTAATACAGTGCGTAAATATTTATGATAGTTAAGTCTCCTTGTTGAATTGAACCTTTCATCACTATGTAATGTCTTCCTTTGTCATTTTTTACTGTTGTTGTTTAAAGTGTTTTATATGATATAAGAATAGCAATCTCTGCTCTTTCTTATTTTTTATTTGCATGACAGCTCTTTCTCTAACCCTTTACTTTGAGCCTAGGGGTGTCATTACATATGAGATGGGTCTTTTGAACACAGCATAATTATGGGTCTTTTATTTAATCCAACTAGCAACTTTGTGCCATTTAAATGGGTAGTTTAGACTGTTTAGATTAAAGTTTAATATTGGTATATAAAGTTTTTATGCTATCATAAAGTTGTTAACTGGTTGCTTTATAGTTTCTATGATGTGGTTGCTATATAGGGTCTACAGATAATGTACATAAGTATGTTTCTGTGGTAGCAGATATGTTCTTATGTTTCCATGTAAGGAACTCCCTTAAGGATCTCTTATAAAGTTGGTCTAGTGATAATAACTTTCATTAGTTATTGCTTGTCTGGAAATAACTGAATTTCTCCTTTGTTTGTGAAGCTTAGTTTGGCAGAATATGAAATTCTTAGTTGGAATTTCTTTTCTTTAAGGATGTTGAAAATTGGTGCCCACTCTCTCCTTGCTTGTAAGGATTCCGCTGAGAAGTCCACTGTTAGCTTGATGAAGTTCCCTCTGTACATGATCTGACCTCTTTCTCCAGTTGCCTTTAAGAATTTTTTCCTTAGCATTGACATTGGACAGCCTTGTGACAACATGCCTTGGTTCTGCTCATTTTATGTATAGTACCTCACAGGTCTTCTCTGGATTTCTTGTATCTGGATGTCTACGTCTCTAGCAAGATTAGGGAAATTTTCTTGAATTATTCCCTCAAATATGTTTTCCAGGTTATTTCTTTTTTCTCCTTCTCTCAGAAATGCTAATATTTCATAAGTTTGGTCATTTTACATGATTCCATATTTATTGAAGACTTTATTTTTTAAGGATTTTTTTCTTTATTTTTGTCTGGGTTAATTCAAAATATTAGTCCTCAAACTTTGAAATTCTTTTTTCTGTTTGGTCCAGTCTGTTGATAAAGCTTTAAATTGTATTTTGAAATTTATTTTTTACTTTTCTTTTTTTTTTTTTTTATTATACTTTAAGTTTTAGGGTACATGTGCACATTGTGCAGGTTAGTTACATATGTATACATGTGCCATGCTGGTGCGCTGCACCCACTAACTCGTCATCTAGCATTTATTAAATGAGTTTTTATCCAAATCCAGAAGCTCTTACTGATTTTATTTATTTATTTATTTTTTCTTTGAGACAGAGTCTCACTCTTGTTGCTCAGGCTGGAATGCAATGGTGTGATCTTGGCTCACTGCAACCTCCGCCTCCCGGATTCAAGTGATTCTCTTGCCTCAGCCTCCCAAGTAGCTGGGATTACAGGCGTGTGCCACCACGCCCGGCTTATTTTTGTATTTTTAGGAGAGATGAGGTTTCACCATGTTGGTCAGGGTGTTCTCGAACTCCTGACCTCAAGTGATCCTCCTGTCTTGGTCTCCTGAAGTGCTGGGATTTCAAGGCATGAGCCACCACACCCAGCTTTGATTTTCTTTTAATATGTTTTTCTTTTCCTTCATTTTCTGGATTGCTTTAAAAGTTTCTCTGTTCATTTTCAACCTTGTCTTGGATCTCATTGAGCTTCCTTGCAATCTATGCTTTGAATTTTTTATCTGTCATTTTGGAGCTTTCATTTTGGTTAAGGGCCATTGCTGAAGAGCTAGTGTAATCCTCTGGTAGTATCACAACATTCAGATTTTTCATGGTGCCAGAATTCTTGCACTGGTTCCTTTTCAGCTGGATATGCTGGCACTTCTAATTTTTGTAATTATTTTCATGTGGTAGGATTTTTTATTTTTCTTTCTTTCTTTCCCTGTAATACAGTCCATGCTCATAGATTGGAAGAATCAATATCATTAAAATTGCCATGCTACCTAAAGAAATCTACAGAATCAGTGTTATGCTTATCAAACTACCATCATCATTTTTCACAGAATTAGCAAAAAATATTCTAAAATTTATGTGGAACCCAAAGAGTCCAAATAGCCAAATCAATTCTAAGCAGTAAGATCAAAACTGGAGACATCACATTACCCAATATCTAACTTTACATTAAGGTTACGCTAGGTTATGCTAACCAAAACAGCTTGGTACTGGTGCAAAAGCAAACACATAGACCAATGAAACAGAAAGAGAACCCAGAAGCAAAGTCACACAACTACAGCCATCTGATCTTCAACAAAGTCAATAAAAATAAGCAATGGGGAAAGGATTCCCTCCTCAATAAATGGAGCTGAGGTAGCTGGCTAGCCATATGCAGAAGAATAAAACTTGACTCCTACATTTTACCATATGCAAACAATAACTCAAGATGGATTAAAGATTTAAGTATAAGACCTCAAACTATAAGAATCCTAGAAGAAAACCTAAGAAACACCATTCTAGATATCAGCCTGGAGAAACAATTTATGACTAAGTTCTCAAAAGCAATTGCCACAAAAATAAAAACTGACAAATGGGATTTACTTAAACTAAGGAGCTACTTCACAGCAAAAGAAACTATCAATAGGGTAAACACACAACCTACAGAATGGGAGAAAATATTCACAAACTGCACATTCTACAAAGGTCTAATATCTAGATTTTATAGGAACTTAAACAATTGAACAAACTAAAACCAAATAACTGCATTAATAAATGGGCAAAGGGCATGAACATACATTTCTCAAAACAAGACATACAGGTTACTGACAAACATAAAAAAAGTTTCACATCACTAATCGTCAGAGAAATGAAAACCTAAACCACAATGAGATACCGTCTCACACCAGTCAGAATGGCTATTAAAAAACAACAGGTGCTGGTAAGGCTGCAGAAAAACGGGAATGCAGTTAATGCAGGAATAGAAAACCAAATATTGAATGTTCTCACCTATAAGTGGGAACTAATCACTGGGTACTCACGAATATAAAGATGACAACAATAGACAGGGGGTCTACTAGAAGGGGAAGATAGTGAGGGGAGCGAGGTTGGAAAAATTATTTTGTGCTCTGCTCACTAACTGGGTGAGGGAATCTATTATTTCCCAAACATCAGCATCACGCAGTACACTTGTGTAACAAACCTGCACATGTACCTCCAAATCTAAAATTTAAAAATTGAAAATAAATAAATAATTGAACAAAATGCTAATTAAAAATGAAAAGTCTTTGCTTATTTTAATGATATAGAATAGACTAATTATTAAATCCTAGAGACAGAAAGTAAAGTGATGGTTGCCAGTGACTAGAAGGAAGGGGCATTGGGGAGTTATTGTTTAGTGAATATAAAGTTTCAGTTTTGTAAGTTGAAAAGAATTCTGGAGATAAATAATGGTGATGTTTGCTCAACAGTATGAATGTACTTACCTCCACTACACTGTATGAGAGTTATGATTTTACCTTTTTTTGTGGGAAATTATCTGTTAACAGCTTGCACATTTTTGATGCCCACTTAATTGAAGTGGAAAGTAGAAGTTATGTTGTTACAAAATTTTAGGAACATGTGGCCATTAAAATTTCTTTTTGGGGATATTTGTTGAATTTGTTCTTTTGGGGATATTTGTTGAATGGGCCATTTCAACCAAAAAATAAATTCTTGTGTTTTCACTTTTTAAAACAATAGATTATTACAAACAAAATGTGTGCTGTACCTGGAAGTCAGAAAGTATCAAATAAGGAAGTCTGATTCTCCTTATATTCTGTCTTTCAGAAAGGGTAAGACTTAAGCCTTCTCCTCCTCATAGAGGGGATCCAATCACCCTATATTTGAATGTTCATTATTTGTGAGATTGATAATTAATATAATATCAGGTATTGAAATGTGTTCTGAATAAAACTAAAACAGAAAAAGGAGGTGGTGAATGGTGAGAATCTAGTGTAGCATTAATACCTTACGTGTAAGGTAATCTATCCATCTACCACACCACTTTTCTCCCAAATTACTGACTTAGAATGGTGCTCATTCCTACTCCTCCAATTCTTTAACTGTTCTGAAAAGCAAAATAAATGTCTAAGGCTGTGGGTAATAGGAGTTGGAAGATGCCCAACATCATGCCCCACTGCCTTCTGGCTCTTTTTATGAACTACAACGTGTTGCTCATAGTTTGGTGTTTGTTCAGCAAACCTTTATTTTGAATAAAGCTGATATAAATATTCACATACAGAATTTTGTGAGAAAAGGCTGTCCTATGTTCATAGAGTAGACTTTGCTCCTTTGTCAAAGATCAGTTGGTTATATTTCTATGGGTCTGCTTCTGTCTGTCTATCCTGTTTCACTGATCTGTTTTTCTATTTTTTAACCAATACTATGCTATCTTGATTACTAGAGCTTTATAGCAAGTCTTGAAGTTGGCTACTGTTAGTCATCTAATTTTGTTCTTTTTCTAGTATTTAATTCACTGTTCTGGGATTTTATCCTGCCATATAAATTTTAGAGTAAGTGTGTTGATAACCACAAAATTTGTGGGATTTTGACAGGATTTCTTTTAATCTACAGATCAAGATGGGGAGAACTGATGTCTTAACAATAGTGAGTCTTTCTATCCAGGAACATGGAACATTTCTCTGTCTATTTATATATTTTTTGATATCTATAATCAGAAAATGTTATTTTTCCTTATACAGCTCTTTCGTATATTTTGTTGGATTTAGAACTAATTATTTCATTAGTTACATAATTATTATTCAGTTATGTGATCATTAGAGATTGCTAATGGAATTGTTTTACTTTATCTAAATTATCAAATTTCTGTGCATATAATCATTCATAATATTCCATTATTACCATTTTGATATACATGGAAACAGTAGTCATGAACATGCTTTCGTTTCTGATATCAGTAATTTGTATCTTCTCTCTTTTTCTTTTCTTTAGCCATGCTAGAGGTTTAAAACTTTTATTGACCCCTTCAGGAAGCAAACTTTTTGCTTCATTGGTTTTTAAATTGATTTTGTTTTCAGTTTCATTTATTTACATGCTAATTTTATTATTTCTTTCATTCTGTTTGGTTTGGTTTCAAATTGCTCTTTTGTTCTCTAGTTTCCTAAGGTAGAAGCTTAGGTTATTGAGTTTAGATTTTTCTTATCTTCTGACATATTCATTAAATGCCACAAATCTCCCTGTAAGAACTTTCATTGCATTACAAAAGTTTTGATTTCTATTTTAATGTGATTTTAGTTCAAAATTTTTAAAATTTTTTCTTGAGAGTCTTGTTTTGACCCATGCAATATTTTAAAACATGTTGTTTAATATACAAAGTTTGGATTTCTCAGTCATCTTTCTCTTATTGACTTCTACTTTAATTCTATTAGTCTGAATGATTCTATTGCTTTAAATTTGTTAAAGTGTGTTTACTGGCTCAGAATGTTGTTTATTTTGGCGAATGTTCCATGTAATTCAGAGAAGAATGTGTATTCTTCTGATGTATAAAAATTATATAAATGTAAATTAGATACAGTTGATTGATGGTGTTGTTCCAATCTACTATATCTCTACTGAATTTCTGCCTGCTGGATCTGTCAATTACTGATAGATGTGTGCTGAAGTTTCCAGCTAAAATGCTAGATGCATCTGTTTCTTTTTATAATTCTATTCATTTTGCCTCATGTAATTTAATATCAATTGTTAAGTGATACACATTACACATTGTTGTGTCTTCTTAAAGAATTAATTTATCCTCGGCCGGGTGTGGTGGCTCATGCCTGTAATGCCAGCACTTTGGGAGTCGGAGATGGGCGGATCACCTAAGATCGAGAGTTTGAGACCAGCCTGACCAATATGGAGAAACCCCGTCTCTACTAAAAAAAAAAAAATACAAAATTAGCTGGGCATGGTGGCACACATCTGTAGTCCCAGCTACTTGGGAGGCTGAGGTGAGGGAATCACTTGAACCTGGGAGGCGGAGGTTGCGGTGAGCCGAGATCACGCCATTGCACTCCAGCCTGGGCAACAAGAGCAAAACTCTGTCTCAAAAAAAAAAAAAGAAAAAAGAAAAAGAAAAAAAATAATTTATCCTCATGTAATGCCCCTCTTTGTTGATAGTAATTTTCCTTGTTTTGAAGTCTGCTTTGTCTGAAATTTATATAGCTACATGATCTTCCTTTTAATAAGTGTTAGCATGGTGTACCTTTCTCCATCCCTTTGATTTTAATGTATCTGTGTCCTATTTAAAGTGGCTTTCTTGTAGGCAATGTGTAATGTTTTTTCTTTTAGTCCACGCTGATAGCCTGTCTTTTAGTTGGTGTATTTAGATCACTCACATGTAAGGTGATTATTGATGTAGTTGGATTAATAACTACCATGTTTGTAATTGTTTTATGTTTGTTGTTTTATTTCCTTTTTTTAATCTTCACCTTTTTTTCTGTCGTCTTTGGTTTTTATGGAGAATTTTATCTGATTTCTTTTTCTCCCCTATATTTTCATATCAACTACATTTGTTTTTAAAAAATGTTAGTGGTTGCACTACAGTTTGTAATATATACTTACAACTGATCTAAGTTCATTTTCAAAAACTACCATTTCACAAGTAGTACAGGTAATTAACAATTTTTTTGAAGATAGCGACTTGTTCTGTTTCCTAGGCTGGAGTGCAGTGGTGCAATTCTGGCTCACTGCATCTTCAAACTCTCTGGCTCAGGTGATCCTCTCACCTCAGCCTCCCGAGTAGCTGAGACTATAGGCATGAACCATCTAGTACAGGTAACTTTTAATAGGGTACTCCCAGTTCCTCTATTCTGTTCATTATCATATTGCTGTCATTAATTTTGGTTATTGAAAGCATTCATTTTGCTTAATTGAATCCATTGTTATTATTACTTTGAACAGTTATGTATTAGCTCAATCGATAAGAAATATAAACCTTTTATTTTTATTTATTCTTTCTCTGATACTCTTCTTTCCTTATCTACATTTGAGTTCCTCACCTAGGTCCTTTTCTTTCTCTCTGAAGAACTTCTTTTAACTTTTTTTGCTAGGCAAGTCTACTGGTAACAGATTCCCTTAGTTTTTGTTTGTCTGAGGGAGTCTTTATCTCTCTTTAACGTAAGATGGATAATTTCACTGAATACAGTATTCTAGGTTGGTGGTTATTCTCTGATCAACACTTTAAATATTTTTCTATATTTTCTTCTTGTTTGCGTGATTTCTGATGAGAAGTCCAATATAATTGTTATTATTGTTGTTATTATTATTATTTGCAATAGGTAAGGTGAGTTTTCCCTCTGGCTTGTTTCAAGACTTTGTTTTTCATCTCTGTGGTATGATATGCCTACATATAGGCTTTTCTGGCTTTTATCCTGTTTGGTGTTTTCTGAATTTCCTGGACCATCATTTGGTATACGTGATTAATTTTGGAAAACCATTAGTCACTATTTCTTCAAATATTATTCTGATTTCATACATGTTTCTTCTTTCTCTGCTTTTTCCATGTGTATGTTACATATTTGGAATTGGCCTGCACTTCTTAGAGAGTATATTTAATTTTTCCATTATGATTTTCTCTTTGCATTTCAGTTTTGGAAGTTTCTATTGACCAATCTTCAAGCTTACTGATTCCTTCAAAGCCCATGTCCTGCCTGCTGATTGTCCAGCCTACTTTCTAGTCTTCATTACTATAACAGTGTTTTGCTTGTGTCTGTAAATCACAGGCAATAGTAACTAAAATGTACCTCTAGTATTTCCTCTTGATTCTTGGTTAGAGTTTCCATCTCTCTGGATAAACTATTCATTTGTTCTTACATGTTGTTTTCTTTTTTTGTTAGAGTTCTTAATATATTAATCATACTTATTTTCAATTTCTTATCTGATAATTCAAAAATCTGTATCATATCTGAGTCTGGTCTGATGCTTTCTAAGTCTCTCTCTCTTTTTTTTTTTTTTTTTGAGGCAGAGTCTCACTGTTGTCACCCGGGCTGAAGTGCAATGGCGCAATCTCGGTTCACTGTAACCTCCGCCTCCCAGGTTCTAGCAATTCTCCTGCCTCAGCATCCCAAGTAGCTGAGATTACGGGTGCCCGCCTTCATGCCTGGCTAATTTTTGTATTTTTAGTAGAGATGAGATTTCACCATGTTGTCTAGGCTGGTCTCGAACTCCTGACCTCAGGTGATCCACACACCTTGGCCTCCCAAAGTGCTGGGATTACAGGTGTGAGCCACCATGCCCGGCCCTAAGTCTCCTTAGACTATGTTTTTCTTGGCTTTTAGTATGCCTTGTAATTTTTTTCTTGTTGTTGTTATGATACAGTTGGTAATAAGACCTAAGATAATCAGGCTTTTAGTGAAAGGTTTTATATTAATCTGATTAGGAATTTTCTTTCATATTTAATGTTTCCTGTTGCTGTAAGTCAAAGAAGCTTCTGTTTTCTCTAGTTTCCTTTTTTATTTTCTTTCCTCTTACGCCGTTTTGTGTTTCCCCAAATACTCCTTCTTAAATAGAGTTTGTGCGCTGCAGCCCTCTCAGTTGTAATCCACTGTAATAATAATAGGACTCTATTTATGTGCTGTAAGGTGTTGGAGAAAGAATGCATTCTGTAACCTTATGATTAAATATCACTTTGTTTTAATGGTTGAGTCTTAAGGCTATGACTTTACTTTTTTTTTTCCTCCTTACACGAACGCATAAAGGCTAGAGTGGAATGAAGTTTTCTAATTGCCTTTCCCCCCAGGTCAAATAAGGCCCTACTAAGTTAAATTCATGTAACATAATAATTTACCATGGAAGGCAGAACATTGTTACGATTACTTTCATCTGGGCTTATTTTAAAAATGATTTCTTTTTCTCTCTCCCTGCCTGATACAAAAGGGGATTTTTCTCCAGCCCTCACCCTGAGAAGCTGATGAATTATACGGAGGTAAAACCTACAAGAGTATAGGGATTCCCTTAGGACTGCCACTACCCAGGTGTTTTCAACTTTCATGCTGATACACCTTCAGCTTTAAGCAATTTATCAATTACCATTTAAGGGCTTCTTTAATCAGTGACTTCAGCAGCTTCTGCATCTGGTAAGCTAATCTCAGTTGTATTTGTTTGTATTTCCCTATCTCTGCAGTTTGAGGGTAACTTTATCCTTGATTACCTGATGAATCTAAAAAAAGTCATGGTTTATCAGTTTGTTCAACCTTTTTTGTTTGTTTAAACATGAGAATGATAACTTCCAAGCTCTTTACATGTCACAGCTGAAACCATAAGTCCTCTTAGCTTTTTTCTCCTTTCAGTGTTTTTCAAAGCGTGGTTAGTTTAAATGGATTCCAAATTGTTAATTTTAAAAAATGTATTATGTTTTGGTGTCTATTAAGAAATTCTTGTCTATTACAAGTTCACATAGATTTTCTCGTAGATTTTTTTTAGAAGTTTTATAGTTTCTGGCTTTGCATGTAGGTTTCTCATCCATTTAGTGGTCATTTTATATGCCATGAGTAATTATTTTAGTTTTTTTTCTTTATATATGGATTTATAATTGTTTCAACACCATTTTTGAATGATTATATCATTTTTTTTCTTTGAATTGTCTTTGTAATAGTGAATTGATTCCAGGTTCCTCTATTCTGTTCCATTTACTCACATCTCTATATTTTGTGAATACAACACTGTCTTGATTATTATACTTCTGTAGCAAGTCTTGAGTCAGGTAGTGTGTCTTTTAATTTTTTCTTTTTAAAGTTGTTCTGACTATTCCGGTTCTTTTGACTTTCCATATAAATTCTACAGTTAGTGTATCTTTTTGTACACATATACAAAATTCTGCTGGGATTTTGCATAGAATTTCATTGAGTTTATAAATCAAATTGGGGACAATATTAATAATGTTGATTCTTTAAATCAATGAACATAGTATATTTTTAAATTTATGTATGTATTTTGTTGCATTAGTGTTTTAAACTTTTCAGAATATAGATCATACGTGTATTTTGCTAGGTTTATAACTAACGGTGTTATTATGAGTGGTATGTATTTTTATTTACATTTTTAATTACTTATTGTTAATATATATAGTTTTTATATGTGAAACTTTTATCTTTATGCTAAATTAGATCCAGTAGTTTTTTTGCAGATTCCTTACATAAATGATGAGTCATCTGCAAGTAATGACAGTTATATTTCTTTCTTTTCAGCATATATGACTTTTATTTCTTTTTCTTGACTTATTGTACTGAATAAGTTCTCAAATACAAAGTACAGTGAGTAAATATTATGACATTATTATCTACCTTAGAAGAAAAACATTCAGTCTTTTGCCATTGGGCATAATGTTAGCTGATGGGTTTTTTATAGATTTTTTAATCAGATTGAGGAAGTTACTTCTAGTTCTAGTTTTCTAAACTGTTTATCCTGAATGAATACTGAATTTTGTCAAAGGATGTTTTTGCAGCTATTGAGATAATATATTTGGTTTCCTTTAATCTGTCTGTTAATGGAGAATAGTTTTATTTCTGAATGTCAAACTAGCACTGCGTTCCAAAGGTGATTTTTTTCTTGGTCTTGATGTTTTATATATTGCTGAATTTTATTTGTTTATATTGTGCTGGTAACTTTTGTGTCTATGTTTCTGAAGAATATTTGTCTGTAGTTTTCCTTACTAGTACTGATTTTGACATCAGGATAATGCTGGCCTCAGAAAATAACATCAGTAGTGATCTCTCTTTTTCTATTTGTAGGACAACTTTGTGTAGAATTGATAGTATTATTCCTTAAATATTTTGCAAATTCAAGAATGAAGTTATCCAGATTTTGAGTTACAAGACTTGTGAAAAGCATGAAATTTTACCCTACTTGCAGGTTAGTAAATTATGCTGCCAGTTTCATAGATGCTGGTAGAATACTTGAGAATGTTGGCTCATGGGTGGCATTCTTTATTTCTCATAGCAATAGCAGTAGCTAGATTATCAACATTTTCACTTCAGTTTCTTGAGCCCTAGTTTCCACAGAGTGACACAAACAGATCTAGAAAAAAACCAGTTCTGAGAATACAGGAGAAAAATTCTGAGTTTAAAAACAAATTCTTATAGTGGTCTGGAGAGAGATATAGTCTCTGTCTCTATCTTTCAAAGCTATTTGCTGTGCAAACATCCTTCAGAAATTATGCAGAAAAGAGTGTAAATAGCGCTTTATTCCAAAATATGTAGAAATACAAGAAACTCAAACCCAGCAACTTTAAATGCAATTTCTTTAACACATATAGTACTATTCAGGTTTTCTATTTTATCTTGAGTGAGTTTGGTAGTTTGTATTTTTTAAAAAAATAATTTATTTCATGTACGTTTTGAATTACTAGGCATATATTTTCCTTATACGCTCCATTTAGTCTTTTGAAAGTCTATAGAATTCAAAATTATTTTCTCCTTTTTTATTCTTGGTATTAGTAATTTGAATTTTCTCTTTTTTTGTTAGTCTATTTTGAGATTAATCAATTATATTGATTCTTTTCAGAGAAATAGCTTTTGGTTTAATCCACTTTATTGTTTTTTGGTCTTATAATTTCATTGACTTCTGTTTGCCTTTATTATTTTCTTTGTTCTACTTTAATTGTGTTTAATTTGCTCTTCTTATTTACAGATTCTTGAGATGAAAGCTTACATAATTTGAGACCTTTCTTATCTGATGTGAAGATTTAATATCGTAAATTTCTAAGCATTGCTTTAGCTGCATTCAAAAAATTTGTTACATGTTTTTATATTCATTCAGTTTAAAATGTTTTAAACTTCTCTGTATTTCTTCTTTGACCCATAAATTATTTATGTATTCTAAAAAGTGGTTAATAAGCCTTATTTTATGTTCCATTTCTTTTAACGTACCAATTTTTTTGTCAATGTTTTTACTTCTTTTTTGTTAAATTGTTTGGCTTTATCTGCCAGGTCACTAATTCTCTCTTTAACTAACCTACTGGGATTCTTTTTATTTCAACAATTATATTTGTAATTATAAAAATGCATGTTTTCAAGTTTTTAAAATATTTTGATAGTTAATATTCTCGCCATCTTTATGTTTCTTTCATTATTTATTTTAACATTTCATACATTTATGTTTTCTGTATCTGATAATAACAATGTTGGAAAATCTTTAGAGGTTTAAACAGTATCCTGTTAGTCTATTTTGACTTCTGCTAGTTGCCTTCTCCTCATGTTGGTGATGCTGTGTATATGCGTGTGTTTGTGTGTGTGTTTTATGATTTTAATCAGCAGCAGTTTTGTGGCCTAACTCAGGGAAATTTTGAAAAGGGAATTTGACTGCTTTTGCCCCTGGGATATGGTGAGTATCCCCAGGTCATTTCAGTCCTTCAAATTATTGAATTCTCTTTGACTATTTAAAGGTCAATGTGTTACAACTTTGGCCCAAGGTAGCTGTTAGCTCCCTCATTAGCTGCTTGCTGGTCCAGTCATATTTACCGCCCCTTTGGCTTCTACTTGATTAGAAACTGGCTTCCAACAATGAAACTCTAACACCTGGAGATGCATTTGAATTTTTGTCCCTGATATTCCTATTTTGACTTAAATTCGCAAATATCTGTGTTTCTGGCTAACCATATCCCCTCACTCCACACATGATGACTGGGGTATTCTTATTTGTTCGTTGGTTTGGGAGGTGTGGTGAGAACAGCAATGTTACCAAGAGTATGATCAATTTGGGAGTCTATTTTTTGTGGATCATAGTTTTTAATAGACTTGCAAACATAACCATTTATGTACAAGTTGTACAAGTCATGTACAAGTTGCAAAAGCTCAAAGTATCATCTACATTTTTTTTTAAATTTTTAACTGGTCTTTCATCAGTAGATGATATCTTGCATATGATTGCAAATGAAAAAAATTTTTTTTCCATCACTAATTAAAATCTATATTGCCTTTCATTTCTTGCAGAATAAAATTCAAGCTCTTCAGCATGACATTCAATTCCTTTCATCAACTGTGTCCAGTCTATCTATTCAACATCATTTACTTTCACTTTTCTATATAACCTGAATCTGGATTGCCCCAGAACATTTTAGGCTCCACAAATATGGTATATTTTTTCAACAATTACTTTTCTTACTGTTTCCTCTGTCTATGAGGCCCTTCTGTTGAAAATTAGATGTGTTCTTTTCAACCTTCAAAATTCTACCCAAATATTTTCATTTTTGTGAAGGCTTATCTATTTCCCTCTATAAAAAAAAAATGATAGTCTTCCCTCTTCCTCCATACACTCAGGTTTTTTTTTTTGTTTTTTTTTTTTTTTGAGATGGAGTCTCACTCTGTCGCCCAGGCTGGAGTGCAGTGGCGCGATCTCGGCTCACTGCAAGCTCCGCCTCTTGGGTTCACGCCATTCTCCTGCCTCAGCCTCCTGAGTAGCTGGGACTACAGGCGCCGGCTACCACATCCGGCTAATTTTTTTGTATTTTTAGTAGAGACAGGGTTTCACCGTGTTAGCCAGGATGCTCTCAATCTCCTGACCTCGTGATCCACCCGCCTCGGCCTCCCAAAGTGCTGGTATTACAGGCGTGAGCCACCATGCCTGGCCCAAATTCATTTTTTATACCACTGTGTTTGTTCTGCCTCACTGATGATGAGATCCTTAGTAATGGGTAAAATATTCTCCGTATCCCCAGGGTACAGCACTCAGTGGGTGCTCAGCATATGCAAGTGAGTAATACAAATGCCATTGCACTATCATTGATAATATATTCATTCTAAACAGAGACAGAGTAGCATATATAGAAATATTTCGTAATTGGGTTATAAAATAAAGTTTGATTTCTGTATATTGCCACTTAAATATTATATAGCCAAATTTAAATATTGACTACATTAAAGTTGACTTTTGCCATCTATAGCACTTGATTCCTCTAAAATATACACTAGGGATACAGAATCTTCTTACATTGAGGAGCATTATGAGAAATAGCTCTAAGAAACCCAATTTGGATCTGATGAATGGTATCTTTTGAGATTGTTGTTTACTGCTTTACTTGGTCTCCTATTTGAGAAGGTATGGAGAATATTTTTTTTCTTTTTTGTTTTCAAAACTAATGAATTTATATTGAATAATTGGTTTGCTATTTTCTCTTATATTCTCTTAATCATATATTAATTGTGTTTACCTCCGCTTTATTTTTTAAATTTTTTTTTCTAAAATGTGTGCCTAATTTTTACTAGGTGTTTTGTGCTTTCTGATATGGATTTCAATTATTAAATTTACCTGTTACTAGTATATAGTTTCTTTATTATTCCCTTGACTTTATGCTTGAAATAATCCTGGTCTCCATCTTATATCATATATATTTTTATAAGTCCCTCTAAATACTTTTTGGAATTATGACATTATCAATCATTACATTAACAAGTATGTTTGATTTACTCTTACAGGTGTTATACAAAGTAAATAAGATGTAAATGAGCAGGTATAAGTGAAAACATACTGTAAATTATCAGACATTTTGCTTACAAAAACAACTATTATTTGGTCCCACAGTTAATAGTAATACACCATCTTCAGTGATTCGTAAGCAAATTAGAGTCAAAGAGGGCTTACCTAACCAGTATTTTTGTGATTTTTATTTAATTAATAAATTAATACATTATTGAACAACTTTTAATTAGGCAAATTCTCAGAATTCTGAATATTATTATTATGATGAAAAATGCTACACATTTATCTAGCAACAAATCCACAACTAAAATAAAAATTTATGAATACATTTTAGAAAATCTCGCACCATCTCAAAAGAGCTACATTGAGGTCTTTACACAGGATTCTTAACTGTCATGCTATGGTATAAATAGGATAGTTTATGACCTTGCTCAAATTATCTGAAATTGAAATTATGGTTTCCTTAATTGAAGAATCAAAAAGTTCATCAACAACTAGGTTGCAGGAAGGTTTACACTGCATAATTCATTCATGTTAGACATTCATTAAATGTTGTTTCATTTTCTTCTTCCTTTAGCTAAATTAGGAATTATAGTCAGGTACCACATAGTGGCATTTCGGTCAGTGATGGACTGCATATATGAAGGCAGTCATTCAGCAAACTAAAGTTAATTTATTATTAAAGTTAAAATATGTTTTATAAATTTAGTGTAGCCTAAGCGCATAGTGTTTATAATGTCTACAATACCGTACAATAATGTCCTAGGCCTTTACATTCACTCCCCACTCATTCAGTGACTCACCTCGAGCAACTTCCAGTCCTGAAGCTCCATTCATGGTTCTTGCCCTGCACAGGTGGAGCATTATTTTAATCTTTAACAGTGTATTTTTACTGTACCTTTTTATATTTAGATACATGTAGATACACAGATACTTACCATTGTGTTAAAATTGCCTACAGTATTCAGTACAGCAACATACAATACAGGTCTGACACTTAGGGGAAATAGGCTGTCCCATATAGCCTAGGTGTGTCATTGGCTATACCATCTAGGTTTGTGTAAGTACACTCTGCGATATTTGCATCATGAGGAAATTGCCTAATAATGCATTTCTTAGGACAAACCCATGTTTAAGCAACACATCACTGTACAAGAATAACTTTTCAAGAGCACCCTGTTACTTTTGTTTTTCTTCTATAGAACTTCAAACATTTGGTTAAAAAATCTGTCATTAGTTGATTTGCCCAAGCTTTCTATTCCCAATATGTCTAATTCCTCAAAAAACTCTTTTTCTATGTTTGTCAACTTTTCCCACATTAGAGAAAAAAAAAGATTAACTTAATTTACTTTTTGGTGCAGAACACTTACCCCACATATGGAAGTTTATATCTTTTAGAAGAGAAGTTTTTTATTTTAATGAGATTTTTAGTTCTTAAATCATAAAATGGAATTACTGACCCAAAGAGGCTAAATTACCAATTGGACATAAAAGGGAACACACACACACACACTCACACACAAACAAACATACATACACTCCATACAAATATATGTTTATTTACAAATAGGAGATCATCTAAATGTGTAATGTATCTGGCCAGGCCAGAGAAAGATAAATGTGTCTATTTGAAAAAGTTACCAAAGTTGATTTTTCCCTTCGTAATGTTATTTTATTATTATTTAAACAGCTTTATTAAGATAAGGTGGATATACAGTAAATTGCACATATTTGATGTATACAAGTTGATGAGTTTGGACATATGCATATGCCTATGAAACCATCACCATAATCAAGGGAATGAACTTATTTATTCCTTTATCACCTCCAAGCCTTTTCTTCCTCTGCAATTTTAAAGGACGTGTTTTAAACCCTATACAGATAAAAATAGCACATCAGAAAGAAAAAAATAACTTCTTTATATGAGAATATAAAAAATATTTTCTAGATGCAGCAATTAAACCATGCTTAAATCAATTGCACATTTGTCTCATTTAGAGGTATGTTCAATAGCCATCTCATTTTAGAATGTTCCCATGTGACTTCTGACATGGATCTACATCAATTCAGTAAAACTGCACACTCTTTTATCAGAGATCTTCTATTTTTGCTTTCAGGCTAAATAAAGGCTAAATTAAAATTTTTCAAATTATACAATGGGTGTTCCCACTTACAAGGATATTTAAAATTTTTGGCTACCCCAAAATCAGATACTAGATATAGAGCTTACATAAAATTGTCCTATAGCTGCTTACTCTGTATTATAGAATGTTATACAATCATTTCTAAAATAGTTCTATTCTATTTTAGTTGTACTACTTAAATATTACATCTTCAGCTTTCAATGTCAATTAAACATCCTGTATGTGCTTATCATTTTAATGTCTATTTCTATGTTCAAAACTTCATTATTCAATTCTGAGATCTATGAATCAACAAGAACTTGCTAAAGGTGCCAAAAAAGAAAATAGTGTTAATGGAATCACTAATGTAGATGTAATTGCTTATTGGTACACATATTCAAATCAATTCAATTAAATTTTTTTTTCTTATAATCCTCATAGACACAAAGTATCTATGCAAGGTATTGTGTTTCTCACCAGCAGTGGTTCTCATCTAGGCAGACAATTTCATCCTCAAGGGTACATTTGGCAATGTCTAGAGATTTTTTTGGTTGTTACAACTGGGAATGGAAGTGCTAATGGCATCTAGTGGGCATAACATGGGATGTTACTACATATTAGAAAGTGCAGGACACCCCCCTTCTCCAACAAAAATTTATCTAGTCCAAAATGTCAATATCATTGAGGTTGGGAAACACTGTATTATAGTCTATTCAGGTAGATGATATAGATGCATGACTAACTATAGTAAAATTAACAATAATAAGGGTTCAAAGTATCATGAGGAATATTCTATTTACCTCCTCTAATTTAATCTTTACCTAAGGTGGGTATTATTATAATCACTTTATAGAATATGAGAAAGTCTAATATAGCTCATATAAAAAACATTAATACCTGCCAATCATTTTATTCAAAATCAATATTACTCTATACAGTAAAACTACTAGAATTTCAGCCACATGTTGTAAATGATGATAATGTCACATTTACGTCTCTTGCTACCAGATATACATAAGGTAAGAGAGCAAATAATTCACCAACTAGCTATATTTCCAGACAGAAAAGGGGTGGACACTGCCACATGAGTTCCTAAGGGCCATTATCAGGCCAGAGAGCAATGAACTTCTGGGGCGTTTACTTTGTCCTATGTACTTTGTCAAACAGTTTTATAATTATCTCATTTAATTCTAGCTACTACTGTGTAAGATATATATTATGTTGCCTTCACTGTTACTGGGAAAATGAAGCTTAGGTAATATGGCAGACTATCACAGAACCAATCAATAGCAGATTGGGTTTACATTTTAAATCTGTATGGTTACTAAACAATTCTCATTCTAGTATCATCTGATCTCTTCCCATTTTCTCAGAGGTGACATGTTTTACTGCTGAAACCAGTAGAGACTAATCCAGAGTAATAATAATTACAATGTTAAAACAATGCATAATTAATTTCCAAGAACACCTATATAAATTGTAAGCTATGAAGGCAATTATATTCATAATTAAAATGTTATATCTGTTAGGAATGGCTTTGGTTGCCATTAATAGTGGCCATTAATACTCACAGTGACCTAACCAATAGGGTTTCCTCCCATAACGAAAAGGCAGGAGGTAGGTAGTGCCAGGAATGTTTCAGTGGCTTAGTGAAGTCAGAGTCCTTGGTTAGAGCCTCTTGTATTCTCTTGGCCTTTTTCTTACAGTCAAAGTTGTTTGGAGCAGCTTCAAATGTTATATTGTCACACTACAGAGAGCAAGGAAGAGAAAGGCAGAAAGAACTTAATTTTTGTGTTATATTGCGGGAGAGGTAGAAAAAAGAAAAAACTTTTTCAGAAGCCATAAGTAGATTTCCATAGCATCTTGTAAGCTCACAAAGTCTTCCGTAGTTGCAAAGGAGGCTAATTTTTCTCTCCATCCATTCAAGGACCAGGTTGGGAAATCTCTTAATTGGCCAATACAAAGTGCAATAAAAAATGGCATTACAGGCTGTGGGGCCGGGTGGTTCACGCCTGTAAAGCCCAGAACTTTGGGAAGCCAAAGTAGGAGGATCGCTTGAGTCCAAGAATTCAAGATCAGCCTTGGCAACATGGTGAAACCACATTTTTCAAAAATAAAAAAGATAGCAGGGAGTGGTGGCATGCACCTGCACCTGTAGTCCCAACTACTCAGAAGGCTAAGGTAGAAGGTCTCTTAAGCATGAGAGATCTGGGATCACTCACTGGGCTGAGGTGGGAGGATCACTGGAGCCTGGGACATTGAGGCAGCAGTCAGCTGTGATCATGCCACTACACTCCAGTCTGGATGACAGAGCAATACTCTGTCACACACACACAGAAATGTTGGGGCACAGTTGTATTTTACAAAGCAACTTCACATGTTTCATCTCATTCTTTTATATTTATAATAGAATATAACAACAGAACATTAAGTAAACACCCTAAATGGTCAAGCATTTGTTTGTGATTTATTAGTTAACAGCAATAACTAATTCTTATTAAACATTTAATCTGCTCCAAATATCTTCTGTGTAAGTCTCATAACACTGTCAGCTAGGTAAATTTATAACATCTATTTATGTATTATTTTATTTTTAATAGAAACAATAATTGTATATATTTATGGATTACAATATGATGCTTTGATATATGTATACATTGTGGAAATAGTAAATCAAGCTAATTAACATATTTATGACATCACCTACTTATTTTTTAAAGATGTGAACATTTAAATCTAATCTTGTAGCAGCATTGAAATATTCAATATATGATTACTAATTATAGTAACCATGCTATGTAATATATCACTAAAATCTATTTCTCCTGTCTGATTAAAACTTCGTACCTTTTCATTAACATCTTTTTCCTCCTCCAAACCCTACAGCCTCTGAAAATCACCACTCTACTCTCTGCTCCTATGAGTTTGACTTTTTTTAGATTCTACATATAAGTGAGATCATATAGTATTGATTTTTCTGTGCCTGGCTTATTTCACTTAGCACAATGTTCTTCAGATTCATCCATGTTGTCACAGATGGTATGATTTCCTCCTTTTTAAAAGCTGAATAGTGTACCATTGCATTCCATATATACAACATACAGCCAATATTTTCTTTATCCATTTGTCTACTGATGAACATTCACATTGCTTTCCTATCTTGGCTATTGTTAATATTACTACAGTAAACAGGGCAATGCAGATATTTCTTTGACATACTGATTTTAATTCCATTAAGCCCCGCCTTACTCCTGGACTCAAACCTTCCTCCCACCTTGGCCTTGCAAAGTGCTGGGATTTACAGGCAGGAACCATCACAATTCCCCCACTCTCAGCCTGCAATGCCCCCCCTTTTTTTTTTTTTGGATAATTAAGAGATTTCTCAACCTTGTTCTTGAATGGATAGAGAGAAAAATTAGTCTCCTTTTATACCCGGAAGTGGAATTGCTGGATCATGGTAATTCTATTTTTACTTTTTGAGGACCTTACATACTGTTTTTCATAATGACTAATTTAAATTCCCACCAACAGTGTGTAAGGGTTCCCTTTTCTCCACATCCTCCCCAACTTTTGTTATATTTTGTCTTTCTGAAATACCTATTTTAACAAGTGTGAGGTGATGTTTCATTGTGGTTTTAATTTGCATTTCCCTGATTAATGTTGAGCATTTTTTCATATGTCTACTGGCCTTTTGTCTTTTTTTAAGAAATATGTAGTCAGGTCCTTTGCCCATTTTAAAAATTGGGTTGTTTCCTTCTATTAAGTTGCCAATTTTTAAAATATATTTTAGATACTAGCCCCTTATCATATGTATGGTTTGCAAATATTTTCTCCCAATCTGTTGATTGTCTGTTCACTCTGTTCCTTGTTACCTTTGCTGTGTAAAAAGTTTTAAATTTGATACAATCACATTCATCTTTTTTTGTTTATACAGAAAAATCATTGCCCAAACCAATGTAATGGAGATTCCCCTTATGTTTTCTTCTAGTACTCTTACAATTTCAGATATTAAATTTAAGTTTTTAGTCCATTTTGAGTTGATTTTTGCATATGGTGTGAGATAAGGGTTCAATTTTATTCTACTACAAGTGGATATCCAGTTTTCCCAACACTTTTTATTATAGAACCTCTCATTTCCCCATTGGGTGTTTTTGGCAACTTTGTGAAAAATTAATTGGCCGTAAATATGTAGGTTTATTTCTGAGGTTTCTGTTCCATCCCATTGGTACAAGTGTCTGTTTTTATGCCAGTAGCTTGTTGTTTTGATTACCATAGCTTTGCAATGAATTTTGAAATCAGGTAGTGTGATACATCCAATGCTTTTTTTCTTTTTGTTCAAGATTTCTTTGGCTATTCAAGGACTTCTGTGGTTCCACATAAATTTTAGGATTTAAAAATAAACTTCATGTAATTTTAAACAATTCCTGTAATTTTGATAGAATTTGCATTTAAATCTATAGATTGCTTTGGGTAGTATGAACATTTTAACAATATTAATTATTTTAATCCATGAATATAGTATATTTTTCCGCTTTTTAGTCTTCAGTTTCTTTCATCAATGTGTGTTTAGTATATATCTGTTTTATAGGTGAAAAAAATTTGCTTTAGCAAAATTAAGTAATTTGCTAAATTTATACGACTGGTAAGGGATGCAAATCCATCTGACTAACTATAAAGCTGAAATATTCATGGCTATATTATTATAATGACTTTTACATGGCTCATTTGTTTTTATTTCTCCACTGATCAGGTCTGTAAACACAAGCTGATATTACCATGGAATGTTTCTTTTAATATTATTCACTCTTTTATCATCATCATTATGATTGTCCTCAGCAGCAATAGAAACAGCACCATTGTCACCATCACAGACTCATACTGACATTACATAAGAAGTCAGAGATTCTAGGCTGGGCACAGTAGCTCATTCCTGTAATCCCAGCACTGTGGGAGGTCCAGGCAGGTGGATCACCTGAGGCCAGGAGTTCAAGACCAGCCTGGCCAACATGGCAAAACCCCATCTCTACTAAAAATACAAAAATTAGTTGGGCATGGTGGCAGGCACCTGTAATCCAAGCTACTCTGGAGGCTGAGGTGGGAGAATCTTGAAACCAGGAGGTGGAGGTTGCAGTGAGCAGAGATTGTGCCACTGCACTTCAGCCTGGCAACAGAGTGAGACTCCATCTCAAAAAAAAAAAACAAAAAAAAACAAGTCGGAGATTCTGACTTTGCCTCCCAACATTGCTATTACTTTGCTCTAACTTTTAAATTTTTGTATCCATGCTTCCATTTCTCTGCTCTGTCATTTCCACTGACCACCTGTATGGTCTTCCTTCAGTCCGTCTCTTCCATGTCCCTAGTTCAAACCCCTCAGGTGAAAACAAGCACCTATTTTCTTACAGAATATTTGAACATTATTTTTTGCCTCTTATTATAATCTATAAGTAAATCAATATTGGTCATAGCCTAGAAACTCTGTTTAATGAGAATATAGACTCCCCATGGTAATAGTAGAATAATTACTATGTTCAGTTTTGGGCAGATGCTAGAAATACTCAAGTCATGACCAATGAGGATGCAGAGAGAAAGAGCAAGAAGAGAGCTTGAGAGTGGGTGTTAACCTCTGAAACCTAGATGCTTTTAAGGCCAATGGCTGTCATTCAACACATACATTTGAATAAATAAAAACAAATAAAGAAAAGTTTAAACTAGAGGAGGGCAAAAATATATCACATCTGCAAGGTATTTATTTTTTAAACAAATATCAAAGCAATGAGCCACTATGTATCAAATGGTTTTGCTTATAGAAAACCAGAACTGTGATTTTTAGGTGGAAGATGAAGGTTATCATCAACACATAAGTATTTTCTATAGGTTCCCTAAGACATGTGATTTATTAATTTAAGAGGAAATAAATTCTCTTTATCAGAGAAACAAACTTAAAAGTACACATGGAAGGTAGGTTAGTATGTAATACAAATAAGTTGCAGATGAATGGAATAAGAATTCTTTCATCATTAAGTGGAGAAGAGGATGGAAATTTGGAGGATGAATTATACTGAAAAATAAGGGGTGATGACACTGTCAGGGAAAAGATGTTTGTTGACAGAGGACTGAGAACATAAAGTCAAAATTGAAAGCTTTAAATGCAGTCTGCAAAGATTTCAACACAATCATGTCTCACTTTGCTTTATAATCTTAAATATGGGCTTCATAGGAACAATATCAAATGCAGATTTCATCTTTTTTTTTTACCTTATCCATTTTTAAATGTATGGTTTTTCAGTGTTAAACATATTTACATTGCTGTGAAAGAGATCTCCGGAAATTTTTCATCTTGCACATCTGAAACCCTATACCCATTAAACAACAATTATCCTTTACCCTTGCCTCCAGCCCCTGGTAACCGCTATTCTACTTCTGTTTCTATGAACTTGACTAATTTAGATATCTCACATAAGTGATATCACACAGTATTTTTTTTCTGGTATCATATCTAAGAAATAATTGTCTAGTTCAATGCCATTTTGTCCTATGTTTTCTTCTAGGAGTATTATAGTTTCAGGTATTATGTTTAGGTCTTTCTTTTTAGTTAATTTTTATATATGATATATGGTACCAATCGAACTTTATTCTTTTGCATATAGATCTCAAGATTTCTGAGAACTCTTTGTTGAAGAGACTGTCCTTTCTACGTTGAGGGAGTGGTCTTGGCACTTTTTTAGATGATCATTTGGCCATAGACTTAAAGGTTTATTTTGGGATTGTCTTTTATTACATTGACCTGTTAGTCTGTCTTTATACGGGAACCACTGTGTTTTAGTTACCATAGCTTTGCGATATGTTTTGAAATTAGAAAGGTGAGTTCTATAGCTTTGTTCTTATTTTTCCCTGGATTGTTTTGGCTGTTTGGCATCTTTTGAAATTCCATGTGAATCTTAAGATGAATTTTTCTATGTCTGCAAAAAATACCATTGGGATTTTGATAGGGACTTTGTTGAATTTGTAGATCACTTTGGGTAGTATGTACATATTAACAATATTAACACTTTGAATCCATGAACATGAGATGTCTTTTAATTTATTTGTGTTTTAATTTATCTCAGCAATGTTTTGTAGTTTTCAGTATAAAAGTCTTTCACATCTTGGTTAGGTTTATTCCTAAATATTTTATTTGATGCTATTGCAAATGAAAGTTTTCTTAACTTTCAGAATTTTTATTGTTTCATTGTGTATAAAAATGCTACTGATTTTTTAAATCAATTTTCTATCATGGAACTTTGCTGAATTAGTTTATTGATGCTAACAATTTTTGTGTGTGCAGAATTGTTAGGGTTTTCTACATATGAGATCATGTCACCTATAAAGAGAGGTAATTTTACTTCTTTCTTTCCAAAATGGATAACTTTTAATTTATTTTCTCTTTGTTGTATAAGTGTTCTTGCTAGCACTTCCAATACTATGTTAAATAAAAGTGGCAAGACTGGGTATCCTAGTCTTGTTCCTAATCTTAGAGAAAAAGCCATCAGCCTTTCACCATTAAGTATAATGTCAGCTGTGGGTTTTTTATAAATGGCTTTTATTATATTGAGTTATTTTCCTTCTATTCCTAATTTGCTGAGTGTTTTCTTTAACCATAAAATAATGTTGCATCTTGCCAAATGCTTTATTTGCATTAATTGAGGTGGTTTTTAGCCCTCATTATGTTAATATGATGCATTATATTAATTGACTTTGTTATGTTAAGCCATCCTTGCATTTCAGGATTAAATTCCTCCTGTTCATGGTATATAATCCTTTTAATGTTGAATTTGGTTTTCTAGTATTATGTTGAGAATTTTTGCATTAATACTTTTCAGAGATATTGTTCTGTAGCTACCTTGGAGTGTCTTTGCCTGGTTTTGGCATAAGGACAATGTTGGCTTCATAGACTTAGCCTAGAAATGTTCCCTTCTCATCAATATTTCAGAAAAGTTTCAGGAAGATGGGAGTTAATTCTTTAAAGGCTTGGTAAAATACATCTAGTCCTACCCTTTTCTTTGTTTGGAGGTTTTTGATTACCAATTAAATCTTCTTACTTGTATTTGATCGGTTCAGATTTTCTTCTTTTTTATGATTCAGTATTGGTAGGTTGTGTATTTATAGGAATGTATCCATTTCTTCTAGACTATGCAATCGTTTGACCTACAGTTGTTCATAGTATTCTTCTGTAATGCTTTTTTATTTTCTATGGTGTTGTTTTAATGTCCTCTTTATTTATTGCTGATTTTAATTATTTGAGTACTCTCTCTTATTTATTGGTTAATCTAGATAAGGGTTTGTCAATTTGTTAATCTTTTCAAGAAAACCATTTCTTAGTTTGATTTTTTTCTATGGTTTTTATGGTTTCTGTTTTATTTACCTCTGCTCTAATTTTTATTATTTCCTTCTTTCTGCTAGCTTTGTGTTTAATTTGTGATTCTTTTATCTGGTTTCTTGCGGTGTAAAGTTAGACTGTTGATTTGAGGTCTTTCTTCTCTTTTAATATGTGTATTTACAGCTATAGGCTTCTTTCTTAGCACCACCATTGCTATGCCATAACTTTTGGTATGTTTTATTTTTATTTATGTTTATCCCCAGATACGTTCTCATTTTCCTTATGACCATTCATTGTTTAAGGATGTGTCATTTAATTTCACGTATTTGTGGATTTTCCAATTTTCTATGTGCTATTGATTTCTGGTTTCACTTCACTGTGATTAAAAAGACTATCTGTATGACTTGAATCTTGTTGAATTTGTTGACTTATGTGTCCTAGTATGTGTTTTATCCTGAAGAACATTCCTTGTACACTCCAGAATAATATATATTCTGCGGTTGTTGAGTGAAGTATTCTCTATATGTCTGTTAGGTCCAAGTGGTGTAGAGTGTTGTTCAAATTGTCTATTGCCATAATGATTTTCTATCTACTTGTTCATTATTAAAAGAGGGGTTTTGAAGTCTCCTATTGTTACTGTGTTGTCTGTTCCTCACTTCCATTCTGTCAAAGTTTGCTTCGTGTCTTTAGGAGCTCTAAGTATTGGAGAATAAAGATTTGTAATTTTTACATCTTATTAATTAATTGATACTTTTATTATTAATTAATTGCTCTTATTTGGCTCCTATAATGGGTTTTCATTAAGTACATTTTTTTGTTTTTGAGGCAGAGTCTCACTCTCTTGCCCGGGCTGGAGTGCAGTGGTATGATCACGGCTCACTGCAACCTCCGCCTCCTGGGTTAAAGTGATTCTCCTGCCTCAGCCTCTCAAGTAGCTGAGATTACAGGAGCATACCACCATGCCCGGGTAATTTTTAGTAGAGATAGGGTTTCACCCTGTTGGCCAGGCTGGTCTCGAACTCCTGACCTCAGGTGATCTGCCCGCCTTGGCCTCCCAAAGTACTGGGATTATATTAGTATAGCCATCCGTCTCGCTGTCTCTCTCTATTTTTTTCTGCTACTTGCAAGAAATGCCATTTTCAGTCTTTTACTTTCCACCTGTGTGTGTCCTTAGATCTATCATGAGGCTCTTGTAGACAATCTAGATATGGATCCCCCCTCCTTTCTTTTTTTTTTGGGATGAAGTTTCACTCTTGTTGTCCAGGCTGGAGTGCAGTGGCATGACCTTGGCTCACCACAACCTCCACCTCCCAGGTTCAAATGATTCTCCTGACTCAGCCTCCCAAGCAGCTGGAATTACAGGCATGTGCCACCACACCTGGTTAATTTTTGTATTTTTAGTAGAGACAGGGTTTCACCATGTTGCCCAGGCTGGTCTTGAACTCCTCACCTCAGGTGTGGATCCCCTTTTTTAATCCATTCAGACAATCTATGACTTTTAATTTGGGAATTCAATCCATCTATATTTAAAGTAATTACTGATAAAAAAAAGTACAGGTATTATTGCCATTGTGAATATTATTTTCTAATGGATTATAGGTTTTTTGTTCTTCATTTCTTCTCATTGCCTTCCTTTTCATTTTATTGATTTTTAACATTATGTACTTTAATTCTCTTCTCATTCCTTTTTGAGTACATTCTACAGATTTTTTTGTAGTTACCATTTTAATTACACAAAACATCTTAGTGTTATAGCATTCTATTTTAACCGAATTACAAACTTAATTTTAATCACATATAAAAACTCTACTACTTTATAGTTCCACATCCCCAATTTATATTACTAAGGTCACTAATTACTTTTTTATATATTATATACTCATTAATATAGTTTCATTGTTTATAATTGTTCTTGTCATTTAAATTCTATGCACCAAATTATTATGGTATAATTTATTATATTTGTCTGCATATTTGCCTTTATTGAAGAGCATTGTATGTTCATATTGCTTTGTGTTGCTACCTACCATCCTTTTCCTTCTATTTTAAAAGGTCCCTTTAGCATTTCTTGTATAGCAGATACAGTGGTGAAGAATATCCACAGTACATTTTTCATATTTATTAGTTATTTTTATTTCAATTTAATATTGTGTATTCATGTCCTTTGCCTGTCTTCTAGTGGAATGTTAATTTTAACAATATTTTTCATTTGCTGTTTACATAGGAAGTGTATTAAATTTTGATGTAAAACTTTATATATATTAGGCCGGGCATGGTGGCTCATGCCTGTAATCCCAGCACTTTGGGAGGCCGAGGCCAGCAGATCACGAGGTCAGGAGATCCAGACCATCCTGGCCAACGTGGTGAAACCCCGTTTCTACTAAAATACAAAAAATTAGCCAGGCATGGTGGAGCATGCCTGTAGTCCCAGCTACTCCAGTGGCTGAGGCAGGGGAATCACTTGAACCCAGGAGGAGGAGATTGCGGTGAGCCGAGATCACGCCACTGCACTCTAGCCTGGTGACTGAGCGAGACTCTGTCACCAAAAAAAAAAAAAGAAAAAAAAAGGGCCAGGTGCGGTGGCTCATGCCTGTAATTCCAGCACTTTAGAAGGCCAAGGTGGGTGGATCACCTGAGGTCAAGAGTTCGAGACCAGCCTGGCCAACATGGAGAAACCCCATCTCTACTAAAAATACAAAATTAGCTGGGCATGGTGGTACATGCCTGTAATCCCAGCTATTTAGGAGGCTGAGGCAGGAGAATCACTTGAAGCCAGGAGGCGGAGGTTGCAGTGGGCTGAGATCGTGCCATTGCACTCCAGCCTGCGCAACAAGAGCAAAACTGTCTCCAAAAAACAAAACAAAACAAAACAAAACAAAAAACACTTTGTATATATTGCACCTGAGTTATTACAATTTTAAATTATTTTTCCAAATAATGAGTTTTTATGTTTACCTTCCCACTCTACTCGGGAAGCAGTTGCATTAATGTAAGAACACTAGTTCCTGATATCCATCAGTTTGCCTCTTTTGTTTGTTTTCTTAACAATAATATCTTTCCTTATTTAAAAATATTTATATAGATTTTTTTTTCCTAAATAATATTATTTTGGAAATGTTACTTAGGTTTTGGAAATCAGGGAAGGCTAATAGATGTGTTCAGTACACCATCTTGAAACTAAAGGTCATGTTAATAGAGCTTATAAATATTTTGAAAGAGTATTTAATGGCAGACATAGCATTTTCACATGACCAAAGAAAAAACTAGGAGATACTGATTCTATGACTAAATCAAAGTTGAAAACATATCTTAAAAAGTTGAAACTATAATCCAAGATGTGAAAAAAATCAGTTTAAGATAAGGGATAATGCAATTTCCCTGAAGGCCCAAAATATTTGCTCAATTTTTGCACAAATGTATTATACAATTGGGGGTGACCGATTAGTGAAATTCTGGGAAAATCAATCACATATTTGTTTACTATAATGGTGTTTGGTTATTTCTAAAGGAAATAATGGCAGTTGTGGATTGGTAATGCGTTGATCAAGGAGATAATAATGTATACAATTTGGGGTATTTCATTCAGTTCTGAGACTTGTGTTTTAAGGTGTACCATGAAATACTGTAGAAAATATTCTTGAGTCACTTTTTAAGAGTCGAAGGTAAGAGGGCATAAAGAAAACTGGGGTATCTAGAATCCATATCATACAACTCTAATACTAAAGGCAGAAATCATACATCAAAATGTAATACACTTCCTATGTAAAGAGCAAATGAAAAATGTTTTAAAAATTAACATTCCACTAGAAGACAGGCAAAGGACATGAATACACAATATTAAATTGAAATAAAAATAACTAATAAATATGAAAAATGTACTGTGGATATTCTTCACCACTGTATCTTCTATACAAGAAATGCTAAAGGGACCTTTTAAAATAGAAGGAAAAGGATGGTAGGTAGCAACACAAAGCAATATGAACATACAATGTTCTTCAATAAAGGCAAATATACAGACAAATATAATAAATTATACCATAATAATTTGGTGCATAGAATTTAAATGACAAGAACAATTATAAACTATTAAACTATATTAATGAGTATATAACATATAAAATGTAATTAGTGACCTTAGTAATATAAATTGGGGATGCGGAACTATAAAGTAGTATAATTTTTATATGCGATTAAAATTAAGTTTGTAATTCGGTTAAAATAGAATGCTATAACACTAAGATGTTTTGTGTAATTAAAATGGTAACTACAAAAAAATCTGTTTTCCTCTCTTTTTTCTCTCACACAAATGCAGACACATAGGGCCATACATGAAGCACACGTAATTAAGCTGTCCCACAATGTGCAAATAGTCAAGGGTTTTATGACTTTGGAGAAGAGATTCCTGAATTTAAGACCATGTACTGGATCACCTCTCACTAGGAAATATGAATCCGTGTCATTATTATTTACCTTCTTAAGAATTATGTGGGCAAAATAGGTTACAATAATTTCATTGTCCGCTCTATGAGAATAAAGACTAAGGAGACCCTCAAGAAAAGATAACAATAGAATTGTGGAGATAAGAAATTGATATGAAGACCTGAATTAATAGAACCAAAAAGTTATATATAAATAAAACTAAAAAAAAGAAAAAAATGAAAACTTAAGAGATAACAGAGTTCCTAAAATTTAGAGTCACAGAAAACTAATTCTGAGAATATTGCTTCTGAACTCGAAGGACAAAACATGATATATTGGGAATTTATAATTATATTTATAAAACTTTGCTTTTACAATTATGTTTACATAATAAAACTTAAAAGTAACAGCTATATTAGAATTTAGTTTATTTTGCTTAATTTATTTTTCTCATTAGATCCTGGTCACTAGGATCTAATCCTGGTCACTAGCTAAATTGACGTATATTTTACTTTTTATATCTTGAATTTAGATGTATTAAAGTATCACGCGTGCTATACATCATGTATTTTAGATATTTAAAAATGCAAAAATTTTGTGATAATTGGACATTTATTCTCAATTCTAAGAAATATGTAGAAAGACCACTCTGAACTTTGTAAACTTAGATAAGAAAGAGACCAGAAGTGTTTACGTTTCTGTATATGTGCGTCCTTTTTAAAAATTTTACCCATCAGTAGTTACCCAGCATCACTTTGATTCCTTCTTTTTTATGTAGAAACACAGCTCAAAGCACCAAACCCATTCTCCAGTGATAGGGACAAAAGTAGGTTAGTAGAGTTGGTTGCTAGGAGACCAATGTCAGCGTCATCTATGACCTTGCAGAATGTAAAAAATAAGTATAGATTTATCGACCTCAGTGGCACATTGTCTGAATCCTCTGCTCTGACTGTCTTATTTCATTTCTGTCTATCTCACTATTTTCCTCTCTTTTTTCTCTCACACAAGTGCAGACATATAGGGCTGTACAACTCCCTTTCTTGATACCTCCTCATTTCTCAAAGTTATTACTTTGCTGCATTTAACCACATCATTGTCTCTCAGCTAACAAGGCACTCTATCAGCAGTGTCAGCAAATCCCAATCCTTTTAAAAGGTTGATTCTTCATACTATTGCTGTAAGAAATACAGAAATCAGTTCTACTGGGAACAGCATTATGAAAAATGTATAAACATCAGAAAGTAATTTTGCTGTCACATTCAAAATGTTTTCTCAAAGTTGCATCCCCAGTTTTCACAGTTGAGGTGGTTTAGGTTAAATAATCTCATGCAGGAGAGAACTCTAACATTCTTGTCATCTTCTTGGCATATATTTTTCTGAAATTGTTTACAATATGGATTTCATGGAGGAACAAGTAACAGCAGAGAAAGTTAAATTACGAAATAAAAGGTTCACATCCCAAACAATTTTTGTTTTAATGATTATAGGGATACATTGTCTCAAACAACCTATAAATTACATTGCAAATAAATGATTGATATATGTGTTTGTCTGAGGGGGTGTTATAATTATTTTCCTCCACAGGTTGAAATCTTCACTGGAAGGTATACGAGAGTGCAGCTCTTCTTCATCTGTAGAAAAAAGTTCTGTAGTTCAAACTTGCTATTGTAATTGTGTTGTTTAGTTGTTAAAAAACTAAAATAGGTGTGCCTATATCTCACCAGTACAAGTATCTGGATTTTGTAAACTATTGAATAAAAATAATATTTCAATTAAAATAAATTATAATTTATTTTCAAAATCAATTAATGATGATTAACAAACTGAAACCAGGTTATTTAAATGAACTGTAAAGCTTTCTGTCAGAATGAAAACTTCTGATTGTACAAAGAAAATTTCATACAAAGCTTAATATCTATGATAGGTGGGATAATAGAATTAAAAATAATTTATTTGCATTTCCTGTTTCTAATACATCTTAAAATATTGACTAATAATCAAGACAATAGTTACTGAAGCTTAGCATTTACATGTTTACTGAATTTCTATGAAAGAAAATATAATACATCAAATTCCTAATCTTGAGAGTGTAGAAAGATATTTATGAAGAATTAACATTTATATAATATTAACAAGTAACATTAACAGTATATAAACTGGTCCTTAGAAATGCATTTGTCTTATTTTCTCTGTGCTAAAGACATTGCTTATGTTCATAGTTACAGATAAATCATTTAGGACAGCAAAGTTATACTATTCTGTATAAAAATTTAGTGGTTTCCTCATGATGTTAGAAAGAGTTGTTAGAAAATTACTGAAGAAATGGATACTAAAGACTATTAATATTTTAACTAAAAATGGTGAGTTTTGAAATTTAAATCCAAACTTTATATGGCATACATACAAACCTAGGAAGCAAGGAAGAATTTGCTGAAATGGGACAAGGAAGCAGCTCTTGGATTTTTTTTAGGTGTAATCATTGAATTGTTACTTGTGAAATATACAAACCAGAAAAGGCTCTCTAAAACCACTTTAGAATTGTGGAGTAAGTTTTAGAGCAGAAGTCAAATGTGTGATCAGATGCTGAGATGAATAATAAAGATGAATTAGGGGAAGAGTGAAAAGTCAAGGATTGGGTGAAACATCTGTGGCAAAGCTTTTGCCAAATAATCTTATCATCTCTGAAAATAGGTTGTGTTTCCCTTCGTTCCATGAGTTGTTGGAGAAAAAATACAAATTGCATTTCAACATGAAATAAGTACTATTTGAAAATAAATACAAATTTTATTTCAGTAAAAATAAAATGATACATTCATTTGATAATTTTATTTATTCATTAAACAAAGAAACCATTGAGTGCATGTTATGTGCTAAACCTTTTTACATCTGACTTCTGAGTCTAAGGGAGAAGACAGGTATGTAAAAAGATAATTATAATGCAAAGTAACAAAAAGTGCTAACAAATGTAGGAAAAATTGCTGTGTTGGCTGGTAGATTTGCTTATAATTGGCATATATATTATTATGACAGTGGTCCCAGGGCATGTTTAAGATATTCCACAGAAACTAATATAGTACTTGGGATTTTGCACATTGTAAAACTTGGCAGATGGTGATTTGGTTCTAGTGATTAGCTCATTTTATGCAAAGAAACCTGAGAAAATTACCCTAGAAAACATACATTTATATTAAAAATCGTTTCTGCTCCAAAAATATTTTCCCCCCATAATTTATTTATGGATATTTCAAAATAATTAGAATAATTATAAACTTGATCTCATGTCCTATTGCCAAGTTTACTTCAGACCAGGACATCAACACACACACACATACAATCATCAGGAGTAATACCAAGAAAAAGAAAATGCCATAGAGGCTGATATGGTTTGGCTGTGTCCCCACCCAAATCTCATCTTGAATTGTAGCTTCCATAATTCCCATGTGTCGTGGGAGGGACCTGGTGGAAGTAATTGAATCATAGGGGCAGGTCTTCCCCATGCTGTTCTCATGATAGTGGATAAGTCTCAGGAGATCTGACAGTTTTAAAAAGGGGAGTTCCCCTACCCAAGCTCTCTTGCCTGCTGCCATGTAAGATGTGACTTTGGGCCTCATTTCTCTTCTGCCATGATAATGAGGCCTCTGAGTCCATTAAACCTCTTTCCTTTATAAATTACCCAGTCTCACGTATGTCTTTATTAGCAGTGTGAAAACAGACTGGTACATATGCAAATTTATAACAACCAGAAGCATCCATAATCACTTAGAATAGCAAAGCTAAGCAGTCTTACTCTGAATACGTGCACATACTTTACATGTTGATTCAGTGAGTCCCAAAGTTCTCAAAGGGTATGAAAAATATAAAATATGACAGTTGTATTTCAGAATTTATTTCTCTACACTAATATGCAAGTTAAAATTTATATAAATTATGTAAATAATTACAACATTACTCTTCATAAAGTTTGTAAATAATTTTTGGGAAAAGCAGTAGATTGTCATGGGTGCACAGAGCTAAAGGGACCATAGTTTTTCCTCAATATATTTTTTCTAACAACTAATCATTCAAATATCCTCCTCTGACATAAGATATAAGTATAAAGTATCATGGAAGTTGCTCTCCATGGTATTTTATCTATAGAAAATCATTTACGAAAGCAAAATCTAAGTAATAATTTCCCTCTTTGGCCCCTCCAACTCGCAGGTGCAGCTTCTTAGGGTCAGAAAAAATAAAATACACCAGGAAGAAATGTATGCTATTAATGCACTCTCTCATTAGCCTCTGCTTCAGGTCTTACTTCACACTTTGTAATTATCAGAATTTTCTATACTTCTCTGGAAAGCCAAAAATATCTACAGGTTTAATAAGATGGACATTTAAAATGAAGCTTCAAAGTTTTTCTTACAAGCTAGAAGAACATTTTTGTGAAAATATTAGGTCTAGGATTATTTTTGGGTTCCTGGGGTTTACTAAGTTACAAGTTAATGTTAGAAAACTGAAGTAGGACACTACACTAAGCATGATTAGGTAAGAAGGAAAGTACAATTCAAGGCAGTGAGAAAAGGTGACCAGCATACAATGAAAATACCTCTCAGTTTTGCACAGTTGTTTCTCACTGAATTAGCAGACCCATGACTATTATCTCCTGCAACTTCCCAGTTGGTCTCTAGGTATGTCAACTCTTGGAAAGGCTGATGGCCCTACAATCGCAGAGCTAAAGTGGATCTTGTATATAATTGAAACATTTAAGGGTGACTTAAATGGCTGCCTTTGAGCCTATAGGGAAAGCACAGCAAATACAGGCATAATATGGGATAGCCCCAGTGGTCTGGTTAATAAAACAAAGGACATTGCGGAAAGTTAGTTATCAGAGACCTTGAAAGCTTTGTACAACAATGCATTACACACAACAGCCATTTTAGCTTGAAAATCGCAGGATTAAGCAAGTCTGGAAGGTTTAAGAAACTTAAAAAAGAAACCCCAAGGTATCAAGCAGAGATTCACAAGGGCCTCTTTGGGTGCCCTATTGATTCCGCTAATTCAACAAGGGATAATTGGAGAAAGTTACTGGACACATTTAAAACTCCCTAAAGCACAAGGTTTCTATCAAATACTGGCCTATGGGCAGAAGGTCTGCAAAAGACTCTTGAAGCTTTCAAAGCAAAATGAGCATTGGAGCTTTAACCCTCAAAGTGTTTATATGCAGAGTCTTTGATTCGCCAAAGGGGAAAAATAATTGTACTTCTGAACCAAGTAGTTTTCGCCTATAACAAATCTACAAAAAGGATCATGATCTCGTTTTGCTTGTACTAATCCAAATAAGAGACAATTCTGCCACAGAATGATGCTTTGAAACATAAATAACTTTATTTTTTTATACTATATTCTGAAAATTAAAATCCAGTGGGGGTGTGTGACTATTTTTTTTTAATTGTATGGGCTTGTAGTTAGGACACATTTTTAGTTATGTGAGTGGGACTTTTATTCCCTTTGTGAGTTTGCATAATATCTTTGTTATGGCAGATTTTTAAAAATGTTTTTTCTTATTTTTTTGTTAAGGATTGGTGAAGTGCTAATATTTATTCCACTCCTGTCTTCTGAGCTCTAACCAAATTGAGAACAACTACAAAAAATGAGGTGAGAATTTAAATATTAAATGTTAAAATACGTTCTAAATATTGTTAGTATTATATTAGGTGAAAAAGTTTGGGCTTTGACAGCAAAGTAAGACTTCCTATTTCATCTAGCTTTCCCAACTTGACCTTGGAGCGTTTTTGCTGGGAGTGTTGAGCAGTGTTGGGAGTTTGTTTGAGCAGGGATTTACCTGTTGAACCACATAGAGAATAACCTTTCATCCACTCTAGAATTTAGCAAGACAGGGCTGAGAGAATGCTGCCTCATTCTAATTCATGCAGACTTCCTGCGGTAAGTGCAGGAGTGGTGAGAGTGAACACAAATCCCTGGTGGGCACACTGATGATAAGGAAAGTGAAAAAGAGAAAACTGAAGCCAAGAATGTGGATCACCTGCAAGCTGTAGCCTTTGCCCCAGGATACTAATTAGAAAAGTCACCCATCTTCCTGTGGGGCCGAGGAAGTACATAGGATGGAGAAAATGGCGGAAGCTTCTTCCCCAGTACTTGCCTAACACGATGGCAGAATTGGCAAAGTTCTTATTTCATAGGTCAAGGAAGGAATGTGGGAATAGGATTCTCCCAGTTCTTATAACTCTCATCTTGCCTATAATGAATAGGCTGTATAAGATCATGAAGAGCTGAGGAATGTGCCTTTGGTGTACTATGAAACCTAGCTCCTGGTGTGCCCACTTCACATACAATTTAAATAATACAACAATTAAACAGGCAATATTTTATTTTATTATTTTATTTCTTTTTGAGATGTAGTCTCGCTCTGTTGCACAGGCTGGAGTGCAGTGGTGTGATCTCTGTTCACTGCAACCTCCACCTCCTGGGTTCAAGCGATTCCTCTGTCTCAGCCTCCCAAGTAGCCGGGATTACAGGCACCTGTCACCACGCCTGGCTAATTTTTGTATTTTTAGTAGAGACAGAGTATCGTATATTGGTCATGCTGGTCTCGAACTCCCGGCCTCAGGTGACCATCCGCCTCGGCCTCCCAAAGTGTTAGGATTACAGGCGTGAGCCCCCGTGCCCAGCCAGGAAATATTTTAGAAAAATAAATCCTAAACTATTTATATGTGCCAGTTTAAATTATGGGATACTACTGCCCCACCAACTATTTTATTTTACTAGATATATTTACTTAAGTATTTTTTAGGCAGTATATTTCATTTTATAAGAATACAAAATAAATATAATGCAACTTAAGGTATATAATAACAGTATGTGAAATTGAAAATTGCTTTAGAATAGGTACTAATTAATGTAGGGTTTTTCTATTTGTTCGTTTTTTGTTTTGAGACAGATTCTTGCTCTGTGGCTGGAGTGCAGTGGTAGGAATACAACTCACTGCAGCCTCGACCTCCTGGGCTCAAGCAATGCTCCCATCTCAGCCTCTGGAGTAACTGAAGTTGCAGACATGTGCCACCATGCCCAGCTAATTTTTATTTTTTGCAGAGATGGGGTCTCACTATGTTGCCCAGGCTGCTCTTGAACTCCTGTGCTCAAGTAATCCTCCCACCTTGGTCTCCCAAAATGTTGAAAGGATAGGTGTGAGCCACTGTAACTGGCCTAATGTAGGTTCTATCTAACTTTACATAATCATGTGCAAATACATCCATTTGTTTAAGTCATCTGAAGGGACTCATGAGAAAATTAAAGGAACAGCTCTGAGTTTTATTGGATGGCTTAGTCTAGCTTTTAGTCTCTAGATGAGGAAGGAATGGTATTGGCTCCCTGCAATTTTTTATTTGCTGCCAGTCAGTATATTAAACTTTTATGACAAAGTGCATAGCAACCAGTGATACTAAAAAAATGAATGCGAATTTCTGTACGACATTACCCAGATCAGCAACTACTCCTGGTTTTCTCTTGCTAAATGAGAAAAATAAAATATAAGAAAGACCTTGATATTTCTTGGGATTGAACTTTATGTGTATGGAATAACATGATCTTTCTACAGCTTGGTGTTTTTTTTTCTCTTTTTTATGTTATTAAAGTTTGCTCAAATTTTGCAGGATTACTCAAATTTTTTTTTGAGTAATTTGCAAAATTTTTTGAGTAATTTGCAAAATTTTTTGAGTAATTTGCAAAAATTTGCTCAAATTTTGCAGGATACGTCTGTTAATATTACTGTTTTCATGCTATTTTCTGTCATAGTTTATGTTTTGTCATCACTTTGATCCCATCACCTTGATTTGCATGTTCCCTTGTTTAAAGTGATACATAAAATAAGTGACTGTGCCTCACAAGGATTAAAAATTTTTTCCTTGACATAATTGTTCAATCAGAATAATGTTGTCCTTATTTCAGTCCAATGCTATCATTATCTAAGGAAATTTTGCATAAACTACTTCATGTGTTCTATTAGATATATATGTGAGCATATCGATATGTGTATATGTGTGGGTGTATATGCATTCAGTGTAAAATAATGTATTGAGAGCACGTATCTATCTATAGGTTCTCTCAACACACCAGTGATATAAGTATAAAAATTTTTGTTTGCCATGAAATAATTCATATCAGTCGTGAAAACCCTAGTGGCTGTCACCAGTAGATAACATATTTTGGAGAATTCCTGAAAGGCAGAAAAGGTAAGATTTTATTAATGGATATATGGGACACAGGAAACCACAGATGAAACTTACAGGTGAGAAAGCTGTAAGCAGAGATAGGAGCCATAGGTTCTGAAACTGCATTAAGTTCAGAGTGAGCCGGTCCTAATCATCCCAGTGGAGTTGTCTAGAGGGCAGCCATCAGCAGAGCTAATCAGAGGGTTGTCTGTATCATACAGAAAATACCAGGAAGGTAAATCCTCCCAATTTCCCTCTCCACTACCCGAGTTTACAGAGCTCTGGCTGCAGCACTTGGCCTGACCTGTGTTAAGACACAAGAAAGCTGCTTTCTAAAGACCGTGGAAGACATATGATGTGGCTGTTGGGCTTGGAAAGAGGACTAGTAGGATTCAGCATAGAAAAGTAAACCAATAAATGCAGGTCCATAGCTCCACTGAGGGCTAAAGTACAGCAAAACTGCTCCCCCTGGAGTGAAGTTCATCTTAACTTTGTAAATTACGCGAGCCCTGAGCTGGTGTCCTGTCTTCTCTCATGCTTCCCCATGCTCCATAAGAGAAAGCCCAGGTCGCAGTGAAAATCACTCTTGTCCCATGGCCCTCTCTTATGCCTCCCATTGGAGGGAAAGTTATTTTGGGTAAAGAGTAGGAAGAGATAGATGTAAAAAATAAACAAAACAATTGACTAGAGGAACTACAGGAAGTCAGTGAACCTAACAGAAATATATTACCAATTACAATTAATATTCTTAGAGAAAGGTGAGAGAATATCATATTCATAGTACAAGACAAGGCTACTATGAAAGAGGAGAAAATGTAGAACCAAAATAAGTATTTCTTGCTAATTAAAAATATGATTGTCAAAATACATAAAAAATCAGTAGAAAATCTGATATAATAGACACTGACATCCATTACAGAATAAATGAAGAAGGGAATACATGAATATATGAAGAAAAATTTACAATTAGATACATTATTCTGAAATTTCAGACCTTCAAATATAAAGAGAAAATTCAATTCTCTGGAGAAGAAATGAGAATATCTAGAAACACAAAATTTTCACCTTGGTATCAGACTTCTAAGAGTGTTATTAATTGCTAGAAACTAATGAAGCAAAGCAAATACTCAGAATTTGAATCTGAAAAGTATAAATCAGATATGAGAACAAAAGAAGCATATTTTTGAGATTTGCGAAGACAGAATGTTTAGTTTTATACAAATCTTTAAAACACTTACTTAACATCATGATACAGTAAAACAATAAAAGAGAAACCCAACAAAAAAGAAAATATTAGATCCAAGCAGTAAAAGTAACCCACATTTTATTTGAAAAACAATCTCAGAAAGACATATGTACAGCTGACATAGACTTTTATCTGTCCAATTTAGACCAAGAAGTAAAAAGAGCTTTTTAAAAGATACCATTTTGGACTTATGGAAGAAAAAAATTGAGAGAGTTAGAAGCCTTAATAAGATGAACCTGTAGTTCTCTTATTTCCAGAAGGTAATGAAAAAGTGATTGGATATTCTAGGAAAAGAAAAACGAGAATGTCATGATTCAAATATGAAACAAACTAAGATGTGACGTGATGAAATGGAAAGGAATCTATTTGATCTTAATGCCTGGAAATTCCATGTTAAGTGGCATAGATTTATGTGGATAGAATTATGCCTCAGTTTCTGATTCCAGTCCTATTCAATTCTTTGTGGAACAACATTTGGATCATTCAAATGTAAAGGAATAATGATTTTCAGTGTTTTCAAATTTAGAAATATTCCAGAAGAGCCCAGGTATGGTGGCTTATGCCTGTGATCCCAGCACTTTGGGAGGCTGAGGCGGGTAGATCACAGTGTCAGGAATTCACTACTCTGATTTGCTCAGAAAAAGGCTAAGATGGTGAAACCCCATGTCTACTAAAAATACAAAAATTAGCCGGGCGCGGTGGCGGGCACCTGTAATCCCAGCTACTCGGGAGGCTGAGGCAGGATAATTGCTTGAACCCGGGAGTTGGAGGTTGCAGTGAGCTGAGGTCACACCACTGCACTCTAGCCTGGGTGACAGAGCAAGATTCTGCGTCCAAAAAAAAAAAAAGAAAAGAAAAGAAATATTCCAGAAAAATAATGTACCTGTTTTGAACATTGATAAAAGAGTTTGCAGATATGGAAAGAAAGGAGAGAAGTGGTACCAGAGAAGTGTTACTATTTCTTCATCTAATGTACTGGGTAATCAACGTGTACTACTTAATTTTGTTGAATCAAAACTAGAGAATAAATTTTCTTAGTTAAAATTATAAAAGTAACTGCTAACAGAACTAAAATAATAATATAATAAATTAAAATCTGGAGATAGGTGACAGAAAGGGAAATTAAAGTTGTGTAAGAAGGATAATAATTATATTTCATATCAGAAAAAATGTATATTTTAAATTTACTAGTCAGTAAAGTTAGAAATATTATTTATAATTATGATAAAGACTATCAAAACAGAAAGGGTTAAAAATGTTTACATTTCAAGAATAGAGGAGGAAGTAGGGTGAGGGATGCAAAATATTTTATTTCTTTATCTTTTTTAGCATGGTGCATTTATTTCTGTTATGATTTACAAATATGAGTTGCAAACCAGATATTAAGGAGCCCCAATAAGATAGTGTTAAAATTCCTATGTCCAAGATGTTTTCAAATATAAGTAGCAGAAACTTTGACTCATACTGGCTTAAACCATAAAGGCCTTTATTATGTCAATAATTCAAAACCCCAGGGGAGGATGGATATCAGGAAAGGCACTTTATATAGTTGGCTGACTGTTTCAGGTTGTTTTAGTAGCTCAGTCATATCATGGGTATTATAATTTCTTTACATGTAAATATCATAATGTTCTCAGAAGTTTGGATTTGCCCTTAGAACCACTCATTTAGTAACAAAAGGGCTGTAGGAGTCCCAGGCATTCTACCCAAAAATCGCAATGCCATAGGAAGAAGAGGTATTTCATCTTCTCATAATTTCTTCTCAGAAGTTAGAAAATATCTCCCAAAAGTTTCCCTTTTTTCTCACTGGCAATAATTGGGTCACATACTCTTTCCTATATGAATAAATAACACAAACATTGCTACTACTCTGATTTGCTTAGAAAAAGTATGATCCAAGAATACGGCCATTTTTCTTTGGAACCTAAAAATGTAGAGTAAGAAGTCCTTTAACAGAACCATTATTCTAATAGAAATAAAAACAACCAAATGGATGCTGAGTGGGCAAACTAATGTGTTCTCAAGTGTTCTAAGCAGAATTATTGATGCAGTGGAGACTAGAAAATTCCTAAATTTTAATCCATATTCCCAAATCACCTGCTAATCTGGGTCTGAATTTCCTCACCTATGAGATCAGAATGATTAGCTAGGTTGGAGGTTCTCATGCTCTAGCATACATCAGAGCCACCTGGAAGGTTCATTACAACACCAATTATAGGTTACCAACCTCAGAATTTCTGATTCAGTAAATCTGGGTGTTAAAAGTTTGCATTTCTCACAGGTTCCCAGGCAATGCTGATGTTGCTGGTCTGGGAACTACACACTGAGAACCATTGACCTAGGTGATCTTCTTTGTGAAGACTCATCTCAGAATCCCTGGTGACTGGCCTAGTGACTAAAAATTAACAGGTCCAGAATTATTACTATTACTATTATTATTTGAGATGGAGTCTCACTCTGTCGCCCAGGCTGGAGTGCACTGGCGTGATCTTGGCTCACTGCAACCTCCACTGCCTGGGTTCAAGTGATTCTCTTGCCTCAGCCTTCCAAGTAGCTGGTACTACAAGTGTGTGCCACCACGCCCAGCTATTTTTTTTTTTTTTTTGTATTTTTAGTAGAGACAGGGTTTCGCCATGTTGGCCAGGCTGGTCTCGACCTCCTGACCTCAGGTGATCCACCTGCCTCGGCCTCCCAAAGTGCTGGGATTACAGGCTTAAGTAAACCACTCTACCTGGCCCAGAATTATATTTTTTAAAAAGAAACTTACTTGCTTTTTGTCTGCCATTTCCAACAGTGCTTTTATACCTACTATGGCTACTCAATTAAAGACTTGCTTTAAATACTGTTAAATAAGTATAGAAGTATTATTTTCAAGTATTTTTCAAGGAAACTATATGACATTTCAACTACATTGTGACCTACTTTACAAACTCTCATTGGGTACTTTATTATAATTTGTACATAACTTTGTTATAATTTAATAGACTTGCTAAGAAATAAATTTATGGAACTCAAAAAAAAAAAAGAAACTAAATACGTATATTCTGTTTCTAACCTTCAGTAAATCTTAGTTTTTCTCTAGATCTAGATTTATCACAACTACAAATTCTATTTTTCTTTCCAATTAAAAATTTACTGTTGCCTACATTCCCTGAATAATCTTGTACTATTAAAATAATTTGATATTTATTAATTCCCTGGTTTGATCTTTATTCACCCACCTGCCTGCGTTATGTAAGTGCAACAATATGTCTGATTTTTAAAAAAAATTTTAGAAATCAAGCACTTAATACTAACAAAATTCTATAACCTGAATTCCTCCAGTGCTGTTTTGTGGTGACCAACATGTAGCCAAAAGCCTATTACTACGCCTCAGGCTTCTCGCTGTGGGGAATTATTTCCTAAGCTTATTTGACTACAGAACACATTTAAACATTGGCAGAATATCAAGCAAAGCTCATGAGATGTAAGGTTCATTTGGATTAAAATGGAGAAATAAATGATCTCACAGATGAATTCTCTGCTATAAGAAATAACTGAGTTCTCATTTATATGCTTTTTAAGAAACATTATAAAGATAATTTAGAACAATTAAGTAATATTAATTATGATCAAAAAGAACAAAGTAAAGTAAAATAATTCACTTTATATGTTGATATGAAAACTAACACAAAGAACATTTTAATGAGACCAGTCCTTTTAAGTGATTTCTTCCTTTATCGTTAATATTATGAATAATTTTATTGAATTATGTTTTTATACTGGACAAAACATTGTGTTTGTTGGGGATGATTTCTTTCCACTTTAATGCTGCATAACAGTCTTGTTTGCAGACATCTGCTGCATCAGAAATAATAAAACAGACTATGGTTCAGCAATGGAATACCTTTGAATTAGGGTTTTCCAGAAACTATTTATTAATTTCTATTAGACCGCTTGGCTTCTGAGATTTTGAAAAACACAGTCTTTAATTGTTAATCTTTCCTTGATTTATTCTATTCAATGCCAAGAAACTGTTTTGTATCTAAAAGTTTTATTTATTTATTTATTTATTGAGACAGGATCTCACTCTGTCGGCTAGGCTGGAGCATAGTGGCATAATCTCAGCTCACTGCAACCTCTGCCTCCTGGACTCAAGCAGTCCTCCCACTTCAGCCTCCTGGGTAGTTGAGACCACAATTGTGTACCACCATGCCAAGCTAATTTTTTGGGGGGGAATTTTTTGTGAAGATGAGCTTTCATTACATTGTTCAGGCTGGTCTTGAACTCCTGGGATCAAGCTATCTACCTGCCTTGGCCTCCCAAAGTGCTGGGGTTACAGGTGTGAGCCACTGCACCTGGCTGAAACTTCTTTTTTCACCCACAGATCTTTGTGTCTTATAAATATTAGACTTTGAATAATATTGAATAACAAACATATATTAAAATTGCAAACTAAGACATACTATAGACTGCTAATCATTAAAACAAAGACAAATCAAGGAATTGCTTCTTTGATGAATGATGCTTAAAAATTAATTGAATTGGCCAGGCACAGTGGCTCAAGCCTGTAATCCCACCACTTTGGGAGGCCTAGGCGGGCAGATCACGAGGTCAGGAGATCGAGACCACCCTGGCTAACACAGTGAAACCCCGTCTCTACTAAAAATACAAAAAATTAGCCAGATCCAGTGGCAGGCACCAGTAGTCCCAGCTACTCAGGAGGCTGAGGCAGGAGAATGGCGTGAACCCAGGAGGCGGAGGTTACAGTGAGCCGAGATAGCACCACTGCAGTCCGGCCTGGGTGAAAGAACGAGACTCCGTCTCAAAAAAAAAAAAAAAAAAAAAGTTAATTGAATTTTAGTTAAGAAGTGGCTATTCATTCATTGGCCAATTTCTACTGTGATTTCTTTGTATCTGGTGTGCATGGCATATTATGTAACTATAATAACTATACATGTTTTCGGTATTATTTTTACATAACTTCAAAACCTATTTTAGTTAAGATTATTATTATTGTAAGAATCAACTGTAGATAGATGCCTGTGGGTACACATTAATATTTCATAGAAACATTGGGGACCAGGCTGGAATTGGAGAAACTGTATAGCACTAAGATTCATAAGACTCACTTGACTTCCAGTGACACTAACTGACAAGCTTTATTCAAAGCAGTCAAATTATAATTTTGTACCTACTGTAACATCAAAAATGATCTCATAGATGTCATCAATGACTGCTGAGTTGTCATTTAGAATGGTCAATTGTCAATGCTCATTTTATTGGACCTATGAACAGTATTTGCTATTGTTGATCTGTTTCTTCAGCTTGAAATGTGTTATTCCCCTTGGATTCCAGTTTACCACTTGTGGTTCTTTTCCTGCTTCACTGGCTGTTCCTTTTCAGTCACTTTGCTTTTCATTTTCCTGATATCTAATGTTGGAGTGTCTCAGGGCTTAGATCTTGGTCCTCTTTTTTTCTCTATCAACATCCATATACATCAGTTTCATAAGTGACATCTTCTGGTTCTATCTATACGCCAATGGCAAGTGTGTGTGTGTGTGTGTGTGTGTTTGTGCACGCGCCCGTGTATGTGTGTGTGTATCTCCGGCATTAACTTCCCCTATGAACTCTAAACTGCTATAAACAACTACCTTCTCACACTGCATAGTAGATGTCTAATAGGATTCTAAATTAGAATCTGTCAAAGACCAAACAAATTAATCATTCCCTTCAAGGCTGATTGTCCCACAATCTTCTTATGACAATAAGTAACAGCCCTATTATTCTAGTTGCTTAGACCTACAAACCTGGAGATATCCATGACTTAATTCTTTTTCTCACCATCAATTCTTCTGAAATTGCTGTTAGATTTATATTCAAAATACATCCAGAATAGAAATATTTCTTACCATTTCTACCCCTACCACGTCCATTATCTCTCACCCTGTATGGCTAAAGTAGCCTTCTAAACTGGTCTTTCTGCTGTCTTGACACTCGATGGCAATCCAGAGTGACCTTTAAAAAATCATATTCAAGTCATATCAGCTTCTCTGCTCAAAACCCTCCAGAGGCTTCCTGTCTCATGCAGGGAATATAAGAGTTATTTTCCATGGCCTGCAGGGTCACATAATCTACCTCTATTACCTCACTGATGCTCTGACTCCTTCTCTGTAGCCACCATGGCCTCCTAATTGTTTCTCAAACATGCCCAGAGAACTCTTCTCTCATGACCCTTGCCCTTGTTCTATGCTCTCCTTGGAGCACTCTTCCTTCTCCAGAAGAGAATTTATTTTAGGTCTATATTAAAAGGCAACTTCTGTAATCCCAGCACTTTGGGAGGCCAAGGGAGGCAGATCACCTGAGGTCAGGAATTCGAGACCAGCCTGGCCAACATGGCAAAACCCTGCCTCTACTAAAACTATAAAAATTACCCAGATGTAGTGGTGTGCACCTGTAATTCCAGCTACTCCAGAGGCTGAGGCAAGAGAATCGCTTAAACCCAGGAGGCAGAGGTTGCAGTGAGCTGAGATCTCGCCACTGCACTCCAGCCTGGGCGACAGAGCAAGACTCTGTCTCAACAAAATAAAATAAAATAATAAAATAAAAAGGCAACTCATACAGACTATTCCACCTAAACTTATACCTTCACCTCAGCTTTTTCACTCACCACTTATTTTTTCTTTCTTCTTTTTTATAACTCAGCATGACTCAAATGCGCACAAACACAGTAGCAGTTTGTGACAGCTCCATTTTTCTGTTGTTCAGGCCAAAAATGTTCATTTTTTAAAATTTATCTTTTTCTCCCTCATACTCTTCACTCAACCCCATCAACAAATGATATTGGTTCTGCTTTAAAAAGATATTGATGTACAGACAATTAGATGTAGACATATACCTCTACGTAAGCTGTTACCACTTCTCACCACATTTGCTGCCATCATTGTTTTACCTGGATTATTGCAATTGCATTCTCACTGACATCTCTGCTTATGTCCCTGATCCTCTTTAGTCAGTTTACCATAAAGTAGTTTGAGTGATCTTATTACATACAACATACATCACATCACTCTACTAATGAAAACCCCTAACAACTTTTCTTTTTTAATCAAAATAAAAGCAATCCCACTGTTATAAAAAATGAGACGTTACCTGGTCTCCCAGGGCTATTAATTTCCTGAGTGCATTTCCACTCTCCCTCCACCTTGTTTCCCTTACTCCAGCCATGCTGGCTTCCTGTGGTTCCTTCAACATGGAGGACATGTTTCAGCCCCAGAGTCTTTGCACTTGCTTTTCCTCCTCTGTCAGAAAAAGTCTTCCATCAGATATCGAAGGAAGTGCTTCCTCCCTTCCTTTAAGGCCTGTATTCCGGTGTCATCTTCTCAGTAAAACTTGCCTGGCCAGTCTGCCAAATTTCATTCCTCCCTGAATCTCCTTTTTGTTCTTTAATTTTTTAATTTATTGAACATATGATAATTATTTACTGATTTACCTTGTTTGTTTCCTCTTTCCTTACCAGATTGGAAACCCCAGTAGGGCACAAGTTATTTGCCTATTTTGCTTTCTTTTCTATTGTTTTTGATGCTATATTCCCAGTTTTTAGAACCATGTTTGGTACATAATAAGCATTCCAACAATAAAATATTGTTGGAAGAACAAATTGATTATTGGATATGTTTAGGTATATATTATGTCCCTCCTCACTAGAAGGTAAGCTCCATGAATACAAGGGGGAGATTTGGCTCTCTATCACATCTACAGAAATGAAAAGGATGCTTAGACCACTGAAGGATTCAAGAAATATTTGTTAAATGGACAAACCACCACCATCAACTTGACTTCACTGAGCCTCAGTGTCCCCAGATGGAAAATGAGAGGCTTAGACTAGAATCTAGGCACTTACTTATTAGATGAACTCCAAAAACTTTTCTGTTGTGATATTTTGTATCCTCACAGCCTTCTCTTTAGTCATCAACTTCCTGTGGATAGAGCAATCAATAGTAACTGAGATACCAAAATACTGAAAATGCTGTGTCCAAAAAGAAATATTCTGCGATGCAACTGCTCAGCAAATTTCTAAAAAAAAATAACCATTATTTTGGGACTGTGTTTGAAGCAATTGTTGCTCTTGGCCATGGAATGCCAAGATCCGATAACCCAGTTGAAAATAAATGGAGAGCTTTAACCTAGTCCTCCAAAATGCTCCAAATAGAACTTGTCTTTCTCAATATTTTTTTAGGAGGCAGTTATACACATATGTATGTGCATACATATATATATGTACACAGAATATAGCTTTATTAAGGGTTATCAAAACCAATTCTGTATTTCTTATTAGTTGTGTCAAGTTAGCACAACCTTGTGATGGGAGCATGATGGAACTGCTTAAGCTTTTATTTGGGAATTAATAATCTGCTTAAAAACCTGTGGCCAGGCTTGAAAAATACCAGCTCCCTGGTTTAATTCCTTTCTTCTCCCTTTGAAACATGCCTTTATGCAGTATTTGCTCTACTCAAATTGTCTATTTACTGTTTCCCTTGTTTCACTTTCGGGTATTGCATAAGTTTTTCCTCTGTCCTCTGATACTCTCCCCAAACTTCCCTCCATGAAAATTGTTCTGCTTCTCTAGTACTTAGAACTGCACAATCCAGTGTGACAGCCACTAGCCACATGTGACTATTTAAATATAAATTAACTAAAATGAAATAAAATTTTAGTTTTTCAATTCCACTAAGTGCTCAGTTGCCATATATGGTCAATGCCTATAGCATTAGACCGTGCAAATATCAAACATTTCCATTATCACAGAAACTTCAATTAAAATTAAAATGTAGCTAGCAAATACACATTTTTTTTTGTTTTTTCTCCTTGGAGAATAATTAAGAAAGTCTCTAATTTCCATATGTCAAGAAATATTGCCATGTCAGATACAAGGCAGATATGCTAAGTTAATTAAATTGCAGTCCTATTCTTGTCTAATTACTCAATCCAGCATTGAATAAAGTTGATCTTCTTTTGCCCTAACAAGATTAGGTATATTGTATTGATTTTGAAAAGTTACTTGCCTCTTCAAATGCTCCTTTTGTCATGGTGGATTGACTTACCCACCCAGGGAGACAGTAACGTGCTAAATTTCATAAGGGTGCCTTGTAAGACAATTAAACTTACGTGTGCATGCAATCTGATGAGAAAAATATAAGGTGGATCCCTAGGCAAATAATAAACCCCAAGTGACATCCCTTGGTCCTGAAACTACTTTCGTTTCACTACTTCTTCCCTCTTATGCTCAGCTTCCAAGTCATTGAAAAATATCTTTTCTAATGAGAAAAATACATGTGTTTTGGGGAAACAGAGATTTCACATTGCAGTGAGGTACAGTGAGTATCTAGTGAGTATACTAGGGTGATTTTGCTTTAACCCCCATTTTATTTAAAAAAAAAAACTAATTCATTTTAATTTGAGGACCTGCATTAACAGCACAGAATTTTATAAATATGAGTCCCATAAGGGAAACTGTAGCCTCACTCATGACAAATATTCAAAATGACAAACACAGGTAAGAAAGTGACATGTTCAAGTCTAGCATGATTTATTGTTTTTCTAAGACGTTTTCCATAAGAATAAAAATACATTTACAATTCAAGCTGGTAACTACACAAAGTAATGTGAAGTTTTAAAGAGATCAAATACACACTGTGTTCTTACTTACATTTCAAGATACATCTAAACAAAGAATGTTTTCCTTTTCCCTTTTTATGCTTCCTGTTGTGTGCATTATATAAATGTCTGCTGTTTTAATATACTTGCTCAAGGACCATAGCTGTGTTTTAGTTGATTGTAAAGAGACATTGTGACCAAATTGCACAATCACAGACAAACTAGCCTACACACTACCACAGTGAAAAAAAAAATAGAGCACCTTAGGTAAAGGCCCTTAGAATTTATATTAATTGCTATGTAGAAGAGTAAAAGACAACATGAATGGTAGCACAGAGAAATTTTGCTGCCACTGATGACTCTTTCCTATAAATGACAGATAGAGAAGTATTAACATAACTACTGCCTATACCTGCTCGTTAAGACACGGCTAGCCTAACCACATATGGTATCCTCCATAATTTATCATAATATGTAGAAGTGTTACCTTCAGGCAGCTGATATTATGGGAAACAATTAAATAAAACACTATGGTGCTATCTCTGTGGGTAGAAAACAACTGAGGAATTCAAGTATCTGACACACCCAATGGGGCAGCCAGAATCTGCCTATCTGGCATCCTCATGGCTGAATTTACAGGGTGTGCCATTTAAATTGTAGATTTCATTTGCAGTGGGATAGATGTGAATGCAATGACCTAGCCCTTTACTCATCAATAAAGATTTTTCTGCATCTTTCTCTCACTGAAATATTATTCCTACAGTTAGGATTTCCATACGAATCAACCCTGTAAGGGCTATGGAACCAAGACACACACAGCATGAACATGTCTTTCCTTGTGTGCTTCCATTTTTGAAGCTGACACGAAATAGCAATACCGGGAATAATGAGGGAAGCTGCATTGGATGCTGTGGCTTAGAAAAGTGACAATGTTAGTGAGAAAGCCACAGCACAAGGATCCCAAGGTGAATTAAAGAAACAACAAACAAAACAAAACACCAACTAAGAATAGTGACCAGAGACTTGAAGATCCAATGTGTTGTTTATCGAAGGCTGCTGTTTTAATCAAAAAGAGAAAGATTTTACCAGTCACTTTGGGCTTAAATGTCATGATATTTTCTGGGTGAAATTAGCCAGACATCATTCTTATGGAGGTGTTTTATTATTATCACTTGGTTTGAGATTTTTCTCTTAAAGGAAAATCTCAGAATCCTTTGACCTGTGCAGAGTCCTTTGACCTGTGCATATTGAAGGAGTTTAAGTCAAATTTAATCTCTATCTCAAACCATTTTCTATGATGATGGTCATTCAAGAGCTATTACTGCATCCTTAAAGCCCACCAGTGTTGAAGTTTCTCTTAGCCAATTCCCTTACAGAACAATAAACTTCATAGGAAGATTGATGCATTTGAGCTATAATTTGAGAAATTCAGCTCAGCTCTGGAATCTGGGCCAATGCATTTAATTGAGAACACATTTAAATTTCTTTGATATTTCTTTATAGCAAAGCATAATACCTCAGGGGAAAACATATTTCATCTAAGTTACATTAACTTTGTTAAATAAGTAAATACCCACTTACCTGTAAGCAAAAGAAATGGACAAAATATAAGCTACTGGCTTTATCCTCCTTGCATCCAGAATAAGCAATTTCTTTTCCATAGAATTATTTTCAATCAGCAATTAGTCATGCTGAATAAATATTTTATGTAGAGGCCTTAAGAAACAATTCAGTTTTCCTATAAAAGTAATTGACTCCTGTCTATTTTCAACTCTTGAAAAATTGTCTTGGCTTCCCTTGATTGATTAGAATGTGTACAGACAAAAACAGCACAGCTCCCACCATTATCCTGTTTCCTAAGTTATGGTCATGCATGGCCTGGAATAGAGTTATAATGGCTATAAAGTTCATTACACAAGCTATAGAGTGAAGAAAACTTAGGCATTCTATAGTTGGATTTGTTGAGCCTAGTGTTTTCGATATGCAAAGAGTTAATTTAAAGGGCTATTTTCTTCTGTCTTAAAGGATAGGGTTTGCATAGTAACATGTTCAGGTGCACATGAAGACTACTCCATAGGAGAAAACAGTTCCACAGAGTCTCACTATGACAGCATCATTGCCCTCACAGTGAGAAATTTGTTGGCATTGAAGGAGGAGAAAGAGGAGTTATGAGACAAAGTTTCCATAGTGAAAATAATGAATATAAAATAGGAGCATGGTACTACTCTAAGCTGTTCTGAAAAAAATACTAATTTTTAATCTTTCTTTTAGATGCTACAGTAGGCTTGTGTAAAGTTTCTATAGCATTGAGAAGTTGTGAATGACACATTTATTTGATATGTAATTTATTTATTTATTCATCTATATATTTATTTATTAAATGTCCAGGTTGTTCCAAAAAGTATTAATGATAATAAAATAAAATCTAACAGAATTTTTTTAAAGTGAAAAGAGATTGGCAAATGGAAAAATAAGAACTGAAAAGCAGTAAGATAAAGCTAGGGTAACATAATATTTAAAATCAAAGTTATGACTAGTGGATCACCAATTTATCTCTGAATTTTTGGTATCCAGTGTAAAAGGAGAAATATGAGGAATCAAACATTCTTATAATTCATATGTTAAAAAATTCAGAATATTAATAAAGATGAAATACATTCATATTGTGAAGATTGAGACCTGAGAGAAGTTTGTCCTATGAATCATTATAAAGATGTCCCTTTATGATATAAACATTGCTGTGTTTATGGGGGATTCTTAGAGCAAGTATAATGGGTTATAATCAGGTAATGATTTACTATGCTTCTAGGCTGAGGGTATCATGCCCAAAATACAACTTATTGAACCCAATTTATCATCATTCAAAAAGAAAACAAGAAATCCACAAAGTGACATCTGTGTATCTCTTTCTCTATACTTTGAAAGAATTAAAGCATGCTCATGTGCATGTGCACACATACAATTTATGCTGAAAAAATTAAAATATGACTTTACAGGAAATTCTGCATGGAAAAAGACATCCCTTCATCTAGTAACAATATTCAGATAATATTTCCTTATGGTATGGTAGGACATGACCAAGAATGAGGTATAGTAATTTTAGAAAATATAATCATGTAGGTGTTATTGACAGAAGAGCAGAGAATGTTAACACCCAATGGAGCATATGAAAGACTGTCCAACTTTTTTTCCTATTACTCTGATTCTAGCCTATATATTGAGGATTCTAGAATCTTTGTGGTTGATGGATCCTTTTGGAGATTTAGCATATCTTCCAACTTAATATAAAAATTTTTTCTACAATTTTTGACAATGTCTTCTTGAGCATTCATGTCATTTTTTAAAAATGTGGTTCAGTCTCTGTTTTTTCCTTCTATTTTCTTTTCTTTTTAGACTCTATCCTTATAATTGAAACAAAATCTACTTTGTTTTAATGTTCACCCATTCATCCTGTCTTATCAAAGTTTCACAGATGTATTCTAATCTCTGTTCTATTTAGCAGTCTCTTAAATGTGCTAAAACACTGAACACATCGTTCTTCCCTATGGTTTCACTTGAGAAATTAAATATGCATAGGTATGCCAGCCATTCTTCAACTGATATAGGTTTTAGACCCTTAATCGCTCATTCATCTTAAAATGCGTTGTTTGTCAACATCATTCTTACAATATTGCACCAAGAACTGGAAGCATGGCCAAACTAAAAAAAGAGGGGAAATAGAGTGTGGAACAGAGAATGGCCCAGCTCAGGTTGGTTTGGCCTGTGTTATGCTTGGTGAAAGCACATACAGATAGAAAACTGTAGACCTCTGAGTGAACTCAGCCAATTTCATGATCTTGCCTCACCGTGTTTTCTCCAACATCCTTATTTCATAATGCTAGCGACCAGCATGCCATCACATTATCTTGAAAGTTCTTAAGGAATTGTTTCATTTGAAAAATCTTTTCCATTGTCCGTATGATCTCCTCCTATCTTGCCCCCTTCCAACTATGCTACTGCCTAGAACTAATTTTGTTGAATAAAAAGTACATTAAAGTTATTACATCCATTTCTCTGGTGAGTATAATTGTACTGATGATTAGTAACAAAATGTTGGCTACTAAAATAGTCATAATACCACTGTTGATTAATACATGCTGAGTTTTCTTCTAAAAGACTTTGATATTACTTACATAAACTATGATTAAGTTCAATCTCCATGAAGTTCTTGTGCAGCAGATTGTTAAAACCAATATGGTAATTTACATATATCCCTCTTAGGTTTAGCTCTTAGTTTCATCGTATGTTTCCATGTGTTAAGATCTTTTAAAATCCTGAATGTGTTATATGTAGGTTTGAAAACTGTGTATTCATTCCTGTCATTGACTTTAATGTTCTATAGAGAGGTTAGAACATATGCTCAGGAAACATCTCTTTAAGCTGACATCATATCTTTAAGTCATTATCTTTTTTTGTTTGTTTGTTTGAAACAGAGTCTCCCTCTGTCACCCAGGCTGGAGTGCAATGGTGAGATCTCGGCTCACTGCAACCTCCACCTCCCGGGTTCAAGCGATTCTCATGTCTCAGTCTCCTGAGTAGCTGAGATTACAGGCATGCACCACCATACCTGGCTAATTTTTTGTACTTTTAGTAGAGACAAGGTTTCACCATGTTGCCCAGGCTGGTCTTGAACTCCTGAGCTCAGGTGATCTGCCCTCCTCGGCCTTCCAAAGTACTAGGATTACAGGCATGAGCCACCACACCTGGCCAATCTTTGACTACAGTTACTCTACTAACTGTAAATCAACTCATTATTACTGTAACCTGTTTGCTCAAAATATTTCCATAAGTTTGTCCCTTATATATACTACTTCTCTATTGTAATGAAAATAAAAGTATTTCGATATGACTTAACCACCTCCTATTTAAATAACAAAAAGCATGTCTAAAATTTTGAGCTATAACTGGGGAAAGGAATAAGTTGCAATTTACTTGTTCTGAAGTCTACCTTTTCTCCTTTTTCAAAACTATTTTCGTTTGACTTTTTTTATTTTCTATAAATTTTTAAAATACTAGAATTTTTTTTACTGATATTAGTAATGTTTCATCTCACTACTTTGAATATAATTTTCCTGACTTTAAAGATTTGACAATTTGAAAGTTTCTGAGTTATTCCACCATTATCTGCTTAACTATATTTGTTTTCATTTATCTTTGAGGTTTGTTTTATAATTTTGCTAGTTTGAAGGTCATTAACTTTGATAGTGATGACTTTGCTTGTCTAGAAAAATAATGTAAAATGTTTAAGTCCAAAAAAGAAAGAAAAATTATCAAGAAAAGTGTTGGTATAAGACAGATAAGGCTTCAATATCTCAATACTAACACACAGTTGCTAAATAAATGTATTCATATTAGTTCAAGTCATGTGAACATGGCAAAAAGTATAATTTACATATTGAGCTTTCTTTATTTTGCTGAATCAATTACATAGCATATTTAAATTACATAGCATCAAGAAGAATGAAAGGAGGTGTACTGTAGAAGTATCTTGGCAATTTGAACTGGAAAAAAGAATGCTTTCCCTGCATCTTGTTTCATATAATTATGGAATGCAATTGAAAATGAAATTCTAGATCTAGAATCTTATCTCCCATTTCTGTGAGGTATATTATAAAAAGGTAAAACTGCATTATCTCTACTTTAGAACAAAAGTAACTAAATTCTACAATAATAAAGAGACTTAAAGCATGTCGTCCACTTTGTACAGTTCTTTAGTGGTAAGGCAAAAATTAGACTAAGGTTTCATCTGTAATGCAATGCTTTTCAGGTAACCCACCCATCTTGGGCCAAAAGCTTTTACTGTGTTTGTTTAAAGATGAAAAAGAGGATTAGCACACATTCAATTTTGACTGATTTGCTCATTTTCATACTTGGAATACTAAAATCCTAACCTGACATAGTTTACTGAGTTGAAAAATGGTCTGATTCTTTTCATCAGGTAGCTCTAGCCTTGGTCCTCAGACTTCTGGATAAAATGAAGTGGAAGCAGTTATTCATGTTCAAGATAAAAACACTCAGAATATTTGTGTACTCACTGTCTGAATAATCCATACCAAGTTACTTTAACATCCAAGATATTTTATTAATTACTCAGTTCTCCACCTTAGTTTGTATGTGTAGGCATAGCCTTAAGAAACCTTTTTTGAAATTTTCTCATTGTGAAAAAAAAAATGCTTGGTGACTATGATATGGAGCTCTGTAATTGATTTTATGAGAAAAGATCTTGAAGGTTTGCGCCTTTTCACAGAAAATACCAACATTACTTTGGTCTAAGGAGTGAGAGGAGATGTTGAACATTACATTGGGAAGAATTGCAATAACCCCTGTGCAGCCCCCTTTCACTTTAGTGGAAGTGAAATGCCATTAGCCTTTAGCACTGAAAGGAAAAAAGTGTAAATTTGAGGGGTAGTGTGGAGACAGAATGATGACATAAGCCAAAAATAAAATATTTTTCAAAGAAACTGAAGACAGGTAGTGTTTGTATTTCTGATCTTAGGTAACAAGCATGTATGCCCTATGCTTTTCCTCACTAGACTGGTACATTTGCAATCAAGTTCCTTTAAAATGCTATTCTCTTAAGAGATGCCTTGTATTGACATAGCCTGTGTTTATTACTTGAAAGATCCAAGAATAAAGTGAAATGTGCTCTTCCGTCCTCAAGGTGAGTGTCTGCAAAGTAGGTGTCACTTTTATTTAGGAAAGAAAACATTGGATTAAACAAATGATTTTGTACTCAAGTTGTACATGGCAGAGGGAGGAGTTCAGAAATGTTTAGTGAAAGAAAGGAAAGTTTAAGCTTTGAGATTCTCTTGATTTTAATATAGGTGAAGGGCTTCCTCTTTTTAATGACTTAAAATTAAGTTATCTTAGCTCTTGTAGATGTATTCTTTAGGTATATGTGCCTTCAAAAAAAGTTAGGTAAATCCATCTTGAGTTAATTTTTGTATAAGGTGTGAGGTTTTCTGCATATGGCTAGCCAGTTTTCTCAACACCATTTATTAAATAGGGAATCCTTTCCCCATTGCTTGTTTTTGTCAGGTTTGTCAAAGATCAGATGGTTGTAGATGTGTGGCACTATTTCTGAGGCCTCTGTTCTGTTCCATTGGTCTATATATCTGTTTTGGTACCAGTACCATGCTGTTTTGGTTACTGTAGCCTTGTAGTATAGTTTGAATTCAGTAGTGTGATGCCTCCAGCTTTGTTCTTTTTGCTTAGGGTTGTCTTAGCTGTATGGGAGCTTTTTTGGTTCCATATGAAATTTAAAGTAGTTTTTCCTAATTCTTTGAAGAAAGTCAATGGTAGCTTGATGGAGATAGCATTGAATCTACAAATTACTTTGGGCAGTATGGCCATTTTCACGATATTGATTCTTCCTATTCATGAGCATGGAATGTTTTTCCATTTGTTTGTGTCCTCTCTTATTTCCTTGAGCAGTGGTTTGTAGTTCTCCTTGAAGAGGTCCTTCATATCCCTTGTAAGTTGTATTCCTAGGCATTTTATTCTCTTTTTAGCAATTGTGAATGTGAGTTCACTCATGATTTGGCTCTCTTATTATTGGTGTATAGGAATGCTTGTGATTTTTTGCACATTGATTTTGTATCCTCAGACTTTGCTGAAGTTGCTTGTTAGCTTAAGGAGATTTTGGGCTGAGACGGTGGGGTTTTCTAAATATACAATCATGTCATCTGCAAACAGAGACAGTTTGACTTCCTTTCTTCCTATTTGAATACGCTGTATTTCCTTCTCTTGCCTGATTGCCCTGGCCAGAACTTCCAATACTATGTTGAATAGGAGTAGTGAGAGGAGGCATCCTTGTCTTGTGCCAGTTCTCAAAGGGAATGCTTCCAGCTTTTCCCCATTCAGTATGATATTGGCTGTGGGTTTGTCATAAACAGCTCTTATTATTTTGAGATATGTTCCATCAATATCTAGTTTATTGAGAGTTTTTAGCATGAAGGGGCGTTGACTTTTATCGAAGACTTAAACATAAGACCTAAAACCATAAAAAACCCTAGAAAAAAACCTAAGCAATACCATTCAGGAAATAGGCATGGACAAATACTTCATGGCTAAAACACCAAAAGCTATGGCAACAAAAGCCAAAATTGAGAAATGGGATCTAATTTTTTGCTATGCAAAAAAGAAACCATAGCAAAAAAGAAACTATCATCAGAGTGAACAGGCAACCTACAGAATGGGAGAAAATTGTTGCAATCTGGCCATCTGACAAAGGGCTAATATCCAGAATCTACAAAGACCCAAAACAAATTTACAAGAAAAAATCAACCCCGTCAAAAAGTGGGCAAAGGATATGAACAGACACTTCTCAAAAGAAGACATTTATGCGGCCAACAAACATATGAAAAAAAGCTCAACATCACTGGTCATTAGAGAAATGCAAATCAAAACCACAATGAGATACCATCTCACACCATTGAGAATGGCGATCATTAAAAAGTCAGGAAACAAAAGATGCTGAAGAGGATGAGGAGAATTAGGAAGGCTTTTACACTGTTGGTGGGAGTGTAAATTAGTTCAACCACTGTGGAAGACAGTGTGGCGATTCCTCAAGGATGTAGAACCAGAAATACCATTTGACCCAGCCATCCCATTACTGAGCATATACCCAAAGGATTATAAACCTTTCTGCTATAAAGATACATGCACACGTATGTTTACTACAGCACTGTTCACAATAGCAAAGACTTAGAACCAACCCAAATGCCCATCAATGATAGACTGGATAAAGAAAATGTGGCACATATACACCATAAAATACTATGCAGCCATAAAAAAGGATAGGTTCATGTTCTTTGCAGGGACATTGATGAAGGTGGAAACCATCATTTTCAGCAAACAAACACAGGAAGAGAAAAACAAACACCACATGTTCTCACTCATAAGTAGGAGTTTCACAATGAGAACACATGGACATAGGGAGGGGAACATCACACATCGGGGCCTGTTGAGGGGTGCGGGGCTAGGGGAAGGATAGCATTAGGAGAAATGCCTAATATAGACAATGGTTTGATCGTTGCAGCAAACCATGCCACGTGTATATCTATGTAACAAACCTGCAGGTTCTGCAGATGTATACTTAGAACTTAAAGTATAATAATAATAATAATAATAATAATAATAATAATAATATAATAATAAAAAGTTAGGTTAAAATAATAAAGATTTAAAATCTCCAAGTAGTTTATGTAAACCATGTCTGCAAAAGAAAGTCTCTACTTGGAGATTTTGATCCTGAAAGGTTCAAGAGGATTTCTTTAAATGCTTAACTTTCTTTGCGAAAATAGCTTGGTTGGTAGGATGCTTTGGCTCAGAACTGTTTTAACTGACAACTCATTTCTGACCCTGCCCAGGTGAAGACATGAAGAGATATTTTAAAGGACACAATATTTAAGAAAGACTGTGGTTGCCAAAATATAAAACATGATATTTACTAAAATGTGCAATATGATGATGTTTGCATAAAATTCTGACATTGTAGCATATTCTCTGAAAGCTCAGAGTTGCACAATGAGTGTTTTGTGAAAGGGAAAACTAAAAGCGTTTTTTCACCAATTCATATAAAGCTTTAAAGTATGCATATATTATAATTAAAGCTGGCAATGAGGAGGTGACAGACAAAGCTTTTGTAAATAACTTGATGCATCTTAAAAGCAACTATTTGGAGACCAAAATCATAGAAAAATGCAAAATAAGTATTGCCCTGGTTTTAAAATTTCTAGGTTTTACTTGTACAAAAGGATATGGTCTGCCTGAAAGTTCTGTTGAAGTAAACGGAAAAAGCAAAGGCAGATAAACACAAGAAATTTTAGCCATTTGTGGTTTATACATCATAGTTGGCAGTATGGATGATACTGATTTTGGAAGAAGAAACTGATATAATGAACATTTTAAAGTGAGATTTTTAAGTCAAATTGTCATTATAAACAGATTTCACAGAGCTGGCAGGTTAGGAAAAGTAATATATATTTCTTGGTTTTAAATCTTCATTGTAAGGATTTGCTTATTTTTTTTATATGCAATGTGGCATGTATCTATTGCTTTAACATTTTACCTGTTTTTTTTTTCTTAAAAAAAAAAAAAACACTAAAATTCTCACCTCCAAGCAATCAAGATCTTAGTTTGACAAGCCATCCTGGTTTTACAAAAAGATAAGTGCCTGCAGGTAAACATAAATTTGGGTTTCAGTAAATCCAAGTTTTATTTTTAAGGAACAAAAGAATCCGAACAGCTGCACATCCCTCATTTGGCACTGAACTTTGCTATTGATGACTCCAAGGCACATGGTTTCCCTCAGCTTTCCTCTCCCATCAGCATTCGTCCTGGATACCTGGCTGCTCATGCCACAGGGTGAGAACATGGAAGTCTAAGGACTCAGATGGCTGTTTAGCCCCACTCGCCCAGCACACACATACACAAAGTGGCACCTGGGTCTTGCCTTGCCAAGCTCTCCTTTCTCGTTTCCCTGTATGAGTGACCAGGAAGGGGAGTTGGCAGCCTTTGTTCTCTATTGTCTTTTTGGATTGCTCTTTAGCAAAAAAACATCTGCGACTGTGTCTGTCTTCTGCTGGTTCTGATGCAGTCTGTTCCATAAACAGAGCTGTTCTAAAGTCATCTGACCGGATGGATGCTAAGTCATCAAAGGAGAAGAAATGTGAATTGACGCTTCAATTTGACCTTAAATTGGTCCGTTAGTTTTAGATATGACATCACCAAAAGGCACAGAAATTGTCCTTCTTCCACTTCCATGTCATCTATTCTTTTAGTGTTTATCACTTATGTTCCAAACTGCTATATTCCAGGCACTGTACTGGGGATGTATGGATATCTTTCCTAAACGTTATAGAAAACATTCAGGTTAGTTATGTTTCATTCTTACATGCAGAAATGGAAGGAATTAAGTGATTATTCAAGGACACAACCATAAACATAATTGGGTCTCAAACATAGGCTTCTTTGAATCCATTGGCCCATGTGACTTCTAACTACATATGCAGAGACTGTATAGCTGGGACAGCATGATTCTACTCAAGCCAGAAGGCCATAATAGTTGCAGTGGAAAGAACATGCAAGACTATTGCCAGCTGTGTTGTAGAATTTTAATAGGAATAATTCTTCCATTCATCACAATAGATTGGCTGTGCCGCCATGCACAGGAAAGCAACCAGTTTTCATTTCCCATCTTGTGTGTTATTTCTTCCATTTACCTAACTCCTATCCTTTGTGTCACTTTAACATATGTTTTACATCTATATATTTCATAAGTGCCACAAAATATTAGTTTCTGCTTTCAACAGCCAAATCTCTTTTAAAAATACTCATGAAAAGGATTGTCACGTTTATGTAATATATAAAATTATAATATATAATACATATATATAGCAAATATTCTTTATCTGTATGTAAGTATATATAGAGCTATAATGTTATATTAATTACTTTCAGTACTCTTCAGTCTTCCAGAACAGTCTAGTGTCAGTCTGGTGTTATTTCCCTTTAGCCTAAATAACTTCCTTTAGCTTTTTTGTGTGTATATGTTGGATAAAAATAATTATCAATTTTCATTCATCTGAATGCCTTTATTTTGCCATCGTTTCTGATAGACATTTTTTCCATTTGTAGAATCTAGATGGACATTGGTACTTTGGCACTTTGAAACTGCTGTCCCATGGCTTTCTGACTTCTATTGTGTTTGATGACAAGTTAGCCATGATTTGCATTGATACTCCCCTGTGTAGGATTCCCCCTTGTTGCTTTTTTTCTAACCACCTTTATGATGTTCTGTCTTTGGCTCTCAGCAGTTTGACTGTGGTGTGACAGGATGTAGTTATTCCATGTTATCTTTATTGTTATCTTTTGTATGTATTTTGATAATATTTACCAAATGACTGCCTGACTTGTTTTTAGTCCCTTCACCTGTTCTGTTTTCTACCATCCATTTCCATCTTTCTCCGTTTTACACTTCATGCGGCATTTGCAGACATTATTAGCTTTCTCTACTTTGTACTACCTCCTTTCATTAATGATGTATCTTGTTACTTTGCTAGGCTTTGATAACTGTTAGTTGTGGAGTATTCTGAGAGAGAAGGTGTGTGTGGCCTGGGTGAGAAGACAAACTTTTAAAACAGTAACTACAGCTAATAAATGTAGAAGGAAATATGAGATAAAGAGAATATGCCATTTTCCAATCCCCAGTGTAAAACACTGATGCAAGTAAATCTCATTTACTACTGGTTGAACTATTGGCTGAAAAGTTGTTGCAGAATAATGTATTTGCATTGCAGCACAATCACTTACTGATTACACACACAAACATGAACTTTTACAGTGGAGAGGTCTGGCAGTCAACAGCTTAAGTAAAAAAATGGTTTTATCACTTGTGACAGGACAACCCTATATGGCAATATGAAATATGCAATATAACTATGAAGATTTCTTGACAGAAATGTGTAATCTGAATCTAATTACATCTTTAGATCTTTCAGTTTTCAGAAAAAGCAGGGGTTGAGGAACAATATCAAGAGGAAACAATAAGATTCAAAATTTGAAACGCTCTATAGAAAAGTTAGCTTAGATTCTTCAAAAAGTTATTATTAAATGTGGAGAGGGAAGGTTATTTCACATGAAAATAAACTAAATGGATACGTTCAGTTAAATAATAACTGAATACATTCATTGTGCGATTCTTGATTTGTATTTTGGATTTACAAAACAAAACATTTATAAAAGACATTTTGTGAACAAATAGGAAAAATGGAATATAGCCTAGATATAAATATTATGTCACACCTAATTTTGCATGCTTTTTATTTCTGTGGCAATGTTTTAAATAGCCCCCCTTCATGTCTGATTTTCAGTTTTTGAGTCTTTTCTCTCTTTTTTTAGTTAACCTAGCTAAGGATTTGTCAGCTTTGTTGATCTTTTCAAAAAACAAAGTTTTAGTTTAATTGATTTTTCTATTGTTTTTCTAGTCTCTATTTCATTTATTTCTGCTCTGGCCTTTATTTTTATCTTCCTTCTGCTAAATTGTGGCTTAGTTTGTTCTATCAATTTTCATTTCTTCTTTTCCATTGTAATTATTCTGAATGACTTTTAAACACCTATTAGGTATTAGGTAAGACTTGAATTTCAAAGTCTAATGTCCAAGTCTGTCTGTTCCCTCCCTCCGTCCCCACCCATATTTTCATAAAGCTGGCAGTCAGGCCAAGAAACCACAGAACTACGAATATAAAGATTGAAATGTGATTCCTGGGTATAGCTTTCTTTTCTCTTTTAGTGTTTAAGACAGATATTTTAAAGTAAGTCGGGAGCTGGCTGATCAAGTATGGCCTCAATGAGGATGACTTGTCTCTCTTCCTTGTGGTATCTCATCCTCCAGTAGGAGATTCTGGAACTGTTCTTACAGGAAAAGAGTATTCTAAGAGAAAAAGCAGAAACACCTAAGAGTGTTTGAAACCTAAGCTTAAAATAAGCACACTACCAGCATATTCCAGCATATTCTTTTGGTCATTGTAAATCACAAGACCAGATTAAATTAAATAGATAAAGAAATAGGCTTCCCATCTTGATGAGGGCAGCAGCAAGGTCATGTTGCAACGACAAGGGAAAGAATAAAAAATCTGGGCCATTTTTGCAAACAATATTTTTTTGTTTGGAATCATTTTTGCTCACTATCTTTTGGTAGTTCCTCAAATGTCCCTGTTGGCTCTTGTCACTATGCTAATTATTTACCTACTTTCTTTGAACTTCAAGCCCACATTTTTAATGTCTTTGGAAACATATACCTTAGATAAGACTTTTAATCTATATTTCCTATATTTTAATATCAGCTGGCTTTTGGTGAGGTTCTGCAAATTGAGAGCCAATGAAGGACAGTGAAGGCAGAAGGAGGAAGAAGAAACTTGCTTATTATTTTTAGATCTGAGTAGTCTCCCTTCAGCAAGGACAAGGAACAAGTACAGGCTCTACCTTTTCCTTTCTTGGGTATGCCCAGCCCCAGCTATCCACGATCCATCTGAAGGACCAGCATCAGTAAGTCATGTCTCCCTTTGTGGACGTAGCTTTTTTATAAATGTTGATTTCAGTAAAAAGTAATTGGAATGTTTTCTAATCTCATTCATGGTCCTTAAGTGGGGCCAAGAAAGGAAGACTACTCAGGGGTATTCAATAAAAATGAGAGGCTGACACTGATCTCAAAAAGTTTACAGTCTAACCAAGAAAAGTCCCACAAGCAGGTAATTATAATACAGTATAAGTGCTAAAATTGGAGTAAATATATCTCCCTGAGTAGTTACAGAAGAAGGAAAACCAGAGAAACTGGTCATTCTATTTTCTTTACTGAGGTCATTTAGGACTGGGAAGTGTGAGCATGTACCTCCAACAACTCACATCCTCATGTTCACTTGCCTCCTTTCTATAATTCAGTCCCAATTAAAAATTTCTACCTAAGTACAAAATGTCCATAAAAGAACTATTGACTAAAGGATTTGAGTAAAGACAGCCAAGCCATTTTCTGCTTAAACTTGTAAAAGCCTAGTGTTTGTGCTGGACCCAGTCTGTTAGAGGAGAAAGACCAAACTGCAAATCTCATCCTGACATGTGAAAAACCCTGGTATTGCCTGCTTAATGGCTAATGATATATGCTGCTAATTACCTAAAGATGAATGTCATGCATTAATACCCTGGAGAGCAATATGGGGCCTCTTTTTTAATTATTGTAGAACAAGAAGGCAGTTTTAAAAGCTATTTTTGCCTTGCAATGCTGTAAAATTTATCTTCTTATATCATGTGACTATTTCACACCATGACCAGTCATCCATATGTAGTTAGTGACTTACTATATGCACAGGGGAAAGGGAAATAATTATTCATTATTTCTTTTTAAAAAAGGACTGGATTAAGACATCCAATGCAACTATCTATTGAGTTACAGCTTAGTACTGTGGTAATTCCTCCAATGGCTAAAGTAAGTCATATGCAGGAATTAAAGATGCCATTTGAAAACATGCCTATTACTGCTCCCAACCTGCTTTGATACATCCCTTATTAACACTGCTTTGAAGCATGAAAATGGTCTACTTTGAAGTGCCTGGTTTAAAAAGTCTCCGTGTTCTAAATTAAAACATTATTTTGTAGTCTGATCTGTCTCAATAAATCTCTCAGTATAAAATTCCTAAGATCAAGTTATTCCTCCTTTAAAAAAAGAAAGCCTTTAAAGAAGTTTCCAAATGAAATTTTAAACAAGATATGGTATGCCTATTGACTGGAATAAACCATTGCCTAATAACTACAAAACTGATGATTTAATAATAAATAGACAGTAATATAAAGTTAAGAATAGAGAATTTTGGTAAATATATACCCTAAGATATTACTGCAAAAAATCTTACGTAAAAAGATATGTGTCCCTAGATACATCTGGCAAAATATTCTTATATGATTGCACATAGAAATACGCTGGTACTTTCCTATTTTGGTAAACCAGGCTAGACATTACTTTAAAAAACAAATAAAACATCAAAGTATACTCACATAGATTTCTTGTTACAATTTGCTCTTGTATTATTGTGATGCAACTTAGAATCAATAAAATTCATAGATTTTACATATATTATTTTATGAATTTTTATGAATAAATACACATACTTATGATACAGTATGATAAGTGCTAAAATTGGGGTATTTGGGGTAAACACATCTCCCTTCTGGTCACTGTATTTTAATAGTGTGAGTTACCAGAAACTGGTCATATACTATTTTATTTTATGAGTTATAGGTAACTCACCCTCCTGTGAAGATGTAGAACATTTCTTCATTCCACTATGTTTCTTCCTGCCATATTCAGTCCATTCTAGTCCCTCCTCCTCCCTCCACACTAAAATCAACTTGATTTCTATGACCATTGATTTGTTTAATCTGATCTAGACTTTTATGTAAATGGAATCATTTGTATTGGTTTCTTTAGCTCAGCGTATTACTTTTGACATTTATCTATGTTGCTGTATATAGCAGTAATCTATTTTTTATTGCTGATTAGTATTCTATTGCATATTACAACTAGTAGTGTTTTATTACATACAATACCACGATTTATTTGCTCATTATATTAATAGACATTTTCACACGGTTTGTTTACTAAGTCGAAAATTACCAAATTGATGCGCCTACTGTTGGGGGAATTAGGAGCTAGTTTGGTCTGAGAAAGTACCTTAGTACCATGGTGGCCAGAATGAGAGGTTCTTTTTCCCCAAGTGACATATCGCAATAAACCTAAAGAAATGGCAGAGTTCAGATTAAGAGAAGACTAGACCAGAGAAGAAAGTGACACATGATGTCAAACTGAAGAAGAGTGACATGAGTAAATACGTCAAGCCAGACATCTTCATTCAGACGCCAAGAAGTCAGAGTCACCACTGGAGAGTAACACTCATAGAGTCTGTGACAGATTAGTTCTAAAAAATGCTTGTGACCATCAATACTGTCTAGATGAATTCTTCTTATTCAGCATTATTTGCATGGGAGCAAAAGCTGTTGTATGGTAACATAGATGGTACTTTTACCATCAGAGCAATTTGACATTTTTTTATCATAAAAGTAAAAGCAAAGCATAGGAAACTCACACACAAACTAGACAGTTTAAGAATAGAATTAAGGATCCATTTTTACTCTGGTATAATTAAGAAAATCATATTTTTAATCCAGTGTCACATAATCTAAAACAAGTTATTATCATCAGCTTCACTAGTGTCCCTATTCATGGACATCAAAACCAGAGTTGTTAACTTAAACTTTTCTTTTCATTTTAATCCACAATGGTGTAGTTAATGTAATATAATCCTCATTTTAGAAATGTTTATTTAGTCTTGTTTGCTTTCAAGGGGTAGAAACACATCAAGCAAGCTCAGTGAAAAGAGGATTTTGGAAAATGATACATGAGAAAGGACAGGGACTATGGGATCTCAGGAAAATCTAAACAATAGAGAAGGATCACTGTGAAACTAGGCAGAACTTCAGCTCCATAAATTTCAAAGGAAGGGTTTAGTGAATTTTTCCTCTAATGTCCAATCATTAATGTGAATTAGCTACATCCACACATTTATTTATTTATTCTCATCTATTAAAAATTAAACAACCATCAGTTTTGGGGTCACATATTTGGACCCATCATAAGTGAGCAGCCAGCTTAAAAATGGTTACCCTTGGGTCAGGCACCCATGTGGTGGGGATAATATGTTAGATAACATAGCCATTTGGCATCAGCACTCTGTTGATGGAACAGGTTCATTTAGGAGAGTTTAAGCACCAAAAGATCCCTGGAAAATATTTTAAAAAATTAAATGTATTAGTCCCTTAAATAAGTGTTACTTTTGAGTTTTGTGTTTATTTATTTATTTATTTATTTTATTATTATTATACTTTAAGTTTCAGGGTACATGTGCACATTGTGCAGATTAGTTACATATGTATACATGTGCCATGCTGGTGCGCTGCACCCACTGCCTAATGCTAGATGACGAGTTTTGTGTTTTATATCAGGTGTGTTTGCTAATTGATTATTTACTAACCGAGTTTGATATCATATTGAACAATACTCATTAAGCCCTATTTCATGGGCTATGGTAGTTAAAAGGATTAGATAAGAAAAATTGTGAACTGTTCAGGGAATCAATTTCTTCCTGGTTTAGTCTTGGAAGAATGTATGTATCCAGGAATTTAATCATCTCTTCTAGGTTTTCTAATTTTTGTGCATAAAGATGTTCATAGTAGTCTCTGATTATTTGTATTACTGTGGGGTCAGTGGTAACATTCCCTTTATCATTTCTAATTGTGTTTATTTGGATATTCTCTCTTTTCTTCTTTATTAGCCTAGCTAATGGCCTATTTATCTTATTAATTATTTTGAAAAAACAACTTCTGGATTTATTGATCTTTTGAATTTTTTTTTGTGTCTCCATCTCCTTCCGTTCAGCTATGATTTTGGTTATTTTTTGTCTTCTGTTAGGTTTGGGGTTGGTTTGCTCATGCTTCTCTAGTTCTTTTAGTTGTGATGTTAGTTTGAGATCTTCCTAACTTTTTGATGTGGGCATTTAGTTAGTGCTATAAATTTCCCTCTTACACAGCCTTAGCTGTATCCCAGAGGTTCTGGTATTTTGTATCTTTGTTCTCATTAGTTTCAAAGACCTTCTTGATTTGTGTCTTAATTTTATTATCTACCCAAAGTCATTTGGGAACAGGTTGTTTAATTTCCATGTAACTCTCAATTTTGAGTGATTTTTAAAGTCCTGATTTATATTTTTATTGTGCTGTGGTCTGAGAGTGTGTTTTGTATGCTTTTGGTTATTTTGCATTTGCTGAGGGGTCTTTGTATCTGGTTGTGTGGTTGACTTTTGAGTACCTGCCAATGGTAAGAATGAGTATTCTGTTACTGAAATTGAATCTGTAATAGCCTGTCAACCAAAAAAAAAAAAAAACCCAGGACCAGACATATTCACAACTGAATCCTACCAGATACACAAAGAAAAGCTATTATCATTTCTACTGAAACTATTCCAAAAAATCGAGGAGGAGGAATTCCTCCCTAGCTAATCCTATGAGACCAGCATCATACTGATATGAAAACCTGGCAAAGACACAGCAGAAGAAGAAAACTTCAGACCAATATTCCTGATGGACGTTGATGTAAAAATCTTCAGTACAATACTCGCAAACCAATTCCAACAGGACATCAAAAAGCGAATCCACTACTATCAAATATGCTTTATCCCTGGGATGCAAGTTTGGTTCAACATATACAAATCAATAAATGTGATTCATCACATAAACAGAACTAAAGAGAAAAAAACCACATGATTATCTCAATAGATACAGAAAAGGATTTTGATAAAATTCAATATTAAGAATTGTTAAAAATTCTCAATAAACTAGGTATTGAAGGAACATACCTCAAAATAATAAGCACCACCTATGACAGACCTAAAGCCAGCATCATACTAAATGGACCAAAGCTAGAAGTGTTCCCCTTGAAATTGGCACAAGACAAGGATGTCCTTATTACCACTCCTATTCAACACAGTATTGGAAGTCTGGGCCAGAGCAATCAGGTAAGAGAAAAAAATGAAGAGAATTAAAATAAGAACAGAGGAAGTCTAACTCACACACTCTCTCTCTCTCTCTCTCTCTATATATATATATATATGCATATATATGTATATACACACACATACATATACATATATATAGAAAAAGTCATAGTCTTGGCCCGTTTATTCTTCTGTTGATAAACAACTTTAGCAAAATTTTAGGATATAAAATCAATATATAAAAAGGATTAGCATTTCTATACAACAACAAAAGCCCGACTGAAAGCCAAATCAGGAACACAATCCCATTCACAATTGCCACATAAAGAATAAAATTCCCAGGAATACAGCTAACCAGGGAGGTGAAAGTCTGTAAAATGAGAATTACAAAACCCTACTCAAGGAATTCGGAGATGACTCAAACAATGGAAAAGCATTCCATGCTCATGGATAGGAAGAATCAATATCATTAAAATGGCCATACTGCCCAAAGCAATTTACAGATTCAATGCAGTTCCTATCAAACTACCAATTACATTCTTCATAGAACTATGAAAAACTACTTTACAATTCATATAGAACCAAAAAATAGCCCAATTAGTCATGGCAATCCTAAGCAAAAAGAAGAAAGATGGAAGCATCAAGTTACCCAACTTCAAACTATACTACATGACTACAGTAACCAAAATAGCATGGTATTGGCATAAAATCAGGCACATAGACCAATGGAATAGAATAGAGAGCCCAGAAAGAAGTCCACACAACCTACAACCATTTGTTCTTCAACAAAGCTGACAAAAACAAGCCATGGGGTAAGTACTTCCTATTCAATAAATGTTCTTGCGATAACTGCCTAGCCATATGCAGAAGATTGAAATTGGATCCCTTCCTTACACCATATACAAAAACGAACTCAAGATGGATTAAACACTCAAATGTAAAACTCCAAGTTATAAAAAACCCCGCAAGACAACCTAGGCAGTACCATTCTGGATATAGGAACTGGCAAAGATTTCATGATGGAGACACCAAAAGCAATTACAACAAAAGCAGAAAATGACAAATGAGATCTAATTAAACTTAAGAGCTCTACACAGAAAAAGAAACTATCAACAAAGCAAACAGACAACCTACAGAATTGGAAAAAGTATTTGCAAACTGTGAATCTGACAAAGGTAAAGTTTTAATATCCAACATATCTATAAGAAACTTAAATTTACAAGAGAAAAAAAAAAACCACTAAAAAGTGGGCAAAGGACATGAACAGACAGTTTTCAAAAGAAGAAATACATGCAGCCAACAAGCATATGAAGAAAAGCTCAACATCACTAATCATTAGAGAAATAAATGCAAATCAAAACCACAATGAGATACCATCTCACATCAGTCTGAATGGCTATTATTAGAAAGTCAGAAATTAACAGATGCTGGCAAAGTTGTGGATAAAAGGGAATACTTATATACAGTTGGTGGGAGTGTAAATTAATTCCATTGTTGTGGAAAGCAGTGTAGTGATTCCTTAAAGAGCTAAAAACAGAACTACCATTCAACCCAGCAATCCCATTACTGGATATATACCCAAAGGGATATAAATCCTTCTATTATAAAGACACATGCATGTGTATGTTCATTACGGCACTATTCACAATAGCAAAGACATGGAATCAACCTAAATGCCCATCAATGGCAGTTTGGATAAACTTTGGTACATATACATGATGGAATACTATGCAGCCATAAAAAAAACAAGATTATGCCCTTTATGGGAACATGGATGGAGCTGGAGGCCATTATCCTTAGCAAACTAACACAAGGACAGAGAATCAAATCCTGAATGTTCTCACTTATAAGTGGGAGATAAATGATAAAAACACACTGACACAAAGACAGGAACAACAGACACTGGGGTCTACTTGAGAGTGCCGAGTGCGAAGAGGGAGAGGATTAGAAAAAAATAACTATTGGGTGTTAGGTTAGGTACCTGGGTGATGAAATTAACCTTTACAACAAACCCCCATGACACAAGTTTAACTATATAACAAACATGCACATGTACACCTGAACCTAAAGTAAAAGTTTTATTTTTAAAAGAAAGATGGCGTAGAGACTACTGAGTTAGAGATTCTGACAAAAATAATAATAATAATAATAAAAACTACCCAGGGAGTAAAAAAGTAGGGGATTAAAATCTGTGCATCAGCAATTAGACCTTGACAAAGGATGAGGGGCAGAGCGAGGTAGGTAGTTACCAAGCCAGAAAGAAAGGAACTCTATACAGATAACAGTGCATGAGAAGGTCTACAGTTCCAACATCAAAGAAATTATCAAAGGACACTTATTTTCTGAGTATCATTTGCTTTTCCTTCTGTCATTCATGGGAGAAGCATAAGCCTGTCGAGGACCTACCTGTGTTTTCACAAAGACCCGAAATTAACAAGTGCAGTATGAGTCAGTCTCTTCCCTTGAGGACCAGGCAATGCATACGGGGTATACACTGTTTCCCAAAAGACCTTAGACAAGCTACAGATGGCACTCAGGGAGTCTTTCCATCTGAAGCCTTTCTAAAGGCATAGATAAATCAAGTCTGGATAGTAAACCTTGTATTCTTAGGCTAGTGTCTTGGGGACGCAATGGTTATTCCATGGTCACTTGTTTTCACTCAGATTCATAGGAAGGCTAGTATTAATATATTATCACAGCTGAAGTCTAGACCTGTTCTATTCCTGCTTCTATAATCTATCCATTTCAACTAAGCAATTAGGTACTCATGTCACCTAGGATCTTGAAGAAGCAGCCTGAGAAACAGAATATGCAGTGAACAGAGGAAATCTTAGAAACATCTGTCTGTGTCCACACATAAAATTTATCCCAAGGTAGAATATACCTACCAAATGAATTTTCTCCCTTGTCACAGATGAGGTTGGCAATGGACATAATATTAGTAACCGCTCTGAAAAAATAATGTGACAATTTCTGGCCTGGAAGTCGGAGGCCTGCTCATGAAGAAAGATGAGGGATCCATTCTAGCTTTAAAGCACTGCCTGAATTAGCAGGATGTGTACCCTAGAAGTACTAGCTAGAGACAAAGTTTAAATCTTTAGTAGTTTCCTCTTGACTCCCCTCAAATCATTACTCTTCTTAATTCTTTTTTCTAGGACAGGAATCTGTGCAACACTGGTCCAATCCTCCTCAAGCTGCTATGGACGTGAAGCCTGATTCCTATTTGTCTTATTTATAACTAAGCCTGACTCTTTATCAGTGGGGGCTTTGTTTGTGTGGGTTCAATGGCTTTATTTTGCTCAGTGCATTGTCAATAAAACAAAGAATTAAAATGGGTTTGATCTTTTTTTTTTTTTTTTTTTTTGAGACAGAGTCTCACTGTGTTGGCCAGGTTGAGTACAATGGCACAATCTCGGCTCACTGCAACCTCTGACTCCCTGGTTCAAGCGATTCTCCTGCCTCAGCCTCCTGAGTAGCTGGGATTACAGGCACGTGCCACCACACCCAGCTAATTTTTGTATTCTTTTTTTAGTAGAGACAAGGTTTTACCATGTTGGCCAGGCTGGTCTCAAATTCCTGACCTTGTGATCTGCCCACCTTGGCCTCAAAGTGCTGGGATTACAGTCATGAGCCAACACGACCGGCCTGATCTTCTTTTATACAAAAAGTCAATGATTTCTGAACATTTTTAACATTTTTGCCGTCTTCACTGTCCGTTTTCCAAAGATGAGATAAAACTATTCTTGTAATAGATTCCTCTACAGCAGTGTATTTTCCTAAAGGAGTTTTCTTCTCTGTAATATTGTATAGACTTACATTTACTTATTCAAAGAATGAACTTTTTTTACGATTTACAACAAAACATACATGTGCGAGACACTGCATATGTTGAATATGTCTACCCTTAAAAACTTATAGGTAACTACGCAGCACAAATACATGCGCAATTTATGCTTTCAAGGAGAGTACACTTTTTTCAGAGTTGCCAAGTAGCCATAAGGTTAGGCACAATTGATGCTGCATACAATTGAGATTAATGGAATGAAACAATGGTTTCAATTATGTAGTTTTTGTTGACAAGTTGTGTCATCAAATTTTTATAGATGAGATATCTGATCAGAGGAGTAACTAAAGACATGTAATTTTTTTTATTGTCTATTGCCAAAGGTAAAGCTAAAATAGATTTATGTTTTAGGATTTATCAATGAGACTAATATATTCACAAAACTTATAATTTTGTCTGTTTTGCCATTCTATCCCCCTGAAAAAGATTCTAGTTTGTTAAAAAGTCAGTTTACTTCTGCAATTAATAGACATGACCAATTATTCTATATAGAGCACATTTATCTTGAAGGTGCTTTTTAATTAGTCAGTGTTTTAATTTTCTTGATCCAGGTATAACACTATTACATGTTTGCAAAACTACTCAAGGATGCTGTGAGGAATACTCCTACTGTAAGAAAAATTGTACCACTAAACCAATGTAGAGGTCTTTTAATCCATTTCTGTTTTCCGTATTTAACAAAAGAAATATAATAACTTTAAAGATAGAGTAAGTGATTTTTGCAGTTCCCTATTTTAAATATTATACAATGATGATTAAATTTCAAGATATGCATTTTCTACAAATCTATGTAAGCAACATTGAAGAATAGAGATCAGTATTTTGGACCAAAATCAGAAGAAATAGGATATATCTTACTATTTTGCTTTTCTCAAAAATAATTATGTGTAGAAAGTATAGACTTGAGGGCTATTAACATATCTTATATCACTGGTTGACATAAAGCATTTATTTTTAAAAGCTTCAGATTTCTCAATGAAGAATGATTTTTTTAATACCTAGCATAGTCTAGCCTAAAAGCTAACTTAGGACAAAATTTTCTATATAATCTCTTTTTTATTCTCCAGCACCTGAGGCCTCTTCTCTCACTTGTCTCTTTTGTCATTTAAGTAGATGATATCATGAAAGACAGAGTCTTTCTGGTGTGTGGAAGTAGACAGTTACTGAAATAGGGAATGCTATGCCTTCCCTAAAGTGAACATAGATTTTCCCTTCTAGTTCTCATCTGACAGAGAAGCAACTGGTTTTCTTTTATGAGTTCACCATGCATAATGCTATCAGAATAGTTATTACATTCATTAAATTATTTACCTATTTGTCTACCCCAATATATCGTAAGATCATTGGTATTCATTATTGATTCTTATTATTGTGTTTGAGCATTTAGCAGAATGTCGACTATCTGGTAAGTACTCTATACCTCTACACACCTTTTAAAGTGAATTGACCTATTTGCTTTTTCTAGAATTTTTAAAATTTTTGTTCCACCGTTAAACCCCAGTTGATTCTCGACTCAACTGAAAACTATTCTTCTTTCGGAAACCTTCATTGACTATTCAAAGTTCTTCTTTATTCTTTAGTGCCATCCTCTGTATATTACCCTTATTACCCTTCAAACTACCTATTGTAACTACATATTGTTTTTATGTCCATCTCCCCTAATAAACAGTGAGCTCCTTCAAGAAAGAGTATCCTTCCACCTCCCTTTTTCCGCATCACTAGAACAGGGTAGGTAGGCACTGATTAAGTACATTATTCAGTTCATCACTCAGTATTGGACATATATTTCTTGAGAATTTACTAAAGGCCTTGCTTGCGTGGTTCTAGGCATCGTGAATTGAGTGGTGAACAAAACATTTAAACCCCTTGTCCTCATGGACTTTATGTTCCTGGGACAGAATTAGATAACATACATATAAAAACACAGTGTATTTTTACATGGTCATAAGAAGAAAATAAAGATAGATAAGGAGGTGGAGGTATTTAGGTGGAGTGGTCATGGAGGGTCTCTTTAATGTGGTGACAAATGATTAATGACATGAGTGTATGTAGTGAGAAATCAAGTTTTGAGAACACCTGTTGATAGAGTGTCCTAGTTTGAGGAAACAGCAAGCAGAAGGCAGAGAAAGCAGTGGGTTTGATGTAGTTTTGAAGATGGCCACTGTATCTGGGATACAGAAAGTGAGTAGAGGTCAGAGAAGAAAACAGAGGTCAGATCTTCCAGACTGTAACAAGGAATTTGAAATCTACAATGTCCAGAATAAATGGAGAAAGGAGTAGACTATTCACATGAGTTTGTGATTATTACATGATGTAGCTCATTTTCAACTGTATCAGATTTAAGATTTTCTAATAAACATTGACCTCATCAAAGCAGTTATTTTGAAATGTGGATTAATATTTCAATGACGTTCTCACTGCTCAAGACATTTTGGAAAGCATCTCTTATGTTAATGCCTTCAAGATCCCATGGTGCATTCTTTGAATGTCTCAGATTGATGGAAAAAATGATGATTTGAAGTCGGATTTGGCTTTTGGAATTAGTCATTAGCTATTGAGAGCCAAGATTCCTGGATGAAATGGGTAAGTATTCAAATAACATGGCTTTACCTCCAAATCGTTTTTAAATGAATAAGGCTAAATGTGAATAACTTTCAAACAGGCTCAAAAACAAATTCCAAAAGAACATTCTTTGCCTTAAAAAAATAAATAATGACAGTATTGTTACTTTGAAGGTGAGAATATTTACTGTTTAAAAATCTGTGGTGCGTTTGGTAAAGCAAAATTTGATGTTATTTTAAATATCACACTTCTTGTTGCCAGTATCTTTTTTTAAAAATGGATTGTTTAAATAGGGGTTTATGATGCAATGGGAAAGCATATTATTGTTGTACCATACTTTTTAAGAGAGAAACAAACTCTATTAAATAAATAATTAATGCAAAGGGAGAATAAAATCCTTGTTTACCACCTGACTTAACCTTATATATAAAAAAGTGAAATTCTACCTTGCACTTAGTGCATGATGATTTTAAGATTTAAATTATTAATGGAAATGTTGCTACATTTTTTAAAAACTTTAAAAGATCAAAGAAAATTTAGATTGGACAATGGGGAGCATTTTAAGCTATTTGAAGTATCTTTCTCCCTGAGCAGTCATATCTCACCATTTTTTGCATAAGGCCTTATTATTTTTTTCTTCTAAGTCATTTTTCTCTTTACCAACTCAATTTAAAGTGTCCTTACCTCAAAAATGATAACTATGTCAGGTAATACATATGTTAATTAGCTAACTTTAACCATTCAACAATGTATATATACTTCAAAACCTCATGTCATACATGAGAAATACATAAAATTTTATCTGTTGATCTAAAAAAAAATAAATTTGTGGAAAAAAAAAGAGAGGAATCATGTTCCACATCCAGCATTAACTTCGCTGACAATGTGAACTGCCAGAAGCAGCTAAGGAAAGAATACTAAAATAGCTCCCATTGTGTGAAAACAGAATCTTCATTATCACTCTAAATGGTGATTCCTGTGTTGATGATACTCTTATATGATGAACGAATGATTTTAAAATTGCTTCTTTCTACATAATGTAAGTGATGCTTAAGACAGAGGCTTTTTCTTTTTTAGTTTTGTTTCATATTAAAACACTCAAGACACAATAAAAAATTTATCTTTCTTCACATGAGCCAAGTTGGCCCTCAGCCTCCATATACACCAGCAAGATCTTGATCATCGGGAATATGGATATATTACATAATAAATCAATGCTGTATTAAGACAAGACTCTATTCACTCTATTCTATGGGACTAGTGAAGAAGTTCTTTTATATAAACAGAGTGTTTTCATTACCATCTCTCTGAGTTTTTCTGTAGACAGTTCAAAATGTTTATGTATTTATTTCATTAAAAGTAGTATCTTCTTATCGCATATAAATACACTGGTCACTTAATAGAAACTTTGCTTTTATAAGCTTATAAATGATTTTTGAGAGTTTCCTTTTAACTCTACTTTCTGATATAGTAAAGGTCAATACTTTCAAATTTTCATATATATAAGATCTTAGGTAGGGTCTATTTATACATCCTTGGTCAGATTTTGAAGTAATTAGCATTGCCCTTATGCCATTCTCTTTCTGGATGCATGCATAGAATTTAACTTTGCACTGCCATGCTCGTTGGCTCTAGAGAAATGAATGTTATAAGAGTTCTTAATCTTTACTATAGGGCATGTTAGAAAGTGTGATCTTGGCAATCACTGAATAATTTGACATATTTGGAAGTACAAGCTAATTGCACATATGAAACTCAGCCAACTCAATCATATTCATATTTTAAAAATACTTAACTTATAACCTGCCACATTGAAAGTCTGCATTTTGCATCAAAACCCTGCCTTAGAAAATCAATATTCATTTCAGCTCCACATTAGAACAAACACTTATTATAGCCTCCTAAACTATGTAGTTCCCAATAACAAGAATATCATCTATCTATCTATCCAGCCGTCTATTTATTCATCTTTTCTTTTAATAGACTTTTGTTATGGAAGACAGTATACCTGGTACTAGAGATATAAAAGTAAATTTCATTTTGTTCTTAGCTTAGAGAAGCATATAGGCTGGTCAGAGAGACATATGTTAAAACATGTTTTCAAGACCAGTTAAAGAAAATATGTCAAAAAATTTATTCAGCATACCTCCATTCATGTGCAGTTTAAAATAGAAAAACGTATGTTTCAAAGATTCAGATTAAAATTAGCAAATTATAAAAAAAAATCACAAAATCAAAATAGTTATTAACTCAAGGAGGCACGGGATAGGTGGTAATCATGGAAGGACATAGAGGAGCTTCAGTGATACAGGCTGTGTTCTATTTCTTTTTCCAGATTACAGTTATTAAAACATCTATGTTTATACAATAAATCTTATTTAAATTACATTCGTTAGTATGTACTCCTCTCTGTTATAATATTTTTGCTATTAAAATGTTTTTAAAATGAAAAATGTAAAAAAGGTTCTTAAATGTACAAAAGTAACATTTCAAACCTAGTTTGTTAGTGGTGTGTGAAGAAGTGTTAGACTCTACCTCAATGAAGAAGGAAAAGAATCACGAAGAACACAATATTTGAGCTGGCTTTTTAAGTCTGAGTAGGAGTTTTTCAGGGCATTCCAGGAATACAAACAAGATTAGAGTTGTGATAGGACATGGCCAAATTATACAGAGACGTCTGGGGTGATTGAAATGGATGGAGCATAGGAAAGTGAAGCAGAACTTAGACATAGAAGTAGGAGCAATGTTGCAAAGGGCCTTGTGTGATGAGACCATACTAATTATATGAATAAAAGTTAGTTACCATTTAATTAGCTAACAAAAGAAAATCAAATTAAAGATATTATTTCTCACATTCAAAATAATCCTGCAAAATAATTATAAACATCCCCAATATACAAACGAAGAAAATGAGACAGTGTATAAATATCATGCCAAAGATCAGGAAGCTGATCAGGAACAAAGACAGGGATCAGACTCAGTTTTGATTCCAGACGACTTAATTTTAGAATATTCTTACTTCAATGGGTCCTGTGTGAAATGAGAAGTTACAGTAGGAAAAGGAGTGGATTATGTTTCGTTATGAAAACGACAGCAATTAGGCCGGGCGCGGTGGCTCACGCCTGTAATCCCAGCACTTTGGGAGGCCGAGACGGGCGGCTCATGAGGTCAGGAGATCAAGACCATCCTGGTTAACACGGTGAAACTAAAAATACAAAATAATTAGCCGGGCGTGGTGGCGGGCGCCTGTAGTCCCAGCTACTCCGGAGGCTGAGGCAGGAGAATGGCGTGAACTGGGAGGCGGAGCTTGCAGTGAGCCGAGATCGCACCACTGCACTCCAGCCTGGGCAACAGAGCGAGACTCCGTGTCAAAAAAAAAAAAAAAAAAATGACAGCAGTTTAAAACTCAAAGAAATCAATGAACAGGCTCTTGCAACAATTCAAAGAATAAATGATGATGAATAAATGTGGAGCTCTGTGATAAAGAGATGAAGAACATGAGTGAAGGAGATTAGAGGTGGGATTTGATGACTGTCTGGATGTAAAAAGCATGTGAAGGAAAGCCAGGAATAACTCAGGTTTCTATCTTAGTCCATCAGATAGACGCCATATCACTTGTTAGCAGCCCATGCAGATCCCTTTGGCGTTCGCCTCTACTTGAAGGTGCCTCCTGGGACACCTGCAACTCTGTGTTTCTTTTGTCTGATGTGTGTAGATTCTGCTCCACTTCCCTATGCACTACAAATTTCAATCACTCTATACACTTTTTAAATTTCCAGGATATCTTCCTAACAATTTAGCAAAATTAAATTTAATTTATCAAATCCAAATTAAGTATTTCTAATGCAAATGATCTCATATAAAAAAACTTGATTGGTTTTGTTTTGAGATGTGATATAAAATTGTTAAATTATTTGTAATTTTTAACAAAATATTTATAGAAATAATTTAAAAGATGAAATAATATTTAAAAAGTTTATAAATAAATATATCCCCACTTTCCAGTGGCAGCTAGCTGCAAATGTTTTAGTTATTTCCCCTGGATTCTATCTCCATCTTTCTTTATAATATGAATATAGTTCTACTTGTAGATTCCTCAGTTACAGACTTTATGTACCTTGTATTGTAAAAGGGATTTTAGTTCTCTTATACTCCTTCTTCTTTCCTTACCTGCCATTGTAACTCTGGACTAATTTTTTGGTTAAGTCCCTGTTCACTCATTTCAACTTTAGAACTCTGAAAGTATTGATTACTTTTGAGCTACAGGTCTATACTGTGCTTATATTTCTTATTTCTTTCTTGTACAACTTTTCCATTTTTCTCAAGTTAATATGTACTTCATTTTTATCTGAAAAAATGTTTAATACCTGATTAAATCTAAATCCTCCAATAATTGAGTAAAATATCTCTTAGTACAAGTTTTTACATGGTTAAACCTGATCCTGTAGCTGTTCCTCTTGAAGCCCACTAATTTAGTCCAGTTGATCTGTGTGTCAGCTGCACAGTTGCCATCCTGGAACTTTATTTTGCTTTTCTTGATATTTTTTTTCCTGCATTAGATCCTTTTTTCCTGCATTTTCTGCTTCCTAATTCTGTGTCTTTCCCTTTCTTGTTTTTTTTTTTTTTCCTCTGTCTGGGGATACACATTTCCCAGAAGCTCTTTGAAAATGCATTAATGAGAAGTAGCTTTTTTGATGCATAAATAAAAATGTCTTAATTTTAGCCGCACACTCTATTGATTATCTGCACAGAAATATGTATGTTGGTATCATTTTGACTAAACACTTAAAGGTATTGTTTTAGTGTCACTTATCTTACATTTGCTGTTGAGAAATTGAATATCACTTTGTTTCTTACCCATTGTTTATGACCAATTATTTCTCTTTATCACTAGTATTTTAGCATCTTGATATTGTATCTTATGATTTCTTTTGTCAATAGGTCTTTGTTTTTCTCTGATATGCCTTTTTGCATAGTGCCCTCCTCTTGTTTCATAAGTTCAATATGCAATAAATTCTGTGTATGTTTGGACAGAATTGGGGGAATGGCTTGCTGAATAGCCTAATACTTGAAAAGGCTGTTGTATCGCTAGCTACCTTTTTGAGAGACACAAAAATGCTGGCATTTGTAAGTCTTTTCTTCTGCGGTTTTTTTTTTTTTCTCCAGAGGATCCACCCTGTCTCCTGCTTAGGGAAATATTGTGGAGCTCTATGATAGAGAGAACTAGCTGTTGCATTACTTGTATAGAATTTACTTTACCTGATGACTTAACTGATGATATTGCTATCCTTATTTTCAGTCATCTGCCTTACTCTTACATCTTACATCTTACTATGTTGGTGGTGCCACTAATTCCTAAGTCATTTTTAAAAGCACAGTAACCTGCATCTTTTCGGTAACCACCTACCTACTCCTTCAAACACTATGGTTAAATGATTATTTCTCTCTTCCATGCATTGTTTATTATTTAACCTTCTATTTTCAACATTGTATTTTATAATTTGGGATTAAAGATGTTTTCTACTTTTCATTTTATATTTTTCTTAATATTGTAGGTGATTTTCAAGAGAATGAGAGAAGAAAAATATCCTTACTATATCATCTTATCTTAATAATTTTATTCACCAGTTCTCAATACTAAGCAAAGACATGTAAAAATCACCACAGACAATAATATATATCTTCAAACCTGGTAGATGTGAGGGATTTAGACTTTTTCCACAGAAATTCAAGTTTTGGTTTCAAAGAGATATACTTGATGTGGAAATCATTCTGGAGTGTCAGAGAGATGAATGAAATCATTTTCTTAACATATTTAGAACTGTTTACAGAAACTGACAAGAAAGAGATTATAGAGGGTCAGTGTGGATTTCTCTACTTACTGGTCATTTCTCTATGTCTGGTCCAGAATTTAAAATTACTAGAGTGTTTTCATGAGGTGCACTAGGAGCTCCAACATAGTGACGGTGGCATCCAGCATTTTCGTTTATGCCCATTATTTGCCAAGTCACAGAGTTTGCAATGTGTTCATTTCTCTCCAAATAAAATTTGCAAATGAAGCTACGTGTTGTATTCAAATCAAGGATTGCTTGTTCCACATACCAACCTGAGCCAAATGATAGAAAAATAATGTGATTCTTTTTCAGGATTTCTGTTGTTTAAAACAAACAAACAAACAAATCATTACACAACTGGCCAAAAAGAAAGATAACATTATCTTTTAAACACACATATTAAGATTTGTTATTTGGTTAAATCAATTAAGAAGAGCAAGATACTGAATACCAACAATTATCTAATATGATTGCACAATGCATATGTTTTAGCTTGAAAAGTTAGAAAAGGCTTTTTACAAGATTTTTGCATACTATAATAATGTAATTACATATATTTACACCAATTATGCACTTATATGTAATTATGCTAATTATGTAAATACATGACATTTGATAAAATATTACTTTGAAATTCACTCAATAAAAGCAGAACAAACTGGATGGTAGAACCATGTGCCAAATATGAAAGAAGGAAAATTAAGAGTCTTAAATAAATGATCTCTACAGTCTATTTTTGCTCTAAAATCCTCTAATTCTAAAATTTAACAACACAGCAGAGAACCATTGACAATATGTTTGAATATATTGAGGTGTTATGTTATGCCTAGGAAGATTTTTCTTCTTATTTTTAAATCAGCTTCTGAATGGAGTTTTTGTAAAAGCAATGATCCTGATTGCTTTTACAGTATTTAACCTCCAAATACTGGAGATTAAAGTAATGATAAGGACAAGATGGGGGCCCTGATCCTGTCGTGGATAGCTGGAGATATTCAGAACCTTTCTCTGCTTCCCAGTATCCCTGAAGATACTGACAGTGAAGATCTCCATCAGAAACCAGGGAGAGAAGAAATAGGCTAGGACTGACTTGAGGGGTGCAGGTGTGCTGCAGGTGGGAACTGGGGAAGCACTCAAGGACATCAAGATGGCAGCAGCATATATGCATGGTCAACCCAGTCCTTGTCAAGAAGATGCAAAACTTAGAAGTCCAATGGCCATCAAAATCATACAAAAAACCACACAAACAAACTGAATATCTTACAAAATAAACGACGTTAAATGTATATGGAATGGTGTTACTTGGAACAAAAACTGGTTTTGTTACCGCACAGGAACCCTGAGTACTTTGACTCTTGTGTAAGTAAAAATAAGAGACCAAAGGGAGGTATTTTTTTCCCTTCAGGAAAAGTTTGTAACCGCCCACTAGGCAGTGGGCAGTTCACCTTGCCCGCTGCTGATTTATCGGCTCTAGACAGAGCAGATTTATGAAGACAGGGAAATTGCAATAGAAAAAGAGTAATTCATGCAGAGCCAGCTGTGTGGGAGACCGGAGTTTTATTACTACTCAAATCAGTCTCTGGAGCATTCAGGGATCTGAGTTTTTAAAGATAATTTGGTGGGTAGGGGCTCCGGAAATGGGAAACACTGGTTAGTAAGTTTAGAGATGGAATCATCTGGAGTCTAAGTGAGTTTTTGTTGCTGTCTTCTGTTCCTGGTGGGATTGCAGAAGGGGTTGAGTTAGATTACCTGTCTGGGTGGTGTCAGCTGGTGCATGAGTGCAGGATCTGCAAAATATCTCAAGCATTGATCTTAGGTGTTACAATACTGATGTTATTCACAGGAGCAATTTGAAGAGGCTCAAACTCTTGCAACCAGGGACTGAATGGCCCCTAAATAATAATTCCTAATCTTGTAGCTAATTTGTAAGTCTTACAAAGGCATACTGGTCGTCAGGCAAGGAGGGTTTTTTTACTTGTTTGTTTTTGTTTTTCAGGTAAGGAATATTATCAATTTTGTTTTCAGAGTTAAACTATAAACTGAACTCCTTCCCAAGGTTAGTTCAGCCTATGCCCAGGAATGAATAAGGACAGCTTAAAGGTTAGAAGCAAGATGAAGTTGATTAGGTCTGATCTCGTTCATTGTCATAATTTCCTCAGTTATAATTTTTGCAAAGGCGGTTTCAGGTTTAGTAAGCTTGTGTCTCCAATGCACAAGGGAGGAGTGCTGGGGAAAGTGAAACAGATGCCAGGTCCCCAAGGGGCTTGGCCTTTGTCACTTTAAGGAAGCTGAGGCAAGAAAAGGGAATAACGCAGAAACATGTTTAGGTGGACCTTTCTCCTGCCTTGTGCAGTAAGATGTCATGCTCTAATATGCACTGCAGGACCATATAAGGCCTGTCTTGGGCAAAGAATTTAGCATTATGATGAGAGTGTAATGAGGAGAGTCAGTGAAAGGACAGCGCCAGAGTCCATCTTGTATTTATGCCACTGCATCTGGTCAGATTCTTATCTAGAATGCCAGAGTGTTGCTTCAGTGACTTCGGCAAACATTGCCCAAAAGAGACAAATGGTTAGGATTTTCCTTTTATGGTTAGGAATTTAGCCCAGTCAGCTAAGTTAGGAGACTCTTCCTGCTATGTGATTTGGTTTAGCTTCTTAAGGAAGGCAAGAAGGCAGGGGAGGGAATATACCCAGGCACGTAAGACCCATCCGGACTTTGGTTACCATTTCACCTATGTGACTTGTCAGGATCAAGTCTCTTCCCTATACTGCCTCAGTTGCTCTGGAGTATTGGCAAACTTCATTTACAGACACTGCTTCAAGTTTCTGATACTTTGAAGACATATGCATCATTGACTGCACTTTGATTTTAGCCTACTAAAATTGCTTACAAACTCCTTGTAACTGATGCTTTGTATTCAGATAATATAAGGAAGGAAAACTGTGTTCTCAGAAGTTCACTGATTGGCATAGCATGTATAGCCCAGTGTTTGTTTTTTACTAAAAATGGACATCTGACACCATCAAGTATCATGCTGTTCCACTGCCATTAAAAGGAAGGATTTTACTCCATTGATTACTGCTTTGTCAAACAGAGGTGAAAACAATGGTAATTCCTCTAGTCTTTTAGACAATGATTGGATTATTATTATTTGTTTTTTGAGATAGGGTCTTGCTCTGTCACCCACTCTGGAGTACAATGGCATGATCTCAGCTCACAGCAACCTCTGCCTCCTGAGTTCAAGTGATTCTCCTACCTCAGCCTCCAGAGTAGCTGGGATTACAGGTGGGCACTACCACACCCAGCTAATTTTTTGTATTTTTTCAGTAGAGTCAGTGTTTTGCCATGTTGGCCAGGCTGTTCTCTAACTCCTGGCCTCAAATGATCCACCCACTTTGGCCTCCCAAAGTGCTGGGATTACAGGTGTGAGCCATCAAGCCCAGCCAACGATTGGAAGGTTAAGTAGTCTCAGCATTATGCAGTATTTGGAAGGACACTTGAGTGTATGAAGAGTAACCAGATAATGAACGTGTACTCTCAGAAGAATGGTTTTTTTTTTTTTTTTTATGATGAGACATTGCTGAAAGAGTTAAAAGTAACTTTGAACAGACCATTTGTTTCTGTTCCTTTTGCCTGATACATAGTGGATACTCAATAAATATCCAATAACTCAATCAATTTAAAAAAGAAAGAAAGAATGGAAATAAAAGAAACTAGTAAAAGTGATTCAGGGTCAGGGGCTGGGCCATTCAGGCTAGAGGAAAACAACGAGGTCCATTTTACTCCAGCCTAGTTTATTTTATTTGACATTAAATGACATTAGTATATTAATCATTAAAATAGGCATTTACTATGTGAAAAGCACATGTCCTACCCTCAAAGTCATTCCAGTATAACAGAGAAAAAAGAGAAACCAACAATTACAATTATAAGACAATACAGCTCAAATCAAGAGCTGTAAAGGGGATAAAATCAAATTGTTAAAAACTAAAGTGTCTTAACTTTTATTCTGCCCAAATCACCTGAACAATGCAACACATTACCGTTTGTGAAAGTTCATCTGTGCAGCAGTGATTGTCAGTCTGATACAAAATCTCCTGCGGAGGAAGCGGGGAGATTAATTATTGAACTAATTTTTGAACTAATTATTGAAAAGATTTATTATTGTTATTTTTGTTGTTGTTTTGCTATTATAATTGTTAAGAAACAAAATTTTTACATTGAGAACTTGTTCTAGAACTGAGAAAATTATGGTGCTTTATGTTATAGACAAAGGCAAATGTGGGGAATGACAGGCTGATGGTGAAATGAAAAATTTGATTACTGCATAAGCTATTTGAACACGTAATAATGGACATGTTAATCTGTTGACCTCCTTTTAAAAATTGTTTATTTAATCCCCAATATTGAATCAAAAGTGAGGATTTGGATCTTTGTCTCCCTGAGAAATGACTGGTAGGGTTACATATCTTTTATATTTTTCACTTTAAGCTTTAAGGAAGCTGATTTACCCCTGAATATAAGCAAGTGTTAAAAATAGCAGCATCAATGTGTGTTTAATCAGTATGTTTAAGAACTATTCTAATATCTGTTCATCAGATATTTGGAACAGCGGTTTGATAATCAAAATGCTAATCTGCACAGACCATTTATAATCTAGTTGTGCTTGTAATAAATAAATCTTGAGGGCTAATATGTATTCCTTACGTTGCTGCTATTGAATAGAAAGGAAAGAGTCTCTAAATTCTCTTATAAAATGAAAGAACAAGTCTCCTTGTTTGTATTCTTTTCTCATAAATTCTACCAAACAGATGTTTACACTTGTTGTCACCTGTATTTGTCACTGTACAGGCTGTCTCTTGCCAGCTTGTCAGCATGTTGTTAGGCATGATTCATTGTGTGCTGTCAGTCCTGCGGTTTCCTTACAAAGAGGCAAATCTGACTTCCGGGCCTGAATAGAGAAGTCATCAGGGTAGTAATCAGTGATGTACAGAACTTAGCTAGCCCAGTGGAGCTTGACGCCTCCTACATCACCCTTTGGTGAGTCAGTGCTCCAAGCTTGAACAATATTGAATAAAAAGATTAAAAAATACAGATATTGAAGTATTTCTCAGATTTTTAAGAAAAGTAAAATAAATGCATTGATGTTCAGTATACTCTTTAAATAAAAAGATATACTTTTTAAATATCTTTTGTTACTGTGGAATTGAATCTCCCGGGGCTATCAGAATGCTGAACTATTGCCCAATTACCACATCATAAAGCTGTTCCTAGAAGATCATACAAAATATTGGAATAAATTGAGAATTCTACCTTTCTGTCACTTTATAAATCTAGTTCAAGCTGCACTCATCAACACAACCTAGTTCACCTAATGAGAGTGATTTATATGGAGCAAAATTACGTTGGCTCCAGAGGTGATGGCAAAGGGTGGAGTACGAAGACACTGGGGGGCAAAAGTATAAAGCTCACCTAAAGCTCATTACCACAGAAACGATCTCATTATGGACTTTCATACAGACTCAACATTTGGTTATAAATTTTCCATTCTTTACTCAAGAGATTTTTTTTCCTAATTCTCCATAGCATCTAAAATATTTTACTAACAAAATATCTTAAAAATATAGGCCGACATGACCAAGATCGTTTCTTCTTCCTATTATTTTAGCTAAAAGTGAAGCATCAGTGGTCACTCATAGGAAGCTGACATTTGTTTTCTTGCCTGGAAAAGACCTTGTTAATTTAGAGGAAACAAATTACTCTAAAACTAAATAAATACAACTAAGTCATGATGAAGAACTACTACTTACAATAATACCCCTCTTTTGTGCACTATATGTGTGTGTCTACACACCACATATGTCACTTTACTCTTGTGTTTATTACCAAATAATTATTTTTCATTTACCTTGTACCAGATGCTACTTTAGATGTTGAAGATACAATAATAAACAATACAGACATGGCTTATATCCTCAAAATTTTCCATATTAATAAGGGGAACACTAATGTAATATTTATTTATTTATTTATTTCTGAGACAAGGTTTCACTTTGTCGCCAAGGCTGGGGTGCAGTGGTGTGATCTAGGCTCACTAAAGCCTTGAACTCCCAGCTTACTGAGTCCTCCTGCCTCAGCCTCCAGAGTAGCTAGGACCAGAGATGTGTGCTACTATGCCCAGCTAATTTTTTAAATTTATTTGTAGAAATGGGGTCTCTCTATGTTGCCCAGGCTGGTCTCAAAATTCTAGATTCAAGTCATCCTCCTGCCTCAGCCTCCCAAAGTGCTGGAATTACAGGCATGAACCACCATGCTCAGCCTAATATTTACTCTTTGACATAATTTTAACATTTACACACATATGTATTTTTTCTATGTATGTTGTTTGTAACGAGGGTACATGTCAAGTTATTTCTAGTAACATATACCTGCATTATAGAATGACCTGACGTGTACTGATGTTATGAACAACATACATAGAAAAATGCATATGTATATAATGTATTATGTATGTAATACATATATATATATATTTACTGTATATACATGGACAGATGACCCAAAGTGGTCATCCCTGTAGCACTTAAGAAGTGTCACAGTACATATTCACATGCTATGACTATCTAACAAAAGACAGTGGATTTTATGATATAGGAATACAAAATAAGACCAATGACCTTTCAGATTTCATATTGCCTTTCTTTCCATCAGTGTCTCATAAGTGATTTCCTACATTCGTATTTTGAATGAAGGGAAATTAATTCTACAAATAAGTACAGGTTTATTTTTATTTTATAAGTAGGTCAAATATGATGGCTGAAAGTGATTTTTACAGTTTGGCAAAGTTTATGACAAACATTTTAATCTTTTTTTATTATACTTTAAGTTCTGGGGTACGTGTGTAGAACGTGCAGGTTTGTTACATAGGTATTCATGTGTCATGGTGGTTTGCTGCATCCATCAACCCGTCATCTACATTAGGTATTTCTCCTAATGCTATCCCTCCAGTTACTTATTTTACTAAACTTCCCTCTGACATTTACTTTAACACTTCAGATTAAAATCGTTTGGTGCCTTCTGAGCTGTTCTCATGTTTTCTTCTAATATACTACCTAGCGTCAGCATAATAAGTAGAGTTGTAGATTTTAAGATTTCAGCTAATTCATCCAGTCCAACTTAAGCTTGATTCTCCTGGACATAATAAATGTTTTTAAGGCTTAATCAAAAATATCTCCAATGATGGAGATTCCTCATCTCTCATAAGAGCTTTTTTTTTTTTTTTTCCGACAGCAGCAGCAGCAACAACAACAACAACAACAACAAAACTCTAGATGGGACTGATTGCTAAAATTTTCTTCTTATATTCAGCTAAAATTTACTTTTTTGTAACTTCCATCCATTTCCCCTAGATCTGTCCATTGAAGCCTCTTAGGATAGGTGTAAACTCTTTCTTTCTGATGAATGACATTTAGAAAGCCTATGTTCTTTTTTTCCATAACATTTGTCATAATTAGCAACCAACTAATTATGTGAAGTTATTGACTTACTGTTCGTCGTTTCCAGTTTCCTGACTTTTCACCACTTTTTCAGCATTGCACAGCTCTGGGTCCGCAGAAAGCTCTTAATAAATATTTGTTGCATGAATGTATGTGAATGACTTAATGAATATTTTAGATTATCTTGTCCTGTGTCTTAGATGGGGTTAAACCAGAAGCGGTCTGTAATAGGAAGATGTGTTAGCAAGTGATTTATTAAGGGAGTAATCCAGGAAAGAATGAGAAAAATGAAGGAGAAAAGTTGGACAAGGGTGGTATTAAGTAAATCAAGGGTGAGCTGTCATGCAAGGTCTTCTGAAGGGGTGAGCTTCAGCTTGATTCTTCAGGGCATTTCTAGAGCATAACTTCCACTAAGAGTTGTACATCCTGAAGAAAGTCAGTTGAGCTCTCCTGACTCTAAATTTGTCAGTAATTTGGGTAACAGCCAATACACCGAGGGATAAGAGTCCCGGAGCACTTGTGACCCTCTATACTTAAGGGGAAAAGGGCAACTTTATTCCAGTAGCTCAAGGGCCATCCTTTAAAGAAAAGCAACAGACATTGGTTACGAAAAAGCAAAACCACACAGAAGGTGAGGGATGGGAGTACACAAAATAATGGTATAAATGATCCTGGGAGACCTGGGTAAAGTATCAATCTTACTACAGCTTCCTCATGAATATTCTCCTTTATATAGGCCCAACATCCCAGTACCCTTAGCCATTTCAGAATATGTATTCAATTCACCTCCTGCACACATCCCTCAGAAGGAGCATGCTTTTCAGATTTTAATCTTGCTCAAAAAAGAAAAAAAGTTAATGTGAATTGTGTACAGTCTGATCCAATTCTAGACAAAAGCCTGTTACCTTGGATCTCAAAAATGTCTTAATTCAAATTCAATAATATATATGAAAATTTAAACTTTAGCGTCTTTCCTGAAAGTGTTACCCATATTGAGTTTTAGATTAAAGACTCCAGGCTGATGCTTCAAAGCAAAACTGGGAACCAAGGATGTGAGAATGCACTGTAAGAACCATCGTAAAGAAAATCCTGGACTTCTGTGGAATAGGACTCAAAAGAGAAAAACTGGAAAACAGAAAGTTAGTCTGACAAGCCATCTCAACTCCTGTGATTAAAAACTTCACATAAATAAAGTCACAATCTACTTATCTTGAGGCTGCCTATGATAAATTTTAAAACAAATCTAGAAAATGGAAAGACAAATAACTATAAAAAACTTGATAGTTCTCACTAATCTGCTACTTTGAAAACAATGTTAAAAATTTAATTTCAAATAAAGTGCTTTTGCTTCTAATATGGTATTTTAGATGATACAGGCTGGACTTCGATTCTACCTAAAACTTTCTCAGTTCCTTCAATATTATTCTTCAGACTGTGAAGCCAAATTCTTCAAGGGACTAAAGAAGACCAAGTGATAAGGGAAACGTTGCAGGGGATTTTGAAGTTAGGATAGATGTTAGGATTTAGGGCTTCTTCTTATTCCCAACATCAGATCTGCGTTTCTTGATGTATTTCTGGATTTTAGTTTAGGAGCCTGACTGGGACTTGAAAAAAGATAGAAGGGCAGATGTGACAAAAAGTAATGAAAGTAGCCCTCTAAACTTTTTATTCTCCCCTGGGGTGGGAGGGGAAATTATTTCAGGATTACTAAGTACTGAGAGCAGAAGATTCAGAAGAATGACTATTTTATTTTGCTTTTTCCTTTTCCTTGACATTTTGACTCCAATAAAGACATATTCTGAACTAAGAAAACAAAGCTTACTGAAGAATAATGAAAATTTTAACCCAGCTATGCATATTTAGTGAAGCTCCTTTAAGTAGCAATGTAATCTCATGACCATGTTCAATTTTCTCAGAAAATAAACAAGAATTTTCCACTAAGAGCAAGTATTTATTAAATTCCAATTAAAAATAATACCAAGAAGATATTTTCATGTGAACTGTATACTGTAAAAAATGGGTGTATATATAATGTTTTCTCTCTTTATAAAACTTTTATATTAATTACTGTTTGCTTGACATAGTTCCAAGTATTTTACAAATTTAACTTTTAAATGCTCATTTTAAATATTAATAAAGGGTCAAGTCACTGGTTCACGATCACACATCTGATAAGTGTTGAAGCTGGGATTTGAACCTGGACAGTTTCGAGCCTAGACAGTTTTGAGCCTAGACAGTTTTGAGCCTGGACAGTATGGCTTCAGAGTCATCACCCTTAGCTATTATGCTATATTACTCTCCATATTTAGGAAAGTGTCCCCAGTAAATTACTACATTGTCTGTCATATCAAACCATGAGTGAATTTGAAGAGTAAATACTCTCAGTTTGCTTCTTCTTTGGTCCAAAGCAACAACTAATATTTTGAGTTTAGTTCTCTAGACTTAAAAATAAGTTGAAAAGGAAAGATTGCAGAAACCAATTTTCAAAGGCAAAAAATGACCCTCCATGAGTTAGCTTCAAGTTTTCATTTCATACATCAAAAAGATGAAGTCCCAGGGAGATTAAATAACAGCTTATCATAAATAGGACAGGCTATGAGAACTGAGTCTTTTGGCTTCCAGATGGCTGCTCTGTTTTGCTCTTTCTCAAAAACACATAGCATATCACAAACAGAAACAAAAATAAACACTCCAAGTTTAATCTAATTCCTAAAAGTTTGTATTTCAAATTATCATCTTTATTCTTGACTGTTACTGTCTGGTTTGGATGATTCACTCTGTGTCATTTTTAAGTTAGGAGTTGATTCAGTATCCTGGTCTCTCACATATTTACTTATTTTTAATCAGGATTTGAGGTGCTTTATAAATGAAATCTGGTATGTGGTACAGATTCAACTTCCAAGTAGGATGTGTGACTTCTGAACAATTAACAGCCACACTGAGAACAAATAGAAAAGCTGGGGAAATTTTGTTTATAGTTAATGGCATAAAAAAGCTGCTCAAGTAAAAAACAAAAACAAAAAAACTAGAGGCTTTTACTAAATAGAGAGTTACTGCTGGAGGTTGATGTAAAGGGAACTACAATACGTTGGTAGGTTAATGAGGCTGGGGTAGTAAAATTGGTAACTCAGGGGCTCAAACACCAGTGTTTTCCCTCAATGCATTTGTCAAATTTTGAAGCTGTTTGAGGTGTTGCTAGAAAGCATACTAGGGAATCTGAAAAGCAGAGTGGGTATATACAGCCAGGAAGACAAAGTTACCATAGTGAAAAGATACCCCTCAGAATGGGAGAAGATACTTGCAGTGGATGGAGGTGACAAAGTACTTGTACCATACCACTTATCAAACTCCTACGAATCAATAAGTAAAAGCCTACACCAAATACTTCACAAAAGATAGTATCCAAAAACACGTGTGAAAGCGTATTTCATTCTATTAGTCATCAGGGAACTACAAATTCAAACCACAATTCTATGCTGCTACACTTCATGAGAATCCCTAAAATGAAAGAAAATAACAAATATTAGCAAGGATATGAAGCTACTGAAACTCTCATCTGTTGCTATGAGCAGTGTAAATTGGCACAAATGAAAAGGGAGACCTTCACATTACCTTCTAAAACTCTTCAAATCGGTATGTTTCGTTTGTGAAAATTAGTTACCCTATAAATTTAGGATGTGTGCCATTCTCAGTATGTATTATAATTCATAAAAAGTTCACTCTGTATAAAGTAAGTGCATGGGAAAGGGAGAATAAAAACATAGAACTGCTGTCTTATTACATAGTACCTATTCAAAAATGTATTTCTGTATACAATAATGAATTATTTGACAACACATTTTTTAGGACCCCATGGTATATTTAGAATATAAATATGAATATAACCTACTGGACAAATATTATTTAACCTAAATTAGTATTGCTGCTAAAAAGGTCACTGTTACATGTATTTATTTTGAATCAGAAGAAATGGCTTGTAATTTCTCAACAATAAAAGACAGTTTTAACTGAGATTGCCAATATGTCTTTAAAAATAAGCTTGACCGAACTCAGCAGATCTTTGGCATATGTGACTTTTACATCCATAGATATAATCACGAGCAATATTCCCTAAAGGTTAGTGACACGTACTGATTTGTACTTTCATTGAGTCATAAATTTGAATTTTCTTGGCCAATTATACTGAAGCCACTCAGGCAGAGAATGTGCCTCTCAGTGTGTGTTTATCTACTTAATGTTCTTTAGTTTAATAGCACAATGTGGTTTTGAGCATGTAAAATCAGACTTCTCTTCAAATACTCCCCATCCCTATACAACAGGCACACTTCTAAAAAAATAAAACATTCTTACTGCAGCATCCCACTTTGTAATAATATCCTAGATGAATTAGTTGGCTGATGTCTATCTTCCCCATTAATCTCCATGAAAATAGGTATAATGTCTTTTATTTTTAATTGACTATTTTATTATTAATGCCTAACCTAGTGTCTGGCTAATTGAAGAGTGAGTAAATTATGTGCTAGAGAGTAATTCTCAAATTTGAGGACTCTTAAGGGTTTCAGCATATATTTATTAAGAAAATAAATCAGTATTAGATGTCCAATATGATTAACTGCTGATTTGGTAGCATTGCAGGGATAAAGAGCAATAGATACAGCTGGATGCGGTGGCTCATGCCTGTAATCTCAGCACTTTGGGAGGCCGAGGTGGGTGAATCACCTGACATCAGAAGTTCGAGACCAGCCTGGCCAACATGGTGAAACCCAGTCTCTACTAAAAATACAAAAATTAGCTGGCTGTGGTGGTATGTGCCTGTAGTCCCAGCTACTCCGGAGGCTGAGGTGGGAGAATTGCTAGAATCCGGGAGTGGAGGTTGCAGTGAGCCAAGATCGCGCCATTGCACTCCAGCCTGGGTGACAGATAGAGACTCCATCTCAAAAAAAAAAAAAAAAAAAAAAAATCAATGGATACTAGATATCTTCTTTCCCATTGGCTGGGAATCCAGATCATCTTTGAAGAGCTAAATCAGAATTAATTCAATTATTATCTATGATGTATTTGACGCTCTTTTTTATTGCAAGAATTTAAAAGAAAATTTTAGTATGTACTACATAATACATAGCCTTTAATAAACTCGGCCTAAGCTAATACAGAATTACTGAATACATACTGTCTTTATCATACCTATGTACATCCCCATGAATTTCACTAATTACTCCTGGTTAACCTAGAACTAATTGGGTGAGATCTCCAAGACAACTTGTTTGGTTGTTTGACACATCTAGAACTATCTCTATGTTGCAAGTCTTCCTGAGCTTCTCATTCCTGAGAGCAATTCTCAGTGTCATCCCTGACCAGCAGCATCAACATTACCTGGGAACTTTTTAGGAATAAAAATAAATTCCATCAGTCCAATCCCCTAGGAACTCTTCGGATAGGACCCAGTACTGTATGTTTTAGCAAGCCCTCCAGGTAAGAGAATTACTGCCCTTAATTAACTTGGTTCTACGAATTCCTCCTCAGATGGTAAGTACTTGTATGGTTTTACTAGATGCTGTAAAGAAGAAAAAGTGTTAGCAGTAGTCATTCTACATGGCTAGTGTGGTTTTCTTTCTGGGGTCTTTATTGCCCCAGAAGGGGCTTTTCTGAGGTGGAATAGCAATAAGCTGCCATTTCAGCCTTCTCCTTGTCTCTCCTATTTATATTCTGTCCTTTGTGTTTAAGTCTGAAGGTTGAATTCCTGAACTCTAATAACCTCTCAGAGGAAGCTAGTGCAGTGGATTATACCTTCAACTTTGAGTTACCTGCATTAAAATTCCCTGTGACAAGGTCACACTCCCTACTGGTTAAATCAGAAATTCCAGGGTAATGGTGGTGGTGGTAGTGTGAAAACTCTCTAGGCAGTTCCAGTCTGTAGCCAAGTCTGAGGCTAGGAAACTGGAGCAATGATTCTCAAAGTGTGGGTCCTGGGCCAGCAGCATCAGTGTCACCTGAGAGCTTACGAAAATGCAAATTACTGGATCCCACCAAATGCGAATTCTCAGATTTCATAAAAACCTACACAATCAAAAACTGGGAATGCCTCCCACCTTGGCCTCCTGTCTCCAAACCTGCAGCATTTTTACAAGTCCTTCAGGGCTTTTGGTGATTTTGATGTACCATAAATTTTGAGAATCATTGTATCTCACACTTATCCTCAATATAAAATAATCCAAGAAGTGATGGGTATAATCGAATGACTTGAACTATGTAAGATGAGCCCTGAAGTATTTGCAGAATAAATAAAGATCTCTAGTTATGAAATCTTTACTATTGTCACCATCAGAAAATTACAGTCATTACATTGCACTCATTTCTCATCAACTACTTGAGGACTCAAAAGCCTCCCTAGAGGTGAACTCTTAAGGAAGGTTCCTTCACAGAGGAACTTCACTGGAAAGTACGGATCTGCAGTCCCTCTACTACAGAAAAATTGTTTGCTGAAGGAAAACATGTTGCTATTTTCAGTTATGCATATAATTCATTAACCTTTGGAAACTCATCTCAATTGCAGCATCTGGCGTCAATAAGCCCTTACAACAGGATCAGCCACCTTGCTGCTGAGCTTCTCAGGAGGATCCTAGGACATGAGTGAAAGTGTTCATGTAATAAACTGCTGATGCCTTTCTACTTCTGTTCACTGGAAGTGTAGAGCGCTTACACTGAGGAATCTATTCGTTAAATAAGTTCAGCCCTCTAGCAACTGGAAAGCTATTGCAATTCAGAGATAAAATTGTAATAATACTTAATTGTTGGAAAAGTCAAATCTTACTACAATAAATCATTTTAAAACTAAAATCCTCATATAACAAATACTTTGTAACCTAAATGCTCATTATTTGGCCGATATTTTCTCCACTTTATTAGCACACTCATTTATTTAAGAAACAAGTATTTATCAAGAACCTATTGTGTGCAAGGGATTTTGTGACACAAAGAAGAATCAGACTAGAGGTTTAATGAACTACTAGAATGTTATAGTCTAGGAGATTTTACACACACACACACACACACAAACACACACATATATATGCATATGTATATTAACATATATGCATATATAAGTATGTCTGTGCATATGTCTGTATGTGTCTGTGTGTGCGTGTATATATATACATATATAAAACCTCCTAGACTGTAATATGTATATATATGTCATTTAAATGGAGTCTCACAGGATGGAGAGATTAATTCCATCTGGTAACTTCCAGGAAACTTCTTGACTAAGGAGACATTTGCTTTGGGCTTTAAGTCATGCAAAAATGTGGACAAAAGAGAAAGAAGACATAAAGTAAGACACAGGATGCAAAAACATCATGGAGTACATTATGAAATACTAAAAAAAAATAAAGAGTTTGAAAAAGTATTTGGGGCCAATATCGTTGATAAACTTAATCGCCTGGTAAAAGACTTTGTACTTTATTCTCTATAAAAGTACATTAAATTTTTTTCACAAGAAAATTAAATAATCAGAAGCATTCTTTAGCAATGTCACTGTAAAACAATCTTGTAATTAAGATTAGAAATTATAATAGAGAAATAGTCTAATTAGAATGAAAAGAGAAATGGATTCATGGAAATCAGTTGAAGAAGTTGAAAGGTACATAAGACTGGAACTAGATAATGGTGGTTTGAATAGCGAAAATAGATATAAGAAGTATTAACAAGATAGAATAACTAGAAATGGGAAGCCTAGGTGATGATAGAGGGCAAGAGAGGTGGGAGAGTCACACATATTTTTAAAGCTAAGTAAAACTGTTACAAGAAACACAAGGGTGAAGTCAATTTACCAGGGTGGGCTATGAGTAACATTTAGATAACGAAGGTGAAGTGCCAATGAGACAACAAATTGAAAGACGGATCCTGAAACTCAGGTGAATTAGATTTGTGATATCTGTTTAGATTTTCTTAACATGATAATAATTTTTGCGTCCATGGGTTTGAAGAGTGCTGAAGATGGATGTTTAGAAAGGTTTTTATTTTTAAGACACTAAAAGAATATGAAGCAGGAAATGAGAAAGATAAAAGCTGACCAAAAAGGTAAAGAAAATACAAGAACCCAGGGTCAATGGAGCAAAGTAAGAGATGGGTTCTAGTATCAAGAGGGTAGTAAATAGAAAAAAAAATGCTTAAGAAAGGATGAGAAGGAGTTAGAGCACAAGAAGTTCATTGGATTTCTAAAGTCATGGTAGACTTCAAAAACGTTTTCAGAGTAGAAAAGCCAGAAGACAGATGACAGAAAGTTAAGGTATCTGTAGCCAAGAAGAGGGAGTAGAGAGTATACTTTTAAGAAGTTTGGTGGAGGCTGGGCACAGTGGCTCACGCCTGTGATCCCAGCACATTGGGAGGCTGAGGCAGGTGGATCACTTGAGGTCAGCAGCTCGAGACCAGCCTGGCCAACATGGCAAAACCATCTCTCTACCAAAATAATAATAATAATAATAATAATAATAATAATAATAATAATAATAAAGTTTGGTGGAGAAATGATGATAAAAGATAAGAGAGAAGTACTCTCTTCTATAGAAACACTATACAAGTGTTTGTTTTTTCAATTTGTTGCTTTTCTTTTATTAATAATAGATTATAACAATTACTTTAATGCTATGTCTTTCGGGAGATATTTAAATATTAAGAGACTGTAATATAAAATGAACAAAGAGCAAAGATGTTACAACTGGATGCAATAGCTGATGCATTAAACTGGATACCGTGTTGAAGGTAAACAAATACCATAAAGAATGTTATTGGGTACACAATTGACAAAATTGTGACAAAAATGGTACATTAGTAAGTGCTATATCAATTTTAAATTTACTGAAGTTGATAATTATATTGAGGTTATATGAGAATATCATTATTTTTAAGAAACATTATTGAAGTATGCAAATTATCCCAAGTAGGTATAATAAAAATATTTTTATTTTAATTTGTGTATTTTATTTATTTTACATATTCTATGTATTTATTTGAGAGGGAAAGAGACAGCGAGAGAGTGAGATAGAGAAAGCAAATGATAAATCCACAAATTTGAAATTTGAAATTGTTTCCAAATCAAAATATAAAAACGTTTAAAAGGACCCAAACTTTGTGGTTGAAATTTAATACTCAAAGCCAAATTGGCCAAGAAGATATTTCCGATGTCCCTAAAAGAACAGTTTCTTCTGCCAATGCTATTAAACTATTAATTCTTCTCCCATTTCAAAAGGTCATTTGTTCCTGAAAAATCTCATGACCACATATTCTGGTAAAGAAAAATATAGCTATAGTTTATTTCAATGAAGACTGTTTTTAATGTGTTCTAGAACTCACAAATTGACATCGATTATACTAAGCAACATACACGAGAACAATTAAGAAATTAATAGCAGCTGTTATAGTGCCCCAGAGAAATCATTTTCCTCTAATTTTGTTATAATAAGTCTATCAGCTAAAGTTCCTTGATTATTGCACGTAAAGCCAGCCTCACAAACAATAAAGGGATGTTATACATAAAGTGTACTTTAGTAGTCAATAAAAATAAAACAGAACACTTAAAGACAAAATAAATAAATTAAAGCAGTATAAATAAAATAATTTGATTAATAAGTTAACATAATATGGGATAGGATACCAGATATTATCACTGCTACGAAAGAGCAATCCATGAGTCTCTTAGAAGAATTTAATGCAATGTATGCAACTCTCCAGTAGCAAGAAGACTGCATCGTGGCTCTAGACTTGAAGGCTTCAGCTGTTCCATTATATTTTTTGAAAGGCCTATAGAAAGTGCAAGTGTTAAATGAAAATTCTTGTTAATTCAAGTTCTTTTAAATTCAATAAATGTACTGTAGGATATAACTACATGTATTTATTTACATATTTAAAAATAATGTACATTGGGCTGGGCTTGGTGGCTCATGCCTGTAATCCCAGTACTTTCGGAGGCTGAGGCGGGCAGATCATGAGGTCAGGAGATCGAGACCATCCTGGCTAACACAGTGCAATCCCGTCTCTACTAAAAATACAAAAAATTAGCTGGGTGTGGTGGTGGGCGCCTGTAGTTCCAGCTGCTCTGGAGGCTGAGGCAGGAGAATGGCGTGAACCCAGGAGGCAAAGGTTGCAGTGAACTGAGGTGACACCACTGCACTCCAGCCTGGGGGACAGAGCGAGACACCGTCTCAAAAAATAAATAAATAAAATAAAATAAAATAAAAATAAATAATAATGTACATTAATAGATCCATGTATTTTCCATAAATAAAGAAAAAATGTATCAATTTACAATGAATAAATATACAAACTCACCCAAAGTTAATATGATGTTAAAAATAACAAGGTATGACATTGTCATTTCTAATTCTTTCTCTCTTTTTCACATTCTTAAAGACTAAATTCTCCGTAATGATGTTTTTGACTTGTAGTTTTCTTTTCAAGTTATACACAATGCCACAAAATTGTGTGAGAATTAAAAATTATCCATCTTTCTTACATGATCTATGATAAATAGGTAAATGTATTTAAAAATATATAAATAAATATGCATGCAAAAGTCCACAGGACCTCATTCTTTAATAATATTTGTAACATGCACATAGTAAAAATTATTTTTTGTTAATTTAAATACTTTAGTTTCTTGAAATAAATTGTACAACAATATAATTTTTAATAAAAAATTTAAATAAAATGCTATACAAAGTTTAATTTATAGGTCATAAGAATATTAAATTTAGATTAAAATAATCCTTTATAGTATCAAAAATTTGGCAAAATTATTTTCATCCCCCATACCATGTTATTTGGAAAGTGCCAATATTACCTTTAAGATTTGGTGATGTTTATAATTTTTATGTGGTGTTTCTAAGTAAAATAACCCCATAGGTTTCAAGTTCCTATTTGAAGATACTTTTCTGAAAAAAACACACTGAAGTTTTGGAAAAGATTGGTTACAAATAAATAAGAAAGAATTAACTGTTGCTGTATTTTTTCTTCATATTAATTTTTAAATAATAAACAGGCCTCATGTATATGTAATAATGCACATTTTCCTGACTTTGGTCAGTAAGAGTACTTTCTAGCTTGCTTTTGCATCATTTTTCACATGATCCCAGTAGTTTTCAATAGCTTCTTTGCTTTCTTGTAAAACGTGATGCTCCAAGGTTATCTTGTACATTTGCTACCTAAGATCTGAAATTAGCCAATTTTCCAAGTAGCCTTGGTTTCCTTCAGTGGAATATATTAGGACCAAGACACTGAGAGAGTCATTGTTTGTAATTGTATCTAGACATTTTCCACTTTTGGAAATATGGTCATTTCCAATTCAAATTTATAATTATGGGGTTCTCACTTAATTTTTAATCTTATATTTGTATCCATTATCTCTCACACTAAAACCTTTGTTTTAAACAGCACCAGCATAGTTACTCATTTCCTTTTACTATTATTATTACAATTACTATTATTAGTTCAGACTACTAGTAATATTGGTACTATTACTATTACTAATAATGCTTGCTAACAATGGCTAACATTTACTAACTACTTAGTTATGAAGAAGAGTTTAGTGTGCTTTTGTAATTCCTTTGACCTTAGGATATACTCAATTATAGGTGTTTAGTTAACATCTACATTTAAGTGTTATTTGAAGTGATTCTCCTGGGTTTAGTTAAGTCAGCCACTCAATTATCAGTTTTGTTTTACTTTCAGTTTTGGGAACTGATTTATTCACTCTGACTGAAATTTGTCTTATAATCATGTAAAAGGCTTGATTGTCCCAAAGCTAAATTTTCAAAACCGAGCAATTTCAAAACCAACCAATACAAAGGAATCTAGTATTCAACTCTATTCTCTGCATCCTCCTTGAAGTAATCACTTTTATTATTTTTCGTTTATCTTTCCAATGCTTTTTTAAATATAATGAAATATATGTGTTAATATACTCCTTTTCTTACATAAAAGGTAGTACAGTATGAAGAGTTTGGCACCTTATATTTTTACTGAACTACGTATCTTGTAGATAACTCCACAACCATGTATAGAGATACTTATTCCTTTCTGCAGGCACAAAGTCCTAGATAGTACTTTCTGTAAATGTAAAATTGTTGACTCAGCCACTCCTCTAATGGTGGGCATTTGGAAAATTACCATGTTTTTCTAGTAAAGCAATTGCTGCAATTTCTTCTAGATATATGACTTCACACTTTTGCCACTGTAGCTTTGGGTTAGATTTCTTGAGCTCGGGTTGCTGAATCAAATTGTAAATGCATATATATTTTATTTTAGATATTACCAAATTGCAATCAATAGTGGTTGTATCACCTTGCATTCCTATCAGCAATACATGCATGCCCCAAACTTTTGGATTTTTGTGCATCATTTAATGGATGAGAAATGGTATTTTACTATACTTTTAATTTGCCTCTTTCAGATCAAGCCTAAGAAATGTTTCATGAGGTTAATAGTGAATTGTGCTGTTTCAATAAATATATTTTTAAAATTATTTTTTAAATTGAAATATATACCATCATTGTTACCTCATTTAATTACATATTCCTCAGGGGATTAATCTGTAAGCCCCAAATGCTTACATGCAGCTGTGTGGCATATCTTTATAAGAATTTGTAAAATAATGTGATTTTGTATATTTAAAGTCTTGATGTTATTCTATAAATGAACTCACTTATTGAGTCAGCCAAGTTATAACACCTTGCTAACAACACTTTAATGGAAGGACTAACAGTAGCCCTAATAGAACTATTGGACATAGAATTCTGGTCCATGAAAACGATGGGAAATAATTTGTCCAGTATTAAAGCTCCTGCATTATCACACAATGTACAATGGTAGAACAAGCCTTAAATGACCCCTCAATATACAGATAAGGACACTAAGGGCAGAAGACAAGTGTCCTGCCAAGAGTGGCATAGCTATTAAACTAGGTGGGACTTGATCCTCTGCATTGCAGTTCAAAGCTGTTTCTACTTCAGATTTCTCTTCACTAAGAAGTGTTTCTCTTCACTAAGAAGCTTTTTTAGGTGCACTGACAGGTTGGCACTGACAAAGATATTTCTGATATGAATCAACTTCATTTTGTAAATTAGTTCAAAAAGAAAGCAAGGGAAAAAGCTGAAACAGCATTTTCACAAGTACATTACTGAAAGAAAGAAACCTGAGGGATGCATAAAGAATTGAGAATTTCTTTCTCCTGCCAGTATCCTTTTCTGTTATCTGGCACAGTCTGGTTCAGCAAGGTTCCTTGACCATTTCTGGATAATGTCATTCTTGTTTAGTTCATCCGTACCCAATTTTCTGACGTGTCTATGAATTCTTACGGGGTTGAGAGGGCATAAATAAGTCTCAAGTTTGCAGTCCTTGATTACAAAATTCTTGTTTACCAGTATAGCAATTTTTTGTTTGCAAATTGGGATTCTTAGATGTAACTCTGAAAGTACACAACCTTTAATTTTTTAAACAAAATTTTTCACTATGATAAGCTGGATTCCAAACTTCCTTCAAATCGTATGTGCAAGAAGTACTACATTGATTATTCCTTTGGTTTTCATTATTTCATTTCTCATTTACACTTAATCTACACCACACATGCCATCCTCACTTTGCACACTAGTGTCGGACAGTAATAATGACTGTTCAAGCTGAAACCATGCAAAGCACTCTTAATTATGACTGGGGAAAATTATTATCTTTATGTAACTTTTACAAAATATTTCAAAAATATTGAAAAATCCCTTACTCTTGACTATACATTATAGGGGCATTTTTTAAAAGGTAAAACTAGTATTTATTTACCACAGTTATTAAAAACATTGAAAAATTGAGAATGAAAATGGTTTATTTCTTTGCAAAGTACTTATTTGGAGTGGTTTGAGTGCCTGCCTGCTTGACACAATACTTACTATAGGAAGCTAGCTTCTTTTCTATGTCTTCGTGAATTGTCATGCTTCCTTTTAAAGGTTGGATCAGGTTCCACTATCTCATCCTTTACTCGATCTCAGGAAATATTTCTGAGAGTTCCTTTTGCTATGGCTCCTTTTCCTGAGACATCTTCATTCTTTTCTTCATTTATGTCAATAATTTCACCTTCCCTAAGTTCCTCTGTCTATATGTTTAACATCTGCTGAAGGACTACAGTGTCAACATTCTGGCCGTCAGCTGAAATATATTTGTTCTGTAACTCCATTTATGCCTCAGTTAAATTTTACTCCTGGCATTATTACTTTTCATTTCTTTTTTTAAATTTTTTAAATTTTTTTTATTTTTAAATTTTTAATTTTAATTTTATTTTATTTTATTATTATTATACTTTAAGTTTTAGGGTACATGTGCACAATGTGCAGGTTAGTTACATATGTATACATGTGCCATGCTGGTGTGCTGCACCCATTAACTCATCATTTAGCATTAGGTATATCTCCTAAAGCTATCCCTCCCCCCTCCCCCCACCCCACAACAGTCCCTAGAGTGTGATGTTCCCCTTCCTGTGTCCATGTGTTCTCATTGTTCAATTCCCACCTATGAGTGAGAATATGCAGTGTTTGGTTTTTTGTTCTTGCGATAGTTTACTGAGAATGATGATTTCCAATTTCATCCATGTCCCTACAAAGGACATGAACTCATCATTTTTTTATGGCTGCATAGTATTCCATGGTGTATATGTGCCACATTTTCTTAATCCAGTCTATCATTGTTGGACATTTGGGTTGGTTCCAAGTCTTTGCTATTGTGAATAGTGTCACAATAAACATACGTGTGCATGTGTCTTTATAGCAGCATGATTTATAATCCTTTGGGTATATACCCAGTAATGGGATGGCTGGGTCAAATGGTATTTCTAGTTCTAGATCCCTGAGGAATCGCCACACTGACTTCCACAAGGGTTGAACTAGTTTACAGTCCCACCAACAGTGTAAAAGTGTTCCTATTTCTCCACATCCTCTCCAGCACCTGTTGTTTCCTGACTTTTGAATGATTGCCATTCTAACTGGTGTGAGATGGTATCTCATTGTGGTTTTGATTTGCATTTCTCTGATGGCCAGTGATAGTGAGCATTTTTTCATGTGTTTTTCGGCTGCATAAATGTCTTCTTTTGAGAAGTGTCTGTTCATGTCCTTCGCCCACTTTTTGATGGGGTTGTTTGTTTTTTTCTTGTAAATTTGTTTGAGTTCATTGTAGATTCTGGATATTAGCCCTTTGTCAGATGAGTAGGTTGTGAAAATTTTCTCCCATTTTGTAGGTTGCCTTTTCACTTTGATGGTAGTTTCTTTTGCTGTGCAGAAGCTCTTTAGTTTAATTAGATCCCATTTGTCAATTTTGTCTTTTGTTGCCATTGCTTTTGGTGTTTTAGACATGAAGTCCTTGCCCATGCCTATGTCCTGAATGGTAATGCCTAGGTTTTCTTCTAGGGTTTTTATGGTTTTAGGTCTAACATTTAAGTCTTTAATCCATCTTGAATTAATTTTTGTGTAAGGTGTAAGGAAGGGATCCAGTTTCAGCTTTCTACATATGGCTAGCCAGTTTTCCCAGCACCATTTATTAAATAGGGAATCCTTTCCCCATTGCTTGTTTTTCTCAGGTTTGTCAAAGATCGGATAGTTGTAGATATGCGGCGTTATTTCTGAGGGCTCTGTTCTGTTCCATTGATCTATATCTCTGTCTTTTGCTTTACTTTCATCTCCATTTGCTTATCCATTTCTGTAAAATATCACTTGTATGAATCATTGGGAGACAAAGAGGTAACAAACACACTATGAACTTTGCTGTCTGTGTGTGAACAGAAAGCTATGCCCAGTGACCAATCACTGACGTTGAAAAAGTGACAGGATTGGACGTTGGTCATGATCTACATCTGTCCTTTGTGTAGGGATTTGTAGATTGGCATGCTTTTGTAAGCAGAAATTTGTACTTTATGTAGCTATTCACAGTTAATAAACTCTGGTAACCAAAATTTAAACCATGTTGCAGCAGGACTGGTGTCATTTACCTAAACCATGGTAACTAAAGTTCATGCATATGAGAACCATCCACAGCAAGGATTGCTGATATTGTCAGCCAGTTGGGTTGCATTGTTCATATTCTTGTTGATACGGAGTGAAACAGATTGCTCATTGATCCTACTCTACATCATCACCTTATTTTGTTGACGTGTAGCTTCTCCTAGTGTTGATGAATCAATCTTTTGCATATTTTCCACATGATCTTTACAATATCGAGCATCCTATTGGCCCAAGTTATTCCAGAGTTTTTTTTCTAGCATCGTTTGTAGAGTCATCGGTTCATATGTCTGAGTCTGATTCCATTAGCAATGGTTAGGGGTACCTTTTCAAATGGTATCTCACAGGCTCTCCTTTCCACATAAGGTGTGAGCAGCCCAGTTTATTTATAAGGGGATGATGGGTGTAGTAGAGACTGTAAGAACATTTAGCACATAATTCTATGAAACAAATTATTTAACTGCAAGTTTATAATAATCAAATCATAAGCATTGAATAATATGTCCATTTCAAAATAGTAAGCATGAAGCCATAGAATGAAAAGTCCTATACACCTGCACCTTTCTAACAGCTCACTAATTCATAAGGCAGCCTATCTTATTATTGGATCACTAGAATGATTTTATGGTTTTAACCAATAGCCAGAATATATCTGATTATAATTTCTGCTGGCTGGTGTTAATTTTTTACTTAAGATTTACTTAAAATTATTCTACTTAGTCTTCTACATGTCAAATCTTCATGTATTTTATGACAGCTTTTAAAGACTGATCTCCCCCCAAAACTATATTTTTCATTCCAAGCTAGATACTTCTAGTTTCTTAAACTTATTTTTATCATATAATACCATAATATAATATCAAATTTCCAATGTGACCCAGAAAAATTTCTCTGTATATCCTTTTGACAGGCTATATATGGATTCCAGCCTGGCCAGTATGGTGAAACCTGGTGTCTACCAGAATAAAAAAATTAGCTTTGTGCGGTGATGGGTGTCTGTAGTTCCAGCTACCTGGGAGGCTGAGACAGGAGAATTGCTTGAATCCGGGAGGCAGTGGTTGCAGTGAGCCGAGATCGCACCATTGTACTCCAGCCTGGGCAACAGAGTGAGAGTCTGTCTCAGAAAATAAATAAATAAATAAATAAATGAAATAAACACAAAATTTTAGGGTGAACTTATCAAAAAAATTACCATTGTTTTAAACTTATGAACTCTTAACGACATATTTTTCCATTTTACACATAGGGAAAAAAAGTTACATATTGCAAGTCAATCAAATAAGAACTTTTGAGCATTTCCTCTAACAGTTCTCCATCATTTTCTTTCTATAATTAAAAGCAGTTGTATAAAGTTTAATAAACTTTTGATACATTTTATTACAGAATATTTTAAACCCTCCAAAAAGTTTAGAAGCAAATTCAATGAACACTTCTACCACTACCATTAAAATTTACAGAGGTTAAATGTTCTGATTGTTTCTCTGAAAATAAAATAACACAGATACGAACGGAGACTCATTTATACCACTCCCCTATCCCATTCGCCTACTTCTCTCCTCTGTAGCACAAGAGAACCAGTATTCTTCTGTGTTGTTAGGCTTTTAGTACATATGCTTGTGTCCATATATAGTAACCGGTATCTGTCTTGTCTTAATATTTTTAGCTCTCCTCATACCATTGAATCATCGTGGAAGGTTTTTTTTCTAGTCTTTCCTTTTCAGATTCTTCTTTTAAAATGGTGTTACTTCTGCCCTTTGTCACCCTGTAGTGTAAAGCTTAATCACAGAAAATTATTATTACTGATGACTAGATTCTACCCACATTTATATCCATATGCCTACCTCTTGCAGAGAGAGTATTTTGTTGAGTGTATTAAACGCTAAGGGAATGACTCATTTGTGCATCTTTTATTTTACATAAGTTAAATATTTTGAAATGTTAATTGGAAATGCAAACTTCTGTGTAGTAAGAACTGATTTAAGGTAAACAGTCCCTGTATTACTTCTTCAGGGTAACCTGCAAACAAGATTTTTTTTTTTTTTTTTTTGAGACGGAGTCTCGCTCTGTTGCCCAGGCTGGAGTGCAGTGGCGCGATCTCGGCTCCCTGCAAGCTCCGCCTCCCTGGTTCACGCCATTCTCCTGCCTCAGCCTCCCTAGTAGCTGGGACTACAGGCGCCCGCCACCACGCCCGGCTAATTTTTTTGTGTTTTTAGTAGAGACGGGATTTCACCTTGTTAGCCAGGATGGTCTCGATTTCCTGACCTCATGATCCACCCGCCTCAGCCTCCCAAAGTAAACAAAATCTTCTTTTACCATGGAAAAAAACTCAGCCATATACTGGGTCATATGTCATACAGTCATATGATGTGAATACAAAATTTGATATGGAACCAGGGGAACTTGACCTTCTCTATGTTTGCTTACTGCTGATGTCTCCTTCGGTGAATGGATATGTTAACTACTCTTCAATTAACAAATTGCAGAAACTTCCATTATTTGGACACTTAATTTTGTCCAACTCCTTTCTACAGTAATGAATTCTAAACTCATGACAACAAAGCATCCATTTATTTTCCGTCTGATTTGTTCAATTTTCATAATACATTTCATGTTACAGTTTATTTTAAATACTACTTGTAGGTCTGTTGAGGGAGGAGAACAAAGAATCATGTGTGAAGATGATAAGTTAGAATGAGGAAAAACAAATGGATAAAGTAATGTGGATGGAAATTGATGAAAAAGAAAACTGATATTTCTCTGGAAAATTATTCTGAGCTAGTTTTTTTAAAATAATGTCTTGTGAAGTTTGCTAGACTGCCTCTGTCCTTCTTCGGAAAGTAACTATCTTTCATTTTTGATTTAATTGTTGAGAACATAGCAGTGTGATAAAAGTTTTTTATGGAAATTTCTCACAGCAACACAATCAATCATATTTCCAACTCATGTGCTGTCTTGAGCCCCTGAGCCTCAAAGACTTTTTTTTCTTCTGGGGAGCTTACTTGTTAAATTAGCACTGATCAAAGGCTAAAACATTTGTCATGCTTATTAGTGAATAAACCTAGCAGCAGGTATCCCAAGTGAGGAAGCAAATCCTCATTTCCTGCAAGAATGAATTGGAAATTATTCAAACTGCTTGCAAACATTTTTCAGGAGTGACGAATTGTCAAAAAGAAAGCAGCTGCTAGATGTGGCAGCAACCAGGGTTAGCGGGAAAAAAAGCATCTTTCGAAGATATCTTCAAACTAGCCCATGGGGATGTTCTGCAGTTTGATTTACTCTAATTGCCTTTGAAATCCTGCATCAGCTGACCTTACCAATGAGCTCCAAAATAACACCCCAACTAAGACAATTTTGAAACTACAAGTTCTTCACCCTTTTGCTCTTCTTACTCCTTGTTGTTGTTGTTTATAAGAACGCAAACTGACAAGTACCAAATTGATAGACTTTTGTTTTCATTTATTGACAAATGATGCCCAGTGCTGATTTTGCAGGAGTTACTGTCTCATTAGCATAGTTTAATCAGGTGGCAGACGTAACAATGGAGGGAAACATGCACTGACAATTATTTTCTCCAGTTTTAAACTTTTCTAAAAAAAATTGAGAATATTAAAATCCCTTGGCACACTTGGCTTTTACATCACACTGTAATAAGTTAGAAATATTTAAAATTTTCTCCAGGTGATCGTGAATGAATAAATAAACAAAGGAAATATTTCATGTAACTTTAAGTTAATCAATGAAATATATAATATAAGCATGGGTGTCTGAAATTGCACAGGGTTGCAACCCAGCATTATACCTTTTATTTTAGAGCTAATGGTTCTGTAGGTGCATTCACTTTATTTCTGAGAATTATGATAAAACCAAATAGTACTTTTGGAGATTACTCGAGAACAAGATATAACCCTCCCTTTGCAAATACACCAACTTATATTTAAGAAAGGAGGGAGTCACATTATATTTTTGATGAATTTTTAAAAACAATCAGATCCAATGTAGATATTTCAGGTCAGATACATGTGGTAACATAGGTTAGTATCTGAAAAAACGTAACTATGTGATGAGGAGGGGTGTGGTATTGTGAGAAGGAGGTGCTTAGAAAAATTATAAATAATCAGGGCATCATTTTTAATTGCGTCACTTAAGTTAAAATGAAAAGACCGTTTATTGCCTCCCACACGTTTTTCCGCAATAAGAGTTCAGTCATCCTTTGAATAATGATAGGCACCTCAGTTTACAAAGAGCATACATCCCAGTCTTTTATCCCATATGAAAAGCCAATTAGAACCTTCTGTCAATCCTAGAACCTCTGATTCTTTCTCAATCTGGACTTGAGCACACTGCAAGTCTCTCCTATTTGAATGTAATTGCGCTCTCACTGCCGAAACTAGTTGAAAACAAAAACTCTGAAAACAAACAAGTCCGGTTCCTGGGTCAGGGAATTCTTTCTCTCTCACGCTATGCTTGTAGAATAAGCTTTTAAGCAGGAAGTACTCTTTCTGAGTTAAAATCAAAACTCTGGGGGAAAATAGGTAATCTATGAATTTATAAGAAAGCCAAAGATGCAGTTCTGGATATTTTTCTGAGCTGTGAAACATAAAATCTTATTCTTATAAATTCATAGATTACCTGTTTTCCCCCAGAGTTTTAGATTTGGCTCACAAAGTGTACTTTCTAGTTAAAGCTTCTTCTACAAGCATAGGGCATTAGAGCTTTACCAGAGCCTCTTGCCCTGTAGGGAAGTGTTTCTCAGATTCACCTTTTCCTTTCTGTCTACAATGCTGCCACTCTAACCCAGGATTTCATTGTTTCATACCCGTGTTCCTGTTATACCCTTTTTATTATTTATTTTATCTCTAGTTTTTCCCCTCTAGAATAATATTGCTTAAATAACAATGTAAGCTCCTATTCAGGAGCGTAAGAGTTTCTTTTCTCTTTCTGCCTTTCAAGCACCTCTAAGTCCATTCTCACCTTAAAGGCCTGGCCACTTCTGTTGCTCTTCATCATCGATGCTCTGCTCCAGGCTAGATTGTTTCCTCTCCTGTGCAAGTAAAACTGGACTGGATTAGCTAGTACATACTGACAATGGCACATAGTTGGTATATATCTGCGCACTAGTTTCTTTATTCTGTTATGTATTTTCTGTTCCCCTTTCCAAACCTCCCCAATCATTTGAAATGAGTCTCATTTGAAATGAATCATTTGAAAAACCCCAGGGTGAGGTTTTTTCTTTTATGGCAGTCCACCATAATTTCTCTCTTCACTAATATTCTCTTATCTCTCAATGCAGTACATTTGGTTGATGTTAATATTTTGAATAGCA